>NC_000001.11:145684587-146309587 GCF_000001405.40 Homo sapiens
AATGAACAAATCAGGGTGTAATATTTAGGACATCCATCCTTGAACATTTATCATTTCTTTGTGTTGAGAATATTTCAAATCTTCTTACAGCTATTTTGAAATGTACAATACATTGTTGTTAACTACAGTCACCCCACTGTGCTATCAAACATTAGAACTTATTCCTTCTCTCTGTGGGTTTGTACCCATTAACCTAGCTCTCTTCATCCCCACCCTACCCCACACACATACCCTTCCCAGCTGCTGGTATCTCTCATTCTACTCTCTACCTCCATGAGATTCACCTTTTTTAGCTCCCACATATGAGAATATGTGATATTTTTCTTTCTGTGCTGGGCCATTATTAAGCAAAATAAGGATTATTTGAACACAGTACTTTAATACCGTGACAGTTGACCTGGTAACTGAGTAGTAAGTAGTAAGACTAACAGGCAGGTAAGCACATGCCACGTGGAGATGCTAGACAAACAGAGGATTCATGTCCAAGACGGGGCAGGACAGCACAAGATTTCATTACACTACTCATAATGGTTCACAATGCAAAAATTATGTATGGAATTTTCCATTTAATATTTTCAGACCACAGTTGCCTGCAGGTAAGGTAACTGAAACTATGGAAAGCCAAACAGGATAAGGGGGGACTCTTGTATGTCAACCTAGGCAAGGGATCGCTTGCTAATGACTACATAAATCACTTGTAAGGAATGACAATAACTTAAACTCTGCTTCCTTAAACACTCAGCATTTCTCCTGCTACCTTGTTATATATTTGTCATGAAGAGACCATTTTCCTCATAAAGCTAACCTAAACCATTCACCATGTGCATTAGCACATGAGCCAGATGAGTAGAATCTGAATTATGATTTTCTTTTTTTTACCACTTTACTGATAATAGGCTTCTAAGACGTGCCAAGCTTCCTTTGACTATACACACCACTGTGTTTAATAACTGACAGACCTGAGAAATACCCCTTATCGTGAGTTTACATCTCTTGGTACAGGTTAAATAAGCCTTAGAAACTATTTTAAATTTACCACTGGTCTGCTGCTGTATCACTTGCCAAATCATGACCTACCACCAGTGCTTCTCCAGCCCCAGAAAGAACATAGGCAGAGGCAGTGTTCAAGAAGGAATTGACCAGCTAACACAGCTCCTCTGGTTCCAACCAATACCCCAGAGCCACGGTCAACTGAACACAGGTTAGTCTGCACCTCTGAAATTCTAGAAATAGAACTTCTGGTGCTTCCTGATGGTCAGGGTTTCTCAAATCACTATGTACCTCTTAGCCAGAGCTCAAAGATGCGCCTCAGAACAGGTGGGGCTGAGCCGCAGCTGAGGGTACTATCAAAATGTTACAGGAGGGTGGAAATTTTTGCGGTATTCTCAGCAAAGGTAACAGTGCCTGGCACATCAGCAGGTGCTCAAGAATTTGTTGAATAAATGAATGACTATCTGGGCACTCAGATAAAAAAAAGATACCAATCTTACTCAAAAATAGCTATTATGAAGAATCTCATTTTTCTTGCCTTTTATTCCTTATTCTGCCCTTCATTTTCACCCTAAGAGGGCTAGAAGCATCAACCCTCTGGCCCCCTGACCTCAAAGAGTCCTCAAGTGCCAGCCTGACAAACACTCAGGGACAGGAGTACCCAGTGCCCCCCACCCCCACTGCTGTCCAGTGTCCCTCCCCCATTGCACAACTGTGCAAGGCAAGGGAAAGGGCAGGGAGGGAGTGAGAGACGGAGGGAGGCAAGCTGTTGCAAGCTATCTATAGCAACTGAAAAGTCAGTCAAAGAAGAAAAGTCATTAACCAGTAGCATCTTTGTTCTGGAAGCCTGTTGTCTGTGCCCTGCCCCTGCCTCCCCCTGCTCCCCAAAAAATTCTCACCTTGGACAGTTTTCAGAGAGAAGCCATAGCTGCCTCCTTCCTTCACGAGATAGCAGAGCCGGGGCTGGGTCCAAGTTTGCACACCTCCATTCATCACAGGGGAAAGTATATTATCACTCAAACCTTGCTCCTTCTGACTTTGACCCAACTCTTTCAAGTCCACCCGTGTTTTCACTGCTTTCTCATAGGAATCCCCATCCAGAACTAGTAAAGTCACTGAATTCCCACTCTTTCTGACCAGATCCACAACCTAGGAGGGAAGAAGAAAAAGGTAACTTTAATAACCCTCTGCCAACTGCCAGAGGGAAATGCTGACCATCTGGCTCAATATCTGGCCCTGGAGATGCTGCTAGTTGACCCTTGACACCCAAGTAGAAGCAGGTAGTTCCTCAGCCACCTCCATCCCTGCCCTCCCGAGATCCAGGTGCAGATTAGGCTGAGCTTCTGGCACTGCTGGAATATAGAGTGTGGTTCAACCCCAGCCCAGAGGGTTCTTACAAGACTGGTCCTTTCTAGAGAGGAGCGCTGCCCTAGATTGTAACCATTCCTCCCGTGTGCATGGGGACAGCACAGTGTAAGGAAAAGACCATGCTTTTGGAGTCAGGCAGAATAAGGTAAGGCCAGACTCTCCCATATATCCTCAGCAGGAACATGTTAGCAAGCTAAGATATCTGTACTTAGCTTCCTAATCTGTGAAATTGTAACATATACCTTATGAGGTCATGATGAGGACTTAACAAGATAATGAATATAAAATTGCTGGCCGAGCGTGGTGGCTCATGCCTGTAATCACTGCACTTTGGGAGGCCGAAGCGGGCGGATCACGAGGTCAGGAGATCGAGACCATCCTGGCTAACACGGTGAAACCCCATCTCTACTAAAAATACAAAAAAAAAAAAAAAGCTGGGTGTGGTGGCGGGTGCCTATAGTCCCAGCTACTTGGGAGGCTGAGGCAGGAGAATGGCATGAACCCGGGAGGTAGAGCTTGCAGTGAACCGAGATCGCACCACTGCACTCTAGCCTGGGTGAAAGAGCGAAACTCCATCTCAAAAAAAAAAAAAAAAAAAAAAATACCTAGCACCATTTTTGGTATATAGTGAACATGCAATTCATGTTAGACCTAACGCTATTCAAATCCAAGAGTAATGTGTACAGTTCTTGGTTCCTCATAGGGGACTTGATTGGCCAACACAAGGTACAGCAATAAAGGTGTCCTGCCTTGCCAGTGGCAGCCAGGAAAGAACCAAACTCTACCAACCCCCAAAATTATAATCAGCAGAGAAGATGTGGGGGCTGAAGAGATCCTGGAAGAAAAGCCCCAAATGTCTCATTCACCTGCATATGTTCTTCTTTGTCCACAAAGACACCATTGATCCTAAGAACTCTGTCTCCATCTTGAAGGCCAGCCTTCTCTGCTGGGCTACACTTCTCAACCACCCGGACCAGGTGGCCCTCGGTGTCCTTCTCAATTCGCAGGAAGAAGCCATAGTTTTGCCCTTCTTGCTTGGACAGTTTACATTCTCGGGGGTTGAAGGTGGAGGTCATTTCTGTGATGAAAAAAATAAATTAATAAAACCATGGAAAAGAGAATCTAATTGGAGTGAGAACCCCATCCTCCATCTCCTATAATTCTGTTCTTCCAATCACCAAATCTAGACTGCTTGGGTAGTAATGCTGGGGGCACAGGAGGACACCTTCCAGAACTTGCTAATGATTTCCAAATCTGTTTCCCCAAGGACAACCTTTTTACTAGAGTTTCAGACCCACGTATTTTTTACTGAGTACTGGACACAGATGCTTCCATTTCAGTATCTCCAACCAAACTCCTCTTTGTCCTCTGACCTAAAGAAATTAAGTCCAAATACATGACCCAAAAAATTTATGACAAGCCCACTCTCATTCAAACATTTGAAGAGCTTTTCAAGTTCAAGGAATCGAGGTTAAATCTGTAGACAAGATGGACCCATACCTTGCCTCTTCTATTGGGGAACATTATTACATTCCTATAACCACACGTGGTGAGTGTCATGCTGGGGAAGAATGCAGTGATAAGGGGGAAAATAACAAAGGGTCTTGGGAATAGGGAGCGGGATGGGAAGAACAAAGAACATTTCCTGAAGGAATGACACTTCCAAGAACTGAAGGATTAGTAGAAGCTTGGTGAGGTAGGACAGGACAAGGAAGAGCTTAAACCATTAAAAAAGGCAGGCACAGTGGCTCACCCCTGTATTCCCAGCACTTTGGGAGGCCGAGGCGGGCAGATCACAAGGTCAGGAGTTTGAGACCAGCCTGGCCAATATGGTGAAACCCCAGCTCTACTAAAATTACAAAAATTAGCCAGGCGTGGTGGCAGCCACCTGTTGTCCCAGCTATTCGGGAGGCTGAGGCAGGATAATTGCTTTAACCTGGGAGGTGGAGATTGCAGTGAGCCGAGATCACACTGCTGCACTCCAGCCTGGGCAATAGAGTGAGACTCTGCCTCAAAAAAAAAGGACACCAGGCCTTAGAGCTGGTCCAATATGTTGGAGATGCACTAGAAAAGGCTGTTCTGGCCCCTGAAGTCTCTAGCCACAGCAGAAAAGAGATGCTCGATAGAAAAGGGATTCCAGTGGCTAGGTTGGGGCTCTCCCTCCCAGACGCTTTGTCACCCAGGCTGCAGTGCAGTGGCGCAATCGCAGCTCACTGCAGCCTCGAATTCCTGGGCTTAGGCGATCCTCCCACCTCAGCCTCCTGAATAGCTGGAGCTACAGGCACATATCACTATGCCCTGCTAACTAATTTTTTTAGAGACAGTGTCTTGCTTTGTTGCCCAGGCTGGTCTCAAACTCCTGGGCTCAAGTGATCTTCATGCTTCAGGCTCCCAAAGTGCTGGAATTACAGAATGAGCCCCCATGCCTGGCCTGAAGCAGCTTCTATTTCCATTCATCCTGCCCCTCCTGTTGCCCCATTGCAGGGGCAAGGTCCTGAGCCATAGGAGGAAGACAGGACAAGTGTAAAACCGACAGCTAGGGCTCCGGCACACAGTTATTATTAAGGGTAAGACTTCTGCCAGTGCCCCGACACCTGCTGGCTGAAAGCTTTTTCTTTTATAGGAGAATAAGAACAGGGGCCAGAACAGCAAGAGGCTGATACAGAAGGCAGAAGGCTCACAACAGAGCACTGGAGTCTGCTCTTCACACCACCTGCAAGGCAAGCCCTCAAGTTCCTCTCATCACAGTTCCCTACCTACAAATCAGAATAAACCACCTATCCCTTCCCTCCTGGAGGGACAAGAACGGATGACCACACAGGATATGGGGGAGGGTGAAGAATAGGCCACAAAGTGCTCCAGGCACCCTAGAAGCCATGGCATGGTGATTGAAGATAGCCATCCCTGACCTTCATGCCCACAGAGACGTACAGTACAAATCAGACAGAGAGCCCCCAGCTGCCCAATACCAGGCCTCTCCTGCAGTCTCCGCAAAGTCTGAAGCCCCACGCCACCAGTGGCACGAGTGACTAAGTAGCGAAGAAAGAAGCAAACAAATAGACTCCCCATCGAGCATTGAGGCAAGAAAACAGCAAAGCCACTCACCAGTGGTCAACACCAGCACCTTGGGAGAGCTAGGCAGCTCTGCCTTATCAAAAGCCATGACCAGCTGCCAGGAAAACACCACTCTGGGATGAAAGGAGAAAATATGGCATCACCAGAGTTGAGTCACATCCAGGCACCTGTTTGTGGCCCATTCCAGCTCCCTCACCTTTCACTCCTCTTTCTGCTGATCCCAACCTGCGAGCATCAGTTCAGTTTCAGCTTGAGTTCACATCTATGTCCAAGCTCACCTGTAGATCCCTACACCTTTCCATTTCATAGGGCCAAAAGACCCCAAAAGAAAAAAAATCAGAAAAGAAAGACGAGGTCTCAATGTACTTTACTGGGAGGATCAGACAGTAATTACATAAATGAATAGGATCATTTCAGATAATGATATTTGCTGTGAAGAAAATAAAACAATGTCAAACAAAACATGCAAAGCCCTCTTAAAGTTGGGAGTAATTATTGGAGAACCTCATTCAAATCCTACAAAATTTAAAATATGTCCTTATAATCAGAATAAGGCCAACAGATACTATGTTTTCATCAAGAGATGAGGCTGTTTGTGATCAGCATATGAATGCTCATTTCTAAGGCACTCACACCCAAGACTCAACAATCTCACGCCCTGCAGTGTCAACCACAAACTCTTAATCTCTTTGTTTGTAGGCCAAGGATAGAAAGTGAAACCTCCTCACTAGGAGAACCAGCCCTGTGTTTGGAGAGAGGGGAAGAGGCAAAGGTTTTCCTATGTCTCACTGGAGACCTGTGAGCCTGACATACAAAGAAACACAAATCACTGTTTCTTGGCAGAATCTCAAGTTGACTTTTTTGTTTGAAGTTTTCAAACAGCCAGATGGTAATCGCTCAGATCTGCATCTATGGCTTTGAAGGCTCAAGCATTCAAGGTCAGTTTCTTTTTTGTCTGGTTGAAGCCAGAAAATTAGAGCCACTTTATACCAATAGTGAAATGCTACCATACTGGTGGGGAAACAGCTACTGCTGCAAGCCCCCAACTGCCTTCTGCCACTGTGTACTCCCCACCACACAGCCATTAATGGATTAATGCTATGGCCATCGATCTGCATGTACCCAGGCCAAACTGATTAAATATTTAACGCCCCCAGCTGCACCAATGGGGAAAGCAGACCTAAACCTCAAAAGCCTGGTCTTACATGGGAACCTAAAACTATTTGTTTCCTTTGCCATCTTGCAGAAAGATGATTCATCTAGGAGCCAAGGGAGCTGGGCTCTGGTCCACCTCCAGGCCTTGTTCTGTCTAGTCCACATCCTGGTGTTACTCTGTCCCCTAATTCAGAGCTGGGGTATGTCTCTTTCGCAAGACTCTGTCATTGCTCCATGACAAGGATGCCTGGGACTCTGGAACACAGGGCCTAATTAGGAAGGATCTTTGTATTTAAGGATACTCTTTCCTACTTCTTTAACCCCACCTCATCTTCTGCCTCCTGAAAAAATCTAGAGATCAGACCCCTCTGGTGGATAGACACAGAAGAAATGAAGGCCTATGGATTTCTAGAATATCATTAGCAGCAATCATTTGAAGTTGGAGTCCATTAAATCCAGCAGGCTTTGTTCCCCAGTTCAAACAGCCAAAATACATGGTGGTACACATCTTTAGTCCCAGCTACTCGGGAGGCTTAGTTGGGAGGATGGCTTGAACCTGGAGGCAGAGAGGTTGCTGTGAGCCGAGATCGCACCACTGCACTCCAGCCTGGGCAACAGAATGAGACCCTGTTTCAAAAAAAGAAAAAAAAACTGGAGATGAAAGAAAGCTATAACCATTCCTGAGCTCGGGGGGGAAAAATCAATAGTTGACAACAAAGTTGTTTATCTGTGGGAAAGAGAACAAAGTGTTGGCTGGCAGACAGGAACCGCTCGGGGGTGAGAGCCAATGAGATTTTTTTTTTCACCAATTTTATTGATGAAAAAGCTAATTATACCATTAAATTTTGCTTTTTTCCAAAATGATTAGATTATTGCTGCCAGGAAAGAGAATAATGTGGCCGTGGTCAAGAAGAAACATTAAATACCCTTTAGAAGTTAGGAAGGCTTGGTAATGAAAAGGAGGGTGGTATGACCTCTGGATCTGGCAAAGTAGAAAGAACTAAAGCCACTGGTCTATTTTCCATAGGAAAGAAATAGCTGGTGGGACCTAGGGGACTTCTTCCCAGCCCAAGGCAGGCCAAGGACTCTCAGGCCCCAGACGGCCATCAACAGGATTGATATATGAGATCCTCAGCACCACCCTCACCAACTCCTCTGCACAGAAAGCTGGAAGTCTGAGCTGGGAGCTGTTCCTGAGTGCTCTTTGTGTAACTCCTATGAGCTTCCAGGTGTTATTTTGAAAAGGAATTCTGGGCCTGGCATGGTGGCTCACGCCTGTAATCCCAGCACTTTGGGATGCCAAGGTGGGTGGATCACCTGAGGTCAGGAGTTAGAGACCAGCCTGGCAAACATGGTGAAACCCCGTCTCTACTAAAAATACAAAAATTAGCCAAGTATGGTGGTGCACACCTGTAATCCCAACTACTCGGGAGGCTGGGGAAGGGGAATCGCTTGGACCTGGGGGGCAGAGGTTGCAGTGAGCCAAAATCGTGCCAGTGCACTCCAGCTCGACAACAGTGAGATTCCGTCTCAAAAAAAAAAAAAAGAAGAAGAAGAAAGAAAGAAAAAGAATTCTGGACTGGGCGCAGTGGCTCACGCCTGTAATTCCAGCACTTTGGGAGGCCAAGGCAAGCGGATAACGAGGTCAGGAGATCAAAACCATCCTGGCCAACATGGTGAAACCTTGTCTCCTAAAATTCAAAAAAAAAAAAATTAGCTGGGTGTGGTGGCGGCGTGAGGCAGGAGAATCGCTTGAACCCGGGAGGTGGAGCTTGCAGTAAGCCAAGATTGCGTCACTGCACTCCAGCCTGGCGACAGAGCAAGACTCTGTCTCAAGAAAAAGAAAAGAAAAGGAATTCTGAAGCTGCTAGAGACCAGACAAAACATGGGCCAGGGGTAAGTAAATTCTTCTTCTGAAGAAGGAAAATAAATGGCAACTCCTTGAGGAGTGAAGTCAGCAGAATGACAAGATCTTCCTTCATCTCCTCAGTCCTAGTTGTCCACCCATGCCCAAAGGCTCCAGCTGTCTCATCTGAGTGAGCAGAAGAATTTAGTTGAAATTGTGTAACTCTGTAGACCGTGTCAGGTGATGCTAGCAATAATAAATCATGTCATTTGAAAACTCTCTATGGCACATTATCTCATTTAATGCTCGCAATCACCTTACAAGTTTGATTCTCAATCCTAGCTGCCCCTCAGAATCACCTGTAGAGATTTAGAAAAATCGATGCTTAGGCCCCACCTCAGGTCTAAAGCAGACCTAAAGACCTAAACCAGATCAAAGGAACTAGAGCTTAAAAATCACCCTAGGTGCCGGGCGCGGTGGCTCACGCCTGTAATCTCAGCACTTTGGGAGGCCGAGGCCGAGGCAGGCAGATCACAAGGTCAGGAGATCGATACCATCCTGGCTAACACCGTGAAACCCCGTCTCTACTAAAAATACAAAAAATTAGCCGGGCGTGGTGGCGGGCGCCTGTGGTCCCAGCTACTCGGGAGGCTGAGGCAGGAGAATGGCGTGAACCCGGAAGGCGGAGCTTGCAGTGAGCTGAGATCAGGCCACTGAACTCCAGCCTGGGTGACAGAGCGAGACTCCACCAAAAAAAAAAAAAATCACCCTAGGCTGCCTCGACTCCTCCTGTCTCCCCTCAGCCTCAGGATAACTCCCTCCCTCATGGGTCACAGAGGAATGTTGAGATTGAATGAACTAATCACAGCCACCCTGGGCTCACCTTTATCCAACTTGACAGGCCAAGGTGGCAGCCTGATTAGGAGAAGCCCTTGGTCACACCGTGCAGTCCTCGGGATCCTGTGTACCCACAATCAGTGCCCCAGCCAGCAGGATAGGAGTGTGTCACAACCTGCAATCTGTTCCTTGTGCCTCCCTCCCCAAGTTCTAGTTCTGAGTCGGGGGAGCATAGAACCAAGCAGATAAAACAACCTTTCACTGTTCTCATGGACTCTTTATGCTCTTAATTAAGTCTAGGGGATTGCTCCCCACCTCCCAAACCTAAACACCTTAAAAGCTGAGGCCATTCCTCATCCTCCTCCAAACCTATGGGCAGAATCCATTCAGGACTGAGGCCCTACCAGTCATCCCGTGAACCCTGGAGGATGAGTGATGGTTGCCAGATTTACTCCACAGTTCTTTGCTCCCTACCAATCTCTTCCCTTTCCCAAACAATTAGTTTCTTCAGTTAGCATGCTGGGGCAGGTGAAATCTGTTTGGGATCATGAACATAGTTCCTTCTATTTTCCATTTCAGCATCAAGAAGACATACTACCCAAACCTGATTTCATTTGTTCATGCCACAGGCATCTGCCCCTCACTTATATGCAAAACACTGTCAAGTGGTTGAAAGGATAAAGTTATACACCACCCCTATTCTCAAGAGCCTTTATAGTTGAATAAAGTTAAGAAAAAGTTTTAGAACAAAAATAACTTGCCGGGTGCAGTGGCTCACACCTGTAATCCCAGCACTTTGGGAGGCCGAGGAGGGCGGATCATGAGGTCAAGAGATCTAGACCATCCTGGCCAACATGGTGAAACCCTGTCTCTACTAAAAATACAAAAATTAGCCAGGTGTGGTGGTGCATGCCTGTAGTCCCAGCTACTCAGGAGGTTGAGGCAGGAGAATCGCTTGAACCCGGGAGGTGGAGGTTACAGTGTGCTGAGATCGCGCCAGTACACTCCAGCCTGGGGACAGAGCAAGACTCTGTCTCAAAAAAAAAAAAAAAAAAAAAAAAAGGAAAGAAAGAAAGAAAAATATCATTGTGAGCAGAGTATAAGTGAGGTAAGACCTACAATATGAAACAAATTAAGGAAACCTTCAAAAATTAGGCAGGACTTGATTTGAGCCTTAACAACATATGGATGACATTTCAACAAGTGCAGAAGAAGGACGAGACCATTTTAGACACCAATCAGTGTGGACACCATGTTATGAAAGTGGGAAAGTTTGCCAGGTGCGGTGGCTCACACCTGTAATCCCAACACTTTGGGAGGCAGAGGCAGAGGTGGGCAGATCACTTGAGGTCAGGAGCTCAAGACCAGCCTGGCCAACATGGCGAAACCCTGCCTCTACCAAAAAATACAAAAATTAGCCAGGCGTGGTGGTGGGCACCTGTAGTCCCAGCTATTGAGGAGGCTGAGGCAGGAGAATCACTTCAACCCAGGAAGCGGAGGTTGCAGTGAGCCGAGACAGTGCACTGAACTCCAGCCCGGGTGACAGAGTGAGACACTGTCGAAAGAGAGAAAGAGGAGAGAGAGAGAGAGAGAAAGAGGAGAGCAAGAGAGAGAGAAAGAAAGAGGGAAAGCTTGGGTGTCGTCAAGGAAGAGCTAAAACCCAATGTGGTTGAAGGACAGCCAACAGAAGGGAAATCATGGGTGACAAATTAGACTATAAAGGCCTTTAATATCAGCCCAAGGGATCTGGCCTTAGCTTGGTGGAAAGGGGCACCACTCAAGGCTTTTAAGCAGAGGAATAACAGGATCAGAGTTGGGTTCCAAGAAGGGCAGGTAGGCTGGATTCAAGCAAAGACACACTGCAGAGAGGCCAGGTAAGAGGCTGTTGTCAAAATCCTACTCACACGTGATAAAGGGCCTGCCTGACCCACATAGCAGCCATCAGAATAGAATGAAGGTGACAGAGGTGGAGGAACTACAGAGAGGACTAAGTGACATTGTAGTAAGTCTTCAGCCTTGTTCCCTCAGATTTCTCCATGCAGAGATTATCTCAGACAGAACAGCTGTGACAACACAGATGTCCAAAACACTTCTTTACACTCACCATGACAAGTGTCCAGGAGGAACAACAGGTGTGCAGCACCCAGTGTCAGGGCCCACAGGCTCCTGCCACTCTTCCTAATGATGGCTTACTCCCCTGGCATGTAGTTATTTTGTTCTGGTTTCACTGTCATGAGGAAAGATCCCCTGTCGCAGAGTGGCAAATGCACAGTTAAGTCTTCTGAGGCCACAGCTCAATTCGAACACAACTGTGCTTTGGGCTCCTCTTAGTCCAGGGGTTGCAAGGACACTGTAGCTCTGTAGCCACTCACTTATCTGCCTGCTTCTCCGCAAGGGCCAGCTGTATACTTTCCCTGAACTGATAACCCTGGCTCAGTATTTTCTACTAACCAGCCTGGATAGCTTTCCTACTTCAAGCCCCGAACTCCCCTTCTATTATAGACTGATTTTTGCCCCCAACTTCCAATTCATACATTGAAGCCCTAATCCCCAATGTGACTATACTTGGAGACAGGAACTTTAAAGAAGTAACAAAGGTTAAATGAGGTCATAAGGGTGGGACCCTAATTCAACAGGACTGATGCCCTTAAGAAAAGAGGAAGAGACATCAGAGAGGCACTTGCACAGAGAATAAAGCCATGTGAGGACACAGGGAGAAGACAGGAGAGGGGCCTCCGAGGACCCAAACCTGTTGACACCTTGGACTTCCAGCCTCTAGAATCATGAGAAAATAAATGTTATTTAAGCCACACCTTCCGTGGTCTTCTATTACAGCAGCTCTAGCACCTTCTGAGGAATGCTGCCCACCCAGGCTGTGTGTTTGAAAGGGAATGTGTCAAAGGAAACTAATTCATGCTTTGATGACTGGCAGAAATGTGATGCCATTAAAAGATGGTGTAGTCATGAGGAATGAGATGGCAATGTCAGTTTGAGGTAGGTTTCAATTAGAGGACTTGACGGAACATCACCTAGAGCTTAGGAGATGCTGGACTAGAGTCGAGGTTTGGGACCATCTGCACAGCAGCACTACATGAAGCCCATCAATGAGATTACAAAAAGAGGGGAGCCAAGGATAAAGCCTTTGCAATACCTGTATCTAAGTGATAGGAAAATGAAACAAAAAGGAGGCTGGATGCGGTGGCTCACACCTGTAATTCCAGTACTTTGGGAGGCCGAGGCGGGTAGATCATTTGAGGTTAGGAGTTCAAGACCAGCCTGGCCAACTGGTGAAGCCCCATCTCTTCTAAAAATACAAGAATTAGCCGGGCATGGAGGCACGTGCCTGTAAGCCCAGGTACTTGGGAGGCTGAGGCAGGAGAATCGCTTGAACCCGGGAGGCAGTGGTTGCGGTGAGCCGAGATCACACCACTGCACTCTAGTCTGGGCAACAGAGTGAGTGAGACAGAAAGGAGGGAAGGAAGGAAGGAAGGGAAAGAGAGAAAGAGAAAGAGAGAAAAGAAAGAGGAAGCAAAAAGGAATAATCAGAAAACAAAATGCCAAAATTTTAGTGTCATCAAAACTAAAAGAAGAATTTTAAGATGGGATAGTTAACAATGCCAAATAATGCTAAGAGGTAGAGAGAATGAAAACAGAAAATGCCACTGACATTCAGAAAATGGAAGTCTGGGCCTGATAAAACACTAAGAAGCAAGTGGATACCAAGTAACAGAAGCAACGAATATTGATATTTTATTTTTTGAGACAGTCTCGCTCTGTCACCCAGGCTGGAGTGCAGTGGTGCGATCTCAGCTCACTGCAACCTCTGCCTCCCAGATTCAAGCAAGTCTCCTGCTCAGCCTCCTGAGTAGTTGGGATTTCAGGCACCCGCCACCATGCCCAGCTAATTTTTTTTTTTTTTTTTTTTTTTTTTTTTTTTTTTTAGTAGAGACAGGATTTCACCATGTTGGTCAGGCTGGTCTCAAACTCCTGACCTTGTGGTCCGCCCGCCTCAGCCTCCCAAAGTGCTGGGATTACAGGCATGAGCCACTGCACCCAGCCTGGATGTTTTTATTTTTAACATTAAGGAAACGATCAGCATGTTTCTGTATCAAGAGATGATATGGAGAACATGGAAACTGGGGTTAGCCTTGGTGAGAGGAAATACCTCTTCTCCAGGGGCAGAAGAGAAGTAGAAAAAAATATGATAAAGAAGAAAACAAGGTCACTTACCTCAGCCTCAATCTCTCCTACGAAGTAGCTGACAAAAATCAGGAACTTGGAGAATATGGAGCAAAAGTACCACAGAAAAATAATCTCTAGGGTCAAACAGGTAAATCAGCGAAGGTGGCCGAGAGGGGACGGAGGAAAAGCTGCTGCTTTTCATGAGAAGACAACTGCCTGAGGAAGAGGAGGCCAGCATGCCACCTTTCAATTTTCAAGAGACTCTGGAAATCTAGATTTACATAAAATGTCCCCATTTAAAAAAACTGACAGCTATTTCAAACTTAAAAGAAATTCTATGTAAACCAAAAGAGAATGGAGCCCCCGAGCTGGCGGTGAACTAAGACAGTGAACTAATGGCCACAGCATTAGCTCACTACAAAGAGTCAATGAATTGAATTAAAATGTCTAAGAAACAACTTAGGTTAAAATATATATATATAATAAACTTGCAGCAGCATGGGTTCCCATGGATTTTTCTTACAGTAATATACATCAAGAATAGAAAAGGAAAGTGGTAACTTTTACCCTAAGTTGGGGCTAACATATTTTTAAAACATAAGGGTAGGCCAGGCGCAGTGGCTCACACCTATAATCCCAGCACTTTGGGAGGCCGAGACGGGTGAATTACTTGAGGTCAGGAGTTCGAGACCAGCTTGGCCAACATGGTGAAACCTCATCTCTCCTAAAAACACAAAAAACATTAGCCAGGTGTGGTGGCAGGCACCTATAACCCCATATACTCCGGAGGCTGAGACAGGAGAATTGCTTGAACCCGGGAGGCGGGAGGCGGAGGCTGCAGTAAGCCAAGATTGCACCACTGCACTCCAGCCTGGGCGACAGAACGAGAGTCTGCCTCAAAAAATAAAAAATAAAGGCCAGGTACAGTGGTTCATGCCTGTAATCCCAGCACTTTTGGAGGCCGAGGCAGGCGGATCACCTGAGGTCAGGAGTTTGAGACCAGCGTGGCCAACTTGGCGAAACCCTGTCTCTACTAAAAATACAAAAATTAGCCAGGCTTGGTGGTGGGCATCTGTAATCCCAGCTACTCAGGAGTCTGAGGCAGGAGAATCACTTGAACCCAGGAGGCAAAGGTTGCAGTGAGCTGAGATCACGCCATTACACTCCAGCCTGGGCAACGAGTGAAACTCCATCTCAAATTTAAAAAAAAATAAAATAAATTTAAAAATTAGCTGGGCGTGGTTGTGCGTGCCTGTAATCCCAGCTACTCAGGAGGCTGAGGCACAGGAATCGCTTGAACCCGGGAGGTGGAGGTTGCAGTGAGCCAAGATTGTACCACTCACTCCAGCCTCAGTGACACAGCAAGACTCCATCTCAAACTAACAAGCCCATAAGAGTAGGATGTGAGGATTTCTAGATTTACAAGGGGCACAGAGCTGGAATGTCAGACTGTGGGGCCAACATGAATTGGCAGATAAGAGGAGCTAGGAGTTTGGGATTGGGAAGATGAAATGTTTCAGGGACTAGCTTAGCAGCATGAGTTGGGAAGAAAGAAGAAGGGACTGTGGAAGCAGTTTCAAAAGTTAGTGGGTTGACACAGGAAAAGTTATCTGAAAAGATCTTTAGAGCAGAATAGTTCCCCATGATGCAATTCTAAAGGAGCCAGATGTGTATACAAAAGGGAATCTGTATTTTTGTTTCCATCTTCCCCCAGGATCGATTCTGAGTAAGGTAGAGTAGAAAGAGCAAGGGTTTTAGAGCCAAACCTAGTTTTTAATCCTGGCTTCACCGCTTGTTAACTGTAAGAACATGGGTGAGTTCCTTAATTTTGAGCTGAAGATAGAATACCCCTAGAATAGGAAGCACATGTGGATGCCGTGAAGATGGCTCACAGTAGAGCATGCAAGGCCTCTCAGCACAGTTTCTGGAGCATAGAAGTCCACTCCATCCAAGTTACTCTTTCCTGTCCTCTGATGAAACGCCTGATGCAATGGGAATCCCATTTTCTGTGAGAATATTTGAAATTTTTCCTGATTTTCTTTTTGCAGAAGACAGGAAGAAATTACAGACTAAGAATGGGCAGGCACCTCAATGATCAGGCAAGGGATTCTCTATCTACTCAGTCCAGATCACTTCTGCGAAGCTAATTTTAGCTGCTGAAAAGTCAGGGCTGGAGATTTTGTTCCCCATGAAAGAAAGCTCAAATAATAAACTCTGGACTCAAAAGTATCCTGTAAGTCTAAAAGCCAGGGAATTACAAAATAGAACCAAATGCTGTGTATCAAGGAGGTAAAAGAGTCCAGGGAGCTTTAACAGAATTTCAAGACTAAGCTGGCCAGAGAGTTCCACCGCCTGGAGTGGATAAGCTCTAACAGAAGTGAACATAGGGACCCAAGGAACAGACAGCAGTGGAGAAGATGGAGTGAGTGAAGCATTACCTTAGCTATAGATACCTGGCCCAGAGAGGGACCTTCATAGCCAAGGAGTAGCTAGTGAATAGGCTCACTCACCAGACAGCATCACTGAAATGCCAAAAGATCAGAGAGAGGGCATGGGATAAACAGCATTCTGCTTGGAGGGAGAAAGACAGAAGGGGGCTGTCACCAGCGATGGCCAGATGCAATGAAATACCATCAGGAAAGAAACAGCCCAGGTACTGTCATCTCTGCTCATCTTCCAAGGTCTGGGACTTAGAAGTGGCAGGATTATTCCATAAATATAGTCATCTACACCTGAACCCACCATCACCTTATCTAATAGTAACTAGGAATCAATTATGCCGTCAGTATCACACCACGAAGACAACAGAGCCTCTCCCCACAAGGCACTTACATAACCAACACTCAATCCATGAAAACACTAAACACTAAAAACTTAGCAGGGGCTGGGCGCGGGGGCTCATGCCTGTAATCCCAGCAGTTTGGGAGGCTGAGACAGGAGGATCACCTGAGGTCAGCAGTTTGAGACCAGCCTGACCAATATGGTGAAACCCCGTCTCTACTAAAAATACAAAAATCAGCTGGGTGTGGTGGCACACGCCTGTAGTCCCAGCTACTCGGGAGGCTGAGACAGGAGAATTGCTTGAACCCAGGAGGTGGAGGTTGCAGTGAGCCAAGATAGTACCACTGCACTCCAACCTGGGCAACAGAGCGAGACTCCATCTCAAAAAAAAAACAAACACTTAGCAGGACTGCTGGTGAGGAATGTTTAACCCTAGTTACTCTGACTGTGGAAGGGTATCTGATTGTATAATCTAGTATGAAACCATAGAGTAAGTTACTTCTGTTTTGTTGAGGCATAAGGAAAAGAAAGGGCAGGGTCTCTCCGGCAACATTAAACCTAGACATTACTTGCTTTCCACTGAACTCCATGCTTGCCTATAAAACACTCTGAACTTTAGCAAGAAAAAAGCCACATTCTCAGGACGCTTGACCACAGTGTGCACTTTGAGGAATGCTGTTCTTGCAGCACTTGTGTGCATCTGTGTAACAAGAAAGAAGAAAACAAACCCACTAGACTTTTGTTAGGAAAATACAGTTGGTGGAGACTGTGCAACATTAAGCCAGCAACTATAGACAGGCTGAGAATTCCCTACAGGCATCAGCCCTGACTCCAAGGCTTCATGCCTCACACCAGCCATGGCTGGCCTCCTTCAGAGCCTGCCACAGAGCCTTGGCACATGCTGTTCCTTCCAACAGCATAAGCAAAAAAATCCTGCTGTATCTGAGCTGCTACTGACAGATGTCTCTAGCAAGGAAGAGATAAAGACAACTCAATTTCACCCTTCTTCAAATATATTTTACCTAGAACAGATCCTATATTTTTATGCAGATCATATTTAAGGCTGCCTGGATTTCTCCTCTGAAAAGCAAAGCATATGGAAATTCAAATACTCAAGTATATTTACTTTAAATAATTAATATCAAAAATAGAAGGAGAAGCAAGATTCTAAAATATGTATTTGCCTAGTGTACTTTCCCATTGTGATAGTTACTGTTTGGTCTTAGCCAGGGATAAATTTCAAATATGAGAAATCAATGAAATCCATTCCATTGAGAATTATCTGGAGAAGAGTGATCCCAGACCCACTGAGTAGTTTTTATTTCTCATTTATGATCAAGAATGGAATCTACTTATCCCAAAGTTCATTTGGCCTGCTGATACTAAGTACCTTCCCTACCTCCAGCCACCATAAACAATACTTTGTCCTATATGGCAAGACTCTGGGCTGGAGTTCAAGGCCTTTCACAGTTTGATTGCTTATCTAAGAGTTCTATGAGTTGGGAGAGGGATAGAGCCAATATTGTGTGGAAACAGAGGCACCCACAGAGAGAGGACACCCTCATGCTGCTGATAGACAGCTCAACCGCCTTGAGTGCCAGCTGAGACAAGTGCTTTCCCCAAATCGACATTTTGTGACTTTTTGAACTTGCATTTCTACCCCCCCACTTTTTTTTTGGTATGTTTAAACTACTACAAGAGTCTTGCCTCGAGACAAACTTTCTAACCCTGGTTTTATTATACTACCATCTCAAAAATAATAATAATAATAATTCAAGAAAAAGAAGCTCGGCCGGGTGCAGTGGCTCACGCCTGTAATCCCAGCACTTTGGGAGGCCAAGGCAGGCGGATCACGAGGTCAGGAGATCGAGACCATCCTGGCTAACACAGTGAAACCCCATCTCTACTAAAAATACAAAAAATTAGCTGGGTGTGGTGGCGGACGCCTGTAGTCCAAGCTACTCGGGAGGCTGAGGTAGGGGAATGGTGTGAACCCAAGAGGCGGAGCTTGCAGTGAGCCAAGATCGTGCCACTGCACCCCAGCCTGGGCAACAGAGCAAGACTCCGTCTCAAAAAAAAAGAAGTTCAAGCTTCTTGCTCAGGCACTGAGGCTCAGCATAATCCAGCCCTACCTCAGGCCCCCAGCTCCTCAGCAAGCCCCAATTGGTCTATGCATGGTCACCCACACGAGCCTGCCCTTTGCTCATGCCCCATGAGCACTTACTCATAGTACGTGCTAAGTAAACATTTGTTCCAAGTGAACGAATTTAAGACCTACCATTTTCAAGGCTCAGTTCAAATTTTAGATTATATACGAATCCTTCCATGACCACCACAGTCTGAAGGTATCATTTCATCTTCTGAATTTCAGTTATCGCTCATGTACTTAACAAGTTCTATGTAATACCTACTGCGAGGCAGGTATCAGGGCTCAACCCAGAATAGCTACCGTCCTGCCCTGAAAGAGCCTGGAGTCCAGTGGGGAGAGTTATGAAGTTTAACTGCTGAACAACGTTGTGGGTGCTGGAATATTTAAATACAAAAGCTTTCTTATTGTTATATATATTTATTGAGCTCCCTACTAGGATTAGGAACCAGCCTAGGTACTTTTTATGGGTTCTGATTCAATCCTGATGGGCCATTTTACAAGGAAAAAGAAAAGAGACTCTGAAAAGTTAACTTGGTTTCCCCTGACTATTTGGATAAGCAGAGTCTGGATTCAAACCCAGTTGAGTCTGGATTCCTTCCACCATCTACCCTGCCTCCCAGGCCTGAGGTGTAGAATGTATTCTGGAAATACAAGTAGTCAGACTAGGAAGAGGAAGTCATCCCAGGCAGAAGGAACAGCAGGAGATGCATTCCCAGAATGGTGAATGGTTCAGAAAGATCAGAGCACAGTTATATGTTGAAAAAAAGAAGTAGGTTAGACTGTGAGCACTGGACTCAGTCCAGTAGACTATAGAGGAGCTTCAGGATCCATGTCGTGTGTCCCCAACAAGATAAGCTTTTTTTTTTTGGCCAGGAGGGATGGAATCTTGCTCTTGTGGTCCAGGCTAGAGTGCAGTGGTGCGATCTCGGCTCACTGCAACCTCTGCCACTTGGATTCAAGCAATTCTTCTGCCTCAGCCTCCTGAGAAGCTGGGATTGAAGGCACCCGCCACCACACCCGGCTACTTTTTGTATTTTTAGTAGAGATGGGGTTTCACTATGTTGGCCAGGCTGGTCTCAAACTCCTGACCTCAAGTGATCCACCCTCCTCAGCCTCCCAAAGTGCTGGGATTACAGGCGTGAGCCATCATGCCCAGCCAAGATAAGCTTTCTTAAGAGCAGGCACCACAGCCCCTTTCTGTATTCTCACACCATCAGGTATGTATTCAATACAACTGGTGGAAAGTCCACGGGCTTTTCTGGATCATTTAGTTTCATGTCCCCATTGGGACCCCATGGTTCTACGCAGCTTTATGAATGCTGACTATCTGTGCCTCCAACCAGGCTTGGCACCTCAGAAACCAGTGACCACCTCAGACCAAAAGCAAACCTTCTCTAGTTGCCACTAAGTGGGCTAGGGCTATCTTTTCTACTTTCCAAAACTCCTGCCATTCCCTGGGTTCCTTCATTTCCGGGGGTCATGTAATAGCAAAGCTGTCTGAAGATTATCTCAATAGCACTTAAGATGTGCTAGACACTATGTGCATTCATTTAACCCTCATAACTTCCGGAACTAGGTTCTAATATGCCCATTTGACTGACAAGGAAATAGAAGCTTAGAGAGCCTGATCTAGAGTGCAGGTTTCCAATCCCAGTGCTCATTTTCTTAATCACTTAGCCATGATACCCATCAGGCAAAGAGATTAAGGAAATCTGGGCAGTCCCTCATGAAGGACCAAAGAAAGAAGTTGCTGAGATCTTGAGGAAAACACGTCTAGCTCCAGCTTGCCACTCTCATTGCATCCCTATGCAACGAATGCAAGAATCATTTCACTAAGAAGTGACCAGAGAAACCCATTCCCATATGATTAGACCCTGGACTTCAGATGCCCTGAGAGAGGATTGGAGTCCTTCAACCTCCTTTCCTGAGGAACACCTCATCAAAGCCATCGCCATCTGCATCTATTCTTCTAGCTCCTTCCCTGCCACACTAATTCCATTTATGCAAATATGTTCTATGCCAGGTAGTGCTCAAGGGGCTGGTAATACAGCAAGTAACACAAATGACAAGATCCCTGCAGTCTTGAAGCTTAACATCTGGCAAAGGTGACAAGTAAAAGAGATGATTTTTTTTTTCTCGAGATGGAGTCTCACTTTGTCACCCAGGCTAGGGTGCAATGGCACAATCTTGGCTCACTGCAACCTCCACCTCCCAGGTTCAAGCAATTCTCCTGCCTCAGCCTCCCAAGTAGCTAATACTACAGACAGGCAGTACCACGCCCGGCTAATTTTTGTATTTTTAGTAGAGATGGGGTTTCACCATGTTGGCCAAGCTGGTCTTGAACTCCTGACCTCAGGTGATCCACCTGCCTCAGCCTCCCAAAGTGCTGGGATTACAGATGTGAGCCACTGCACCCAGCCCAAATGAGATGATTTCTGATGGTACACGCTGTGAATGATAGAGATACTGGTGGCATGGAGGTGGGAGGCTGATTTAGAAAGTCCTTCCTGGGAGGTGACATTTTAATTCATACCCCAATGACAAGGAGCTACCCTTCAAGGCTCCAGGATCTACCTTATACTTGGCCAACTGAAAAAGACATTAATGATGATCTGGTCTCAACTTCTTATTTGTAAGTGAGCAAACAGAGGCTCAATGAGATTAAAAGACTAGGACAAGGTTTCCCAAGTGACTGCAATTTGTTTCTTCTTACTATTCTACAGAGACTTTCGATATACACATTTGAAATCTAGGCATCTTACATCGTGTTTTTAACATATTCATGGTTTTTTGTTTTTTAGACAGGATCTCAGTCTGTCACCCAGGCTGGAGTGCAGTGATGCAATCACGGCTCACTGTAGCCTCGACCCCCTGGGCTCAAGCAACCCTTCCATTTCAGCCTCCCAAGTAGCTGACACCACAGACACATGCCACCATGCAGGATTAATTTATTATTATTTTTTGTAGAGACGGGGGTCTCACTTCATTGCCCAGGCTGGTCTCGAACTCCTGGCCTCAAGTGATCCTCCCGCTTGGGCATCCCAAAGTGCTGGGATTACAGGCATGAGCCACCATGCAGGACCACACATTTGTACTTATAATTTTATTTTCAGTACACTCTTGGGGAAAAGATGACAGACCTTCACTTGATCAATAATGAAATTGAGGCTCCAGTTGGCTAAGTAGTTTGTCTAATGGCCTGTCACTAGCAACTGAATCAAAACTCTGATGATTTGTATTCCAGTCCTATGTTCTTTCCCCTGGGGGAGAAGTAGCTGCCTAGCCAGTGGTCTATGAATATAAGACATCATTACCAGCAACTTCACACCCTATGGTGCAGAGAACATACAAAAGTCAAAGATAAGCACAAGTTACTATCATAACACAGAAATTCAAAGACCCTGAGTAATTTGCTGCAGACTTCAGATGACTGGACAATCATGGCCTGAGGCAGTCCCTGCTACCCCCTCTTGCCTTCTAGATACAAGACTGAAAGCTGCCCTGGTGACACATTGCAGAGATTTTAGTAAATAAAGAAGAATGTGTTTCTCAGAGCCAACGCCCAAATCTTCATAGCTGGACCCAACCCAGACCAGGAGTCTTCATAGCGAGTGAACCCTTAGGTAAGTGTCATACTTAAGTCTCATGAGTCTTCTGCTTAAGAAATAAACTACTAGTGGTTCCCAAACCTACCTGCACTGATCAGAATGATTCTGGGAGAGTTTTCAAATAAAGATCTTTCAATTCACACAAGGCCTGGAGACTTAGAAATGCCAAAGGTGAGAGCCTGGGGAATGTATGTTTTAAAATTCAGCCAGCCTGGAAATCCACTGGTTTTTCTCATGTCTTAGTGCTGCAGTGTGATACAGAGAGGAAAGATGCCTGCTTTTATTATCTAGTGGGCAAGCTAAGTTAGGCTGCATCCTTTAAAGGCTGCTTCCAGAAGAGTCTTCTCTGCTACCCAAGGCCCCTGTATCAGTAGGAAGGTCCCGGGCATATCCGCCTGGTTACCTGTGAAGTCAGTTGTCTCACTCCCTTTGGCTGCACATCAAACCCCCACACAACCCCGGGAAGGCTTTTTCTGAGGTCGGTTTACCAATTTCTTTGTGAAGCAGACCCTAGCCTACAAAGGTGAGGGGCATCTCCAGCAGAAAGAATCTCAGAGCGTGGATCATCTCTCACCCCCAACCACCGCCAAAGGGGCCTGGCTGCCTCCCCATGGGACTCTTCTCTGCCCTAGACAGCCAGCTACTGGCTTGGAAAAAGAAAAAGGGAAAAGGAAAAGAAAGAAGGTAGTTCAGGCCCCGGTGGCCAGCACCCTCAAGGAGGACACGAGCAGTTCTTACCTGGAGATGGAAGAGGAGCTGCTCTGTTCGTTCACTCAGGAATTCTGTCTCTGCAGGTGAGCATTAAGCTTGCAACTCACTGGACTTTGAACAAAGATTGATTTAAAAGCTAATGTATTTAACAGGGACATGTGGTCTGAATTCAAGTGACCTCTGTCCTGCTTCCTGCCAGCTGGCTGGGCCCTGAGCTGGAAAATCTGACAAACCTCAGCAAACCAAAAGCTCTGGCCCACCTGCCTGGCCCTGCGGGGAGGCCGCTGCTCGCCAGCCACTCCCAGAGAACAAGGAGGGGAGAGGGGGTGAAGGACAGCCAGGGAGGAGGTGCCTCCGCTTTCCTTGGTACTCTCCCTTTGGCAGATACCTTGGTTACACCCAACCAACCCCCAATCCTGTTAGGATCCTCCAGTCCCCCATCCTGGGGTCAGGGCCGAGGCTCATACAGGAGTATCCTCAATCACTGAGGCCTCCCCAAGGAGCAGTAGCCTATAAAACTCCCACCCACGAGGCCAGTAAGCCCCAGGAAATGGGGCCAAGCACTCAGGGCACCCATCCTGCTTCCCTCTGCCCTGGATTCTCACTTGTGTGCTCCCTAGGAGTTTAGCAAGCAAAGCCCTAGAGCAAGCAAAGCCCTTGTTCTTGTGTCCCAGGCTTCCTTCTTCTTATCCACTCTCTCCCCTCTCTTTTTTTCTTCTCTTTCTCACCTGATGGTGCTCTTTCTATTCTCCAGCCTAGCGATAATTGTCTTCCCCTTCACACACTCAGAGCCTCTCGGGCAAGCCCAGCAGGGTAGGTGGAAGGCATTTTTACAAACCCCTCCATCCTGCTGCCTTGCTGCCCGAGCAGTAGGCTGGTGCCCGTGTGCTCAGCCGCTAGCCCTAGCCATGATCAGCAGCTGATCCCTATCAGCAGCACCCACACAGACAATTCTATCACTGGCCTTCTCACTGACCTGAATCCTCAGCCCACAATGCAAATCAGGGCAAGAGATTGCTCCCGGCACTGAGGCAAAGCAAACCACAGGCCGAGGACTGGGTGACCTCACCCCTCTTCCACCCACACTGGAAGAGCCATTTGTCTTTGCTGGGCCTTGGCTTGGCCCCCAACAAAGACATGACCTGAGCCCATGGATAAACGGTTTAAAATGACATTGAGCAGCTTCCTCATACCAGCTTATCTTCCTCCACCTCGGGGCTAAGCCCTCCTGGCCTCCTCTATATCTTTCAAAGCAGAAGGTAGAATGGGAAAATCTGGATTTAGGATCAGAACACCTGAGTTCATCGCAATCCCAGCAATTTGTGAGGCCAAAGCGGGCAGATTGCCTGAGCTCAAGAGTTCGAAACCAGCCTGGGCCACATGGCAAAACCTTGTCTCTACAAAAGGTACAAAAAGCCAGGCATGGTGGTGCATGCCTGTAGTCCCAGCTACTCTGGAGGCTGAGGTGGGAGGATCACTTGATTGAGAGGCAGAGGTTGCAGTGAGCCGTGATCATGCCACTGCACTCCAGCCTCAATGACAGAGCGAGACCCTGTCTCCAAAAAAAAAACAACAAAACAAAAAAGAAAGAAAGAACACCTGAGTTCAATTCTGACGCCACCATTTCCCATTTCCCAGGTGTTTGATCCAGAGTAATTCATTTTTAACTCTCTGGGTCTCACCTTCATCATGTATAAATAGTTGTTATTGTATGGTTTTTAGAAATTTTTAAAAATTGCTGTTGTTGTTGTTGTTGTTTGAGATGGAGTCTCACTCTGTTACAGCCCAGGCTGAAATGCAGTGGTGCAATCTCAGCTCACTGCAACATCCGCTTCCTGAGTTCAAGTGATTCTCCTGCCTCAGCCTCCCGAGTGGCTGGGATTACAAGTGCCCGCCACCATGCCTGGCTAATTTTTTGTATTTTCAGTAGAGACAGGGTTTCACCATGTTGGCCAGGCTGGTCTCGAACTCCTGACCTCAAGTGATCCTCCCGCCTTGGCCTCCCAAAGTACTGGGATTACAGGCCTGGTGTATTCCTTTTGTCTCTGGTTTATTTCATTCAATATGATGTTTGTGAGGTTCACTCACGTTGCTGTGAGTAGCTGTAGTTCATTCATTTTCATACTAGGATTCCATTTACATGATGTCCAAATATAGGGCAGAACTTTGGGGGATTCCTGCTTAGGTGGTAACACACGACCCTAACTTCTGGTATGCTGGCAATATTCTAGTTCTTGAGCTAAGTGAAGGTTACACAGGTGTTTAAGATTAATTACCGAGCTATGCATTTTTGTTTCATGCACTTATTCTGTATAAATAATAATTAAATTATATTGAAATTTTAAACATTACAATATGTGTATAGCATACTGGAGTAAGAAGAAGCTCTTCCAGTGACCTGCCTGAGGATTTCAGCTGTGCTCAGCTCTGCATGATCTATTCAAAAATGAAAGGGATCAATATCTTGGCATGCCAATAACCTACATGTGGCACACCTGAGCAATCTGGTCAGGAAGCTTTGATCTCTCCAATTTTTAAAAATTGGCTGGGCACGGTAGCTCATGCCTATAATCTCAGCACTTTGGGAGGTTGAGGCGGGAGGAATGCTTGAGTCCAGGAGTTTGAGACCAGCCTGGGCAACATGGTGAAACCCCATCTCTACAGAAAATACAAAAATTAGCTGGGTGTGGTGGTGTGCACCTGTAGTCCCAGCTACTCAGGAGACTGAGGCAGGAGGATTGATTGAGCCTGTGAGGTCAAGGCTGCAGTGAGTCACGATCATGCCACTGCACGCCAGCCTGGGCTACAGAGCGAGACCCTGTCTCAAAAAAAAAAAAAATTAAATTGTGGTAAAATATTCATAACAAAAAAATTATCATTTTAATCATTTTGATTATACAATTCAGTGGCATTAAGTACTTTCACACTATTGGGCAACCATCACCACCATCCATCTCCAGAACTTTTTCATCTTCCCAAAGTGAAACTGTGTAGCCGTTAAACACGATTTTCTATTCCTTCCTCCCCAGCCCCTGGCAACTACCTTTCTACTTTGTTTCTACAAATTTGACTACTCTAAGCACCTTCTATGTGTGGAATCATATGCTATTTGTCCTTTTGTGACTGGCTTATTTCACTTAGCAAATGTCTTCAAAGTTCATTCATGTTGTAGCACATGTCAGAATTTCCTTCCTTTTGAAGGGTGAATAATATTCCACTGTGTACATACATCACATTTTATTTATTCGTCCATCAAGGAATGGATTGCTACCACCTTTAGGCTGCAGTCAATAATGCTGCCATGAAAATGGATGTACAAATATTTGTTCAAGTCCCTGTTTTCAAATCTTTTGGGTATTTGCCCAGAAAAGGAATTGCTGGATCATACATTTAATTTTTTAAGGAACCACCATACACCATACTGTTTTCCACGGTGGCTGCACCATTTTGCTTTCTCACCAGCAACATAGAAAGGTTCCAATTTCACCACATTCCCATGAACACTTGTTCTTTTCTGTTTTTTGTTTGTTTGTTTTTTAATTGATGGCCATTTTAATGGGTTTGAGGTGACATCTCATTGTGGTTTTGATTTGCATTTCCTTAATGATTCATGATGTTGGGCATCTTTTCACGTGCTTACTGGCCATTTGTATCTTCTTTAGATAAATGTCTATTCAATTTGCTTGCCCATTTTTAAAATCAAGTTGTTTTTGTTGTTATTGAATTGTATCATCTCAATTTTTCTTTATTATAAAACAAAGACTCAGAGAGGTGAAGTGACTTAGCCAAAGCCCCCTCAGGCAGAAACATGGCTAAAAACTCTGTGCTTTTGCTTTTGTGGCCAATGCCCTTTCTACTATACCAGTCTGCCTGGCTCAGTGGGTATCCTCACATTTTTCCTCCAACTTCAGGTCTGATTGTCCTAGTATGCATGTCCTACTACCTTGTCTTTTTAGTAGCTCATTAACTTACTCTGAGCCTGGAATTTTAAGCTCCAGTGGTTTTCTCTCCCTGTCTAGAGTCAATATTTATGACAGTCTCCCTTTCCACTCTCTCTGTTACTCTGGCCTCATCCCACCTTAAGAGGCGACTGTGTACTCTGCATACCTTTGGAGGAATTTATTAGGCCAGAGTCCAGATGCAAGACTGAGATAAATGTTCTATAGCAGTGTGGGTGACAGGCTGGAGACGGGGCAATGCCACTTGGCTGCAGCACACACTGTGGCCCCACATGACTGCTGACTGGAACTTTCTAGTTCTTTTCAGTAACCAAGTGTCAGGACAGGGGAGGCCTGAGGATCCTTGGAGAGCTATGAATTATTAACACTTGCAAGCTGGCTGCCAAGGATATCCGAGTAGTAATTCACTCGTTCTTCCTTTTCCCAGATGAGGGGTCAGAATACACAATCCTTTTCCACCATAAGAAAAAGGCACAGAACAAGAACATGCCATGTTCTGGGTTCCTGCATGTACCAAGGTCTGGTCTTGGCACTCTTGGAGTGTTGGTTAAAAGGGTATTTGGTTGCCCCTTTCTGAGAGATACAGAAACAATCAGTGGTTCTTGGGCAGTTTGGATTCTGCCTTAAAAAGCCAGACCCTCAAGGGCCCCCAAAGGTCCAGAATGGGGAACAGGAGAAGAGCAAGGAAAGTGTCAGGTATATCAAGGCTACAGCCTCAGCCTGACCTCATCCCTCTGGGGACCATCCCATGCAGAGGTAAAGGGTCAGTGAGAAAGAATCAGGAACCATGAACAGCCTAGTGGCCCAAGTCTGTAGCTTGATTTAAAAGACATCCCTCGGCCGGGCACGGTGGCTCACGCCTGTAATCCCAGCACTTTGGGAGGCCGTGGTGGGCGGATCACCTGAGGTCGGGAGTTCAAGATCAGCCTGGCCAACATGGAAAAACCCTGTCTCTACTAAAAATACAAAATTAGCCAGGCATGATGGTGCATGCCTGTAATCCCAACTACTAGGGAGGCTGAGGCAGAAGAATCGCTTGAACCTGGGAGGCAGAGGTTGCTGTGAGCTGAGATTGCGCCACTGCATTCCAGCCTGGGCGACAGAGCAAGACTCTGTCTCAAAAAAAGAAAAGACATCCCTGCCAGGCGCGGTGGCTCATGTCTATAATCCCAGCACTTTGGGAGGCCAAGGTGGGTAGATCACCTGAGGTCAGGAGATCGAGACTAACCTGGCCAAAATGGCAAAACGCTGTCTCTGCTAAAGATACAAAAAAAAAAAAAAAAAAAATCTTCCGGGCGTGGTGGCAGGTGCCTGTAATCCCAGCTACTTGGGAGGCTGAGGCAGAAGAATTGCTTGAACCCGGGAGGTGGAGGTTGCAATAAGCTGAGATCATGCCATTGCACTCCAGCCTGGGCAAGAGAACGAGACTCTGTCTCAGAAAAAAAAAAGACATTCCACCTCAAAGTATTACCTTCCCCAGAATGGTTCCAGTGCCCCCTGACATTCTAGCTTGGAAAGTAAACTAATTGTGCCCATCCTGTTTACTCTGTTGCTTAGAATTCTTGCCAGGATGCTGGGCGCGGTGGCTCACACCTGTAATCCCTGCACTGTGGGAGGCCGAGGCAGGTGGATCACTTGAGGTCAGGAGTTCGAGACCAGCCTGGCTAACATGGTGAAACCCCGTCTCTACTAAAAATACAAAAAATGGGCTGGGCGTGGTGGTGGGCACCTGTAGTCCCAGCTACTTGGGAGGCTGAGGCAGGAGAATCACTTGAACCCAGGAGGCAGAGGTTGCAATAAGCCGAGGTTGCGCCACTGCACTCCAGCCTGGGCAACAGAGTGAAAGAGCGAAACTCTGTTTCAAAAAAAAAAAAAAAAAAGAGAAAGAATTCTTGCCAAGGAAAAAGCAATGCTTGTCTTTTTTTTTTTTTTTTGGAAATGTAGTCTCGTTCTGTCACCCAGGCTGGAGTGCAGTGGCATGATCTCAGCTCACTGCAACCTCTGCCTCCTGGGTTCAAGTGATCCTCCTGCCTCAGCCTCCCAACCAGGATTCCAAGTGTGCTCTACCACGCCTAGCTAATTTTTGTATTTTTAGTAGCGACAGGGTTTCACTATGTTGGCCAGGCTGAATTTGAACTCCTGACCTCAAGTGATCCACCCACCTCAACCTCCCAGAGTACTGGGATTGCAGGCATGAGCCACCACACCTGACCAATGATTGTCTTTATTATCCACTGAAGAAAGTACATTTTCTCCTCTAAAGCCCAAGTCAGCATGAGGATGGCACCATCCAGTTTGCCTTAGGGTAGAGTGCAGCCTCTGTGCCTCCAGACAACTGTAGAAGTGCCTGCAATTCCACTCAGCAGAGTATTTTTTTGCTAAGCACCCTTTGCTAAGTACTACCTATTCATTTCCTCTGGATCAATTGAAAATACCAGGGAGGGTAAATGTTAAATCTTTGATGGAAGAATGAGGCATCAAGACCTGGGACTCTTCGTGCCTGAGGGAAGGTTGAGAAAGAATGGCCATTGCCAAGTGTGGGAGACCAGTTTCCCCAACTTCTTCAGCCAAAGACAGCTTCGCAGGTGCCTTTCAGAGGAGCCCTGCACTGGGATTCACATAGTGTGGCTTGCAGGCAGCTCTCGGAGCAGCCCCACAGGCCTGGTCTCCCTTAGGAGGAGGCCTGGCCGCAAAGGAACTTGGTGTCCTCTATGACCGGAGAGGGACAAGACAGGCTCTATAGGACACCAAAGTAATTTGGGCACATTTTTCTATGCCTTCTGTTTTAAAAGACATAACTTGAGAGTACCTGGTGAGCCATTCACTACAGACTGGAAATTAGAATAGAGGCTGAGAGAGACATTTTTTTCCAGGCCTGCCCTGTCATCTTGATACCCAAACCCCTGAAGCTGCCACCTCTGTCTCCACAATAAAACAGCCCTGAGGTCAGGTGTGGTGGCTCGTGCCTGTAATCCTAGCACTTTGGGAGGCCGAGGCAGGTGGATTACCTGAGGTCAGGAGTTTAAGACAAGACTGGCTAACATGGCAAAACCCCGTCTCTGCTAAAAATACAAAAATTAGCCAGGCATGGTGGCACGCGCCTGTTGTCCCAGCTACTCAGGAGGCAGAGGCAGGAGAATCGCTTGAACCCGGGAGGCAGAGGTTGCAGTGAGCTGAGATTGTGCCACTGCACTCCAGCCTGGGTGACAAAGCGAGACTCTGTCTCAAAAAAAAAAAAAAAAAAAGCAAAACCAAAAAAACCCAGCCCTGACTCCCTCTCCATATTTTATCATTATTCTATTACCAACGACCCTGGGCTAAAGGCCAGCAGTGACAGTGGCTGGGACAGGGGCTGAGATGCCTGCACAGCTTTGCTGTATGTGCCTCTGGCTCTGAGGCTTGGTTTCCTTCCAGAAAACTGTTGGCTGTGCTAGGTGTCAGTTCACCCTTCTCCAGGGGAGAAGCTGGGCCTCGCACCAGCCCCTGGAGCCTCAAATGTGCTCCCTCACAGCCACTGGGGCTGCTCACCAACCATCACAGTAGGCCCTGAACTGGGCCAAGGTCAGAGTTACTCTCCCTCACCCACACTCCCCAAACTCACACATGCTAAGCAACAAGGGGAAATGTGACAGGAGAATGAGCTCTACTCTTTACATGCGGGTGTAGCCTCTGGCACCTTCGTGGCCTGGAAGTCTAACACAGTCCAGTGAAATGTAGAAATAGCTACAAAGCTAAAGTGACCTTTGGCTGCAGTGAACACACGAGACTTGGACTAAGCCGAGGCAGGTAGCAGGTCTGAGCCATGTATCTAACAAGGGAGACTGACAAACTGGACTCTGTTCAGAGAAGAGGAGAAAGGACAAACAAAATATTGGAACCGTGAAAGCACTAAAATAATTGTAAGAAATAATTGCAGGAGCTGGGGATATTTAGCCCAGAAAGGAGAAACTTTAGAATGATTAACTTTCTTCAGAGAGTTGATAGACTCCTGAGTAGAAAGGAAAACTAGGTAATGCTGGCCAGGCGCGGTGGCTCACGCCTGTAATCCCAGCACTTTGGGAGGCCGAGGCAGGTGGATCGCCTAAAGTCAGGAGTTTGAGACCAGCCTGACCAACATGGTGAAACCCCTTCTCTACTAAAAAATACAAAAAATTAGCTGGGCGTGGGAGCGGTGGCTGCAATCCCAGCTGCTCAGGAGGCTGAGGCACAAGAATCACTTGAACCCAGGAGACAGAGGTTGCAGTGAGCCAAGATTGTGCCACTGCACTCCAGCCTGAGCAACAGAGTGGGACTCTGTCTCAAAAAAAAAAAAAAAAGAAAAAAGAAAAAGAAAAAGAACACTAGGTAATGATACTAGCCCACACCTGAGTACTTTTATATGCCAAGCACCATGCCAATTGTTTTACACACTTTCTCATTTACTCTAAACAGCAGTTCTGTGATATAACTGCAATTATTATCCCCATTCCACAGTTGAGGAAAACACAGAAAGGTTGAATGACTTATCCAAGGTCACGTAGTAAGTGGAGTCAGGACGTAAATCCAGGCAGTCTGCCTCATGTGCCTGAGACTTGCCTGCCATCCATAGACATTTCCCATGTGGGGCCCTCAGCAGACTTCATTGAAAGTTAAAGGCAGGCAGGACTGACAGCAGCACAAGGAAGAATTTTACTGGAAGTATTCCACAAGGGATATTGTGTGGATACTTTGGGTGGTAGTGAGCTGCAGAACAGTAGACAGATTCAAGCAGAGGATGCAAGAGGTATTACCCTGAACAGTTCGCAAGGAGCATTACAGCAACAATAGCACCAGGGAACTTGTTAGGAATACAACTTCTTGGACCACCCCCACCCCTGCCCTGAGTCCCTGAATTAGAAACTCTGCAGCTGGGCCCAGCCATCCGAATTGTTCAAAGATGCCCTGCTGGTGATGTTAATACACGCTCAAGTTTGGGAAACACTGGCATGCAAGTGTCTGCACACTTCCAGGGACTGGAAGACTGCTGCAGTCTCTTCTGCTTCCAAAACCCCATAATTCTACAGAAGTAAGATGGAAATACAATTCAATGTCCACTCAGTTTTTCTTTGTCTTAATGTCGAGCACTTACTATTAGTATCTTGAAAACAATCTATCAGTTGCTAAATTGTGTAACTGGACTCATACACCTTAGACATTGAAAGGCCCACAGGATACATATTTGGGAGGCTGTGGATGACCAGGAGGCAGCCTATATTTCAGCCACCTCATTGCTTCACTGACTTCCAAACCAGCCCCATATGTCCCTGCTCCTTGCTGGTTCATACTGTTCCTCTACCCCTGCCTTTTGAAATCCTGCCTTCTTTCAAAGCTCAATTTAAATGTCACATTGTCCACACAGAGTGCCTAACACTGTCTGCGCCCACAGGGCAGTCTCCTTTTCTTCCTCCCAACCTCCCCTGCTTCCTGGGTTCTCTCTCACTTCTGGGGTACTTAGAGCTCTTGGTGCATTCTGCTTCTGCTTCATCTCACGGGAATGCAGGCCTCTCTCAGCAGTGTGCTCGCCTTGACAGCAGGCCCCATTCAGTCATCGTCAACCCCGCAGGGCCTGGCACACAATAACCTTGTGAGAAGCGACCAAAAGCAACATTTGCAGAAAACTGTGCATGCAACCGTTTGCAGGATGGACAGACACTACATGGCTGGTGAAAAGGAAGCGCGCTGCGATTCACTTTTGAGCCCTGAGGTCTTTGCAGAACTTTGAGGTTTTTTGCAATAACCAGTATGAATACATGTGTGTCAGCTAGTACTTAAGTGGCCCCAACCTCACTCACCCACAACTCTGGTTGCCTTTAACTTCTCTTCATGTTGCTAATAATCACTGTTTTACAGCTCCTGGATGATAAGGAATGCTGAGTGCTCTCAGAGCCAACCTTTGAAAGGTTCTCATAGACCCAAGGAGGGAGAAGTCTCCATTTTAGAGAGCAGAGAGGTCATCTGTTTGAACACTATCATAGAGACAGCAAATAAGGATACTGGGAGAGCAGAGACCAGGCCCAGTTTAGCAGTTTATGCCAGTGGGACCCAGTATCCTGTGGGCTGTGGTGGACTGGTCCTGTGACCAGGATGATGGTGAGACACTCCTCTTCCCAACATGGGTTCCCAACCCCCAGGCTCCCAGAATGGACTCATTCTGCAGTGAAAGCTAACACTTTGATGGAGTGAAGAAGTATTTCTTTTCTTTTTTCTTTTTTTTTTTTTTTTAGAGACACAGTCTCACTCTGGCATCCAGGCTGGAGTGCAGTGGCGCAATCACGGTTCACTGCAAGCTCCGCCTCCCGGGGGGTCACACCATTCTCCTGCCTCAGCCTCCCCAGTAGCTGGGACTACAGGCACCCACCACCAGGCCCAACTAATTTTTGTATTTTTAGTAGAGACAGGTTTCACTGTGTTAGCCAGGATGGTCTCAATCTCCTGACCTCGTGATCCACCTGCCTCGGCCTCCCAAAGTGCTGGGATTACAGGTGTGAGCCACTGCGCCTGGCTTGGAGTGAAGAAATATTTCTAATATCTGTCTCATTTGACGATGGCTTCAGTGGAGCCATCTGGGAGTTCTCAAACCCCAGAGCACCCTACTGTTTTTAGGACCACAGAGTACTACAATAACAGGAATAAGAAGGAAAAGAGAGTCTCTAGACTAGTTATGAAAAATTTTCCCCCACCCTCCCTCCACCCTTGAATTCCTGGGTAGCCTGGCACTGGGTGGCAATCATGACAGGTGTTCCTCCAGAACCGTGGGGCTTCCTGGTGTGCTGTGCCCTTTGGCACAGGGCCTGGCCCAGCCTTGCAGGACTTAGAGCCCAATGCTTCTAATTCTCAGACTAATGTTCCTGCCATCTAAGGGCACAACCCTAGAATTTAGGAACAATTGTAATCTCCCAAGCCATCACTGACCAAGGAAGAACAGAACAGAATAGAAATGGATGGGAAGCTGGGAGTGGTGGTTCAGGCCTGTAATCCCAGCACTTTGGGAGGCCAAGGCCAGAGGATTGTTTGAGCCCAGGAGTTCAAGAGCAGGCGGGGCAGCATAGGGAGACCTCATCCATACAAATCATTTTTAAAATTATCAACCGAGCGTGGTGGCTCACGCCTGTAATCCCAGCACTTTGGGAGGCCAAGGCAGGCAGATCACTTGAGGTCAGGAGTTTGAGACCAGCCTGGCCAACATGATGAAACTGTCTCTACTAAAAATACAAGAATTAGTCCAGCATGGTGGCAGGCTCTCGTAATCCCAGCTACTCAGAAGGTTGAGGCAGGAGCATCACTTGAGCCCAGGAGGCAGAGGTTACAGTGAGCTGAGATCACGCCACTGTACTCCAGCCTGTGTGACACAGCGAAACTCCATCTCTAAATAAATAAATAAATAAATAAATAAATAAATAAATAAATAATAAATAAATAAAAAGTTATCCAGGTGTGGTGGCGTACACCTGTGGTCCTAGCTGCTTGAGGGGCTGAGGTGGGAAGATCACTCGACCCCAGGAGGTCAAGGTTGCAGTGAGCCATGATTGCCCCACTGCACTCCAGCCTTGGTGACAGAGCAAGACCCTGTCTCAAAAAAAAAAAAAAAAAAAGGAAAGAAAGAAAAAAGAAAAAGAAAAAAAATGGGTGGGTGGGAAGATAAGGTCAGTCATTCATCCTCCCCCCACCACATCAGGACCATTTTGGTGCCCCCACTCGTTGCCTCCCCTGCTCACCACCACCCTCACCCAAGCCTTCTTGACAGCTCCCTGACCTTCTTCCCTTTCAGCCTGGAGCAGCTGTGTTCTCTGTCCTACTTCTAACCAAAACCTACTCTCAGGAGAAGACTTGGTACCTTTCTTTATACTTGAGAGGACATTCTGTCCTTTTATCTTCTAGTTATTCTATCATCAGTCCTTTCCTTATTATGAATTAGCAAATACAAAATCTTTGTTCCCCAGGGTAAAGAAAAGAATTTTAAGAAGTGGTTTTTCTTAGCCCCCTCAGCACCCTAGTCTATTTCTAACACCAAAAAGACAAAACAAGGGAGAGGAAAGGAGAAGGAGATGGAGGACCAGTTGCAGGAGAGAAAGGAGAAAAAAATCCACAGTGGGGGTGGCGGAAGATCTATGACTTCTAACAACCCATTCTGTGGTTTTCAAAGAGCGAATATAATAACAGCTATGAAAGTGTGAGCAATGACGAAACTGGAGAGATAGGGTTTTAACAAGATGCAAGGACAATCTGAGGACTGAGAGCCATTTCAACGTGAGCCCCCAGTCTGAGAACAAGAAAGAAGAACTTCTGTCTCGAGGTAAAAAGGCCTGCTGGGGACCTGGGGTCCAGGTGAAGGGATGGGATGGTTGACAGAACTGCTCAGGTGAGGACAGGCTTCTCATGAGGTCCCTGAGAAACTTGCCTTTTGGAGGGAAATGTCCTCTGCCCTCTGGAGCCTGGGGAGAAGGTTATTTCTGCCCGCCAGACCAGCATGCTCGCTTTTCTTCCATGGGCATTCAGGAATCCTGGCCCCATTCTGACATTCCTCAAATGGAGGAATTCCTCAAATTACCAGAGGAAAGTTACCAAAGTTTAGATCTGCTGGAGCTCTTCAAGGATTGGCCTGAGACAAGCCGGGAGGTGCCACGGGGCTTGGAGCTGGCCCTGTGAGGCACCTCCGGGGGAAGTTCATGTCCTAGGTGGTTCACGTCATGGACCTCTTGGAGGTCCGTGAATAGATTTATTCATGGGATTTGTGAATTGGGGGGAAAAATACATCTTTATTTTCACTAATCTTTAATTGAAAGTCAGCACTTGCTTCAGTTATGAATGTAGACAATGAACCACAATAGAATTTGCCATCAATAGAAAACACAAATATTTTCAAATCTCATTACAGTTTTTATAGATTTCTCCAAATGTCCTTAACGCTCAGCACTACTACAGAATTACAACAGTTATTAGGCTGATGTCAAATCTAAAGAAGCATGTGTACTGCTCTACCACACATTCTTCTAATGTTTTGACAACTGTCTTGTCATAATTTGTTCCCTTTATTATCCCATGTATCTTATTAATTTTTAAATGTTGTTCTGAGAAGGGACTCCATATGCCTTCCCAGACCACCAAAGAGGTCCATGGCGCCTTTATGTCAGGCACCTGCTTTGGTGTGTTGAGCAGGAAGCCTGAGATCTCAGACAAGAGCTTCAAGGGCCCCCCAGCCCAAACCTCTGTCTACTAACAAGTCTGGTTCTACTTTAAGGCAGTTGGGGTTGTGGAGATTGAAAAAGAAGCCCCTTCACAGCTGCAAATGAGATCTTTCTGGGCATCTTTTTCAGTGTCGTGGGAGATCTGTATACAGAGGTATTTGTGGAGCTCAGAGCTGACCTTCCAGCTCCTCTGAGAGGTTAGATCCGGGCTCCGGTGGCAGAGGAAATGGAGACTCTTCCTTGCCCTCTTGTCCCCACCCTCCCCAGAAAACCTCTGGCAAAGCTTTATGTGTCATCTAACCGTCACCACATTCCTATGAGGTAGTTTTAAACACAAGAGGAATGTGAGGCTGAGTGAGGTCCAGCAATGTGCTGGTCACACAAAGCTTGGATTTGAACCCAGGAGTCCACAAGACTCCAGGACCGCCTCCGAAGGTGCGGGAGGGAAGAGTTTCCCGCCGTCTGTGAGCTGTCGCCTGAGAGAGGCACCGAGCCCTGGGGCCACCAGCGCAGCTCAGGAGCCCCGGGGACCATCAAAGATGAGGATGCCAACTCCACGGGCACCCTCCCCCCTGCCCGCGCTGGGGCTCACAACGTTTTAAGAGGGGAGACCCGCCCCTGGCGTGTAGTGGGCCCGGAAAATTCCCAGACTTCTCACGACCACCCGCTCTCCCCTCTGTTGAGGGCCAGGTGCCGCTCTAGTACATGCTGCGTCCCCAGGACCCACCAGGCCCAACTTTGCACCCCCTCATCTCCCCTCCTAGTTTAGACTTTCCCTGGCTAGCCCCCATGCTCGCTGGATGGCCCATGGCTGGAGTGACGCGGGCCAACGCGGGGCAGGTAGGGGGTCACTCGGCTTTGGCTGAAAGGCAGCGCCCTCTAGCGGCCAGAGTGCGAAATCAGCGCCGCCGGCTCCGCGCTGCCCCGCCTGCATCACAACAGGGTGCTCCCCTCCCGGGCACCAAGGTCACTTCCCAGAGCATCCTTGCCCAGTGACCTCGCTGCCCCCCAGCGCTGGTGAGGGGCCCACAACAGACTTACATGCTCTTCTTCAACTCGGCCCTAGGCACCGCGAAGTCTGGCCACTCCAGCGGAGTGACCAGCTGCATCAGCCCCTCCCGCCTGTCCTCTCTCTCCTTGGAAGCGGTCCCTACCCTGCGCCCCTCCCATCCCGCTGCACCAGTCCCTTAGGAAACACGCCTAGAGAAGGGACACGACCTTGTCAACATTCCACAGCTACCTAGTGCGGAGCCAGGACTGGAAGCCAGATCTCCTCAGCCCATTCCCCACCTTAATTCACCCACCGTATTCTTTAGTCACCAGCTCCCGAGAGCCCACAAACAACTATGAAGGCCTAACTTCATTGCCATCTTGCAGCCTTTCCACATCCCTCATCCAGAATTTCTCCTGTGCTGCCCCTTGACACTTTATGACCTTATTACTTAGTACAGTCGTTCTTGTGTTAACAGCTGTTCGTGAATGGATGAGCGGCTGTGAGGAGAGGGACAAAGGGGACTCCAAGAGAAAGACTCTCATAACTTGGGTTAGAGTCCTGCTCCCCAACTTAGGAGCTGTGATTTTAAGCAAGTCACAAGTCCCCTCCAAGCCTCTATATGCTTCGTACAAATAATAAATTTTAGAAAATAATAATGGCTTAGTGTTTTATAAGGACTAAACACAGTCTTGCAGGTAGATGTGCCTGGAACACTGTCCATTGATTCCAATATAAGAAAGCATAAAACTAATCATAGCTATCATTTATTGAGCCCTTACTCTCTGCCAGGCACTGTGCTAAGTAATTTACATAGGTGACCTCATTTGACCCTCACAACCCAAGGAAGAGAATATTTTGTCACCATTTTATAGGTCATTAAGAGATTAAGAAACTTGCCCAATATTACACAGATAGTTAAGTTTCAAAGCCAGATCTGAAACATCCTGGTCTGACTCTAGAGACCATTTAACCACTAAAACGTCCGCCTCTGCTGTGTTAGTGATCTCTCTGTGCCCCATGGTGTCTGACACATTATAGATGCTCCGTGTTTCTGAAATATGTCTATTTATTAAAGGCTGAGCATAGCGCCTGGCCCAGGAGCCTAAGAAACTTGACCGAGTCATGCAACTATTAAGTTTTTTTTGTTTTTATTTTTGTTTTTTCGAGACAGAATCTTGCTCTGTCGCCCAGGCTGGAGTGCAGTAGCGCGATCTCAGCTCACTGCAAGCTCCGCCTCTCGGGCTCACGCCATTCTCCTGCCTCAGCCTCCCGAGTAGCTGGGACTACAGGCGCCCGCCACCACGCCCGGCTAATTTTTTGTATTTTTTTTAGTAGAGATGGGGTTTCACCGTGTTAGCCAGGATGGTCTCGATCTCCTGACCTCGTGATCTGCCCACCTCGGCCTCCCAAAGTGCTGGGATTACAGGCGTGAGACACCGCGCCCGGCGCCACTATTAAGTTTTAGGACCAGGATTTGAACACAAACACTCTGGCTCTAGAGTCTACGCTTTTTAACCATAATTCTGGGCTGAATGAATAATTGCAATCCTTCTTTGTCTTCCTCTTTGAATAAAATGATTTGTCATTTTATTCATTTATCCTCTTTGTCACTTAATATTCCATGTTTCAAGAGTCACCAGGACATTCTGGTGTAGCATGAAGGTATGATAACACAGGAGAAGGAACAAGGAGAGGTCAAGGCTAGGAAAGGACATTGGGGCCATACCATGAGCTGCTGCTGGGATGTTTTATTAGGATTGTGACAAATGTATAGATAAGTACAGAAGAATTTAACAATCGTCTCTACTTAGATTTTCTTTTATGTTCCTTAATAGTACTGTATAGTTTGTATCCTATAGGTCCTATTCGGAATGTTGTTACATTTTTCTGGACATTTGATGGGTTTTTTGGTTGCTATAATGAATGGAACTTTTCCTTCTACCATATTTTCTGACTAATAATTATATCCAGGAAAATTTTTAATCTTATGTATTAATAAGTACCTTATTAAATTGTATGTATATACACTAATTTAGTTTATTGTTTTATACAAACTATAATTACATAACATTCTATTCTGTGGATCTGCAATAATTTATTCAACCATTCTCACCAGTGGGTCTTCACCTGTTTCCTTTTTTTATGGGGGCAGGAAGGCGACAAAGTTTTGCTCTGTTGCCCAGGCTGGAGTGCAGTGGCGTGATCTTGGCTCACTGCAATCTCTGCCTCCCAGGTTCAAGCAATTATCCTGCCTCAGCCTCCTGAGTAGGTGGGATCACAGGCACCTGCTACAACACCCAGCTAATTTTTGCATTTTTAGTAGAGCCAGGGTTTCACCATGTGGGCCAGGCTGGTCTCGAACTCCTGACCTCAGGTGATCCGCACGCCTCCCAAAGTGCTGGGATTACAGGTGTGAGCCACCACACCTGGCCTTCACCTGTTTCTATTTTTTTGGTATTATAAAAAATGCTGCAGTGAATATCCTTGTACATCTATACTAGCACACTCATGCTTTTATTTCTGTAAGCTATAGCCAAAGGGACAGGGTATGTGCATTTGAAATGTTAATATATAATGAGTATTCCCCCAAAGCTCCGTAACAATGTATAGTTCTACCTAGAGTGAATGATTGCACATATTTCTTCTTACCCTTACCAAAATTTGATTTATCTTTTAAATTTTTGTTCACTTAACAGGTGGTAATTCTGAAATTCTGAACTCTGAATTTTTAATTTGTACTTCCCTGAATACTTGTAAAACTGAAAAACTTTTTATTGCATTTCGTCTTTTGTGAACTGCCTATTCAGATACTCTTTTATTGTTTCTAATAATTCTCAATTAAGTTTCTTGGGTTTTCTAGATGTAAGTTATATCACATATAAATAGTAATAAATTTGCCTTAAGATTTCCAATATTTATACCCTTTGCTTTATTTTCTTGTCTAAATATAATGGCAAACACTTTCAGAACAATGTGAAATAACAGAAATAATAGGAAGCATCTCTGCCTTGCTCCTAATATTAATAGAAATTATCCCATATTTTACCATTAAATATGATGCTGCAATTTTATCTGAGATATACATTTCTCCATTATATTGAATAGTATTCATCCATTACCATTTTACTTAGGATTTTAGTGGGAATTAATGTAAGATGTTATCAGAAGGTAATATTGACTTTCTTTTTTATCCAGTAGTATGTTAATTAATAGATTTCCTAATATTAAATCATCCAAGAATTTCTAAAAATGAAACCTTATTCCATTTGTCATGGTGTATTATATTTTTAATATCTTGTATGATTGGTTAATTTGTGTGTGTGTGTAATTTTTGATTTTGGTTTTCTTGAGACAGGGTCTCACTGTCAACCAGGCCAGAGTGCAGTGAAGATCATACCTCACTACATCCGTGAACTCCCGGGCTCCTCCCACCTAAGTCTCTTGAGTAGCTGGGACTTCAGGTACGCACCACCACACGTGGCTAATTTTTGTATTTTTTGTAAAGACATGGTCTCACTTTGCTGCCCAGGCTGGTCTCAAACTCCTGGGCTCAAGTGATCCTCCCACCTCGGCCTCCCAAAGGCTTGGGATTACAGGCGTGAGCCACCGCAACTGGGCCTTTCAATTTTTAAAAATTTAAATATAATATTATAAAACAGAATACAGCAGCACATGAAAAGAATAACATACTAGGCCGGGCGTGGTGGTTCACGCCTGTAATCCCAGCACTTTGGGAGGCCAAGGTGGGTGGATCACAAGGTTAGGAGTTCAAGATCACCCTGGCCAAGATGGTGAAACCCCGTCTCTACTAAAAATACAAAAATTAGCCGAGCGCAGTGGCAGGCGCCTGTAATCCCAGATACTCGGCAGGCGCCTGTAATCCCAGATACTCGGCAGGCTGAGGCAGGAGAATCGCTTGAACCCAGGAGGTGGAAGTTGCAGTAAGCCAAGATCGTGCCACTGCACTCCAGCCTGGGCGACAGAGTGAGACTCTGTCTCAAAAGAAAATAACAACATACTATGACCAAATGGCTTCAGTTTTTGTTTGTTTGTCTGGGACTGCAAAGATGTATCAATTTTAGGAAATCTATTAATGTAGATCGCCATCTTAATATATCTTAAAGAAAAATAATATCATTTTAGTTGATATTTAAAGGCAATTAATAAAACATTCACATCCATCCTTGACATTTTAAAACTCTTAATAAAATAGAAATAAATGTATATTCCTTAACATAATAAAATACATCTCATTCTCAAAGCTACTATAATACTTAATAAGGAAACATTTAAGCATCCCCCATTAAACTTAGAAAAAAGACAGAGATTCATTATTACCATTATTATTTAATATTTTTCTGGAGATATTAACCAACACAATTAGAAGAAAGAAATCAGAGATATAAAATAGAAAAGGAAGTAATTATCATTATGTACACATAATATGATTGCATAACTGGAAAATCCAAGAGAATCAACTGAAAAATGATAGAATTAAGGGAGGGGAGCTGGGTATGAAATTAATATCTAGTAAAACAAATAGCCTTTCATATATGAACAATAATGAAAAATTAAAAGATATAATGAATGATATAAAGAGACTGAAAAAATAAGTTAAAAGATACAACGAGTGGAAACAACAGATGCTGGAGAAGATGTGGAGAAATAGGAATGCTTTTACACTGTTGATGGGAGTGTAAATTAGTTCAACCACTGTGGAAGACAGTGTGGGGATTCCTCAAGGATCTAGAACTAGAAATACCATTTGACCCAGCAATCTCATTACTGGGCATATACCCAAAGGATTATAAATCATTCTACGATAAAGATGCACAAGTATGTTTATTGTGGTACTATTCACAATAGCAAAGCCTGGGAACCAACCCAAATGTCCATCAATGATAGACTGGATTAAGAAAATGTGGCACATATACACCATGGAATACTATGCAGCCATAAAAAAGGATGAGTTCATGTCCTTTGCAGGGACATAGATGAAGCTGGAAACCATCATTCTAAGCAAACTGTCACAAGGACAGGAAACCAAACACTGCATGTTCTCGCTCATAAGTAGGAGTTGAACAATGAGAACACATGAACCCAGGGTGGGGAACATCACACACCGATGACGTTCCACGGGTGGGGGCCCGGGGGAGGGATAGCATTAGGAGAAATACCTAATGTAAATGACAAGTTGATGGGTGCAGCAAACCAACATGAAACATGTACAACTATGTAACAAACCTGCACATTGTGCACATGTACCCTAGAACTTAAAGTATATTAAAAAAAAGATATAATGGGTAAAAGATGACATTTTCAATAGTGAAAAAATATGAATTACTCAAGAAACAAACTTAGCTAAGAAATGGACGAGGACTTTATGAAGAAAACTTCTATACATACCTGAGACACACATATTTGAAAAATGAATATCACATTCTCGGATCAAAAGAATCAATGTCACAACAAATTCAGTTCTCCCTAAGTTAAAATATAAATTGAACATATCCCAATTTTAAAATACCAATAGGACTTTTTCTTGATGGTACACACAGTAGGAAGGGCAAGACTAGACAAGCTGATTATAAAAATCAGAAAAATAAATTTATAGAAAAATTCTTGTTTTCCCCTTTTGAATTTTAAATGCTGTGAATGTAATTACCACTTCAAAAGTTATAAACTACAAAACCTTAAATATATTTTTAAAACACATACACACATAGAGAGGATTTTTTAAAATAAAAATGTATTTATTTTATATACATAATTGCAATTTGCCCTTTTTGACCTAATGCTATATCATGAACATCCCTCCAGGCCCATATTTATAGAAGTATCTCATTCTTTTAATAATATATAATATTTTGTCACATAGATTAATTGAAACTTATTAAACCATTTTCCCTATTGATGAAATTCAAGTGTTTGTTTTTCTTCAGTTTGTTTATTTTGAAACAGGAGTAATTTTTCTTAGCCAGGATTAGAAGATGTAACTATAAAAAGTAAAACAATAAAAATATTGAAAGAAAATTATAGCCTCAATTGGAGGGAAACTTTCCTAAACAATGCAGGAAACCCAGACAACTTAAAGGAAAAGATAGATATGTTGTATTTAATTACATACAATGTAAACTTTCCTTGTGAAAAAAAAGCCTCATAAAAAAAGTGAAGAGACAAACAACAAATTGGGAGAAAGTATTTGCCTAAAAAAATGGCAGATGGGTTAATATCTCTAATACGGAGAAAGTGCCTAAAAGTTAAGAAATGTGAAGAATATGAACACACAATTCACAGACAAGGGAATACTAATGACCAATAAGCATATGAAAAGATCCTCAACTTCACTAATCATGGAAATGCAACATAAAGCAGGTCTAATTTTTCATCCATCAGATTGGCAAAAATGTTAAAGTACAGATAATACCCAGAGCTAGCAAGGGCACGAGGAAATGTACACTATCAAGCATTCTTGGTGAACATCTGATTATCAACAGCCTTTTTGGAGAGCAATCTGATTATAGTAGAAAAAAAGTTTTAATCATCATATTCTTTGACGCAGCAATCCAATTTAACTTAAAAAAATATATATGAGAAAATAGCCTTTAGTGTCTCCCTATGCCCCTCCCTCCCCGGCTCCCAGTGTATCTCACTTGGTTTACCGCCTCACTTCCCAGCCAGCTGGACTCTCATGCCCAAGCCCTCCTCTACCTCCATCATACTCTAGCCAATCAAAGCTAGAGCCTGGGATGGGGAAATGGTCTTGGAACCCTGGAAGGCTTTGTCTAGTGGGTCCCCCTGTGCTTTTAGGAGACTGAAGCCAAGGATACCAGCAGAGCCAACATTTGCTTCAAGTTCCTGGGCCTGCTGACAGCGTGCAGGATGCTGTTGGAACCCGGCAGAGGCTGCTGTGCCCTGGCCATCCTGCTGGCAATTGTGGACATCCAGTCTGGTGGTGAGGATAGACCCTAGAGCAGAGACGGCCATGGGGAGGATCCTGGGCTTGTGGGAAGGGCTGGATCCCGTGATTTTCTCTAGTGGGGAAACAAAGGACTCTTTTTTTTTTTTTTTTTTTTTTGAGGGAGTCTCGCTCTGTCACCCAGGCTGGAGTGCAGTGGCGCGATCTCGGCTCACTGCAACCTCCGCCTCCCATGTTCAAGCAATTCTGCTGGCTCAGCTTCCCGAGTAGCTGGGACTACAGGCTTATGCCGCCACCGCCGGCTAATTTTTGTATTTTTAGTAGAGACGGGGTTTCACCATATTGGTCAGGCTGGCCTCGAACTCTGCCTGACCTCAGGTGATCCTCAGGCGCCCGGCTGACTCACTCTCCTTGACATTAAGGAAAGGGTAAAGAATATATTGTCTTTTTCTTTTTCATTAGAACTGATACTATTGCCTCTCTATCAGACACTCTGTCTCTGCTATATGTTTCAAAGAGCCTGGCAATCTGCGCCTCAACCTAAGATTCCTTTAGGCTCTTATATACTATAAATTTATGAAATCCAGGTTTGAGATCCAGATACTGCAATCTTCATTAACTTCAGCAGCTAGTTTAACCACTCTGTGCCTCAATTTGTGTATTTATAAAATGGGAAGAGTAATACCTGCCCTCTATGGCTATACTGAGGATTTGATATACAGAAAAGCACTCTAACAGAGACCCTATAGAAGTTCCAGCTGGAAAGTAGAAATAAAATATAAACCATTTTGGAGTGAATCAATGGCTGGGATTGCAGGTCTCCCTCAGATATGGGTCTTGGAAGACCCATATCTCTTACTCTTGTAGGAGAATGGCATTCAATATGCAGGGGGCAGCCTCCATCTCTGCCTCTTCACCGTTTTCATGAGAGTGAATTTAGTTTACTATGTATACCAAGGGGAGTCTTAAAAGGAAAAGCAAGTCATAGCGGATCAAGCTGCCAAGGGAGTGGGGGAGGGGGCTGGCAGCCTCAGCATCTGCCGGATGAGTTTTCAGCAGAGAGCTGGATTTAACCGAGGTTGGGGTTTTGCGAGGATCCATCACAGTAGGAGTAAAGCTAAGGGAGCTGAGGGTGGATATAAGGGAGAGATTATAATAATGGACTACAAAATATAAACTACAGAAGGAAGTGAAGTTTGAGGAGAGTGAGGGGCAGTACAAAGTTGGCAGGGCCAATGCATTGCAAAATTAGGTCAGAGACACCCATCGAGCCAAAACATCCTGGGTTAACCCAACTATTTTCTCCACTTCTGTATCCAGGTTACAGATTACTTACAGGGAAAATCAAGTGGGCAGACTGGCACCATCAGAGTCATGGTCTTTGGATATCAATGGTCCCTCAATAATTAGTCTGTTTCTCCAGTCCATTCTCACTCCATTTCCACACAGTGGCTGTTTTTAATCATCTCTGGTATTTCTGTGGTCTCTCTCATCCTATATTTCTTAGAAAAACTTTTACTCATCCTTCAAGTCAGCTCCAGCACTAACTTCACTGTGAAGTTTCCCTGATGCTTCAGACTCAGGAATCTCTAAGATTCCTCAATTATAATAACTGTGGAATTAAATTGTAACTTTTTGCTAATTTGTTTTTACATTAGGCTTTAAACTCTGAGAGTGGCCAGGCACAGTGGTTCATGCCTGTAATCCCAGCAGTTTGGGAGGCAGAGGCAGGAGGGTTGCTTGATGCCTAGAGTTCAAGACTAGCCTGGACAACATAGTGAGAATCTGTCTCTACAAAATAAAAAATTAGCCAGGCATAGTGGTGCATACCTGTAGTGTTAGCTATTCGGAAGGCGGAAGCAGGAGGATTGCTTGAGCCCAGGAGTTCAAAGGTGCAGTGAGTTACGATTGTGCCACTGCCCTCCAGCCTGGGTGACACAGCAAGACCTTGTTTTAAAAAAAAATTTTTTAAATTAAAAATCCCCGGTCATCTAATGGTTAGGGGAAAAAAAAGTTCTGACAGTAGGGCTCACGTCCTAGTCCTCATAGCCCCAGCAGGGCTTGGCAGAGTGAATACCTAAACGTATTTGTTAAGTGGAGGAACAAATAAACCTATGAATTAATGGATGCTTTGAGCATATTATTTAGTCCCTTAATTTTCATTTTCCAGATGAATAAACTACTGCCCAAGGAGTTAGGTAACTTGCTTACAGTCACACAGCCATCGATAGAGCTGGAATTTGTATTTCCTGTCTGCCAGCACTACTGCCAGGTTCTGCTTCAGTCCTTCCTTGAAGACTTCTAGTGATAAGGAGCAGTTACGGTGAAATTCACAGAATGCTACCTGACCTCTGGGTAATTCTTCCCTTTCCATTCCAGGATGCATTAACATCACCAGCTCAGCTTCCCAGGAAGGAACGCGACTAAACTTAATCTGTACTGTATGGCATAAGAAAGAAGAGGCTGAGGGGTTTGTAGTGTTTTTGTGCAAGGACAGGTCTGGAGACTGTTCTCCTGAGACCAGTTTAAAACAGCTGAGACTTAAAAGGGATCCTGGGATAGATGGTGTTGGTGAAATATCATCTCAGTTGATGTTCACCATAAGCCAAGTCACACCGTTGCACAGTGGGACCTACCAGTGTTGTGCCAGAAGCCAGAAGTCAGGTATCCGCCTTCAGGGCCATTTTTTCTCCATTCTATTCACAGGTGAGTGCTCAAATACTCCTAATGCCACCAGGTGGGACAGTGAGCAGGGTTGACAGTGGAGATGTAACCAGATAGTTCAGGTCCTGGAAAGGCAGTTTCCTTCTTCCTCAATCCTTTTCCAACATCCCCATTGGCAGATGCTGCCTTTCTTCAAAGCGCACACACAAACATAATCTCATTTTGTCTTTAATTTTAGAACTCTTACTTGGGGTGGCCATTGCATTTTTACTGACAGGGAGATGGTGACACAGGGGTTGAAGAGACTTGTCCAGTGCTACTCACTGGTGAAAGTAAAAACAGATAGAAATTAGGCTTCCTGGCCAGGCATGGTGGCTCATGCCTGTAATCCCAGCATTTTGGGAGGCTGAGGTAGGCAGATCACCCGAGGTCAGGAGTTAAAGATCAGCCTAGCCAACATGGAGAAACCCTGTCTCTACTAAAAATACAAAATTAGCCGGGTGTGGTGGCGCATGCCTGTAATCCCAGCTACTCAGGAGGCTAAGGCAAGAGAATCGCTTGAACCTGGGAGGCGGAGGTTGCAGTGAGCCGAGATTGTGCCATTGCACTCTATCTTGGGCAACTAGAGCGAAACTGTGTCTCAAAAAAATAAAAAACAAGAAAAGAAAAGAAAGAAATTAGGCCTCCTGATTCCCAATTCAGAACTCTCCCAGAAATGTGGCTATATTTCTAAATTCAGGCAGACAACGAGATTAGGTTTGAGATAATATGGGTGTCTGTCTTAAGGAGCATTTAGTTGGAGGAAACAGAAACCAATTCAAAGTACCATAGATTAAAGGAGGAAAAAATAAAAAAGTACAGCTGGCCCTCATGAGTTCTAGCTCCTGGAATCAGAAACTAGAAAGGGGACAGGACGCAAAACAGTTACCGTTTCAAACTGTGAGGCAGCAAGGCCTCTGGCTTCTGCATCTGTCTTTCACTCTATGCATGCTCCCCCTGCTCCATTACTACTTTGGCATATCCTAAATATGGCCACTCCAGCCCCAGCTTTAAGTGGCTTCCTTAAGTCAAATTGTGCCCAACAGAAAGTGTCTCTCTGTGTAACTATATTCCTAGACAATAGAGCAAGCCTTCAAAATTCTGTGGGAAAAAAAAAATTTACCTAGAATTATATATTCAGCCAAACTATAAACCAAATGTAAGGAAAGAAAAAAGACACTATCATGAGATGCAATGACTCAAAAAAATTTGCCTTCCATGTGATCTTTTCAAAGAAGCTACCAGAGGATGTGCTTCAGTAAAACAAGAAAGTGAATCCATAAAGGGGATAAAATGACATACAGGAAACAAGGAGTCTAACAAGGAAGTTCTAGGCTGGACACAGTGGCTCATGCCAGCACTTTTGGAGGCCAAGGTGGGAGGATCACTTGAGCCCAGGAGTTAGAGATAAGCCTGGGCAACACAGGGAGACACCATCTCTAGTGGAAAAGAAAAAAAAAAGGAAATTCAAGAATTAAAAAAGGGCAGTTAGTCCAGAAGAGAGCAAGAGAAAGACGACTCTGGAAGGGAGATCTCTAGGAGGTAAAAATGGAATCGACATATCATCTTTCTAAAGGCCCATTAAAGACCCAATAAAAAGATTAAAGAAATGGATATGGAAAACTCTGCCAGTAAAAAAATAAAATCAGGCTCTAGAAAAAACTAAATTTTACAAAAGAAACATAGCGCACAACTTGATTTTGCAAAAAATAACACAGAATCCAAATTATGTAAACATGACTAATTTAAATAAAATTTGTGGTACAATTATTTTTAGAAGAATGCAGAGAAGGAAAATGGGTGAAAGTATAATCCTCATCTACTATATTCTAGCACATCTTCATCTACTGTAGCAGAAAGCCAATAGAAAATGTCTAAATTTTATCACTAGGAAGCAGCAATATGAGCATATTATTTAGGAATATAATAAGACATCTCGAAGAGTTGACAGTGGTTGTCTCAGACAATAAGCCTAGGAGGACAAAAGGGCACTGCTATTATTCTCTATGAACTTTTACAACTATCTTACTTCTCCATGAACTTACAACTATCTTACTTTTTTTTTTCTTTTTCTTTGATTTTTTGAGACAGACTCTCACTCTGTGGTCCGGGCTGGAGAGCAGTGGCGTGATCTCTGCTCACTGCAACCTCCACCTCCAAGGTTCAAGTGATTCTCCTGCCTCAGCCGCCCAAATAGCTGGGACTACAGGCACACGCCACCACCCATCCAACTAATTTTTTTTGTATTTTTAGTTGAGACGGGGTTTTGCCATGACGGCCAGGCTGGTCTCAAACTCCTGACCTCAGGTGATCTATCCGCCTCAGCCTAGCCAAAGTGCTGGGATTACAGGTGTGAGCCACCGTGCCTGGCCTATCTTACTTTTTAAGAAAAACAAGTATAAATTACCCACTCACCACCCTCCCCCCATGAAAAACTGGCCCAGAGCCTTTGAACAAATGTTTCTAATCACCTCCTATGGTTCCTAGTTAATTCAAATTTTCAACTTGTTTAGTTTGACTGACTTTGTTCCTTGCTTCCTGGTGTCTTCCTGTCTGACCTAGCTATAGCATTCAGCACTTCTGACTATTCCCTCCTTCATCAAACTGTCATCTCCAGTGGCTTCTGTGACTGTACTCCCCTGGCTGTTCTACCCACCTGGCTGTTCTTTTGTCTTCTCTATTTCCTCCTCCCACCTCTCAAACATGAGTATTCCCCAAGACTCACTTCTCACCCCTTCAACCTTTTCTCTTTACTCTCTCTCCCTAGTTCTCATCTACCCACGATTTAAACCAGCATCTCCCTGCAACTGACCAGCAAATCAACTTCTCCAGCTTGAACACCTTTCCTAAGTTTTAATTAAACGTTTAAACTAAAAACTGTACTCCTAGCTCCTGGATGTCCCACCATTTCCTCAAACTCAGTATCAAAGCTATCCTCCTGAGACCCTATTTCTGTTCATGACGGAGTCAACTTTGGTTCCTCCTTTTTTCTTAACCCCCAATTCAGAGAGTTACTAAGTACTGCTGTTCTTCCGCACAGCAGTACTTAGTGGGGAAGAATAGCAGTACTTTGTTATTCCTTTCCTTCCAAAGGTGTTTTTCAGGTCTTCATCACCTCACACTTAACATATTCCTATAGTCTCCTAACTAGTGAGTCCCTTGAGTTCAGCAACTGTGCCCTAGTCACCTTTGTATCTCCCACACCTACCACAGGGCCTAGCACTGAGCTGTTGCCTAATGGTCCAGCAACTCTAAATACTGTTTCTGCCTCCAATCCATTCTACATACTACCACCAGCTTGTCTTTCCAAAATGCTAATTTGTACATGCCACATCACTCAAAGTTTTAATGGCTTCTCACTGTCTATGGAATAAAGTCTAAATTACATTAGCCTGGCACTAGAGACTCTATAGCATTTCATTCTATTTATGTGAATACATTGCTTCAGTTAAACTGCACTAGTGGATACTCCTCTTTCATTCATCTAACAAATATGTATTGTGCATCCCAGGCCCAGCGCTATGCCTTGGAGAACAGAATGAGGTATAACACAGTCCTTGCTCCTTATAACCTAAATCCTGTTCTCCTAATATATTGTTTTAGTTGTGAAGATTCTCCCTAAGGAAGAATGCTTTTCTCATCTTCTCAGCATATTTAAGTATTAGAGTCAGCACATCTAGATGGTTCCCCAAGTGTGGAAATTAGGTGCATTTTGGAAGGTAAAACTAGTTAAGAAGAGACAGGTAATAAACAATGTCAGGGTGGGTGGTGGCTCACGCCTGTAATCCCAGCACTTCAGGAGGCTGAGGCTGGCAGATCATTTGAGATCAGGAGTTCGAGACAAGCCTGGCCAACATGGTGAAACCCTGTCTCTACTAAAAATACAAAAAATAGCCGAGTGTGGTAGCACGCACCTGTAATCCCAGCTACTTGGGAGGCTGAGGCAGGAGAATCACTTGAACCCGGGAAGCAGAGGTTGCAGTGAGCCGAGATTGCGCCACTGCACTCGAGCCTGGGCGACAGAGCCAGACTCTGTCTCAAAAAAAGAAATAATAAAATAAAATAAAAAACAATGTCTGCCATTTACTGAGTGCTTACTGTGGGCCAGGCATTGTGCTAAGTGATATTATATTATTTAATCTCCATGGTCTTTTGAGCTATTGTCCTGTGATAACTCAAGCTTGAAGATAATTTATGTTCATCCAACAGTAAATGATGGATAAAAATCCAGATCTAGTCCAGGTGCAGTGTCTCATGCCTGTAACCCCAGCACTTAGGGAGGCCAAGGCAGGTGCATCACTTGAACCCAGGAGTTCGAGACCAGCCTGGGCAACACAGTGAAAACCTGTCTCTACAAAAAATACAAAAATTGGCTGGGCGTGGTGGCACATGCCTGTAGTCCCAGCTACTAGGGAAGCTGAGGTGGGAGGATCGATTGGGCTCGGGGCATGAGGCTGCAGTGACCCATGATCATGCCACTGTACTCTAGCCTGGATGACAGAGCAAGACCCTGTCTCAAAAAAACAAAAACAAAACAAACAAACAAACAAAAAAAACCCAGATCTATTCCAAAAGGGCAAGATTTTAACTTATGCTAGATTGCTTGAACCACTCTAGAAAATGGGGCTATTTGGGGATACCCAAGTCCAAGGCGACTAAGCTGTTTCAGCTATCTCTGTGGCAAAACTTTAGAATTACTTTAAGATCTATCTGCATCCCTAGTGTCTGACACACAGGAGATTCTATACTTATTTATGGCTGCCTAAGTACATCATCATTACCCACAATGTTAAAAATACTTATTTGGGCAACGAATTACAGAGGGAGGAATCCTTGGAGATCATAAAAGAGATGTTATGAGATGATGCAAAAGGAGATACTGATGATTTCTGAAACCCTCCCCTGATCCATGATTCTCTTTTGAACCAGAGACAGGGAACTACACAGTGACGGGATTGAAACAAAGACAACACCTTGAGTTCAGCCATAATGAAGGCACTCTCAGTTCAGGCTTCCTACAAGAAAAGGTCTGGGTAATGCTGGTCACCAGCCTTGTGGCCCTTCAAGGTATGTCCAAAAGAGCCGTAAGCACCCCAAGCAATGAGGGTGCTATTATATTTCTGCCACCTTGGTTATTCTCCAGGAGGAGAAGGTTGGAAAGGATGTCCAGGGGGAGAGAAAAATGTTACTCAAGCCCTGGCTATCCACAGGAAAGTTCAAACCAGTTTCACTGATCCAAAGGCACTAAGGAGGAAGACAGATAAATCAGACTTTTCAATGGGTAGGAGGTAAGACTCATTAGGAATGAAGGCCTGTGAGAGAGGCAAGTTAGTACAACTACCTCTACTCACTGCATGAACAGAGGGCTACAAGTTGAAGCAACAGATTTTCAGCTATTAGAGGAAGAAAAGGCAAGAGACAGACTTGGTTTGGAGATGGGTTTTGAACAATGCGGCTCCTCAGCAAAGGCTGATGGCCAGATTGAGTATATTAAACACATGTAGCTGAGTCCTCTGAAAACCATTTACCAATATAGATTAGCGTTTTCCCTATTAGATAACAAAAAGTGAAACTTCCAATAATTTGTCATAACGTTTTTGCATAACAAGCAACTGATTCAGGTTTTTGCCTGGCCTTGGCATTCTTAACTCCATTTTATTTAGGCATTCCTCAAATCAATAACTACCACTGTTTTGAATGGCATCAGAATGTAAGCTCTATATATATGTAAGGACTTTGTCTTCTTTACCCCAACGAAAAGTCCCACACATATGGCAGGCTCTTAATAAATTTGTTAAAAAACCTGTATGATGAATCAGATGCTTTACACATGATGATTCTAACCTTATACAACCCTTGCAAGCAAACATCCCCTGGTTACTCATCAGGAAACAGACACAAGGAAGTTAAATAGGGCCTGGTGCGGTGGCTCACGCCTGTAATCCCAGCACTTTGGGAGGCCAAGGCAGGCAGATCCTTTGAGCCTAGGAGTTTGAGGCCAGTCTGGGCAACATGGCAAAACCCCAACTATACAAAAAAATACAAAAATTAGGCATGGTGGCACACAACTGTAGTCCCAAGCTAAGGCATGAGGATCACCTGAGCCCAGGCTGGTTGAGGTTGCAGTGAGCCATGATCATGCCACTGTACTCCAGCCTGGGTGACAGGGTGAGACACTTTCTCAAAGGAAAAAAAAAAAAAAAAAGAGTTAATTGTTGCCCGTCACAGCAATTAATACAGATCCTTCTCACTCTAAAACCTTACACTCAGTAATGATCTACTATATGCAAAGCACCTCTTACATCCTTCACCACCCCATTCATTCTGAGATTGACTCCTCCCCTTTCCAGAAACAGGACCACCTAAACATTCCCTATTCCAGTCCCTTATTTGCAAGTCATCAAAAGAAAACAGAGATTTCAAAAAGAAAACAGAGACCTTATCTGTAATCCTTGGTAAGGATCTTCCAAATTTAAGCCTATGCCAGTTTTCAGGAGGAAACATGAATATGAAACAGTCTGACCTTTAGACATAATTTTTTGTTGACTTTAAATTCCCTTGGTTAGGCCACTGTAACCAGTAAAATAAATTTTATTTTAGAATAAAAATTATAAAGGGGAAATTGAGTCTAGCCATACAACCTACTACTAGTTACTATCTTTGATTCCCAAGTCATCCTAGAGCAAAAAAAAAAAAAAAAAAATCATCTCTGGCCTTTTTTTCCTTTTCCACTCAGGTGAAGAGAATGAGCTTTTGAATCCAATTTTTTGTTTTCTCCTATATTCAATTCAAGTAGCTTTAAAGTTAACCAAAGGAAAAAACCAAAGCTCAATATTTGATTAAACGAGAAAATATACACTACTTAGAAGCTTTCTTTTCTTTATCCTTCTTCCCCAACTCAAGGCTTAGTAGAATTATTGAAAGAGGTAGTATTCAGTAGAATAGTACACATGCTTTTTCAGGTCCAGAAACACCACATAGGTCAAGTTATCATGCTTACATGTGGGGAAAAGGAGGAGGGAGTTTCCTGGACCTCTGTGCCTCTCTCAGCTCATGAACTAGTTTCAGTGAATATCCTTGTCTTACCACTGTGCCAACAATTCAGAGCTATACGTGGAAAACCTACCTTCAACTTTTTGAGTGGCATCTATTGCTTCTTTGATTGTTCCTTCCAGCAAGGAGCGATCAAAGGCTAGCCCCCTTCCCACTCCCACCAGAATCAGATTTGCTCAAGATTACAACCCTAATTTAGTAATAAGATGCAATACATAAAATAGTTCCCACTTTCCTTTTCCAATCCCTTTACAGTCATGAGGGCCTATCACGCACGCATCTCAGGACAGGTGAGACTTCATTATATCAGGTATTTTGTTGCTATTCTAAGTTATAAGGCAGTAATACAAACTTTCTTTCCACAGCTTTGTAAGCCTTGTGCCAAAAGAAACTTTTAAAACAGCTACAGCAAGATGAGTCTGACTATGGCTTAGTATCTTTCTCATTACAATAGGCACAGAGAAGAATGCAACAGGGCACAGGGGAAGAGATGCTAAATATACCAAGAATCTGTGGAAATATAAGCTGGGGCAAATCAGTGTAATCCTTGACTTTGCTCCTCACCATCAGGGCAAACTTGCCTTCTTCCCTCCTAAGCTCCAGTAAATAAACAGAACAGCTTTCACCAAAGTGGGTAGTATAGTCCTCAAATATCGGATAAATATATGCGTTTTTGTACCCCAGAAAAACTTTTCCTCCCTCTTCATCAACATAGTAAAATAAGTCAAACAAAATGAGAACACCAAATTTTGGGGGAATAAATTTTTATTTAACACTGCAAAGGAAAGAGAGAGAAAACAAGCAAAGATAGGTAGGACAGAAAGGAAGACAGCCAGATCCAGTGATTGACTTGGCATGAAAATGAGAAAATGCAGACAGACCTCAACATTCAACAACATCCATACAGCACTGCTGGAGGAAGAGGAAGATTTGTGCAGACCAAGAGCACCACAGACTACAACTGCCCAGCTTCATCTAAATACTTGTTAACCTCTTTGGTCATTTCTCTTTTTAAATAAATGCCCATAGCAGTATTTGGAGTCTTTTCTTTTCTCCTAAATCCACAAACTCTCTTCTTTCTCTTTGGACAGATGACCTCTTGTCATAGTTAAGCAGAGAGTGGGCAGGATATTCCTGATAGGAGGAACTACATGAATAAAGGGGTAAGAGCACAGAAATTTAGCTACAGCTCCATGGTGAGCCATTAAAAGGAAAGAGACACTTTACCTGTGCTCCTTGGCAAGGACCTGCCAAATGTGGGAGCTAAGGTTTGTGGGAACGGAAAGAGATATGGCTGAAGTAGATGAGTAAGACTCTTATTAGTGATAGTCTTGAACCTCAAACTAAGGATTTTAGACTGTATCCCATGGAGATAAAAGGACTAGCCATGGAGGCAAAAAGACCTGGATTCAAATTCTGGCTCTGCAACATACCAGCTATTTGTCATTGGGCAAATGAATTTTTTTTTTTTTTTTTTGAGACGGAGTCTCACTCTGTTGCCCAGGCTGGAGTGCAGTGGCATGATCTCAGCTCACTGCAACCTCCACCTCCCGGGTTCAAGCAATTCTCCTGCCTCAGTCTCCCAAGTAGCTGGGATTACAGGCATGCACCACCATGCCTGGCTAATTTTTGTGTTTTTGGTAGAGACGGGGTTTCACCATGTTGGCCAGGCTGGTCTCAAACTCCTGACCTCAAGTGATCCACCCGCCTCAGCCTCCCAAAGTGCTGGGATTACAGGCGTGAGCCACCTCACCCAGTGCAAATGAGGTTTTGAGATGCTATTTCTGTTTACCTATCTGTAAAAAGGGATATTGCCTATTGTATCTTCTCTTTCCACAGAATTGTTCTGAGAATCAAAATGAGAGTCTGGATTTGGGACCTAGAGCCATTTGAGTTCTGACTCCAAAGTCTCCAAAGCTTTCTCCACTACATCACATTCATCTTAATCTTTCTCTACCTGTTTTAAATAGTTAGTTCTGTGTTTCTAACTAAATAATAAACTCACATAGGTAGAGATGTCTTTTGTTTTTACTATTCAAATAATCTTCTGGAGCTACTCAACATTATACAATCACTGGAAGTCTCAGAAGATATATCCAACTATAGGAAAAGTTTCAGCCATTGTACTATACTAATTATAGTCCACATATAAAAATCTGTGACACATAATCACAGAAAGGAAACATCACTGCCCAAGTTTATGAAGACATTTAAGAGCATCAGATTACTAGCTCTGACTCAAACTAAGCGGAATATATACAAAGCAATCCCACTTTGTACATACCAACTGAGTCTTGCTTCTAAAGAGTTTATTTACTCTGCTTATCTCGAGACTTGGTTAAACAGAAACTTAAAATACTTGTGTCTTGGCTTTCAAAATGTGTTGATACAATTGCCTTCAAATAAGCCTACAAATTTTCATGCATAATAGGTGGTTTTCTGGACACGCATCTTAGCCCCAATCTGTATGAGTGATTCACAAACACGGGTTTTGAACCTGTGAGGCCATGAGGTTATCAGAAGGAATCTATATACCATAATCTTCAGCCTGAATAAATATCTTTCAAATATTTGTATATATTTCAATTGGATGTAGATTCTGGTGTGACTAATAAATTAACTTAAAAGCATTACTGAAATCATAGCAGCTTTTTGTTATGTATTCTTTAATCAAAAATACTAATAATATGGCTATCAAGTTGTTGGAAGGGAATCTAATAATTTGGGGGTTTTTGTTTTGAGACAGGGTCTCTCTCTGTTGCCCTGGAGTGCAGTGGCACAATCTTGGCTCACTACAACCTCTGCCTCCTTGGTTCAAACGATTCTCCCTCCTCAGCCTCCCAAGTAGCTGGGACTACAGGTGCATGCCACCACACCTGGCTAATTTTTGTATTTTTAGTAGACATGGTGTTTTATTGTGCTGCCCAGGCTGGTCTCAAACTCCTGACCTCAAGTGATCTGCCTGCCTCAGCCTTCCAAAATGCTGAGATTACAGGCATGAGCCACAATGCCCAGCCAAGAATCTAATAATTTTTGGATCTTGAAAATTGTATTTCTTATTAGAAAAAGTAAAGAATCACAGGCTTACATCCTATGATCACAGATCTAAGTGTTCTGGTTGAAAGAGGAAGAAGAGGCAACATACAAACTACACTTCTGTGGACACCAAGTGTAGTGTGGCAGGAAAACATAAAGTTTGCATGTATAAAACCTTAAAAGTTGAATGCCTACAATGTACTTGTCTGTGGCAGGTATGAGAGATCGAAACCTTACAATGTCAATGGGATCAGACAAGGGCTCTATTTTGATCCTGGAAAGCATCACCAGCTGTATACATTGTATTCTATGCATTCTATTTTAAACCCCTGGAGCAGCTCAGTGGCTCGCTGGCTGAATACTGAGACACTGACATTACTGCAGGCTAGGATTTCCCCCTATAGGACAGCCACTTGTGATACTTACCCCATCAAAGTTTTCCTCCATCTTACTGTGACAGAACCTACATGAGATTCATTCGGGAAATTCTCAACAAGAGGACTCTATCCTATAAGTCGTCCCCAATCCCCAGATCTCCAATGGATTATTCTTGTAAACAGCACTTTTACCTTCCGATCGCTCTACCACAGAGGCCAAAAAGGGTTTTCCCCTAACATCCAAATACCTATTCAGATACCAGCCCTGCTCCTTCTCTTAAAATCTGTCTTCTCACCTGGGCGTGGTGGCTAATGCCTGTAATCCCAGCACTTTGGGATGCTGAGGTCGGTGATCACTTGACATCAGGAGTTCGAGACCAGCCTGGGCAACATGGCAAAACCCCATCTCTACTAAAAATACAAAAATTAGCTGGGCATGGTGGCACGTGCCTGTAATCCCAGCTACTTGGGAGGCTGAGGCAAGAGAATCGCTTGAACCCAGGAGCGGGAGGTTGCAGTGACCTGAGATCACGCCACTGCACTCCAGCCTGGGCGAAAGAGTGAGATTGTGTCTCAAAAAAATAAAAATGTGTCTTCCACTTCTTAAACCCCAAAGCTGTTTTGTTGTTGTTGTCATTTAAAACAGACACAGACTATGCTTCCCTCCTGATTTATTAAGACCGACATATTTAATTTGCATTTCTTGAGGGAATAGCACCTGGAAACCAGGGAGAAAGAAGCTGAAGCATGCAGGTCATGAATTATTCAATTTGGTGTCAATAATTTGTCAGAAAAATTAAAAAAAATCAATAGATAACCGTATTGTAGTTCAACTGATTATAATATAGAAGCAACGGATAATGAACACCCTTTCCTCAAAGTCATTTATTCTCAACCTTTGGAAATGATTACGTTTTTACCTCCAGTGAATCCCTTCATCACAGAGAATAACAGGGTACCAGCCCAAGCCAACAGTGCCCCATACCAGAGAACTCAGGGAAACAAAGACCCTAAAGGTTATGTACAATGAGAGAATCAGACTGTGAGGCTCCAGCTCTCTTCTGTATCCCTGCTCACTTTACCTCAGTGCACACCATATCCCTTCTTCCTCCATTGTGAAATGTGCATACACGTGTTTGTCTGTGAATATATAAATATCTCTATTTACACATATATACATATATAAAAATGTGCAATACAAAGACATAAGCAAGGAGTTTTTCCTAATAACTATTTAATCAGAGACTGATTGGAGAAAAAACAAGTTCTTCCCCTCAAATTTTCCTTCTAACTTGAGAACCAATTCCTGGACCAATTCCTGCTCAAAGAAAACATTTAAGAAGCACCTGTCGGCTGGGAGTGCTAGCTCACACCTGTAATCCCAGCACTTTGGGAGGCCGAGGCGGGTGGTCACTTGAGGTCAGGAGTTTGAAAACAGCCTGACCAACATGGTGAACCACTTCTCATAGAGACACATTATTAACTTGGTGAAACTTAATTGGGATGAGGAGCACTCTGTATACATGTATCATTTCTGTTTTTCCTCATTGTGATGGTTAATCTTATGTGTCAACTTGACTAGGCCACATGATGCCCAGATATTTGGTCATACAGTATTCTGGGTGTGTCTGTGAAGGTGTTTTTGGAAGAGACTAACATTTCAGTCAGTAGACTGAATACAGCACATGGCCCTCCCTAATGTAAGTGGCCCTCATCCAATCAGTTGAAGGTCTGAATAGAACAAGTAAGGGAGAAGTCCTCCTGCCTGACTGCTTGAACTAAGACCTCAGTCTTTTCCTGCCTCTGAACTGGAACAGAAACATCAGCTCTTCTAGGGTATCCAAGCTGGCCTTCAGACTGGAACTACACCATCAGCTCTCCTGGATCTCTAGCTGGCCCACTGCAGATCTTGGGATTTCTCAAACTCCATTATTGTGTGAACCAATTCCTTATAATAAATCTCAGGCTGGGCATGGTGGCTCCCGTCTGTAATCCCAGCACTTTGGGAGGCCACGACTGGCAGATCACCTGAGGTCTAGAGTTCAAGACCAGCCTGGCCAACAAGGTAAAACCTTGTCTCTACTAAACATATAAAAAATTAGCTGGGCATGGTGGCAGGTGCCTGTAATCCCAGCTGCTTGGGAGGCTAAGGCAGAAGAATCGCTGGAACCCAGGAGGTGGAGGTTGCAGTGAGCTGAGATTGCACCACTGCACTCCAGCCTAGGCGACAGAGCAAGCCTCCATCTCAAAAAATAAATAAATAAATAAATAAATAAATAAATAATAATAATAATAATAATAAATCCCTGAAGAATCCTAACTCCTCAACATAAATTAACCTGGACATCTGAGGTGCCTGCCATTATAAGAAGAAACACAACAGATCCATTAAGTGGGACAGGTCTGGGAAACAGTAAAATGAGTCTCACATCCTCTATCCACCAGAGCAAAAAAAGTGAAGAAAACTTCATGTAACTTTGTCTGATGCTGTTTGCTATACTGTGTATAAAAAGGCAGACCCCTATCCAGTACTTTGTTTCCACCCTTTTTAAAGGTACTCAGATCCTTTCTAGTTCTCTAGGCATTGGTTCTCTATCTGTACGTAAAACTACAACTGCCTGTCCTGGCATCTCCAGACACTGACAAGCAAATATGTCCAGGCTGTCATGATTTTTCTGAGACAACTGATATTGTGTACTTGAAAACTGCAATGTGTCCCAAGTTCAACATAGCCTTCCTCCATCTAAGTAGTGGCCAAATATTCATAATACACCTCTAATTTCCTTCCATCCTCCTCCCCAATTCAAAACCAGTGTGTATTCTCAAGCTACATTTCAGGGGCAACGCACAGTAAGTAGATCTCATTCCCCAAATAAACAATCACTACAGAGGTGTAATATGGGAGGTATATGAAAAAACATATTTTATTCCCTCTGGGCCCAAATGAATCATACTTTCTGGTCACAACTTTTAGAGGCAGGCTATTATTTCAGCAGGCCACTCTCTCACTTTTTCTGTTCCCTCTCTGACTCCTTCATCCTTTACCAAAGTACAGAGAAACGTTATCTCTAGCCCCCTTCCGTCACCCACAAATCAGCGTATGATAGTCAACAAAAACTGAGGAAAGACTTCTAGCCAAGAAAAAGACCCATTAAAGAGTGGTGTTTTTGTTCTGATCATTCTAAACTGATCATTCTGATCATTGTTGTGTGACAATACAAATGGTGCCCCTCTGTACCTTTTTTTGGTACACCAACAGTTGTTCTATGTCCCCATCATTTCCTTTTGAGACCTTGAAGTTTCAACAACATTCTTGACCTTCTTAATTTATCCAATGTTAAACACTTGAATGCTACAAAGAGCATGTGCATGGGACACTACTAGGCTGAAAAAATAAGGCCTACCTCTTCCAGGCCAAGCTGTTTTGGACATGATCACACTGATCAGTTTGAGTCCAAGTATAGCCAGAACCAAGGAGAAAAGGAAAGTTTCAGAGATGAAAAATAGGCTTAAAAATTAAAATGTGACAATGTAAAATCTTAACTCCTGAAGACCAATGAATTACCAAAAACAGTGAACTGGCTGCAGACACTTACTGTCTCTATTTCTGTGAGGCAAATTATTTTAAGATTACTAGGAAAAAAGACAGTAAACAATGAGTTGAGCACTTTGAGAGGTTGAGGCAGGCAGATCACTTGAGCCCAGGAGTTTGAGACCAGCCTGGGCAACACGGCAAAACCCTATCTCTACAAAAATACAAAAATTACCCAGGCATGGTGGCACACGCCTGTAGTCCCAGCCACTTGGTAGGCTGAGGTGGGAGGATCACTTGAGCCTGGGAGGTCGAGGCTGTGGTGAGCTGAGATCGTGCCACTGCACTCCAGCCTAGGCGACAGAAACAAACAAAAAAAGCAGTGAGTTGGGGATTTTTTTTTTTTTTTTGAGATGGAGTTTCGCTCTTGTTGCCCAGACTGGAGTGCATTGGTATGATCCGGCTCACCGCAACCTCCACCTCCTGGGTTCAAGCGATTCTCCCACCTCAGCCTCATGAGTAGCTGGGATTACAGGCATGCACCACCACGCCCAGCTAATTTTATATTTTTAGTAGAGACAAGGTTTTACCTTGTTGGCCAGGCTGGTCTTGATCTCTTGACCTTGTGATCCGCCTGCCTCGGCCTCCCAAAGTGCTGGGATTACAGGCGTGAGCCACCGCGCCCAGCGGTAATCATTTTTTAAAATCTCAGAAGCAAAGGTCTCAAACATCTGTCTTTCTGTGCCTGTATGCTGCCCAACTCATTCCCAAAAAGGAATGGGAATCAGATTCCTATCAACATAAGGCTCCCAATATATGTTATGTAGGTTTCTTGGGAAACTGCATCAACTGAAGTAGTCTTTAAAAATTAAAATAAGAGGCCAGGCGCAGTGGCTCACGCCTGTAATCCCAGCACTTTGGGAGGCTGAGGCAGGCGGAGCACAAGGTCAGGAGATTGAGACCATCCTGGCTAACACGGTGAAACCCCATCTCTACTAAATATACAAAAAATTAGCTGGGCATGGTAACAAATGCCTGTGGTCCCAGCTACTCCGGAGGCTGAGGTAGGAGAATCGCTTGAACTCAGGAGGCAGAGTTTGCAATGAGCCAAGATCGTGCCACTGCACTTCAGCCTAGGCGACAGAGCGAGACTCCATCTCAAAAAAAAAAAACAAAAAAAATTAAAATAAGAAAACCAAAGCACACAATGATAAACCACTTTTCTCTTCTTGCTGTAATTTTTCTTTGATTTGCTCTCTGGGGATCAAGACAAAACAAAATCATTAGTCTTAGATACCTGAATTTGACCTCGCCTCATAGCTAATGTGATCAAGAGTAGTTTTTTTTTTTTTTAAATACAATTAAGACAAAAGGACTTTATATCAGCAGGACTTTAGGGCTGTGGTTCCACTGTTTTTATAGTAAAATACACTAATGGTGGGGTAGAGGTTGGAGAAGGAGGTGGAAACATCCGTTACAAGGCAACATGACAGACAGCAGGACCCTAACTAGACTTTAAGGAATTAATTCTATTCAGACGGGGGGAGCCCTACATAATTAAGTTTCACACTTATAAAATTATCACTCTGAATTCAGGGATAAGAGGCATTTGGTTGTAGATACAATTCCATCTGTAGATACTAACTTTAAATTTAAAGAAGAAAAACATTCATTGCATTTATATTATGTGTTGAGTTTCTTACATATTCCTAAATCCATCTACTAATTTTTTGTTTTGATACAATTTACAGCTATGGTAAGATGATTACCACAGCCCTGATTCAGGTGTGGTCTTTAGCTTCAGAAAGTCCATCGGTCATGTAGCTGACTGTCATTGCTAAATCTGTTGCTTGCAGAGGCCTCAGTGCTCTGGCTTTGCCGAGTAGAGTCCTCACCATTTAAGCTCTTCCTACATACAGGACATGTGTCATGCTGAAACAGAAAAATATTAGTCTATGTGAAGATCCTGGCCTGAGAAGCTGGGAGTATTGTACACTTAAATAACCCTGAGAATTGTCACATCAAAAATTATGACATGGAACAGAAAAACAATAGAGAATGCATCCTCATAGAGCATGCACTGGCTCTAAGGTGTGATACCAGGATATCTCCCAAACAGAACTTTAAGCAGAACTGACAGGAATAATTCTAGGCCAGCAAGTTAATAACAGCTAATACATACCACCAAACAGAACGAACCAGAAACAGTGAGTGATCTATGACAGGAGGGTAACTGCCCATTACTTCCCAATATGGTCTAGAGCAGAGGTCAGCAAACTTTTTGTTTAAAGGGACAGGAAAATTGGCCGAGTGCAGTGGCTCACACCTGTGATCCCAATACTTTGGGAGGCCGAGGCAGGTGGATCACCTGAGGTCAGGAGTTTGAGATCAGCATGGCGAAACCCTGTCTCTACTAAAAACACAAAAATTGGCTGGGCATGGTGGTGCACGCCTGTAATCCTAGCTACTCTGGAGACTGAGACACAAGAATCACTTGAAACCAGGAGGTAGAGGTTTCAGTGAGCTGAGATCACGCCACTGCACTCCAGTCTGGGTGACAGAGTGAGACTCTGTCTCAAAACAAATACATAAGGGACAGAAAATAAGTATTTTAGGCTTTGCAGGCCACACCACAGCTGTTACAACTAATCAACTCTGCTGACGTAGCACAAAAGTAGCCACAATCTATAACCAAATGAACATAGCTGTGTTCCAATAAAATTTTATTTACAATAACAGGTGGCAGGACACAATGACCTGTAGAACATAGTTTGCAACCCTTGGTCAGAAAAGTTCCAAACAAATAACAGTATCAGAGTAAGCCAGGGATTTATGGGATAAAATCTGATCTACTTGGATCTCGAGGAACTGTTAACTATACCTTTACTCTGAATCATCCCCCAAAGAAGCCATGACTTGCTGTACTCACCAGTTCTAGCCACGGCACAATACAACTGCTGTGAAAGAAGTGATTGCAAGGTAACTGCCGGACTTCCTCTTCAACTGTGTAATCTTCTTTGCATACTGGACACTCTAAACCCATATCTGTTGAAGAAGGAAATGCCTTTTAAAGTAAACAGGCAAAAGGAAAGAAGAAAAAACTAACCCAATGTCTCTACCAACCCTACGAATGCATAAAGAAAAGACACAAGAGACAAAAGAAAATGTACACCCAAGTAGCAGGCAGCTAAGAGGCATGACTTGTATTTCAAAATGAGGGTAAAGGTGGTAGTAGACAGAGACATGAAAAGAAGGAATGATGAATGGGGCCTACTCCAAAAAGGCCTATATAGGAACTATATAAGGCCTATTTTTTGATGTAAAGAGTTGGAAGAAATAAACTGGGGCTTAGATGATCTGCTCAGTAAAACAGGAAAAACATCTTCCCAATGTGTGACAGCCCTCTGGCAGTCAGTTGCTACTGTGAATCTGTCCACCATAGCCAAGGGATTCATCTCAGCAATCTTATCAGTGCAGCGTCTCAAGCCACTTGCCACTTTCACCATGCTCTTTTCAGCATGGGATGAAGCATCCTATTTCAGTGTGGCTGTCCTAAAGTCCTCTGTAAAAACTGTTAATGAGGGTGAAGGCGGGTGGATCACGAGGTCAGGAGTTCAAGACCAGCCTGGCCAAGATGGTAAAAACCCTGTCTCTACTAAAAATACAAAGATTAGCTGGGTGTGATGGTGAGCGCCTGTAAACCCACCTACTCAGGAGGCTGAGGCAGAGAATTGCTTGAACCCGGGAGGCGGAGGTTGCAGAGAGCCAAGATTGCGCCACTGCACTCCAGCCTGGATGACAGAGCAAGACTCTGTCTCAAAAAAAAAAAAAATTATTAATAAAAGCTATACCAGAAAAGAAGAAAATACCAGAAGCCATACCAGAAAAGCTATACCAGAAGTGGTGCTGCAGAACTGCAAAGTCGAAGTCTAGCTCAGGTCACCAAATCAAGAGACAGAAAGCCCTCTTCTCTGAGAAGAAACAGTCATGAACTATACTGGGAGCTCCAAGCAGCAAGTTTTGAGTTTCCCAAATTTGGCTAATACTGTCAGCTAGTCTATACGCCTAGTGGCTGGGATATGCTCCATGAACTAACAGCAGATAAGGCATTTGGAGCAGTACTACTACTTAATAGATTCACTCCTTACTCTCCATTCCTATCACCTTAGCCCTAATTCTTTTACTTCTCATGCCTAGTCTGCTGCAACAGCCTCCCAGCTAGTATCCCAAATTCCACGGTCTTAACCCTCCAAATATATCCTATACTTTGCTACAACTTAGTTTTCCCTCAAACCAGCTCCACAGCAATCCCCAGCTCCTCTTCACTTGGATTCTCAGCTGGCACCTCAAAAATCAACAAATTAAAAAATGTAAAACATCACCTCATCTCCTTACCCAAACCAGGGTCCATTCACTATTTCCCTGTCCCTTAAGATGGCAGCACCATGTTTATAGTTACAAAGCTGTGAAATCTCAGAATTCTCTTTGACTCTTTCCCCTTCTTCATCCCATTATGCAATGAGTGAGGAAAGCATTTCTCCAAAATGATCTTCTGAATCCTTTCCTTTCTGTTAGCATTGTCACCATCAACTGAACCTCATCTGGACTGCTGCAACACTCTAAAATCCCTGTTTCTGCTCTCTCTCACTTCCAATGTTTCACACACTGCCCCTAGACTAATCTTCCCTAAAGACCACTTTACCTGACTCACACACCACGTATATTAGTTCATACTTTTCCTTAAATAGAATGACCTAAGATAGCCCACCTTGTCTTTAAAATCTCTAACTCTAAACCCGAACTGATGGGAACAGAAACTCCCAGACCAAAATGCTGTCCCTTGTCACTAAATTCCTCCAGTGCTTACAAATAAAATAGTATCTATGACTAAGATACCTAACTGTACCTGACACAAAGTAGATTTGAAACAAACTCCCAGCCTATTTTTTTCTTCTCCTTTCCCCAATGTCAGTATCATGTGTCCAACACAGTTTTTAATCATTTGATCAGTTTTTCTTCAACTTGTTACAATCAATTCTTATCTATCTTTGTACCTCTTTATTCCCAATGGCACCTAAAAAAGAGACATAATTGCTCAGGAAATACCAACTGACTAACCTAATAAAGGGGTAGGAACTTTCCAGATTTGGCACCCAGATAGGAATTTTAGAGGGCTATAGCTTCACTTAAAGGTCCTTAATATAGGAAGGTATTGGGATTTTTTTTCTTATTTTTTTGTCTTTTTATTTTGTTCACTTTTTAAACTTTTCACCTGTCAGAAGATACCGGGATTTTGAACCGAGATCAGAAGATGACAGAATAAGTATAAAAATGAACCTACCAACTTGTTCCTGAGTTACTGTCACTGTTGGAAGAGATGTGATCTTTTCCTTGTCAGCTGGGGGAGGGCCTGTGTTTTCCAGTTGTCCTAAAAGCTACAAAAAAAGAGAAAGAAAAAGACGAAGTGGCAGACATCGCAATATCCCTGGAGAGGGAACTGCTCCAGCTGAGAACAAACAGTGCAGACATTAGGTATGTTAGTTACTCTTACTTCTGCAAGGCTCTGAGAGGCTTGGGTTTCCCCTTTCCTGCTGCCAGAACACTCATAATTGCTTTACAATTTCAGAGTGACGTTCGTATAAGCCTACAGACAAACCCATGATTGCAAGGCCCACCTCTAGGCATAAAGCAACTTCAGAGGCAGCAAAAGGGTTGTGGTGTCACGAGTAAAACTATAGCTTAATAAAAAGTAAAATGTAACTGGTCCAAAAGCTTCATCTTCTGGAAGAAGAAAAAAGCGAGAGTATGAAAAGTAGCATAACGTGAGCCAAGAAATAGGTAAATTACTGCCTATAAGACGACTGAATATAAAGGACATGCTTTCTAGTCTCAGAAATCCACAACGGAAATGAAAAACCAATCAAATTAAAATGAACATAAACAAGTGGAAGCAATTATACATGGCATGGGAATACTTTTTTCTCTGCTTCCTTCCCCTACTTTGCTCCATCTAGCAGAAATCCCTGCTTCAACATGTGAGGAAACCCTCCTTTTTTTGTGAAATATTTGTTAATAGAATCCTTATAGAACTGAGCAAGAGAGACAAAAATACAAAATACTATTTGTTATAGAAGTCTTTTCTTCCTATGGAGGTGAAACCATCTTCTAGAAATTCCCTCAGACCTAGGAAGTGCATGGATGCTGAGCTAACCCCATAAATCATTCATCCCTTTAGTAAAATGGAAACCCCAAAGCTCAAAATATTAGAGAAAGCAGAGTGACTGCCATTTCAGAAAGTAGCAGAAGGAAAGCAGGAAGCCTGTGGAACCATGAGACACACTGAACAGACACCCTCAAAAGGCAGCTCCTCACCTGGGTTACAATGGCATCAAGCCCTGTCTGACCCCAGGCATAGTCCCCAGGGTTGGAGTGCAGCATCCCGCTCCTATACGTGAGATGAGATAGACAGCATTAGATGGAGTGACCAGGCTCTGCCTTACACCACAGAAAAAAATTGGCAGAGGGATCCTGTTCTCTCTCAGAGCTGGAAAGTCACTAGTCCTCCAGGATCAAGAGGCAAAGAATTCTGTACATTTTCAAGATCAAACAGACTATCCAGAGATAGTACCTCATTCTCTAAGAATTTTACTTAACTAGAACATAAAATGTGAAGCTACCTAAAGTACCACATGACACGCCAGAACAAAAAGAGTGACTCATTGCCTGTTGGTTTCAAAAATTTGTGTTTTCTGTGCCCACTGATATTAAACACAGATGGAGCTGCTTTTTAAGGAGAGTTTTCCCTTCATGACTGGTCAAAATCTACAGCAAACATCCCTCATTATAAGAGGCCGCCCACAGTTCTGGACAATGAGGAGCTTTCAAGTAGAGAAGCAGCCATAGCAGTCTCTCTGAATCACAACTTAGAGCAATTATAAAAGGGACTTGGCAACACCGTTTTTTTTTATTTTCCCTCAGAGCTGCTGGTACACTACCAGCAGAGGTCCAGACTACTGGATGACAGAGGTCCTAAAAGGACTGAGGTTCCTTTGAGCAAAGAAACCTTCTGGGCCACAGTTAGAAGCAGCAAATAATTTCTCAGACAAGAAGAAATTCCATCTTTAATCCCATCATACATAAGTGTCACTCTGATACTGAATTACAGCCTATTGTTTCTTCTGACAAATCCTCTTACTTTGAAAAAAATGAAGTTCAGCATAATGTTTTCAATTTCAGAAATTCTTAAGGAGTAAAATATTCCTGTGTAGTCTACTGGGGAAACCCACAAATCAGATACCAAGCCTGGCAGGGACCATCTCATTCTCTACCTCAATACAACTCTCAGACCTGAATATAAAAGGAATCAAGACATTTCTAGCACCCAAACATCCTGGGGGACCAGGACGGCCTTCCTGAGCCTGAATAATAATAAAAAAAAAAGTTCTGATTAAGTTTGGGCTTAGCAGATAATGGCAGTGTAGCAGCCTCCAGTTACATCTACATACTCACCTATGCAGCTCTTTTTTTTTTTTTTTTTTTTTGAGACAGGGTCTCTTTCTGTCGCCCAAGCTGGAGTACAGTGGCGCGATCTCGGCTCACTGCAACCTCCACCTCCCGGGTTCAAGTGATTCTCCTGCCTCAGCCTCCGAGTAGCTGGGACTACAGAAGCATGCCACCACGCCTGGCTAATTTTTTATATTTTTAGTAGAGACGGGGTTTCACCATGTTAGCCAGGATGGCCTCGATCTCCTGACCTCGTGATCCGCCAGCCTCGGCCTCCCAAAGTGCTGGGATTAGAGGCATGAGCCACCGCACCCGGCCTATGCAGCTCTTTTTCTCTACTGCACAGAAATGACAGCACCTAAAATATGTCACTCCAATAGAGTAAGATAGAAAACAATTAGTTACTTACCAGGAAAAAGGGTGTGGAGATCCAGGAATGGCAGAATTTGCAAAGAATCCTGCAAAGATGTGTTGTAGTATTCTGTTACAGAAGAAAAAATTAGATAAGACAACAGACTAATGAAAAGTACTCTACAGATATCCATGGCTGCCTAATCACCAACTAATTCCCTAAACCAAAATGGCTTTTCATTGGCTAGTACACAAGAGACAGCATCAGAAATCAGCCTGCCACACAGCGGTGTGCTATTTTGCTATTATGGCTATCTTCCTGAGCTCTGCTATCTTACAGATTAATAGATTTTTGTGAATTAAGCTGGAAAGGGATCTGATGGTATGGTATAGTTTTTCAAACTATGTTCCCTGAATATCTGACATCAACATAAGGAAGGGTTAAAAGGGATGCCGAGCCAGTGGAACTCTGGACCCACCTCCCTTTAACAAGGGTAGTTCCATTTTTGTATGTTGTACACATTGGGTTTCTGAATAAGATATCATTTAAAGAGTCCTTTAAAAAAAAGTTTAAGCAATAATTCTATGTTAAGGTTGTTTCAGATGATTATAACACAAACACATATAAACACACACATGCTTAGCATTTGTCACTCTGAATACTTAAGATGGCACAGGTACACAGTTCTTTACACGAATGAGTCTTTGTTACCCAAAGAGATACTGGAGTGATGCCTCAGCAAAAGAAAAACCTGAAGAAATTGTTTCACTGGATCTTCTGTGTTCTGGATGATATGCAATTTTTTTTCTTTTTTGAGACAGAGTCTCGCTCTGCCGCCCAGGCTGGAGTGCAGTGGAGCGATCTCGGCTCACTGCAACCTCTGCCTCCCAGGTTCAGGCAATTCTCCTGCCTTAGCCTCCCGAGTAGCTGGGATTATAGGCACCTGCCACCACACCCGGCTAATTTTTTGTATACTTAGTAGATTTAGTAGAGATGGGGTTTCACCATGTTGACAAAGCTGATCTTGACCTCCTGACCTCAGCCTCCCAAAGTGCTGGGATTACAGGTGTGAGCCACCACGCCCAGCAATGATATGCAATTTTAAGTCCCTGGTTCCCACTTTACTTATTAGGCCAATTAATATAACAATGGCAATAGCCAACATTAGACTTTCCCTGCTACTAAAGTTCAACAGCAGCTAACTACACTATTCCGTTTGTTTGCTTGCTTTTTTGTATTATTTTTCATTATTTATTTTTAACTGACAAAAATTGCATATATTATGGTATATAACATATTTTGAAATATGTATGCATTGTGGAATGACTACATCAAACTATCAACATATGCATTACCTCACAAACTTATTTGCAACAATAACCCTTAAAATCTACTCTCTCAGCAATTTTCAGATGTACAAAACACTGGTTGTTTTTTTTTTTTCTTTTTTTGAGATGAAGTCTTGCTCTGTCACCTAGGATGGAGTGCAGAGGCACCATCTCAGCTCACTGCAACCTCCATATCCCAGGTTCAAGCAATTCTTGTGCTTCAGCCTCCCAAGTAGCTGGGATTACAGATGCACACCACCACGCCTGGCTAATTTTTGTATTTTTAGTAGAGATGGGGTTTCACCATGTTGGCCGGGCTGTCAAGTAATCCGCCCGCCTTGGCCTCCCAAAGTGCTGGGATTATAGGCATGAGCCACCCCACCTGGCTGAAAACATTGTTATTAACTACTGTCACCCACGTTGTACAACAGATCTCTTGAACTTTTAACTAAAATTTTGTATCCTTCAACATCTCTCTAATCCACCCCCTCTGCCCCACAGCTCCTAGTAACTACCATTCTATTCTCTGCTTCTATGAATTCATTGTGTTTTCTTTTTTTTAGAATGCTTCGTGTTGTTTTAAAAATATGTCCAAAAATTATTTGATAATCTTCCCTTCAGTGTGGGCTGGACTTAGTGACTCACTTAACAATAGAATATGGCAGAATTGATAATCTGTGACTTCCAAGACAAGGTAAAAAAAAGTGGGGGAAATGGCCGGGTGTGGTGGCTCTTGCCTATAATCCCAGAACTTTGGGAGGCTGAGGTGGGTGGATCACTTGAGGTCAGGAGTTCGAGACCAGCCTGGCCAACATGACCCCATCTCTACTAAAAATACAAAAATTAACCAGGCATTAGTGGCACGTGCCTATAGTCTCAGCTACTCAGGAGGATAAGGCAGGAGAATCACTTGAACCCAGGAGGAGGAGGTTGCAGTGAGCCAAGATTGTGCCATTACACTCCAGCCTGGGTGACAGAGACTTTGCCTCAAAAAAAAAAAGGTGGGGGGCGGGGGGCAGTGCTTTCTCCTTGTACTTCTGTCGGATCAATCACTTGCTCTGGGAGAGTGCCATATCAAGCAGTCCTATAGAAAGGTCCATGTGATGAGGAACTGAGTACTGCCAACAGCCAGAACAAACCTGCCAGAATATGTGTAAAGCCTAGTCAATCCTATACTGCAGCAATGGCCAACATCTTGACTATAAGCTCATGAAATCCTGGGCCAGAACCACTCAGCCATGCTACTCCCAACTGAACCTGTTCCTGACCCAGTGAATCTGTGAGATAATAAATATTTGTTGTTTTAAGCCACTAAGCTCTGAGATAATTTGTTATATGGCAATAGATAATATACAGATTTCGATATCTGGATACCGGTGCCGCCACAATAAAGACCCAAAACTTGAGAGTATCTTTGGAACCCAGCAGTGGGGCAGAAGTTAAAAGGACTTTGAGGAGAGCATCAGTGAAGTTTGAAGAGCCTTAAAAAAAAACAGAAGCACTATGGCCTTTGAGGAAGTTAAAGGTGAGAGATTAAGAAAAGGCAGAAAAAATCTGATTAGAAACTGGAGGGAAAAGGATCCTTGTTATATAATGGCAAAGCTGTGGCCTTACCATAACATGGAAAGTAGATGTTGTGGTCCAAAAACTGGTTGATAATCTAGCTAAAGTGATTTCACTTTTGAAAGTACCTCCTGGCTTCTTGCTGCTTACTTTAAAATGCAAAAGAGGGATGAATTAAAGGAAGAACAGTTAAACAAAAAGGACAGAATTATATAATTCTGAGAATTCCCAGCATCTCCAGATTAGTAAATGACACTAAAATTAAGAGATTTCAAGCAAAGATCGAATCCAAGGCACTGCCAAAAGACTGATTTCAGATGAAGCCAAGGATCAGACTATAACACTTCTTTGTTAAGACCTCAGAAAGGGCCAGGCACGGTAGCTCACGCCTATAATCCCAGCACTTTGGGAGGTCAAGGCAGGAGGATCACTTGAGGCCAGGAATTTGAGACCAGCCTGGCCAACATGGAGAAACCTGTCTCTACTAAAAATACAAAAATTAGCCGGGCATGGTGGCACACACCTGTAATGCCAGCTGCTCGGGAGGCTGAAACATGAGAATCACTTGAACCCAGGACACGGACGTTGCACTGAGCCGAGATTGCACCACTGCACTCCAGCCTGGGTGACAGAGTGAGACTGTCTCAAAAAAAAAACAAAAAAAACACAACCTCACAAAGATCTAGAATGGTACCTAAAGAATCATTCAATTAGAAAATCGGACTAAGAAGCTTAAGGGTGTTATGTTAGTTTCCTAGGGCTGCTATAACAAACTACCACAAACTGGGTAGCTTAAAACAAAAGGAATTTATTCGTTCACTGATGTGGGTGTCAGTAGGGTTAGTTCCTTCAGGAAGTTCTGAGGGAGATCAATTCCATGATTCTCTCTGGCTTCTGGTGATGTTTGACAGCAATCTTTGCCATTCCTTGATTTGTAGATGTATGCCCCCCACAACCTCTGCCTCTGTCATCACATGGCTTTCTTCTGTCTTCTGTGTTCATGTCCAAATTTCTAGCTTCTTTTTTTTTTTTTTTTTTTTTTTTTGAGGCAGAGTCTCACTCTCGCCCAGGCCAGAGTGCAGTGGTGCGATCTCAGCTCACTGCAACCTCTGCCTCCAGGTTTAAGCAATTCTCACGCCTCGGCCTCCTGAGTAGCTGGGATTACAGGCATGGGCCACCACGCCTGGCTAATTTTTGTATTTTTAGTAGACACGGGGTTTTACCACATTGGCCAGGCTGGTCTCGAACTTCTGACCTCAGGTGATCCTCCCACCTTGGCCTCCCAAAGTGCTGAGATTACAGGAGTAAGCCACCGCACCCAGCCAAATTTCTCTCCTTATAAGACTATCAACCGTTGGATTAGGGCCCTTCCTGATCCAGTGTGATCTTACTATAACTTGACTACATCTGTAATGACCCTATTTCCAAATAAGGTCATATTCACGGTGACCTTATCAGGGTTAGGACTTGAACACAGCTTTTTGGGGGACACAATTCTACCCATTACAAGTGGTATCTCTCAGCAATCCCAGCAGAAACCCAAGGTGGAAAAAGCCTATTTAGAAGAGATTGGTGGATGTGGCTTTTGCCTAATGGCATGAATCCCAGTGAGATTCACAGGATACTCGAAGTTTTAAAAAGAAACACTGCCAGCTTAAACTGAAAGGTGGAAAAATAGTACAAAATGAAAACCGGTCTCTGGGCCCTGAAATTTCTACTGGCAAGAAGCAAGCTAAGAAAGCTATGCAGCTACAAATATGAACTACTTTTAATGGAAAAGAAAGGATGACTAACAGGGTGGATTCCAGAGTCACAGAGAAGAACTCCTGGGCAGAAGTAGAAGTCCTAGTCAAGGAACTTCTGACATTTGTCTAGACAACTATCAGAATTGCTGTGAACCAGCAACTTCTTTGTGCCATCATTTTCCCTTTTGGAACAGGAAATCTCTATACCTGTTCAGAATCACTGCCTGTCCATATCACTGTATGTTGGGTGTGTGATAGGTAGTTAACCTGTCTCTTTAGTTTACAGGTCTTCACAACAAAAGGAACTATACCTGAGGAACTATACCCAAGGAGCCACACCCACACTTGGACCTAGTTAAAAGGACAGCTACCTATATTTCAAGCTGATGCTATAGAAGAAGGAGACTTTTTTGATAGATTTTGGGAGGAAGTGAGTGCATTTTGCACATAGAAGAAGTGTAAATAATTTGTGGCTAGAGGGCAAACTGTGGTGATTTTAAAATACATCCATAAATTCTCTAGAGGTGGAGCTAATTCTCTTCTCCTTGAATGTAGGCTAGATTTAGTGATTCACCTCTTACAGACAAAATGTAGCAGGAATGACAGTGTGTGACTTCCAAAATTAGGATATAAAAAGATATTATGGGTTTTTTTCCTGCTTCCTCTATCATTCTCTTGGATCACTAACTCCAAGAGAAGCTAGCTGCCAAGTAATATGGACATTCAAGGAGCCCTATGGAGAGGCCCAGATGGTGAGGAACTAAGGCCTCCTGCCAACAGTCATGTGAGTGAGCCATCTTGGAAGTGGATGTTCCAGGTCCAGTTAAGTGTTCGGTTGACTGTAGCCACAGCTGACATGTTGATTATAACCTCATGAAGCCCTTCACCAGAACCATCTAGCTAAATTGCTCCCAAATTCCTGACCCTCAAAAATATTGAGATAATAAATATTGTCATAAGCTGTTAAATTCTGGGGTAAAGTGTTACACAGCAATAGGTAACTAATATATACCCACCTATTTGTCAGTGACAAGAAGGGCAAATTATCTTATGCTTACACTGACCAATAAGTAAATGGTAATAATCAAGTTTGAGAGATAGCCTAGTTCTTGAAGCTGTAAAAGTCAATCCTATATGAATGCTTGGAATTACGAGGGACAACTCACCAGCAGCTGATCAGCTGATGATTTCTCTTTCTTGGCTACTTACTCTCTGGAAGTCAGATGTTAGTCCCATGTTTTTGTAGCAGTAACAGAGACTGCTGAGGGTGGCCCCAATGCATAAGAGCTGTTGCTCAGAGAACAATAGTTGACAGAGTATTTACAATGAATTTTGTTTATTAAAAAAAAATCTTTTCTTGTTAAAGCTAAATGTCTGGGGAAGATGTGGAGGGAAGGAAGATAGTGTATACATTTAATTTTAGAAACTCACAGACGAGAAAAATCAACCCACTGGGTCTGGAAGGGAAGTCACATGCTAAAACCAGGTAAGAGTCTTCACATAGTTTCCAGAGCTGTAGCCTCTCTAGGTTTTCCTTGTACTTCCCTGGCTGTTTCTTCTCAGTCTCCTTTGCTTATTCTTCCTTATCTTCCAAACTTCTAACCATCGAGGGCCCAGGCCTCAATTCTCTGAGCTCTGCTATTTCCTATCTTGACTTCTTTGACCACTTTATCCAGCTTTATAATTTTAAATATCATATATAGGCCACAACTTCCAAATATTATCTCCAGCCAAGACCTCTGCCTATTCAACATTTCCACTTGTATAATAAGCACCTCAAACTTATTATGTCCCAAACTGAATGAACTCTTAAATATTTTCCTCCAAACTTACTCCTCCTAATGTTCCCCATGTCAGTGGATGGTGGCTCCATTCTTCTTGTTTTCAGGCCAAAAACCTTGGTGTCATAACTCTTCTTTCTGTTACACCCCACATCCAATCTGTCAGTAACTCCTATCATGAATATTGCCAAACTGCATCTGAAACCAAACCATTTTTCACTGCTCTCACCCAAACCACTGGCATCTCTAGCTTATATTAATGCAATAGCCTCTTAAATGGTTTCTCTGCTGTGTCTTTGCCTCGCACACCTCGCAGCCCCCCATTCTATTTTCAGCACAGCAGTTAGAGCAATCATTTCAAGATATAAATGACACCTAACTCTCCATTGGAACAGAAGCTCTTATAATTGCCAACTAGGCTTCATATAATCTAATACCCACCTCCCCATTCCCACTCCCATCAACTTCTCCTACCATTCCCCTCACCTTCTCTGCCCTACATTGGTCTCTCCTTGTTTGTCCATCCCTACACTTCCTTGGTGTCTATTCAGATACTTTCTCAATAAGACATTTGCTGACTATGCTCTTTTTGAAACTTCACTTCAACCATATTCCCTATCTCCCATCCCTGCTTTTCTTCCACCATAGCACTTACTACTGCTTAAAATTCTATTTATTTTGATCATCTATCTTTCTCCATTAGTACTTAAGCTCCACGAGGGCAGTCATTCTTGACTATTTATTGACTACTGTATGCCCAACATCTGGCACACAGTAATACACAATGTCTGCTGAATAAATTAAGAGACCTCTTATGGGGCCAGGCAGAGTGGCTCACACCTGTAATCCCAGCACATTGGGAGGCCAAGACAGGAATACAAGACTAGCCTGGACAACATAAGGAGACCCCATCTCTACAAAAAAAATTTAAAAATTAGCTGGGCCTAGTGCTGCACACCTGTGGTCCTAGATGCTTAGGAAGCTGAGATGGGAAGATCACTTGAGCCCAGGAAAAAATTAATTAAGAAACCTCCCCTAGATGGGCTCTGATATGGTTTGGCTGTGTCTCCACCCAAATCTCAGCTTGAATTGTATCTCCCAGAATTCCCACATGCTGTGAGAGGGACCCTGGGGGAGGTAATTGAATCATGGAGGCCGATCTTTCCCATGCTATTCTCATGACAGTAAGTCTCATGAGATCTGATGGGTTTATCAGGGGTTTCTGCTTTTGCTTCTTCCTCATTTCTCTTGCCGCCGCCATGTAAGAAGTGCCTTTCACCTCCCACCATGATTAAGAGGCCTCCCCAGCCATGTGGAACTGTAAGTCCAATTAAAGCTCTTTTTCTTCCCAGTCTTGGGTATGTCTTTATCAGCAGCGTGAAAATGGACTAATATAGTAAATTGGTGCCAGGAGTGGGGCATTGCTGAAGAGATACCAAAAATGTGGAATTGACTTTGGAACTAAGGAACAGGCAGAAGTTGGAACAGTTTGAAGGGCTCAGAAGAAGACAAGAAAATGTGGGAAAATTTGGAACTTCCTAGAGACTTGTTCAATGGCTTTGCCCAAAATGCTAATAGTGATATGGACAATAAGGTCCAGGCTGAGGTGGTCTCAGATGGAGATAAGAAACTTGTTGGGAACTGGAGCAAAGAAGACTCTTGTTATGTTTTAACAAAGAGACTGGCAGCATTTTGCCCCTGCCCTACAGATTTGTGGAACTTTGAACTTGAGAGAGATGATTCAGAATATCTGGTGGAAGAAACTTCTAAGCAGCAAAGCATTCAGGAGGTAACTTGGGTGCTGTTAACCAGTTTTATAAGGGAAGCAGAGCATAAAAATTTGGAAAATTTGTAGCCTATGTGACAAAAAAGAAAAACCCATTTTTTGAGGGGAAATTCAAGCCAGCTGCAGAAATTTGCATAAGTAGCAAGGAGCCTAATGTTAATCCCCAAGACCACAGGCAAAATGTCTCCAGGCCCTGTTAGAGACCTTCACAGCAGCCCCTCCCATCACAGGCCCAGAGACCCAAGAGGAAAAAGTGGTTTTGTGGGCTGGGCCCAGGGTCCCCGTGCTGTGTGCAGCCTAGGGACTTGGTGCCCTGTGTCCCAGTTGCTCCAGCCATGGCTGAAAGGGGCCAACATAGAGCTTGGGTTGTGGCTTCAGAGAGTGCAAGCCCAAAGCCTTGGCAGCGTCCATGTGGTGCTGAGCCTGCGAGTGCACTGAAGACAAGAACTGAGGTTTGGGAACCTCCGCCTAGATTTCAGAAGATGTATGGAAACACCCGGATGCCCAGGCAAAAGTTTGCTGCAGGGGCGGAGCCCTCATGGAGAACCTCTGCTAGGGCGGTGCGGAAGGAAAATGTGGGGTGGGAGCCCCCACACAGAGTCCCTACTGGGGAACTGCCTAGCGGATCTGTGAGAAGTGGGCCACCATCTTCCAGATCCCAGAATGGTAGATCCACTGACAGCTTGCACCAATGCGCCTGGAAAAGCCACAGACACTCAACACCAGCCAGTGAAAGCAGCCGGGAGGGAGGTTGGACCCCGCAAAGCTACAGGGGTGGAGCTGCCCAAGACCACGGGAACCCACCTTTTGCATCAGCATGACCTGGATGTGAGACTTGGACTCAAAGGAGATGATTTTGGAGCTTCAAAATTTGACTGTCCTGCTGGATTTTGGACATGCATGGGACCTGTAACCCCTTTGATCTGGCCAATTTCTCCCATTTGGAATGGCCGTATTTACGAAATACCTGTACCTCCATTGTATCTAGGAAGTAACTAGCTTGCTTTTGATTTTACAGGCTCACAGGCAGAAGGGACTTGCCTTATCTCAGATGAGACTTTGGACTTCAGACTTTTGGGTTAATGCCTAAATGAATTAAGACTTTGGGGGACTGCTGGGAATGCATGACTGGTTTTGAAATGTGAAGACATGAGATTTGGAGGGGCCAGGGGCAGAATGACATGGTTTGGCTGCTGCCATGTTAGAAGTGCCTTAGCCTCCCACCATGATTCTGAGGCCTTCTCAGCCATGTGGAACTATTAAATCCAATTAAACCTCTTTTTCTTCCCAGTCTCAGGTATGTCTTTATCAGTAGTGTGAAAACAGACTAATACAGGCCCCAATCAAATGTATCTTGAAAGATATATACAATCTATTAAGATAAAAAAGATTATAAAATATGTGTAGTATAATCAATTCAATTTCAATTATATAGATGTAATTATCATATATATGTATTTAAAAAGGTCTACAAGATTATACATCAAGGTGTAACTATGGCTATTTCTGGATAAGGCTGTCTTTTTATTCCATACCAAAACAAATTTTTTTTAATAAGAAAAAAAAAAGTTAACCAAAAAAAGTCAGTTCTCAAAATCTGAGATGTGATCAGTGGTCAGAAATCTATGGTCCAAGAACCTAGGGTTAATTTCAGAAGAACATATTCTCTAGGTGGGAAATCTTAAAACATATTCTTTACATAGCCATAAAAAAGAACGAAATCATGTCCTTTGCAGCAACATGAATATAGCTGGAGGTCATTAGCCTAAGCAACTTAACACAGAAAACAGAAATACCACATGTTCTCACTTATACATGGGAACTAAACATTGGGTACACAAGGACACAAAGTAAGGAATAATAAACACTGGAGATCACAAAAGGGAGAGGGAGGGAGAAGGGCAAAGGTTGAGAAACTACCTATAGGTACTATGTTCACTGCTTAGGCCATGGGATCATTAGAAGCCCAAACCCCAGCATCACACAATATACCCGTGTAATAAACCTGCTGTTTTGTGAGTTACCAGGAAAGCAAATTTTTAAAAATTAAAAAATAAAAACCAAACCTGTACACGTACCCCCGAATCTAAAATAAAAATAATAAATTTTTAAAAGAACGTATTATTTAGGTGGGACACCTTCTTAGAAGTAATGTACCCTACACAGCGAATCAGAAACAGCTTACTGCTAAAATCAAAGAGGCTTCCTTTATATAACCAGGAAGGAGACTAAACTACCAAGCTAAAGTGTAACAAAAAAACAAAAGAGTAAAGCACAATAAAATAAAAATGGGGCTGGGCGCAGTGGCTCACGCCTGTAATCCCAACACCTTGGGAGGCCAAAGCAGGCAGATCACTTGAGATCAGGAGTTCGAGACCAGCCTGGCCAACATGGCAAAACCCCATCTCTACTAAAAATACAAAAAATTTTCCAGGCATGGTGGCTCATGCCTGTAGTCCCAGCTACTTGGGAGGCTGAGGCAGGAGAATTGCTTGAACCTGGGAAGCAGAGGTTGCAGTGAGCCGAGATCACACCACTGCACTGCAGCCTGGGTGACAGAGTGAGACTCCCTCTCAAAAAAACAAAACAAAACAAAAACAACAAAATAAAATAAAGATGGGTTTTAATGTAGTAAGTGCAGACTAATGGGTGGTAATCTCTATTACTTGTCTGGAAAACATGAATGTGCTGGTGTTGACCTAACACAAAGGAAAAAACCTAACAAGCATTAATATTTTACCGTCTTAAAAAATTATTTGGCCCTCCCCCTCCCCCTCCCCCTCTCCCTCTCCCCATGGTCTCCCTCTCCCTCTCTTGCCATGGTCTCCCTCTGATGCCGAGCCGAAGCTGGACTGTACTGCTGCCATCTCGGCTCACTGCAACCTCCCTGCCTGATTCTCCTGCCTCAGCCTGCCAAGTGCCTGCTATTGCAGGCGCGCGCCACCACGCCTGACTGGTTTTCGTATTTTTTTGGTGGAGACTGGGTTTCGCTGTGTTGGCCGGGCTGGTCTCCAGCTCCTAACCGCGAGTGATCCGCCAGCCTCGGCCTCCCGAGGTGCCGGGATTGCAGACGGAGTCTTGTTCACTCAGTGCTCAATGTTGCCCAGGCTGGAGTGCAGTGGCTTGATCTCGGCTCGCTACAACCTCCACCTCCCAGCCGCCTGCCTTGGCCTCCTAAAGTGCTGAGATTGCAGCCTCTGCCTGGCCGACACCCCGTCTGGGAAGTGAGGAGCGTCTCTGCCCGGCCGCCATCCCATCTAGGAAGTGAGGAGCGTCTCTGCCGGCCGCCCATCGTCTGAGATGTGGGGAGCGCCTCGGCCCCACCGCCCTGTCTGGGATGTGAGGAGCGCCTCTGCCCGGCCGCGACCCCGTCTGGGAGGTGAGGAGCCCCTCCGCCCGGCAGCCGCCCCGTCTGAGAAGTGAGGAGCCCCTCCGCCCGGCAGCCGCCCCGTCTGAGAAGTGAGGATCCCCTCCGCCCGGCAGCCGCCCCGTCTGGGAAGTGAGGAGCCCCTCCACCCGGCAGCCGCCCCGTCTGGGAAGTGAGGAGCGTCTCTGCCCAGCAGCCACTCGGTCCGGGAGGGAGGTGGGGGGTCAGCCCCCGCCCGGCCAGCTGCCCCATCCAGGAGGGAGGTGGGGGCCAGCCCCCGCCCAGCCAGCCGCCCCATCCGGGAGGGAGATGGGGGGTGCCTCCGCCCGGCCAGCCGCCCCGTCCGGGAGGTGGGGGGTGCCTCTGCCCGGCCGCCCCTTCTGGGAAGTGATGAGCCCCTCTGCCCGGCCACCACCCCGTCTAGGAGGTGTACCCAACAGCTCATTGAGAACGGGCCATGATGACGATGGCGGTTTTGTGGAACAGAGAAGGGGGAAAGGTGGGGAAGGGATAGAGAAATCGGATTGTTGTTGTGTCTGTGTAGAAAGAAGTAGACATGGGAGACTTCATTTTGTTCTGTACTAAGAAAAATTCTTCTGCCTTGGGATGCTGTTGATCTATGACCTTACCCCCAACCCTGTGCTCTCTGAAACATGTGCTGTGTCCACTCAGGGTTAAATGGATTAAGGGCGGTGCAAGATGTGCTTTGTTAAACAGATGCTTGAAGGCAGCATGCTTGTTAAGAGTCATCACCACTCCCTAATCTCAAGTACCCAGGGACACAAACACTGTGGAAGGCCGCAGGGCCCTCTGCCTAGGAAAACCAGAGACCTTTGTTCACTTGCTTATCTGCTGACCTTCCCTCCACTATTGTCCTATGACCCTGCCAAATCCCCCTCTGCGAGAAACACCCAAGAATGATCAATAAAAAAAAAAAAAATTAAAAAAAAATTATTTGAAGTGAAATATGAGTAATTCCTTAGCATTTATCACAATCTGGATGGAATTTCTCTTAAAGATCATGCAATTTCCTTGCTGATTCTATATGTACTAAACAACCATCTGATTGCTTTTGATTTCTTGATACTTGAGAAATTCAAAGACAAGAGTATGCTAACAAACAAATGAGTTTTATAGTCACTGAAACAGAATACCCTCAGTTATAAATTTATAAATTAATCTGCTGGCACAGGTCAGATGCACTTAAAGTCAGATAAGATGAGCTAGTCTATTCAAGACCTAATTAACTATCATTCAAAAGCTGCAGATTAGAGGATAAAGCACATACTTTAGGGACACTGAATAAATATTTGCAGAATGAATGAACAATGTGAGAGTTCCCTGTCTCTGTGTTAGTAAAAAAGTTTTACTCATGCCAATGAAAAAGTCAAAGAAAATGGACCTCATTTCAGGGAAACTTATTAAGTTGGTGTGAGGAACACACTAATAATCCCACAAAGGCTAATCTCTGACATCTGATTTCTTAAATACAAATACAAAGTACTCTTTTTCTTTTTTTTTTTTTTAATTGATCATTCTTGGGTGTTTCTCGCAGAGGGAGATTTGGCAGGGTCATAGGACAATAGTGGAGGGAAGGTCAGCAGATAAGTGAACAAAGGTCTCTGGTTTTCCTAGGCAGAGGACCCTGCGGCCTTCCGCAGTGTTTGTGTCCCTGGGTACTTGAAATTAGGGAGTGGCGATGACTCTTAACAAGCATGCTGCCTTCAAGCATCTGTTTAACAAAGCACATCTTGCACCGCCCTTAATCCATTTAACCCTGAGTGGACACAGCACATGTTTCAGAGAGCACAGGGTTGGGGGTAAGGTCACAGATCAACAGGATCCTAAGGCAGAAGAATTTTTCTTAGTACAGAACAAAATGAAAAGTCTCCCATGTCTACCTCTTTCTACACAGACACGGCAACCATCTGATTTCTCAATCTTTTCCTCACCTTTCCCCGCTTTCTATTCCACAAAACCGCCATTGTCATCATGGCCTGTTCCCAATGAGCTGTTGAGTACACCTCCCAGACGGGGTGGTGGCCGGGCAGAGGGGCTCCTCACTTCCCAGTAGGGGCGGCCGGGCAGAGGCGCCCCTCACCTCCCGGACGGGGCGGCTGGCCGGGCGGGGGGCTGACCCCCCCACCTCCCTCCCGGATGGGGCGGCTGGCCGGGCGGGGGGCTGACCCCCCCACCTCCCTCCCGGACGGGGCGGCTGTCCGGGCAGAGGGGCTCCTCACTTCCCAGTAGGGGCGGCCGGGCAGAGGCGCCCCTCACCTCCCGGACAGGGCGGCTGGCCGGGGGGGGGGGGGGGGGGGGGCTGACCCCCCCACCTCCCTCCCGGACGGGGCGGCTGTCCGGGCAGAGGGGCTCCTCACTTCCCAGTAGGGGCGGCCAGGCAGAGGCGCCCCTCACCTCCCGGACGGGGCGGCTGGCCGGGCGGGGGGCTGACCTGACCCCCCCACCTCCCTCCCGGTCGGGGTGGCTGGCCGGGCAGAGGGGCTCCTCACTTCCCAGTAGGGGTGGCCGGGCAGAGGCGCCCCTCACCTCCCGGACGGGGCGGCTGGCAGGGCAGGGGGCTGACCCCCCCACCTCCTTCCCGGACGGGGCGGCTGGCCCGGCAGAGGGGCTCCTCACTTCTCAGACGGGGCGGCTGCCGGGCGGAGGGGCTCCTCACCTCCCGGACGGGGTGGCTGCCGGGCGGAGACGCTCCTCACTTCCCAGACGGGGTGGCTGCCGGGCGGAGGGGCTCCTCACTTCTCAGACGGTGTGGCTGCCCGGCGGAGGAGCTTCTCACTTCTCAGACAGGGCAGTTGCCAGGCAGAGGGTCTCCTCACTTCTCAGACGGGGCGGCCGGGCAGAGACGCTCCTCACATCCCAGACGGGGTGGCAGGGCAGAGGCGCTCCCCACATCTCAGATGATGGGCGGCCGGGCAGAGACGCTCCTCACTTCCTAGATGGGATGGCGGCCGGGCAGAGACGCTCCTCACTTTCCAGACTGGGCAGCCAGGCAGAGAGGCTCCTCACATCCCAGACGATGGGCGGCCAGGCAGAGACGCTCCTCACTTCCCAGAAGGGGTGGTGGCCGGGCAGAGGCTGCAATCTCGGCACTTTGGGGGGCCAAGGCAGGCAGCTGGGAGGTGGAGGTTGTAGCGAGCCGAGATCACGCCACTGCACTCCAGCCTGGGCACCATTGAGCACTGAGTGAACGCAACTCCGTCTGCCATCCCGGCACCTCGGGAGGCCGAGGCTGGCGGATCACTCGCGGTTAGCAGCTGGAGACCAGCCCGGCCAACACAGCGAAACCCCGTCTCCACCATAAAAATACGAAAACCAGTCAGGCGTGGCGGCGCGCGCCCGCAATCGCAGGCACTCGGCAGGCTGAGGCAGGAGAATCAGGCAGGGAGGTTGCAGTGAGCCGAGATGGCAGCAGCACAGTCCAGCTTCGGCTCGGCATCAGAGACAGAGAGAGACCATGGCAAGAGAGGGAGAGGGAGACCGTGGGGAGAGGGAGAGGGAGAGGGAGAGGGAGCCATTGTTTCATCTTACCCCTGAGAAACAAAGGCCCAGCGAGGTCAGACGCTTGCCCTTGGCCTGGGCCACACAGTGAGTGAAGGTCAGAGCCTAGGCGGGAAACCACCTCTTTCACGGCAAAGCCTTTGTTCTGGCCTCACTCCTCCACTTTCACTCTTCTCCGCTCAGATCCTGCCCATCCCCTGGGCTCACAGGAGATGCCCCTTGGAGGCCTCCAGGCCAGCGCCCACCCCTGTGGCTGTGGCATCCTCTCCAATGGCAGGCACAGACCTGGACCCTGTTGGCGCCAGCCAAAGTACTCTTTTTCTTGAAATGAGGTCTTGCTCTGTCGCCCAGGCTGGAGTACAGTGGCGCAATCTCGGCTCACTGCAACCTCCACCTCCCAGGTTCAAGTGATTCTCCTGCCTCAGCTTCCTGAGTAGCTGCGATAACAGGCAACCGCCACCATGCCTGGTTAATTTTTGGATTTTTAGTAGAGATGGGATTTCATCATGTTGGCCAGGCTGATCTGGAACTCCTGACCTCAAGTGATCCACCTGCCTCGGCCTCCCAAAGTGCTGATTACAGGTGTGAGCCACCGCACCCGGCCATTAAATACAAAGTACTCTGTCTACAGTGAAACCCGTAGAATGAACAGGAATCTGAGATGCAGCCCATGGAAACCATAAGTGGAATGCCCATATGCTCCTTCTCAAAGCAAGAGGACAAAACTGTTATCAGGAAGAAGCCATGCTAAAATTCAATCAATTTTTAAAAATGTATAAAACATGAAATTGTACTTTCAAAACATACAGTGACATCATAATGACAATTACTGTAAAGTAACAACCATATGGAACAATCTAGGCAGGCCTGCTAGCTGGGTATAGTAATAGGCCCCAAAGATATACTGTGTTTATTTATACTTCTATGAAAGAAAAGAGAAAAGAAACTGAATTAAAAACTTTCAAGTTCTATTTACTGATATACTGGTGCCTTGGAAGGAAAGTTTCTGAGAAAATTAGGGAAATGCTTAAATCTTTGGTTAAAAAATAAGTGAGAAGGCTACTTAATTTTAAATTTTTGACTTATACTAAATAGTTATACTAAAATTTTTTAGTATAAGTAAACAGTTAAAAATCTCACCAAATACAAATACTTTGATTATTGCACTATCCTGGCTCCAATATTTAACTGCCTTTATACTCTTAGACAATTTACCTAAACTCTCTGTGCCTCAGTTTCTCCAGTAAAATGGAGATATTCACAATACCTTCTTCACATGGTTATAGTGAGGATTAAACAAATGAATACCTGTAAAGCATTTAGACTAGTTTCTGGCACATACTCTTAGCTATTATTACTATTAATTCATATGTTTTTTATACTTTTTAGAGACATAATTACAATTATCCACTTATTCAAAACAAACATGTTTAGTAGCCACTATAAAACCGATACTGCACTAGAAGCTGAGAATACAGAGATAAATAAAACACTACCCTATACTATCAACCACAGAAGTAACTGAAAAGACTGTAATAGATCTAGTTCCCAAAAAGATACCAGGTCCAGATGGAATTACAGGTAACTTGCATTAAACCTTTAAATAATAGGTAATTCCTGTGTTATGTAAACTATTTCCAAGCATAAGAATACAGCAAGTTTTCCCAGTTCCTTTTATGAAACTAATATAATCCTGACACCAAAACTTGATAAAGAGACTCATCCTCTTTTGAATAAATGTAAAAATCCTTAAAAAAAAAAAAAAAAAAGATAAGGAACAAATCAACTCCAATAATGTGTTAAGAGACTCCAGCCTGGGCAACCTAGTCTCTACCAAAAATTGAAAAATTAGCCAGGCGTGGTGGCACATGCTTGTAGTCCTACCTAGTTCATAGGCTGAAGTGGGAGGATTGCTTGAGCCCACCGAGTTTGAGGTTGTAGTGAAACATGATCTTGCTACTGCATTCTAGCCTGGGAAACAAAGTGAGACCCTGTTTCCCCAACCCCGACCCCTAAAAAAGAGGTTTTAGTGCTCCTTGACAAAGCAGCTTGAATAAAAACACTAGAAAACATTAGAAAACCTACTTGTTAATAAAATGCATTAACTGTTTAAGGGAGAAAAACTCTAAGGTCATTTTGATAGGACTGCAAAGGGCATGTGACAAAATCATTAGTCATTCTTAATTAAAAGCCCCTAATAAATTATGAATAAAATTAAACTTTCTTAGTATGATAGTGCATATATTAGGAACCAAAAGCAAACAAGTTTAACAAAGAAACACTAATGGATAGATATGTAATAACGCAAGTATAGTAAAATGTTAATAAAGCCTAGAAGGTGTGTGTTGGGGGAAAGGGGGAGTGTAGGCTCTAGAACAGCACTGTTCAATAGAACTAAGATAATGGAAATTTTCTATAATATGTTCTGTCAAATATGATAAGTATTAGCTACATGTGGCCAATGAGCACTCAAAATATAGCTATTTGGGATTGAGGTACTTTGAATTTTGAGTTTTATTAACTTTTGGTTAACTTAAATGTAAACATATAGCTACATGTGGCTAGCAGCTACCATATAAGACAATGTCGCACTAGATTCATATAGCCCTAGATTCAAGTCTTAGATCCACCAACGGCTGTTACTTTATTTCTGAGACTCAGTTAATTATTTTATAAAATGAAAACAGCAATAGCACCTATTACTTCACACAAATTAAACAACATAAAGCAGATAAAGCATGAAGCACAGTCCTCTGCATATGGTAAACACTTAAAATTAACGTTTATTATTCCAACTAAATGAGATCCATGAGCAAAACCATCTATTTGACTCATCATTGTGTTCCTAGTGTCTAGTACAGTGTCCCATACAAAAGACACTCAACAAACATTTATTACATGAATGTTTTTACAGTCACAAGACTTCATATTTATCCTATTAAATTTTTTTCCTTTCTTCACAAAAAGCAGATACTTGATTAAATTTCATGTTAAGTCCACTGTTCCAATCTGTTGAAATATTTAATCCTAATGCCTAATATATTTGATACCCTTTTGAAATTTTGATAAATATACTGCTATAGTTTGAATGTGCCCTCCTCAAAAATTCATGTGTTGGAAACTTAATCCCCAGTGGAGCAGTGTTGAAAGGTGGAGACTTTAAGAGATGAATCTCCTGTGAGTGGATTAAATGCCTTTATCCTGGAAGTGGATTAGTTATTGTTGAGTGAGTTCCTAATAAAAGGATGAGTGTGGCACCTTTCTTTCTTGCTCATGCATGCTCTCTTGCCCTTCTGCCTTCCAACATGGAATGACACAGCAAGAAGGCCCTCGCCAGATGTGGATCCCTCAACCTTGGACTTCCCAGCCTCCAGAAATATAAGAAATGAATCTCTGTTCTTTATAAATCACCCAGTCTCAGGTATTCTGCTATAGCTGCACAAAATGGACTGAGACACATATCATCTATAAATTAATCTGAGCCATTAATAAAAATGTTAATCAGAGACATAGCATTTCTCACTCTCTGGTTTATCATCGGGTGAGTACTAACATTCAATTTAGCTTCACTTTCATCCTTTCTACATATGTCCATCTTGTCCACAAAGGTAATAAGTATGAGACCCTTATAAAGATTAGATTATACCAATTTGTCCTTCATTGAAACTACCTTAAAAAGAACTTAAAATAAAACAACTCACCCTTCAATAGCTGGAGATCTGTCAGGACGAGAACTTCCTCGAGATCTGTATCTCCGACCCAATGGCAACCGTGGAGGTCTTGCTCCCCAGAAGTCAGTGTGAGTCTGGTGACCCCTTTCATTGGCTCTATTATCTTGGTCCAGTGGACTGCTACTTAGAAAGGGTCTAAAATCTTGAAAAAACATCGTGTGATCCAAATGGCCCCAAAGCTAGTAAAGACCAGAAATAAGTCACATGTTAGAAAAATCAATCAATAAACACCTGGATTGTTTACAGTTTTTTATATTACAAATGGCCACTGTGAATATTACTGTATGTCTTCTTCTGCAGAGGTACCAGAGTTTCTATATTTTTGGTCTGTAAAACTATTACATGATCTATACATCTTCAACTTTACTGGGTAATGACAAATTGTTTTCCAAACTGGTTGTAGCAATTTAAACACCCACCAAGTGTTTAAGAGTTTCTACTGTGCCACATCCTGGCAAGCACTTGATGTCACAGGACTTTTTTTAAAAAAAGTTTTTAACAATCAGTGAACAGAAAATGATTTTCCATTGTGGGGCTTTTGGTTTTGCTGTGTAAGAAAAATTACGAATGTTTAATTAAAATGCATGTTTCGGTCCTATGCCAAAAAGAAAATTTAATAGATCTGTGGTGAGCCTGAAGACTCCTTTTAGCATTTCTTACAGGGCAGGTCTATTAACAATGAAGCCCCCTCAGCTATTGTTTATCTGGGTATGTCATGATTTCTTCTTAATTCCTGAAGGATAGTTTTGCCAGATTTAGAATTCTTGGTTGGCAGGTCTGTCTTTCATCACTTTAAATATGTTATCCCACTGCCTTCTAGCCTCCATGGTTTCCGCTAAGAAATCAACAGAAATTCATCTTATTTAAGATCCCTTATATTTTACAAGTTGCTTCTCTCTTGCTGCTTCCAAGATTCTCTCTTTATCTCTGGCTTCGGAAATTTTAATTATAATGTGTCTTGTATGGATGTCTTTGAGTTTATCCTTCTTGGGTGTTAGCTGAGCTTCTTGATGTGTATATTCATGTCTTGTCAAATTTGAAATGGTTTTGGCAATTACTTCTTAAACATGTTTTCTGCACCTTTCTCCCTCTCCTTACCATGATATATATGTTGGTATCCCACACATCTCCTGGACTCTGTTCATTTTTCTTCAGTCTTTTAAATGTGTGCTCTTCAAACTATATAATTTCAGTGGACCTATCTCCAAGTTTGCTGATTCTTCTGTCTGCTCATATCTTTTGTTGAGCTCCCCTAGTGAATTTTCATTTCAATTATTGTAACCTTCAGCTCCAAAATTTCTCTTTGCCTACTTTTAAAAATTTCTCTTTATTGATATTCTCTATTTGTTGAGACATTATTATCTTGAATTCCTTTACTTCTTTGTCCATGGTGTCCTTTAGCTCTTTGAGTATACTTAAGACAGCTGATTTAAAGTTTTTGTCTAGTAATTCTAGTATTAGTGCTTCCTCGGGGTAGTTTCTGTTCATTTCTTTTTTCTTGTGAATGAAGCATATTTTCTAGATTCTTCACATGCTTCGTAATTTTTTTTAAAAAAACTGAACATTTATAATGTGTAAAAAATAAAAACAAAAATAGATGGGTACAGTGGTGTGTGCCTGTAATTCCAGCTACTCAGGAAGCTGAAGTGGAAGGATCGCTTGAACCAACGAGTTCAAGATTAGCCTGAGCAAGGCAAGACCACATTTCAAAACAAATAAACCAAAAAGAAAAAAAAAAGAAAGAAAAAGAAAAGTAAAATGCTCGCCAGGTCTCTACTGATTAGCTGTTGGGGCACTCCTTCAAAACTTACCCAGGGCCTTTATAAATCTACCTTAATATTCACTTCCTGTTTGTGTTGAACCTAAAGACAAGCCAGAGGTGAAAGCTAATGGCCTTCTCAGGTCTTTTCTGAGCACACATACTGCCCTGAGCTGTGCACTTGGCTTTCTAGTTTCTCATCCACAATAGCTTTTCAAAGCTCCTATTCCTCTACAAAAACTCACTCTACAGCTTTTCCTCTCAGGCTTTCAATATCTTATTGTTTGCCCTGTTTTTTTTTTTTCTTTTTTTGGTTTTTTTGTTTGTTTTTTGCCCCTGGTGGCAGTCCTTTGGAGAAAGGACAAAACAGAACACAGAATCCCTCAGGAGGAAGAGTGTCCACTCTCTGGAATCAGGCACCAGCATGGGGAACACAGGCTGTCATCTTCAAGACTGCAGCCATACCAGGAAGGGAGGTGAGGCTAGGGTAAGCTAAAATGCCACAAAGATCTCTTACCTTGTTTCAGTGCCCTTTCTTCTGGCGAAGTATTTGCTTGGCTGCTGTAAACCTTTGATTACCTTTCCAGAGTTTTGATAAGCTAAATTCTGACTTTTCTGTCAAGGTGTTTGGTGTTTCTGCAGAGGGATGACCCACAGAAGTCCTACTCTACCATTTTCGCTGACATCACCCTGTCATTGTGGTTTTAGTTTGCTTTCCCTGATACGAATATACCAATAAGGCTAAACATCTTGTCATGTAATATTTACCAGCCATTCATATGTCTTCTCTTTCCCCCAACATTTTTTTTTTTTTTGGTGTTTTAGAAATCCAGACATTTCTTTCTTTTTTTTTCTTTTTTTCCTTTTTGAGATGGAGTCTTGCTCTGTTGCCCAGGCTGGGGTGCAGTGGCACGATCTCGGCTCACTGCAACCTCCACCTCCTGGGTTCAAGCCATTCTCCTGCCTCAGCCTCCCGAGAAGCTGGGATTACAGGCATGTGACACCACGCCCCGCTAATTTTTTATATTTGCAGTAGAGATGGGGTTTCACCATGTTGGCCAGGCTGGTCTCAAACTCCTGACCTCAAGTGATCCGCCCACCTCGGCCTCCCAAAGTGCTGGGATTACAGGCGTGAGCCATGGCGCCCAGCCACATTTATTTCTTAAATTTAAACTCAGTGTTAAATCACACTGAGTTTACTTTTTCAGTACTCATCAGTTGTTTCAATTAAATCAGTTTTAAATCTCTATTCTTTCTCTTTTATGTCTTATCTTGTTTCATGTCTTTTGTCCATTTTCCTATTGAACTGACTTTCTAATTGCCTTAGTATCTTTTTTTTAAAATTCTATATTTTAATAGTTAATTCCTGCTAACAGAAACGCAACTGATTTTTGTATATTGACCTTAGTATACAGAAAATTTGCTGAACTCTTAATAATTTGTGTACCTAGAAAACCCAAAAACAGGCTGGGCACAGTGGCTTATGCCTGTAATCCTAGCACTTTGGGAGGCCAAGGCAGGAGGATCGCTTGAGCCCAGGAGTTCAAGACCAGTCTGGGCAACAGAGTGAGATCCTGTCTCTACAAAAAATTTAAACATTAGCTAAGTGTGGTAGCAAGCACCTGATGTTCCAGCTACTCGGGAGGCTGAGTGGGGAGGATCACTTGAACCCAGGATCTTGAGCTCAAGCTCATGAGGTCAAGGTTACAGTGAGCTATACAGAACCCTAATTATATGCTATGTTTTTTCCTATACACACATACCTACAGTAAAGTTTAATTTATAACTTATAACTTAATTTATAACTTAGACATAGTAAGAAATTAACAACAATAACTAATAATAAAATAGAACAGTTATAACAATATATAATAATAAAAGTTTTGTGAATGTGGCCTTTTTTTTTTTTTTTTGAGACAAGGTCTCAACTCGGTCGCTCAGGCTGGAGTGCAACGCCGTGATCATGGTTCACTGCAGCCTCAATCTCCTAGGCTCAAGTGATCCTCCCACCTCAATCTCCCAAGTAGCTAGGACTACAGGGATGTACCATCACACTCAGCTAATTAAAAAAAAAAATTCTTTTTAGAGATAAGGTCTAATTTTGTGGCTGGTCTCAAACATCTGGCTTAAAGTAATCCTCCTGCCTCGGCCTCCCAAAGTACTGGGATTGAACCATGAGCCTCTGTGCCCCACTTTAAAATATCTTATTGTAACCGGGCGCAGTAGCTCAAGCCTATAATCCCAGCCCTTTGAGAGGCTAAGGCGGTGGGGGGGATCACTGAGGCCAGAAGTTCGAGATCAGCCTGGCCAACATGGTGAAACCTTGTCTCTACTAAAAAAATTAAAAAATTAGCCGGGCATGGTGGCATATGCCTGTAGTCCCAGCTACTCAGGAGGCTGAGGCATGAGAATCACTCAAACCCAGGAGGCAGAGGTTGCAGTGAGCCGAGATCACTCCATGGCACTTCAGCCTGGGCAACAGAGCAAGACCCTGTCTCAAAAAAATAAAAATAAAAATAAAAATAAATAAAATAAAATATCTTATTGTACTATACTCACCTGTTTTCAGGCCATGGTTGACCACAGGGTAAGGGGGGGGCTACTGTACCAATTCAGACTCCTACCAGAGTATAAATGCTTACATTTACCCCTACTCTGACCAACATTTTTTTTTTTTTTTTTTGAGAAGGAGTCTCGCTCTGTCACCCAGGCTGGAGTGCAGTGGCACCATCCTGGCTCACTGCATACTCCGCCTCCCAGGTTCAAGCCATTCTGCTGCCTCAGCCTCCAGAGTAGCTGGGATTACAGGTGTCTGCCACCATGCCCGACTAATTTTTTATTTTCAGTAGAGATGGGGTTTCACCATGTTGGCCAGACTGGTCTTGAACTCCTGACCTCAGGAGATCCACCTGCCTCGGCCTCCCAGAATGCTGCAATTACAGGCATTAGCCACTGCACCCAGCCTGACCAACATTTTTTTAAAGTTTTAAAAATTCTAATATATAAGCTGAAGAACAAAGAGTAATATGCAGAGTAAAAACATCAATTAGATTTCTCAGCCAGGCACAGTGGCTCACATCTGTAATCCCAGCACTCTGGGAGGCTGAGGCGGGTGGATCACCTGAGGTGAGGAGTTCAAGACCAGCCTAGCATGGTGAAACCCCGTCTCTACTAAAAATACAAAAAGTTAGCTGGGCGTGGTGGAGCATGCCTGTAATCCCAGCTACTCGGGAAGCTGAGGCAGGAGAATTGCTTGAACCCGGGAGGCAGAGGTTGCAGTGATCTAAGATCGCGCCATTGCACTCCAGCCTGGGCAACAAGAGTGAAACTCTGTCTCCAAACAAAAAGATTTCTCTAAATACTGGTGACATAAAACACCTTTTCATTTTAACTGCCATTTGCGCTTCTTATCAAATCTGCCTTATTTCCCTTTACTTTCTAATTATAGTCTTCATCTATTAGAGATCACTGGTTTCTAGTCTGAAAAACGGTCTAGAACACAAGAATTCTCTTGACCCAAAATTCCAAAGTAAACACGACATTTAAAAACCTAAAACTATACTTGTCTTCAATAAGTGAAAAAGTACGAGCAGACTCCTCCATGTTCTCAATCATCTATCTCACTAAGGTGAATTATAAGAAATCTATGATTCCCTTACTATATACAATTCCACAACATTTGCTCACAGAAGACAACTCTCAAAGTAACCATTAGTTTCATTATAATATAAAAATGAAATATTTAAAATCTTGACTGGCAGAAAAGTCAAGCACCAAGTTCATAATACTCTGCTTTGATACTAACATACTTTAGATGACTATAAATTGTTACCACACCTAATAATATACAAAATTTCTAAAGGATCCATGCTTAAAAACAGCTTCAACATCAGCATGAGGCATTTTCCTACTAGTATACAAAGTGCAAATTAGTGCAAATTAATAGTAACAGTCAATGTATTTGTGGCCTATTTTAATCTCAAAATAATAGTGTACCCTGACCAAAGAACACAGGATGGAAAAGCACACCTCACAAATTTATACCAAATCAGCACTAAGGATAAAAATAGCTTCAGGTCATTTGTCTCTGAGTAGACTTAGATAAGCATAAAAGAAAAAAAAAATAGCTCATACAACAAAACTGGGTATTCAGGACACAGCTTACATAAGTAAAAACTAATAGGGAACACTATCATAGAGTTTTGCTAAAACAGTCTAAAGAATCACAGAGACAGTTTGACAAGTTTTGCCTTGAAAAACTGAAAACATTACTCTGAATGTAAGTATAATGACAGTATTTCTGAAAATATTTGGGGTGAACTATTTACACATTCAAAATAAAAAACAGGATGGACAATATCTTCCATTTGGCAGAACTTGCTCTACACTAACCATGATCACATCAGCACTTCTTAAAATATTATGGTCTGTTCCTCAATGAGTTGAACAGTTACCATATGACGCAGCAATTTCACTCCTAGTTATATAACCAAGAAAATTAAAAACATATGATCACACAAAAACTTGTACAAAAATATTTACAGCAGCATTATTATCCATAACAGGCAAAAAGTGTAAACAACCTAAATGTCCATCAACTGATGAATAAATAAAATGTGGAATATCCATACCATGTAGTATTATCCAGCCATAAAAATGAAGTACTGATACATGCTACAGCATGGATGAACCTTGAAAACAGTATTCTAATTAGAAAAGAGTCAGTCACAAAGGTTCACATATTGCATGATTTCATTTATAACAAATATCCTATATAGGCAAATCCATAGAGACAGAAAATAGATTGGTGGTTGCCTAGGGCTGAGAGAACTGTGGAGAAATATGTAGTGACTACTAATGTGTATGGGGATTCTTTTGGGGATGATGAAAAAGTTCTAAATCAGTGGTAATAGTTGTATAACTCTGTGAATATACTAAAACCACTTAGCTGTACACTTTAACAGGGTGAATTACGTAGTATATGAATTATATCTCAAAAAATAATATTAGAGTGTATAAAGATGAGTCAATTAAGGGTAAATAATTTTATAATTATTAACCTTAGAAATGTAATCTTGAAAAAGTTCACAGGCGATTTTGTGAAAACATTAAAGCAAAGTAAGGAAGATACTCATCACCCCGAAATGTTTCCTCGTGTGCCTTTGTAATCCTTCCCTCCTGCCCCTTCCCATCCCCAAGCAACCCCTGATCTTTCTGTGGTTTGCATTTTCTAGAATTTTATGTAAAGGGCATCATATTGTATGTACTTTTCAACAGAGGAATGATGTAGCTGATTAGTGAATAGCAAAGTCTAATCTCTAGTGATTTCGCATTTCTCCAGCAAGTGGAGTTCATGTATTAGGAAGTTGCACAAATGCAAAGTACATTGTTCTGATTATGTGTGCCTGCTTTGCAGCCTCTAATTCTCAGGTAGGTCATCCTGTATAAACTTAGGATGTCCATTTGACCACAGTTCAACTTTGTGTTCCAATTCAGCTGAATAAAAATTAAATTTTTATATCCATCTGTCTGGTGTTCTATGTTTTCTCAGTATGTTCTAGACTCAGGTAAAGGAAGTATGATCGATGATCAACCATCATATATAACTAGACATGCCTAACACAGGATAATAGTTTAATAAATATAATGTAGCCATTAAAGAATATGAAGTCCTAATTTTTTTTTTTTTTTTGGAGACAGGGTCTCACTCTGACACCCAGGCTGGGGTGCAGTGGCACGAGCTCAGCTCACTGCAACCTCTGCCTCCCAGGCTCAAGAGATTCTCCCACCTCCGCTTCTCGAGTAGCTGGGACTACACACATATGCCACTACACCTGGCTTTTTATTTTTATTTTTGTAGACACAGGGTTTTACCATGTTGCCCAGGCTGGTCTTGAACTCCTGGGCTCAAACAATCCGCCTGCCTCCGCCCTCCCAAAGTGCTAGGATTACAGGCATGAGCCACCACGTCCAGCTATAATTCTAATAACTATAGAGAGACAAGTAAAAGGTTTATGACATAATACCAAGTAAATTTTTAGAGGCAGAAATACAATATACTCTTATGACAGCAACTCTAAACAGTTATGAGGTATGCACATGAGAAATGAGAAGTATTTTGCTAAAAAATGCATAAAGCTATAATCAAGTAATGACAATATGGGATATTTCTTTATTTTTTGAAACGGAGTCTCGCTCTGTTGCTCAGGCTAGAGTGCAGTGGCACAATCTCAGCCCACTGCAACCTCCGCCTCCTGGGTTCAAGCGATTCTCCTGCCTCAGCCTCCCGAATAGCTGGGATTACAGGTGCCCGCCACCACACCTGGCTAATTTTTGTATTTTTAGTAAAGACAGGGTTTCATCACATTGGACAGGCTGGTCTGGAACTCCTGACCTCAAGTGATCTGCATGCCCGGCCAATATTTCTCATTTTTAAAAAAGCTTAGGCCCAGGCACGGTGACTCAAGCCCGTAATCCCAGCACTCTGGGAGGCCAAGACGAGAGGATGACCTGAGGTCAGGAGTTCCAGACCAGCCTGGCCAACGTGGTAAAACCCCATCTCTACCAAAAATACAAAAATTAGCCAGGTTTGGCGGCGGGGGCCTGTAATCCAAGCTACTCGGGAGGCTGAGGTGAGAGAATCACTAGAACCCAGGAGGCAGAGGTTGCAGTAAGCCGAGATCGTGCCATTGCACTCCAGCCTGGGCAACAGAGCGAGACCCCGTCTCAAAAAAACAAACAAAAAAGAGCTTAAGGTTGTTATTTTTCAGTAACTATGCCTTAGGACAAAATCTGAAAGGAAATGTATGGAAAAGGGAGCTCTTAGAATAGTGAAACTCGGCCGGGCGCAGTGGCTCACACCTGTAATCCCAGCACTTTGGGAGACCAAGGCGGGCAGATCACGAGGTCAGGAGATCGAGACCATCCTGGCTAACACGGTGAAACCCCGTCTCTACTAAAAATATAAAAAATTAGCCAGGCGTGGTGGCACGCGCCTGTGGTCCCAGCTACTCAGGAGGCTGAGGCAGGATAATCGCTTGAACCCAGAAGGCGGAGGTTGCAGTGAGCCGAGATTGCGCCACTGCACCCCAGCCTGGGCAACAGAGTGAGACTCCGTCTAAAAAAAAAAAAAAAAAAAAAAAAGTGAAACTCAAGATACATATTTTTAAATTTTTTACTGCCACTATAATGCTGCTTATGTAACAAAAACAAATAACAAATTTTATTTAAATACATATAAATCAGCTCAGAGCACCCTGCCCTCTTGTGCATACCTGAGAGCTCTTTTTTCCAGAAAGCCATGTATCTTATTTTCTCCCAATCTGAGGCAGCAGCCAGAGCCACTCTTGCACTGAAGCAATCCATTCAGGTAAGCTGAGACTCTAAGATCAGATGACCCACTGGCACCAGGTCGTGGTCAGAAGTTTGCAAGTAATCAATGAAACCTTCAGGTAGCTATGGGGCTCACTTTCTAGATTACCACCAGGAAGCTTAGTATAGCAATGTCTTCTCTCTACAAACTGCTAGCAATATTTTCAGATTCACTCTCCACCGGCCCTCACACATTATTCAAACACTGCTCCCATGTAACTGGCAACCCTCCCCTACCTTCTCTCTATCCCATTAGTCTCTTATCTCCTACCCCAGTCTCATTTTTTTAAAAAAAAGTCAATACTGATTTTGACAGAAATTTTCTTGGAATAAGCCTCTTCTAATATAGACAGTATTTTAAGAATTCAGCTATCAGTAAATGTTACTTATAGAAAATAACCACTTCATTGTACAAGCAGCTCCAGCTAAAGAAAAATAGAGCAAAACTGAGCATAAGTCTTTGCCGAAATTACCAACTAAAGCAGGGAAAAGAAAAACAACTTTAGTTTCTATATATAATTTTATTTCTAAGTTTTTTCTTCAGGGACATGAGCATAAAACCTTATAGCTTATGAATACTATTTTGAGATAATTTTCACATCTTTGCTTATCTAAATTCCACCTACTCTTCAAGGCTCCAGTGCAAGTTCTAACTTCACTATGAAGTCTTAATAATGGCTAAAATGTATCAAGCACTCACTAGATGGTAGGCACATTGCGGTCTACACACCTAGCATGTATTAACTCATTTAATCCTCGTAACATCCCTATGAGGGAAGGATGATTATTTCCCAATTTACAGACAAGGACAAGAGAGGCACTGAGAGATTCTAAGTAACTTTGCCCAGATTACACAGCCAATAAGTGGCAGACACAGGATTTGAGCTCAGGCAATCTGGTTCCAGAGGCTGTGTTCTTAATCACTGTTATATGACCTCTCCTCAAGACCCTGGCCCACCTTAACTCTTCCTTCTACTATACTTGTTACATATACCCCAGAATAAATTTATTATACTCTGTACACTTTTCCTTTTTTTTTTTTTTTTTGGAGATAAGAGTTTCACTCTTATTGCCCAGGCTGGAGTCCAGTGGTGCAATCTCCGCTCACTGCAACCTCCGCCTTCTGGGTTCAAGCAATTCTCCTGCCTCAGCCTCCCAAGTAGCTGGAATTACAGGCGCCCACCACCATGCCTGGCTAATTTTTTGTATTTTTTAGTAGAGATGGGGTTTCACCATGTTGGCCAGGCTGGTCTTGAACTCCCAACCTCCCGTGATCCACCTGCCTCGGCCTCCCAAAGTGCTGGGATTACAAGCGTAAGCCACCACGCCCAGCCTTCCTTGTTTTCTTAAGTGTTTGCACTTGCTCCACAACAAAATTAAGTTCCTTTCAGGCAAGGCAACCATGACATTTACTTCCTGCCCCTATTTCTAGGAGAGTGCTATGTATGAAACATTCAGTATATACTTTCAGCCAGGCACAGTGACACCTGCCTGTAATCCCAGCTACTAGGGAACCTGAGGTGGGAGGATCACTTAAGCTCAGAAGTTCGAGTCCAGCCTGGGCAATAAGGCCCCATCTCTTAAAAACACACACACACACACTTCTTAGCTAATTTATTAAAAATCCCTGGCAACATCTAAAGAACACGAAGTTACAAGCTATGAATCAGCAAAAATACTTTAACACCTGAAGGATAACTCATGCCATCAGTGTTGGATTTAGCATTACTAAAGTTAGGAAACTGACTACATATATTTGTTTTTCTTCTTACTCAATGCATCTCTTTCTGGTGAGTCATACCTACAAAATTGGCAGACCGATCTATTTCCATTACCTAAAAGAGAACACTAAAGAAAAATCAAATGAAATTTCTTCTTCTGCATATGCCTAATCAGTAAGTGACAATCTGTGTTATCACAAATAGCACACACAAGAGGAAAGAATACTGAAATCATAAAGGCTTCCAGGACTGGCAAACAGAATACATTTTATTGTATTTTACTTTTTTGAGATGGAGTCTCGCTCTGTCACCCAGGCTGGAGTGCAGTAGTGCGATCTCGACTCACCTCAACCTCTGCCTCCCGGGTTCAAGCGATTCTCGTGTCTCAGCCTACCATGTAGCTAGGATTACAGGCTCATGCCACCATGCCCAGCTAATTTATTGTATTTTTAGTAGAGATGGGGTTTCACCATGTTGGCTAGGCTGGTCTCGAACTCCAGACCTCAGGTGATCTGCTCACCTCGGCCTCCCAAAGTGTTGCGATTACAGGCGTGAGCCACTGTGCCTGGCCCAGAACACATATTAAATAATGTTTTTCAATCCATTAAAATGGGAAAATAAAAATGCAAGTTCAAAACACGATCTGTCTGGAATCACTCTAATCAACCCGGGCAGTTCAGAGTTAACCAAAACTCTTAATACTGTATATTAAGAAGTAGCACAGACCATAAGCAGAAAAACCACCCTAAATAGAACAGGACCATTACCCAGACAATGTTGATAAATCTAACAACATCAAAATGTGGGGGCTACAGGTCTTAAAATAATTTTCAAATAATAAGGGAGAGAAGCTTAGGGTTTTACAGGCTTCTTATTAAATATCACTTTTCAAATATACTACTAGTACAATTTCAATTTACATACAAAACAGTGAAATATTTTGCTATCTCTCTAGGCACTTCGGCTATCTCTGGAAAAGGCTAATGTGATCCTAAAACATAAAGAAATCCTGATTATGGGATTTAACTTATTTCTTCCTTTTAGCATCTGTCAGCTTTCTAGAGCTGAACAAGTTGTATGGCAATATAGGGTACACATACAAACAAGCAAAAGAAAAACGTCAGTGTTTTTTATAGGCTGACTGGTACCTTCTGGGTTGTAGTCTCTAAATGATTAAAAACAAAGAGTATTAATGCCACTGAATTATACACTTAAGAACAGTTACAATGGTTTCTTTTTTTAAAAAAAAAAAACACAACTAAAGAGACTTTAGGTCAATGGACGAAGTGAAAAAAGAAAATTACTCTGGATTCAATATAAAATGGTATTCAAGAATGAAGACTAATGCCCTGTTTTCAAATCACAGTTAAGATTTGTTTTTCCCAAAAAATATGGACGCCACATTATAAGAAGATATAGAAATTATTTACAGACCCCATCTTGGGATCTGAAAGGCAAGTAAACATCCTTAATCTACACCAAACTACTGTGTTGACTAGAGGTAAGCCCTGGAAATCAGTACCTCTGTACAAGGTTGAAGACTATTTCATTGTGACTTCGACAACTTATCCTGGCCTGCACTTTACCTGGTTGTCACACCACTAAAGCAGAGTCTGCAACACTGTTATTTCAAAAACAGCAAAAGCTTCTTATTCTCACACTGTATATACAATAACAAAGTAGAAAACAAGAATTAAAAACACTACCAGTTTAAAAGAATACAGTTTGAGGCTATTACTTTCTCCTAATCAAGGGTTTATCAAAGGTAACACGCCCAAGCCCCAGCTACTGAAAACACAAATCTTCCCAAGGGTTACTACGGCCCACATTTTTTCTTATACATTCAGTTAAACTCTGATGTTGTGCCACACTGGAAAGTTAGTATCTGCCATGATTTTAACACCTAACCACTTCTTAAAGAATTCCTACAGCTAAAGGAAAACTTACCTCTGCAAAATGTGTTGTTGTGGTATTGTCTATCCGACTGCCGCCACCACCTAAAAAACTAAAGAGAAAAGGAATGAGTGGTGATTCTATTCCCAGGAACAAGCTCCCCTCCCAGAAGCTAAATATAGAATGGCATAATGAGAACAAAGCCCAATAAGGAAAAATAACTCATCCCAACACAACACCTATTAAAGGAAATTATGAATAACTGGCATGTGAATTAATCTATGAAAAGTATCATAAACCACAAAATCAAGTGGTTTTCAAGGCTAAATCCAGTGAAAAATTGGAGAAGCCACCATAGAGAAGGAAGGAGGACCCACAGGCAGCAATGCAATTCGGATTTGACCTATCAAAAGACAAATATTTATCCTCAAGAACGCTAACAAAACAAAATGTTTCACTAAAAAACCATTCAACCACCAGATGAACACAACATTTGAGGCTACAATAGTTAATATTTCTTAGGAATGATTAAATGTAGTAATGTAAGGGGCCTGGTACTGTATTTAAAACATTATAAAAGGATTCAATAAATATTTCTCCCCCTACCCACCTTTCAGGACCCATCTCAAATGCTACCTCCTCCATCAAGCCCTTCTGAACTCACCAACCAAATAAGACTCTTCCACACCCTTCTGCACTCTCACTTTGATTCTAAAACCTACCTTGTATTATAAATATCTAGGATTTGCCACATCCATTTCAACCCATTTCCCTCCTTCATTAATATAAATTCAGAAGGCAAAGACTGCAATTTATTAATGCCTCAAATACATGTAGAGTGTTTAAGTGTCAGACATTACACAGTACTATCACCTTTTAAAATCCTGCAATGTCAATATCCTATATTGACACTCAAAAGTTGTTGAATTAATCACATGTGAAAATGATAAAATAACTATCTATTCCCAAAGACCCTGAAGAGTGGAGAGAAATATTAAATCCCATTGTCCCCATGAAATTTGCAAAGAACAAAGAAAACAAGTTAACACATCCGGGAAGAGGGGATGGAAAGAATCACAGGAACTGCTGGATACCACTTTTACTTCAAGAGACACACTTAAGCACACAAACATACAAACACTCACCCCAATGGTAAGTTCACAAACTACTACAAATAGTTTTCATTTGTAGGATTACAATACCAATCCAGGCATTGTGCTGAGCTCACTGAGGAAACAAACACACCCTAGTTAGTCTGAAACCAAAAGTGAAAAAGCAAAGCTAATGCCACTCTTTATGCAACCATTCTCAAGCCTTATTCCCTGATAAGAAACCATTTAATACCTGCATTAATTTCAGAAAAACGCTTTTGTAAAAATCACTCCAAATGTATAACAAGCCCAAAAGTACTTGTACATCTATGCTAAATAAACAGCTAATTGAACTACCACATACCATAAAAAACTACATTGAGTGGCTATGTATCCATTTGATTGCTCAAGCCCAGACAGGCTTCCAAGACTCTTCCTTCCTGCCTTTACTACACAGTTTCAGGGATTCAAACATCCTTGGTAATTGAAACCGCAACTCTTATTTTCTGGGGTTCTGCTCTCCCTGAAGCTACCTCACCGTTCCCTTTCCTTAAAATTCCTTTAAAGAATAATAGAGCTAATCATAGAGAAGGGATAATAAAAACCACCACATTGTTCTGAGAAATGTTACAAAGCTTAAGAAAACTTACAAGGTGCTCCTCTACATGGAAGTTTAAGAGCAGATGGAGCCCATTATCTAATATTTACATGCAAGGCCCTCCTCTTACTGGTTTTTACCCTCCACTACTTACCACTGCAATTGCTAAGTATTTAAATCAGCAAATGTTTATGAACTTTATAGAAGGAAATATCATACTGCCTCTAAGACAAGGATTCTAAGAAAAAGATTTCGTCTTTCATTTAAAACACTAATCTCTTTCAAACCACAGAGTCTTTGTATTTGAGTAAATTGCTACCAATAGCACCTATATAAGACAACCTTTGATCTACAAAGACACATAAAAGAATTAAGAACAAAAACCACAGAATCCACAGTTCCCTGCTAGACAAAGATTCATCCTACAGTTAATCATTCTCATTTATAACTGTATTTGCATAAAAGTACTATCTGCCTAAAGAAACCAGGGTTACTACTTGAAAAGTTGGCAAAAGATAAGCCCATTAATTGTTCTCCCACAACCAATATATCTTTTAATTAGCACATGCAGAGCATAAGTGCCTGAAATAAGTTATTTGATGCAATTATAATGGCACAAACAAAAAGCTATCCCAAGTTAGCATGCCATCCACACAAAATTGCTAATTTTGCAGTCATGCTAATCTTACACGTTTAGTGTTGGTATTGTACTATTTAAAACCAAGATGACATTTAACTGTATCAAAATAGATCCCATGCCACATATTGCCCCAGAAGCTCCAGCTTATTTACACATATAATCACCAATCATTAGTAAAGTAAAACTAATAGTACATACTGTAAAATGTGTAGTTTTTCCTGGTTGTGGAAGGGACCTTCAACTTTAGATTCTGCCAACAGTAACAGTAAAGGAATTACCTACTGCCATTAAAATCTCCAAAGTCACTCCAAGATTAAGAGGCTTCAGATTACAGATTCTTTTTGACCAGTCGGTACTTCTTCAATTTTCAGACGAATGTTTAACCAAATAGCCCCAAAAGAACAAATGTGCCATTTTGTTTAGCCAAAAGAGGCCATCCTATCAATGCTATTCTAAAATTTATTAAAATTTTAAGTTAGGCCAGGTGCAGTGGCTCACACTTGTAATCCCAACACTTTGGGAGGCCAAGATGGGCGGATCACGAGGTCAGGACTTCAAGACCAGCCTGGCAAACACGGTGAAACCCCATCTCTACTAAGAATACAAAAATTAGCCAAGCGTGGTGGTGCATGCCTGTAATCTCAGCTACTTGGGAGGCTGAGGCAGGAGAATCACTTGAACCTGGGAGGCAGAGATTGCAGTGAGCCAAGATCGTGCCCTTGCACTCCAGCCTGGGCAAAAGAGTGAGACTCCGTCACAAAAAAAAAAAAAAAAAAAAGAAAAAGATTTTAGGTTGGGCACGGTGGCTCATGCCTGTAATCCCAGCACTTTGGGAGGCCAAGGCAGGCGGATCACTTGAGGTCAGGAGTTCAAGACCAGCCTGGCCAACACGGCAAAACCCCATCTCTACTAAAAATACACAAAAATTAGCAGGGCATAGTGTCAGACACCTGTAGTCCCAGCTACTGGGCAAGCTGAGGCCCAAGAATCATTTGAACCTGGGAGGCAGAGGTTGCAGTGAGCCGAGATCGAACCACTGCACTCCAATCTGGCAACAGAGCAAGACTCTGTCTCAAAAAAAAAAGAAAAAAGAAAAAAGATTTTATAGTTTTGTTCACATAAACAAAAAAGGAATATGTAATAGTCACTTTCAGAAATATTTCCCCTTTTTATCAGCTGTATACCTTTATGAAGGCCAATAAGAACAAATTCCAAGCATTACAAACCCATATATTAATATCACCCTGGAAAGATGGCCTAAGTTTGACAGCAATAATCTTTTCTTTTTTCTTTTTTTTGAGACACAGTTTCACTCTTGTTGCCCAGGCTGGAGTCTTGGCTCACTGCAACCTCCACCTCCCGGTTTCAAGTGATTCTCCTGCCTCAGCCTCCCAAGTAACTGGAATTACAGGCGCCCGCCACTATACCCAGCTAATTTTTGTGTTTTTAATGGAGACGGGGTTTCACCATGTTGACCACGCTGGTCTTGAGCTCCTGACCTCAGGTGATCCACCCACCTCAGCCTCCCAAAGTGTTGGGATTACAGGCGTGAGCCACCACACTGGCCAAATAACCTTAATAAGAACAAGAGATTCAAGGCCTCCTCAAAGCAGAGTAACAATTGGTTTTCCTGGCTAGAACAGCCTGTTTACCTGATTAGGTATCTTTGTCAGAAGTCACTCCCTAACCCGCCAAAGAGGTATAACAGCAGTTTACCTTCAGACAGCAGAGTGGTCACTAAAAACCAACTAATAATCTAAGAGAAGCCCCAAGTCTCAGATAATAAATGAAAACTTACCAGATTTACTCTGACATGCGTACAGATGTACATGGAATGCCACATACAATCAGGAGCAGTGCGTATCACCACATCTGCTATGATATCACTTTCCAAATTTTCCCATTTTTCTTTCTTTTTCCTCTCCCATTCTTCTGCCCTCTCTTGTGCAAGCTCATGCACTCACTCTCTCTCTCTCACTCTCGCTCTCTCTGTAGAGTGTAAGTTGTAAAACAAATTCAACTTACTCAGTCCATGCTGAGAGAAAATAGTTTTGATAATAGAATGTCTGATTTATTCATGAGCTTGTACAATACCTGGAATCATCTGTCACTTCTTCAATAAAGCCTGATTCACATCTGGGACATATATATTCCTATAAAAGAAAGGAAGAAACAAATAAAACTTTTTCATTAGAAAGCTACGTGGTATCTGTAGTTTCAGAATAACATGCAGTATACAAGCTGAGGCTCTGAAATGTTCTATGTACTCGCTGACTCAAGTAGTTTTTGTTTTTTTTTTTCTTTTGTGAGACAGGGTCTCACTCTGTCACCCAGGCTGGACTGCAGTGGTATGATCATGGCTCACTGCAGCCTCCATCTCCCAGGCGCAAGAGATCCTCCTGCCTTAGCCTTCAGAGTAGCTAGGACCACAGGCACATGCCAACATACCTAATTTTTTTTATTTTTTGTAGAGGATGAGGTCTTGCTATGTTGCCCAAGCTGATCTCAAACTCCTGAACTGAAGTGATCTTCCTGCCTCAGCCTCCCAAAGTGCTGGAATTACAGGCATAAGCCACTGAGCCCAGCCTAGTTTTTTTTCTTTTTTTTTTGTTTTTCTTTTTGTTGCCCAGGCTGGAGTGCAATGGCATGATCTCGGCTCACGGCAACCTCCACCTCCTGGGTTCAAATGATTCTCCTGCCTCAGCCTCCCAAGTAGCTAGGATTACAGGCATGCGACAACACGCCTGGCTAATTTTGTATTTTTAGGAGAGACGAGGTTTTTCCATGTTGGTCAGGCTAGTCTCGAACTCCCGACCTCAGCTGAACTACCTGCCTCAGCCTCCCAAAGTGCTGGGATTACAGGTGTGAGCCACCACACCCGGACTTCTTTTTTTTTTTTTTTTTTTTTTTTTGAGATGGAGTCTCGCTCTCTTGCCCAGGAGCTAGAGTGCAATGGTGTGATCTCAGCTCACTGCAACCTCCACCTCCTGGGTTTAAGTGATTCTCCTGCCTCAGCCTCCCAGGTAGGTGGGATTACAAGCCCCTGGCTAATTTTTGTATTTTTAGTAGAGACAGGGTTTCACCATGTTGGTCAGGCTGGTCTCAAACTCCTGACCTCAGGCGATCCACCCGCCTCGGCCTCCGAAAGTGCTGGGATTACAGGCACGAGCCACCACGCCCAGTCCCGGCCTAGTTTTTTCTATTATACTCTGGCAAATATAGAATTCCATAAAATATTTGCAGAATTGCTTCATAGCTACCTAAGTGGTTTCCACTGACAGCTGAAAGGTAGAGTGTCAAAGATTTTTTTATTTTAAAATTTAGGTTATTTATTTGTTTATTTAGAGACGGAGTTTCACTCTTGTTGCCCAGGCTGGAGTGCAATGGTGCGATCTTGGCTCACCACAACCTCTGCCTCCCAGGTTCAAGAGATTCTCCTGCCTCAGTCTCCCGAGTAGCTGGGATTACAGGCATGCAACACCACGCCTGGCTAATTTTGTATTTTTATTAGAGACGGGGTTTCTCCATGTTGGTCAGGCTGGTCTTGAACTCCCGACCTCAGGTGATCCCCCTGCCTCAGCCTCCCAAAGTACTGGGATTATAGGCATGAGCCACTGCGCCCGGCCTTTTTTTTTTAAGACAGAGTTTCGCTCTTGCTGCCCAAGCTGGAGTGCAATGGCACGGTCTTGGCTCACTGCAATCTCTGCTTCCCAGGCTCAAGCCATTCTCCTGCCTCAGCCTCCCAAGTAGCTGGGATTATAGGCACCTGCCACCATGCCCAGCTAATTTTGTATTTTTAGTAGAGACGGGGTTTTACCATGTTGGTCAGGCTGGTCTCGAACTCCTGACCTCAGGTGATCTGCCTGCCTTGGCCTCCTAAAGTGGTGGGATTACAGGTGTGAGCCACCGTGCCTGGCCTATTTTTTTAATTAGAATGAATTCATCGTCCAATTTTTTCTTCAAATCTAACAAAAAAGCTCCACTATATACATATCAACGCAGTAAAACATTATAATAATGATGGGTATAGAAACTGCTACTTTTTAGTCTGGGCGCGGTGGCTCACGCCTGCAATCCTAACACTTTGGGAGGCTAAGGTGGGCAGATCACTTGAGGTCAGGAGTTCAAGACCACCCTTGCCAACATGGTGAAACTCCATCTCTACTAAAAATGTAAAATTAGCTGGGGTGTGGTGGCGTGTGCCTGTAGTCCCAGTTACTTGGGAGGCTGAGGCAGGAGAACTGCTTGAACCCAGGAGGCAGAGGTCGCAGTGAGCCCAGATAGTGCCATTGCACTTCAGCCTGGGCGACAGATCGAGACTCTGTCTCAAAAAAAAAAAGTAAGAAACTGCTACTTTTTACTATGTAAAGAAAGAGACTACTACTTTTTACTGTGTACATACAAAAGACATAAACTGGGCCAGGTGTGGTGGCTCATGCCTGTAATCCCAGCACTTTCGGAGGCCAGGCAGGCAGATCACCTGAGGTCGGGAATTCGAGATCAGCCTGACCAACATGGAGAAACCCCATCTCTACTTAAAAAAAAAAAAAAAATTAGCCATGGTGGCACATGCCTGTAATCCCAGCTACTCGAGAGGCTAAGGCAGGAGAATCGCTTGAACCCAGGAGGTCAAGGTTGGAGTGAGCCAAGATCACGCCATTGCACTCCAGCCTGGGCAACAAGAGCGAAACTCCACCTCAAAAAAAAAAAAAAAGAGAAAGAGAGACATAAACTGAATAACAGCATAAATCAATTTGTAGACTAGGAACAATGAGGCAGTACAATATTTCTATTCTATCTTCTGTTTATCAATGGTTCCAAACAAGACCTAACAATTCTCAAATACCCTACAGAAATGGCAATTCAAATAACCAAAACAATTCCATTAATTCAATTTCTATTTCCTTCAGTAATACATCTTTCTTTTAAGTAATATCAAGCTTTGGGGATAAGAATACACTTTAGAGACTGCCTTATAATAATTTTTTAAAGTATATTTTAACTACCTATTAAAATAGACCTGAGAAACACATTTTTTTTTAAACCTCATCCTAGACTCCAAAGGCATGGGAAAGACATTTTCAACCATTTTGTTTCTTTTTTATTTTTTATTTTATTTTATTTATTTATTTTTTTGAGACAGGATCTCACTCTGTTGCCCAGGCTGGAGTGCAGTGGCACAGTTTTGGCTCACTGTAGCCTTGACCTCCAGGGCTCAGGCAATCCTGCCGGCCTCAGCTGGGACCACAGGCACATACCATGACCAGCTATTTGTATTTTTGGTAGAGATAAGGTCTTGCCACGTTGCCCTGGCTGGTCTGAAAGAACTCCTGAGCTCAAGCAATCTGCCCACCTTGGCCTCCCAAAGTGCTGGAATTACAGGCATGAAACACTGTGCCCAGTTCAACTATTTTCTTATGCCATATAGTTTCTGAACCCTAAATTTTGTTTTACCTGAAGATGATGTAAGCTGTATTTGGCTCTTCAAAGAAAGACAGGATGGTAATTCAAACACTGAAACACTTTTTTTCTAAAGAGATGGGGTCTCATTCTGTCACCTAGACTGGAGTGCAGTGGCACAATCACGGCTCAAGGCAGCCTCGAACTCCTGTGCTCAAGTCATCCTCCCAAAGTGCTGGGATTACAGGCAAAACCCACCATGCCTGGCCCTCAAGTGCTTTTTTAAAAGAAAAAAAAAATCCCTCATGTCAAAAAGATTAGTTTCTTGAGGAGACAGTCAAACCAAGAAACAGCAAATTTAATACAATAATTGCTATAACCAATGAACACTAGAAACAGAAACAAATACAGAGTTTGCCTGGGGGAACTAGGGAAAGCTCTGACTGAAACAGAGACCTAAAATATTTGTCCAATGAAAAAGGAAATTCTAGGTCTAGGACCATGATGATAGAAAACAGCATGCATGGAGGTTGGAAGGGAATGGTATGAATGTGGATATGCAGACAGGCAGATAGGGGCCAGAATGTAGGAAACTTTAGTTAACTATTAATATCGACTTTACCTTGAGGATCAGAAACTCAACCTTTTTTCTCCACTACACACATAAAGGATGAGACACATTCATAATGGGCATACTGTAAACTACTCCAGAAATGAAGTAATCTGGAGACCACATAAATCCCTGAGTCCTCCTCTACTCCTTCATCCCCTACCCTCCCAGAAAGCTGCAACTCCATCCCTTTCCCATTCTGAAAATTTATCTGGTCAGGCGTGGTGGCTCACGCCTATAATCTTAATACTTTGGGAGGCTGAGGCAGGAAGATTGCTAGAGCTCAGGAGTTTGAGATCAGCCTGGGCAACATAGTGAGACCTTGTCTCTACAAAAATTTAAAAATTAGCCAGGTATGGTGGCGCATGCCTATAGTCCCAGCTACTTGGAGGCTGAGGCCAAAGGATCACTTGAGCCCAGGAAGTTGAGGCTGCAGTAAGCTGTGATGGTGCAACTGCACTGCAGTCTGGGTAACACAGCGAGACCCTGTATCAAAAAATAATAACAATAATATATGCAAATATATGAGTTTATCTGAATGCCGAATACAAATGAGACTGATTTTGGAAAGCTAACCTTATCTATTCTAATGTCTAAAATTAAATTCAAAAAACAGAGTCAATAGAAAAATGAAATCACAGTGCTAGGCCCTCTTTCTTCTCTCTCCCTCTCTCACTCATTCCTATTGCTTTAAATCTCTCTACATGCCAACTCCCCCCAAATGTGTATCTCTATCCCAGGCCAGTCTTCTGAATTCCAGACTCAATTACTCTTATATGTATGCTCTCTCACATGCTTTTTCTCACACACACACACACACCCTCGAGAGGTGGCATATCAGTTTGCTCATACTAGAAACCCGGGGGTCATTCATAACGCCTCTCTTTCACCTCCCACCACTAAGTCCTGGTACTCCAAACACAAACACATTTCCCACATCTACATACTCCTTGTGCCGCTGCTGCTACCTTAACCCAAGCCAGCACTGGTTCTGAGCACTAAATATCTTACCCTCTTTCTTTTTTTTTTTTTTTTTTTGAGACGAAGTCTCGCTCTGTCACTCAGGCTGGAGTGCAATGGCACAATCTTGGCTCACTGCAACCTCTGCCTCCTGGGTTCAAGCAATTCTCCCACCTCAGCCTCCAGAGTGGCTGGGATTACAGGCATGTGCCACCACACCCGGCTAATTTTTGTATTTCTAGTAGAGACGGTGTTTCGCCACGATGGCCAGGCTGGTCTCGAACTCCTGACCTCGAGTGATCCGCCTGCCTCAGCCTCCCAAAGTGCTGGAATTACAGGCGTGAGCCACCACGCCCAGCCCGAATATCTTCCCTCTTAAGTCGTGTCCTGCTTCTCTTTTAGTCCTTTCCAATCTGAAATCAAAAAAGAACCATCTTTTTTAAAGCATAAAACAGACCATGTCATTACCCAGCTTAAAATATTTCAATTATTTACAAAAACACTTAAAGTTAAATTCTTTAACATGATTTACAAGGCTGGTCTGTGCTCAACTTGACAATCTCATTGTCACCCCTCCCCTCCTTCAGTGTGTTCCAGCCACACACTGGACTTCTTTTGATTCTTTGAACTCATCAAGCTCAGCACTGCCTAAAAGCTTCCTGTAACTAGAACACTATTTCCCTAACTTTCTGCATGGCAAGGGGCATCTAATCTCTTTCTTTTTTTTTTTTTTTTTTTTTTTTTGAGACAGAGTCTCACTCTGACGCACAGGCTGGAGTGCAGTGGTGCGATCTCCTATTGGAATCATGTGAAGTCCCCACTTCACATGGTCCCAGTCACGGTTCTGTGTCCGGAATTTATTCCTTCCCGTGGGTTCTTGGTCTCACTGACTTCAAAAATGAAGCGCGGACCCTCCCGGTGAGTGTTACACTTCTTAAAGATGGTGTGTCCTGACCAGGCGCAGTAGCTCACGCCTGTAATTCTAGCACTTTGGGAGGCCGAGGAGGGTGGATCACAAAGTCAGGAGATTGAGACTATCCTGGCTAACACGGTGAAACCCTGTCTCTACTAAAAATACAAAAAATTAGCCGTGCGTGGTGGCGGGCGCCTGTAGTCCCAGCTACTGGGAAGGCTGAAGCAGGAGAATGGTGTGAACCCGGGAGGCGGAGCTTGCCGTGAGCCTAGATCGCGCCACCGCACTCCAGCCTGGGTGACAGAGCGAGACTCCATTTCAAAAAAAAAAAAAAAAAAAAAGATAGTGTGTCCGGAGTTTGTTCCTTCAGATGTTCAGATGTGTCTGGGGTTTCTTCATTCTGGTTGGTTCGTGGTCTCGCTGACTTCAGGAGTGAAGCCGCAGACCTTCGCAGGGAGTGTTACAGCTCTTAAAGTTGGCACGTCCGGAATTGTTTGATCCTCCCGGTGGGTTCACGGTCTCACTGACTTCAGGAATGAAGCCACAGACCCTCCAGGTGAGTGTTACAGCTCATAAAAGTAGTGCAGACCCAAAGAGTGAGCAGCAGCAAGTTTTACTGAGAAGAGCCAAGAACAAAGCTTCCACAACGCGGAAGGGACCCAAGCTGCTTGCTGCTGCTGGCTGGTACGGCCAGCTTTTATTCCCTTATTTGTCCCCGCCCACGTCCTGCTTGATTGGTCCATTTTACAGAGCGCTGATTGGTCCATTTTACAGAGTGCTGATTGGTACATTTTTACAGAGTGCTGATTAGTGTGTTTACAATCCTTTAGCTAGACACAGGGCACTGATTGGCGCATTTACAATGCTTTAGCTAGACACAAAAGTTCTCCAAGTCCCCACCCAATCCAGAAGCTCAGCGGGCTTCACCTCTCAGTTCTAGGAACCAGGCTGTCAACCACTACAGCTCCCGCACAGGAACATGACACTTAAGAGATATAAATCAAACTGTAGAAGTGCTCTATGGTTCTTCCTGTCATTTGGAAGTGACAAGTACTCCTTCCATTTATAAGCGACAATAAAAGCTTTCTAAATAGTTATATTTTGATTTCAGGGAAGAAAAGCCAAAACTCTTCCCAAATGCTCTGCTAATTATTCTTGATAAAAGTAGCTACTTATAAAACAAACCACACAGCCCTGGACTATCCTCCTGCAATCAACATTACAGGAAAAACAGAGAACTTTTTAGAATACACAAGATCTTCATTCTCTAATTATCAAAGTAAAAAATGCACATTTGTATCTTAAGTCTGATTTCAGAACAAAGTCTGGTCTCAAAAAACTATCTCACTTCCATTTCTTTAATCTGCCTCTTAGATACTTGGAAACCCCAAAATGATACTCTAAAGTTATTATATTTCCTGTTTCTAGATTTTCCTTATAAAGACTTCATATCACTCCACTTACTAGTACCACTTTTCTTCTGGATTCACACAAGTCACTAGCTTTCCCATGATTTCCAGCTATGTTAAGGGTCCACCCCTTCACTCTAAGAGCTCAAAAACTCTATCAATTGCTTCCAACTAATCAAGAGACAAGGTGTTAGATGAGGACAGAAATAAAATAAGATTGTTTATAAGTTGATAATTGTTGAAGCTGTATACATGTAGATTTGTTGTATTATTCTGTCTACACATTTTGTGGTAGAAAATACATAAAAATTTCCCATCTTAACTTTTTTTTTTTTTTCTGAGACAGGGTCTCCCTCTGTCACCCAAGCTGGAGCGCAGTGGCATGATCTCAACTCATTGTAACTTCCGCCTCCTGAGACTACAGGTGCATCCCACTGCACCTGGCTAATTTTTGTATTTTTTGTAGACATGAGGCTTCACCATGTTGCCCAGGCTGGTCTTGAACTCCTAAGCTCAAGCAATCTGCCTGCCTCAGCCTCCCAAAATACTAGGATTACAGGCATGAGCCACCACACTCAGCCCATATTAACCATTTTTAAGTGTACAGTTCAGAAGTGTTAAGTATATTCACACTGCTGTGAAACATCTCCAGAACCTTCTCATCTTGCAAAACTGAAACTCTATACCCATTAAACAACAACAACCCATTTCTCCCCTTCATTCCCTGGTAACCACCATTCTACCTCTGTTTCTATGAATTTATAATTTTTGATACTGACACCAACAACCTAACTGTCCCATAGAACTGACCATTATAGTTTCTTTTGAATAAAGATAGAAATTGACCCTCCCAGTCTTAAAACTTGAAAAAGTTACATTTGTCTTATCTGAGTTCCTTTCTCAGGAAACCAACCATCAGGTCTCCCAGATGATATCAAGGAACTGAAACGTACCAGATCACTGCATCTAAACAATGAAACCTCAAACCCCTCAACCCATCATGATTGCCTAAGTGACCTCCTGCTTCCTGTTGACCAACTTCTCTTCCTTATCTCTCCCTAATTCCTATTTTCCTGCATGTAGTTACAGTTCTTCCCTGCTATATAAGCCCTTAATTGTAGTCAGCCAGGGAGATGGATTTGAGACTGAGTTACCCTCTCCTCAGCTACAGCACCCAATTAAAACCTCCTTCTCTGGCAAAACTCATCGTCTCAGCAACTGGCTTTCTGTGCAGCAAGCAGCATAACCTAGAACACATCCCTGGTGTTTCAGTAATAATACCTAATATAAGTGAAAGCATACAGTATTCGTCTTTGACTGGCTTATTTCACTTAACACAATATCCTCAAGGTTCACCCACACTGTCGCATATGACAGGATTTATTTCCTTTTTAAAGCTAAATAATATTCCATTGTGTGTATATACCATATTTTATTTATTCATCAAGGACATCTGCGTTGTTTTCACCTCTTAGCTATCCTGAATGTGCTATGAGCATAGGTGTGCAAATATCTCTCTGAGGTCCTGCATTGAATACTTCTGGATACATATCCAGAAATGAGTTTGATGGATTACATAGTAATTCTATTTTTAATTTTTTGAGGAACTGCCATGCTGTTTTCCATCACAGTTGCACCATTTTACAGTCCCAACAGTGCACAAGAATAGTTCCAATTTCTCATAATCTTCACTAACACTCGTAATTCCCTGTTTGTTTTTTAATAGTAGCCATCCTAATGGATGTGAGGTGATATCTCATTGTGGTTTTGATTTGGATCTCTCTGATGATTAGTGATGTTGAACATCTTTTCAAATGTGTCTTGACCATTGGTTTATCATCTTTGGAGAAATGACTATTCAAGTCATTTGCCTATTTTTTAATCTGTTTATTTGATTTTTTGTTGTTGAGTTGTTGTTCTTTCTACATTCTGGATATTAATACTTTAACAGATACACAATTTACAAACATTTTCTCCCATTCCACAGGTTGCCTTTTCAAGTTGATTGTGTTCATTGATGCACCAAAGTTTTTAAGTTTGATGCAGTCCCATTTGCCTATTTTTGCTTTTGTTGCCTGTGCTTATGGTGTCATATGCCAGAAATCACTGCCAAATCCAAAGTTATAAAGCCTTTCCTCTAAGTTTTAAGTTATAAGCCTTTCCTCTAAGTTTTCTTTTAGGAGTTTTACAGTTTTAGGTCTTATATTTAGGTCTTTAATCCACTTTGAGTTTATTTTTATATATAGTGTAAAATATGAGTCCAAATTTTTGTTTTGTATGTGAAAGTCCAGTTTTCCCAACACTGTTTGCTGAAGAGACTGTCCTTGCTCCACAGAGGGGTCCTAGCACCTCTGTCCAAGATCATCTGACCACATATGCAAGGGTTTATTTCTGGAGTCTCTATTCCATTGTCTATATGTCTGTTGTTATGCCAGTACCACACTAGTTTTATTACCATAGCTTAGTAATATATTTTGAAATCAGAAAGTTTGAGTCCTCCAGCTTTGTTTTTCTTTTTGAAAACTGTTCTGGCTATTAGGGGTAACGTGAGATTCCAAATTAATTTTGGGATGAAACTTCTATTTGCAAAAAAAATGCTGTTGGGATTTTGATAGGTATTCTGTTGAATCTGTAGATCGCTTTGGGAAGAATTCATATCTTAACAATATTAAGTCTTCCAATCCATGAACACAGGATGTCTTTCTATTTATTTGTATGCTCTTTAATTCTTTTCAGCAGTATTTTACGGTTTTTAATATTCAAATTTTTCACTTCTTTGGTTAGGGTCATTCCTAACTTTCATTCTTTCTGATGCTACTGTTAATGGAATTGTTTTCTTAATTTTTCAAGTTGTTCACTGTGTATGGAAACATAACTAATTTTTGTGTGTTGATTTTGTATCCTGCAACTTTGCTGAATTCATTTATTAGTTATAACAGGGTTTTTTGTGGAATGTTTAGGGTTTTCTTTTTTTTTTTTTTTAGATGGAGTGTCGCTCTGTCACCAGGCTGGGGTGCAGTGGCGCAATCTCGGCTCACTGCAACCTCTGCCTCCTGGGTTCAAGCAAATCTCCTGCCTCAGCCTCCCGAGTAGCTGGGACTACAAATGCCTGCCATCATGCCCAGCTAATTTTTGTATTTTTAGTAAAGACGGGGTTTCACCATGTTGGCCAGGATGGTCTCGATCTCTTGACCTCGTGATCCGCCTGCCTCGGCCTCCCAAAGTGCTGGGATTACAGGCATGAGCCACTGCAGCCAGCTTCCGGGTTTTCAACAAATAAGATCATATCATCTGTGAACAGAGATAATTTTACTTCTTCCTTTCTAATTTGGGTGCTTTTCTTTTTCTTGCCTAAATTGGCTCTGGCCAGGACTCTTAATACTATGTTGAAATAGCAGTGGCAAGAATGGGCATCTTTGCCATGTTCCTGATGTTAGGGGGAAAGCTTTCGGTCTTTCACCACTGAATGAGATGTTCACTGTGGGCTTTTTTTTGTTGGGGGGAGGGGGTGGGTGAGGGTGGGAAGGGTCTTGCTCTGTTGCCCATTCTGAAGTGATATGGTACGATCTTTGCTCACTGCAGACTCAACCAATCCTCCCACCAAAGCGTCCCAAGTAGCTAGGACTATAGGCGTACATCACCATGCCTGGCTAATTGTGTTTATTTTTTGCAGAGATTAGGTCTCACTTTGTTGCCCAGGCTGGTCTCAAACTCCTGGACTCAAGTGATCCTCCCACCTTGGCCTCCCAGAGTGCTGGAATTACAGGCATAAGCCAACAGGCCCAGCCACTGTGGGCTTTTCATAAATACACTTTGATATGCTGAGTTTCCTTCTATTCCTAGTTGAGTGTTTTTATCATGAAAGTATGCTGGATCTATCAAATGCTTTTTCTGCATGAATTGAGATGATGATGCAGTTTTTGTCCCTTATTCTGTTAATGTGGTATTCTCTTTACTTTGATGTGTTTGAAATTTTCCATGATAAAGTTTGTTTTAAGTTACAACAGTCTGAGAAACATAGTCGGGTGAAGAAACAGTTAACCAAACCATATACTGAGCAAACTTGCGGCCATTTAAAATAAAAGTAGATCAGAAGTAATTTGTTACATTAGAGAATTAAGGGGGGAAGTCTACTTATATTTACTAAACACATGATGTGCTTGACACTGTGCTATTCCACTTAACCACTCTGTGAGGTAAATATTGTTATTGCTATTTTACAAACAAGAAAATGAAAAAAAATTGTGCCCAGATGGCCTTCCAGAGACAGCCCCAATAAGACCTCTCAGCCCATATATTCTTCTGCAATGTGACCTTCCCACTCCCTTTAAAGACATGCAGTTTATTTCTCAAGCCCCTTGAATCTGGGAGGCCCTGTGACTTCTTTAATAGATACAATACTATGCCAGTTCCAAAGCCCTTAACTGCCTGGCAACTTCTACTTCCTAACTCTTGGAACCCTGAGCAGCCACATAAGTTTAGACTACTCTGCTGGATAAAGAGGCCATCTCAAAGAGCACTGAGACATCAGACAAGTAAAAGGAAAACACCATCTTGGATCCAGCCTAGGGCAGAGTCTTCAGATGGCCCCATCTCCAGGTACTATCTGACCACAACCACATGAAAGACCTTAAGGGGAGAAGTGTCCAGCTGAACCCTGTCAATCCACAGAAACATGAGAGATAATAATAAGTTATTGTATTAAGCCACTACATTTTGGATAGACTTGTTAGGCAATAATAGAAAATCAGAACATTGCCCAAGGGATGAAAAGGAGCTTTAGGACGGGCGCAGTGGCTCATGCCTGTAATCCCAGCACTTTGGGAGGGCCAAGGCGGGCAGATCACAAAGTCAGGAGATCGAGACCATCCTGGCTAACACGGTGAAACCCCATCTCTACTAAAAATACATAAAAATTAGCTGGGCGTGGTGTTGGGAGCCTGTAGTCCCAGCTACTCAAGAGGCTGAGGCAGGAGAATGGCATGAACCCAAGAGGCAGGGCTTGCAGTGAGCCAAGATTACGACACCGCACTCCAGCCTGGGCACAGCGCAGAGCGCACAGCAAGACTCCGTCTCAAAAAAAAAGAAAAAGAAAAGGAGCTTTAAACCTTGGTCTTTCTTGAATCCAAAATTCCATCTTCTTTTCATTATACCATGCTGATTGAAAATAACTATGCTTTTAGGCCAGGCACAGTGGCTCAGCCTATAATCTCAGCACTTTGGAAGGCCACGGAGGGAGGATCACTTGAGGCCAGGAGTTCGAGCCTGGCCCAACATGGCAAAACCCCGTCTCTACTAAAAATACAAAAATTAGCCAGGCGTGGTGGCACATGCCTGTAATCCCAGCTACTGTGCAGGCTGAGGCAGGAGAATTGCTTGAACCCAGGAGGCAGAGGTTGCAGTGAGTGAAAGAGTGAGACTCCATGTCAAAAAAAAAGAAAGAAAGAAAGAAAATAACTATGCTTTTAAAGGGAGGAACACTAAATCAAGAATAATAATCAAATGCCAATTATATGTCAGGCACTATGGAAATCTATCCTACGCTTACCTATTAATACGTCAAGTCTTCACAACAAACCTCTCCCCAAAATATTTCCAATGTATGCAGTCACAAAATCTTACCCCTCAGTAACTCATTTCTCTCTTTTTCAGTAACTCATTTCTAATTCAGTAACTCATTTCTCTCTTTTTTTTTAAACTGAGACAGGGTCTCGCTCTGTTGCCCAGGCTGGAGTGCAGTGGCACCATCTCGGCTCACTGCAACCTCTGCCTCCCAGGCTCCAGAGATTCTCCCACCTCAGCCTCCCGAGTAGCTGGGACTACAGGTGTATACCATTACGCCCAGCTAATTTTTATATTTTTTGTAGAGACGGAGTTTTGCCATGTTGCCCAAGCTAGTCTCGAACTCCTGAGCTCAAGCAATCCTCTCATGTTAGCCTCCCAAAGTGCTGGGATTACAGGCGTGAGCCACCACGCCCAGCCGAGTCATTTCTATCATCCCATCTGTAAAAGAAAAGCATAACAAAAAACCTAAGTTACTTACCTAGAATCACTGGAAACAGGAACCCAACTGTTTCCACCAAACTAAGCTGCTTTCCCCCTAGGCTCTAAAAGATTACTGTAAACAACTCTAGTGAAGATACTCAGTGGCAGGTTCTGAATCGAGAACAACTCCCTAAGCATAGCTTAGCCCTGATGCTTACCCACTTAAAAGAACAGCCCAAGAGGACACAAAGCACTAGAAATATAGGAAGGAAAGGAAAAGGGTGGTTTTAATGCATTATTTCTTTTGCCTCCCGTATTTCAAAGGATTAGTTATCACAATACGTGACACCTTAGAGGACAAGGAGCTACAAATTCAGACCTATTTATATCAGGTCACATAATGTGAAATTTAAATACTCTTGAAACCTATACAAGTTTGTATCCAATACTTATTCAGTACATCAAATGTAATATAAAGACTTACTACTTTTTTCCTAATTTCACAGCTATGTTTTTCTACCTCTTCGTTATCAACTTAAAGTGTTTATTTTATCTAAAACAGAAGTTCCAATGGTGATTAAAGTGTCAAAAAAAAGAAGCCCATTTTCTGTCTAGTCTGACAGCCACAATTTTAAGTTAGTCACATTCTATTGTTTATACTCTCTTTGAGTATCACATGGCAAGACAGTCAGAAATTTCTAATTAGAAGGATTAAGAACACAAAATGTTTGCCACACATCACAGCTCCTAGGCCAGTACCCACTATACTTTTACTCTGATGCTAAGTCTCGTCACTAGGTCAAAGAGACTGGTTCCCTTTTCAAGCCAGGTTATACATCCTCCTCCCTTTTCAAAAGCATCAAGTGAACCCCAAAACAAAGACAACAGAACTTCTGAGTTCTGTTCCCAGTTCCACCATTATCCTCAAGGTCTCTGTGAAAATCTCTTTCTAGAGTACAAATACTGTCCTCACTGACTTCTTTCTCTCAACTCTCCTTCAAGAAATTAAGGAAGACATACCTCTCATTCATTACAAGAAAGAGAAAGTTTCCAGTCTAAACATTTTGAAATTAGTTCTCTGAGCTCAAGGAGTTGTAAGCAATTGTTCACTTGGCTATTAATAAAGAAAATCAGTTTACTAAAAAGGAAAACAATAGGCCACAGTTTCAGTGTTACACAAGGATACCTATACAATTTAAATACTGTTTGAAGGGCTGTGATTCAGTTCCAGGCCAATAAAACTACCTTGATTTATGGTTTCATCCCCCTAAGAATAGTAACATTCACATTCACAACCTTTATTTATTTATTTATTTTGAGACTGAGTCTCACTCTGTTGCCCAGGCTGGAATGCAGTGGCGTGATCTTGGCTCACTGCAAACTCTGCCTCCCAGGCTGAAGCAATTCTCCCACCTCAGCTTCCCAGTAGGTGGGAATACAGGTGCCCGCCATTATGCCCAGCTAATTTTTGTATTTTTAGTAGAGATGGGTTTCACCACATTGGCCAGGCTGGTGTTGAACTCCTGACCTCAAGTGATCCACCTGCCTCAGCCTCCCAAAGTGCTGGGATTAGAGGCGTGAGCCACCGCACCCAGCCACCTTTATCATTTTGTTCCTTAATTCAGGCCATGATTGAACACTGACATTACAGATTCCAAACAGGAGTGCATAATCAACCAAGCTTCTTTAGCTCATTGTGTACCAAGGCAGAAAATCAGGTCACAAGACAAAGTGTTACTTGATACAAGCTTGATCAGATGGTCAAGAAGCCAAATTTTCTAAGGAAGAAACACACAGGACTACAAGAATTACCAGAGAAAATGTTAATTAACCTCAGACAACATAATATAGCAGAAAAGATTTATAGTGTTTTTGGCTTGCTCACACTAAAGGCAGCAAGAAAGGGAACAACCCAGTGGCATAAATATAAAATGATAAATGAGCCAAAAAGTATAGATGTTTAGCTCTGATGTGTACCACAATAGTTTAGAAGTAAAATGTACTTTCTTGCTTTTAGCTTAGGCTGACAGAATCTTCTTTGACAAAGTGACAACATTCATTCACTCAGCAAAAATTCTAAGCTCTACATTCCAAGCATTGTGTAGAAAGAAAAATAACCTGGGATTAAAAGTCACTAAAATCACCTACAAAGTATATGCTCTGATAAAATCATACTTCCCTTAACCATATTCTAGTAGTTAGGGAAGTCAAAAGGCATATAAAATGAACTTCTGAATATCCTAGTCTTAGGTACTTAGCCTCGAAATGAGAACTAAGCAATGCTTCAGAACAGCCTAAGTGGTTAGAGTAATGAATGTGAAGCAAAACAAAGCTGGACTGGTAATCATTTCAACTATGTATGTGCACTTCAAAACATCATGTTGTCCACCTTAAATGCATGCATGCATGCACACACACACACACACACACACACACACACACAATCAGACTGGAAACACAGAATAACCAACCAGTTGTGTGACACTGGGTAGCTCACTTCATCTAAATGAGATAGTACCGGGAATATACTAAATTCTCAACAAACTGTAGGTTCTAATAAATTATTCTGAGTGATTTGGATATGGAATATTTCTCAAACCACGTTTCACAGGATATTAACCAGTGGTTAAGGTGGGGAGAAAAACTAGATTTAGAAAAGCCTGAACTAAATATCAAACATGCTGCTTTAATGAATGATTTTTCAGAACCATTAATATGCCATTCCATGTCATAAAAGGGGAAGTGGAGGGATGGAGATAGGGCAACAATTTGGTATGCAATATTTTACCATAATTCTGAACTCCTATTAAATCTCCTGGCACACAGTTTGAGAAACACTGATCTAGACTACTGATTTCCATACTTTTGGTTCCCATAAAGCAGTTCAATTTTCAAATTAAAAAATTGGAAACCTGCAAGGATTGCCAGCTTTTTTATTTTGCCAAGTATAAATATTAAAAAAAAAACCATCTACCATCACCATTTCATTTTAAAAAGTACTATTTTACCATGTACCCACAGAGCAATCAGAGCTTCTGACTGAGAACTCTTCATCGAAATAAAAGTAATACTTGGAATTCTAGCATTGACTTGCCATCAATGACATAGGAGAATTTCACAAGTATGATCTAATTCAACTCACAGCAGGAACATTCAAGTCAGGAAAGATCACATACAAACTGGTTGTTAACAGTAGCCACTGACCATTGGATTAAGAAAACAATTAATTAACTGAATACAACTTTAAAAACAAAAGCAATGTAAATGCAACCTCAAAGCAAACAAAGAATATTTATAAAATAGTTCTAAAAAAAAAATTATCCAGGCCAAGTTTACCTGTTACTGAATCCCAAGTCTTCAAAAAAAAAAAAAATGAAGTTTTAATTTATTCAGTCAACATTACCAGCATTATTGCTTTGTTTGATTTATAAAAGGAAAATTTTGACATTGCTTTGCATTATGTCCTCCATCCTAACATTTTCAAGACTGTTCATCATTATAAGATAAAATATGCACTAATAGTTTGTAACTCATAAAGGAGATTATTTCAGGGGTAAAATTTAAATCCTAGTATGTCAGTGGCTACCACATGATCTATGTGGAAAAACTACAGAAGAAAATTCCCTTACACAAAATCCAAAAATACCCCAGAGCTCAAATCACTAAACCGTAGCTAGCAGGAATAAACACAACTATCTCATTTTACAGACAAGGAAAATGAAGACCCTGAAAGGTTCAATAATTTAACAGCTAAAATAAAACATTTTTTCCCACAGTACTAGAATACAATTTATATATAATTAATTAAAATAAATAAAATCAGCTATAAAAAGGGCTGACAACAGTTGCAAAATGAGGGCTAGTTGTTAGTTCTTACAACAACAATATCTCAGACCTGAAATGGGCAAAAAGGCATTTGCTCTAATCCAGAGATAGCTACATTAATTTAATGTTTAAATGAGATATTAAATTTAAGTCCAGGCACAGTGGCTCACGACTATAATCCCAGCACTTTGGGAAGCTGAGGCGGGTGGATCACTTGAGGTCAGGTGTTCAAGACCAGCCTGGCCAACAGGGTGAAACCCCGTCTCTACTAAAAATACAAAAATTAGCTGGGCATTGTGGCCCACACCTGTAATCCCAGCTGCTCAGGAAGCTGAAGCAGGAGAATCGCTTGAACCCGGGAGGCAGAGGTTTCAGTGAGCTGAGATCGTGCCACTGCACTCCAGCCTGGGCAACAGAGGAAGACTCCATCTCAAAAAAATAAAATAGATAAATAAATAAATAAATATTAAATTTAAAGAAAGCCAAAAGGAGAAGAAAATATTTAAATCCTGATTTTACTACCCATTTTTCTCAACATTTTATTAATCTCCGTACTTCTTCCTGAATATAGCTGATATAGTTTGGATATGTGTCCCCTCTAAATCTCATGTTGAAATTTGATCCCCAATGTTGGAGGTAGGGCCTAGTGGGAGGTATTTAGGTCATGGACGCAGATCCCTCATGAATGTCTTGGTGCAGTCCTTACAGGAATGAGTGATGTGGTTGTTTAAAAGAGTGTGGTACCCCTCCCCTTTCTCTCTTGCCTTGCGGAACACCTGCTTCCCCTTGGCCTTCCACTATGACTGGAAGCTTCCTGAGGTCCCACCAGAAGCAGATGCTGGTGCGAAGCTTCTTGTACTGTCTGCAGAGTAATGAGCTAAGTAAACTTCTTTTGTTTATTTTTTGTTGAGACAGAGTCTTTTTCTGTCGCCCAGGCTGGAGTGCAGTGGCAGGATCTCGGCTCACTGCAACCTCCACCTCCTGGGTTCAAGAATTCTCCTGCCTCAGCCTCCTGAGCAGCTGGGATTACAGGTACGCGCCACTGCGCCCAGCCGTAAACCTCTTTTAAGTTACCCAGCTTCAGTTATTCCTTTATAAGCAACACAAAATGGACTAAGACAACAGCCCAAGTACCTAGAACAGCTCCTGGAATATAGAAGGTACCAATACAGTTACTGAATAAATAAAAATGGACTGCTGTTACTGTTGCATAATCTAGTGCCTGTTATTTTAATGTTATTATCAAATACAAACTAAATTCGAAGTGCTGTACTTCACAAATAGAGTATATGTGTGTGTCCTCAAAGAAAATATCCAGAATCAATCACACTCAGGAATAGAAATAGATATACTTCTGGAAACCTTTTACAGTACTAGTGTTACAGGACGAGATAGACCTATATTATACTGCTAATCTTATTAAAAACCTTAGGAACTCTGAATCTGTCCATCTAATACTGATTGCATATTAAAATAGGATGCTAATATAATATTAAAACAACTTCTCCCTATCCATTCAATCAGCACCTGCACTTGATAGAGAATAATAAACCAACAATTTTAAAGATTAGTAAACTAAGGTTGAAAAATTCAGCAAATTAAACATTTTTATGATTCTCACTTATTAATATTACTTTCAACCACTTTTTTATTGCTACAGATATCTGTAAATATTCATGGGGTACATGTGATATTTTGGTACATGCATATCAAGTCAGGGCATTTAGGGCATCTATCACCTTAAATATTTATCATTTCTATGTGCTGGGAATATCTGAAATCCTCTCATCTAGCTATTTTGAAATATACATTGTTGTTAACTTTAGTCACTCTACTCTGCTATCAAACATCAGAACTTATTCCTTCTATCTAATTTTATGTTTATACCCATTAATCAACCTCTCTTTATCCACATACCTCACCCCCTCTGCCTTCACACACCCTTCCCAGCCTCAGATATCATTCCATTCTCTACCTGCATGAAATCAACTTTTTTAGCTCCCACATATGAGTGGGAATATGCAATATTTGTCTTTCTGTGCCTGGCTTATCTCACTTAACATAATAACCTCCAGTTCCATCCATGTTGCTACAAATGGCACGACTTGATTCTTTCTTATGGCCAAACACTATTCTCTTGCATATATATATATATACCACATTTTCTTTATCCATTCATCCACTGATGGATACTCTGATTCCGTCTTTGCTGCTGTGAATAGTACTACAATGAACATGGAAGTGCAAGTATCCCTTTGATATACTGATTTCTTTTCCTCTGGATAACTACCCAGTAGCGGGATTGCTGGATTGTATGGTAGTTTTCAGTTTTTTTTGAAATATATCCATTCTGTTTTCCATAGTGACCATACTAATTTACATTCTCATCAACAGTGTTTAAGAGTTCCCTTTCTTCCACATTCTGGTCAGCATCTGTTATTTTTGTCTTTTTAATAATGGCCATTCTAACTGGGGTATAATGGTATCTCATTCTGGTTTTGGTTTGCATTTCTCTGATGATTAGTGATGTTAAGCACTGTTTCATATACCTGTTGGCCATTTATATGCCTTCTTTTGAGAAATGTCTAATCATGTCCTCCTTTGCCCAACCATTATTTGGTTTTTTATTATAGTTTCAACAACCCTTTAATCTAAAACATACAAATCAAGACTAGCAGTGAAAATTAATTTGCTGTTTGCCTTTTACATGTTATTAAACAGAAAGTAAATGTACCATTATAAATAGTTTTTGCACTATATCAGCAATCCAAATAACTAATTTTTTTTCAAACCAACGAGGCTAAGATATAAAAATTTCTGTTCCCCAACCTAACTTGTCTTAACTAGGTATGCTAATACCTGTAAACATTTAGCAGTGACCATATTAAGAGATCAGGATCTAATAACTGGCACCATAAATTCAAAATCAGGGAACCAACAGTTTAATAAGTTTGAGAGCAAAAATACCTCACAGTAGTACCTAAATTAGAAAAGATTCTCTAGAAGAAGCTTTCATTCAACAAATTCAGCTATTAATGACTTCATTAAAGTAACTCTGCCTACAAAGCCCATCAGCTGTTTATCTGAAAGGCATGTAATTATGGGATGACTCCTCTTCTTATAAGCTCTCATATGCAGAAATAAAGCCGTATTCCACAAGAGGCTCCACTCTACTGGCCACTAACTAATGGCAAGTGGTCCATCAAACTGCTGCTTTGAGCCAACCCTTTAGTCATTAGTCTACAGGTCTGTGCTTTGTTTTCAAGGATTTTTTTTTTTTTTTTTTTTTGAGACAGAGTCTCACTCTGTTGCCCAGGCTGGAGTGCAGTGGTGCAATTTCAGCTCACTGCAACCTCCACCTCCTGGGTTCAAGTGGTTATCCTCCCTCAGCCTCCCAAGTAGCTGGGATTACAGGCATGTGCCACCACACCCAGCTAATTTTTGTACTTTTAGTAGATGCAGATTTCACTATGCTGGCTGGTCTCAAACTCCCGACCTCAGGTGATCTGCCCGCTTCAGCCTCCCAAAGTGCTGAGATTATAGGTGTGCGCCACTGCACCCAGACCCAGCTAATTTTTTTTTTTTTTTTTTTTTGGAGACAAGACTTTCACTCTTGTTGCCCAGGCTGGAGTGCAGTAGTGCGATCTTGGCTCACTGCAATCTCCACCTTCCAGGTTCAAGCAATTCTTCTGCATCAGCCTCCCGAGTAGCTGGGATTACAGGCATGCGCCACCATACCTGGCTAATTTTGTATTTTTAGTACAGACGGGGTTTCACCATGTTGATCAGGTTGGTCTTGAACTCCTGACCTCGAGTGATCTGCCTGCCTCGGCCTCCCAAAGTGCTGGGATTACAGGCATGAGCCACTGCACCCAGCCTGTTTTCAAGGTTTTTATGAACACTGGTACCTCCATCATTTTCAACAGGTACAAAAAGCAGAAAGTGGCAAGAAGAAAAAGCCTACAGTTAAGTTTCCTTCATTCAACAAATACTAATTGAGTATCTACTATGTACCAAGGCACTGTCCTAACACTTATGGAAAAGAAAACATCAATAATAAGAGTGGTGAGGAAATAAGAAATTTAAAGACATATAGGAATTGTCTAAAGGCCAAGTAAATCTTTGTCTTTTAGACTAAAAGGCTGTGCTAAAGTAGTGAATAATAAGCAAGAAAAAAAAAAGAAGAGTGAATGATAAAACAGAAAAATGTTTTCCTGTATGACTAGAGGTCATTCTTAATGAGGACAACACAATCATCTAGGGGATAGTTGGGACATCTATGGAAGTGCTTTGGTTGTCACAGCAGTTAAGAAGTGCTTCTCACTATTCACAATAGCAAAGACATGGAATAAACCCAAATGCCCATCAGTGAGAGACTAGATAAAGAAAATGTGGTACATATACACCATGGAATACCATTCAGCCATAAAAAGGACGAGTGATTACTTTGCAGGGATGTGGATGGAGCTGGAAGCCGTTATCCTCAGCAAACTAACATAGGAACAGAAAACCACACATCACACGTTCTCATTTGTAAGTAGGGGCTAAATGAGGAGGACACATGGTGGGGAACAACACACACTGGGGCCTGTTGAGGGAGCCTCAGGAAGAATATCTAATGGATGCTGGGCTTAATAGCTACGTGATGAGTTGATCTGTGCAGCCAACCACCATGGCACAGGTTTGCCTACATAACAAAACCTGCACATCCTGCACATGTGCCCCGGGACTTAAAATAAAAGTTGCAGAAAAAAAAAAAAGTGTTACTGACATTCAATTGGCAGAGGCCAGGAAAGCATAGGCAAGTCCAGCACAAAGAAAAAATGTCTTTATTCTCAAACTTCCTTATGAATAGTTAACTGGATTTTTAAAATCTGTATAATTACCAAAGCCTAGAACCTAATTACATTCTACGTATAAGCACCAAGTCCTTCTGCATAATTTTATTTATTTATTTATTTTTTTTTTGAGACAGGGTCTCACTCTGTCACCCAGGCTGGAGTGCAGCGGTGTGATCACGGTTCACTACAGCCTTGACCTCTTGGGCTCAGGTAATCCTCCCACCTCAGCCTCCCAGGTAGCTGGGACTTCAGGCACGTGCCACCAAGCCCGGCTAATTTTTAAAAAAATTTTTTGTAGAGACAGGGTTTTACCATGTTGCCCAGGCTGGTCTCCAACTCCTGGGCTCAAGTGATCCAACCGCCTTGGTATCCCAAAGTGCTGGGATTACAGGCGTAAGCCACCGTGCCCAGTCCATAATTTTAATATGCACTAAATGTCCAGAAAAGCAACTGCTGAATAAAGTAAGAGAAAACTGTACTTTGGGGCAGATGCAGTGGCTCACGTTTGTAATCTCAGCACTTTGGGAGGCCAAGGAGGAGGACAGCTTGAGCCTAACTCAAAACCAGCCTGGGCAACTAAGTGAGACCCCATCACTACCAAAAAAAAAAAAAAAAAAAAGAAAAAAGAAGAAGAAGAAAGAAGTTGTACTTGAGTTTTATTTGTACATTTGCAAAGAATTGTTCACTGTACTGGTTTGCTTCTCCTGGTATTTAAGTTGCAAATACCCTTATAGCAGTCTACTCAGGTAGCTGTCATGTCAAGCTAATCTGTCAGAAATATTTTCTATTTATCCTTTATCTTACTGCAAGATAATTTTTTTAATTATATATGTAGGGCCGGGTGTGGTGGCTCACGCCTATAACCCCAGCACTTTGGGAGGCCGAGGTGGGCGCACTTGAGGCCAGGAGTTCGAGACCAGCCTGGCCAACATGGTGAAACCCTGTCTCTACAAAGAATAAATAATAATACAAAAAAATTAGCCAGGTGTGGTGATGCACGCTTGTAATCTCAGCTACTTGGAAGGCTGAGGCACGAGCATCGCTTGAAGCACCCAGGAGGCAGAGGATACAGTGAGCCAAGATCACGCCACTGCACTGCAGCCTGGTTGACAGAGATTCTGTCTCACAAAAAAAAAAAAAAAAAAAAAAAAAATATATATATATATATATATATATACACACACACACATATATGTAGAAAAGCTGTATTACCTGTGGATTTCATTTCACTAAAGAGAGTATTTCAAAATACTTATAAGAAGAGGGCACTGAATCTGAGAGGTCTGAGAATTAACGGGCTAGAAGATCAGCATCACTGTAGGATACCTGCAGGTCTCAGTTAATCCAGCAAAAGGTAAGAAAGAGCATGTAACTATAATTGTTTTTTCTTTTGAGAATGTAAATTCTAAGCATGGTGAAAGGTAAGCAAAATGAAACTTCTGGAAGATGGTACTATGGGTTAAAAGTCTATTCAAATCTGTACAACATCAAAGTGAGTGGCAAGGAGGTAAACATTACCTTGTCTACTAAGAAGTTTCCTGTGACACTTGTTCAAATTATCAAGGAGAGAGATTAATCTGTCTTAACAGATTTTCAAGGAAGACAAAACTAACTGGTCTGGCCAGGCGTGGTGGCTAACACCTGTAATCCCAGCACTTTGGAAGGCCGAGGCAGGCGCATCACTTGCAAGGTCAGGAGTTTGAGACCAGCCTGGCCAACATGGTGAAACCCCGCCTCTACTAAAAATACAAAAATTAGCCAGGTGTGGTGGCGCACACCCATAATCTCAGTTACTCGGGAGGCTGAGGCACAAGAATTGCTTGAACGTGGGAGGCGGAGGTTGCAGTGAGCCAAGATCGCACCACTGCACTCCAGCCTGGGTGACAGAGTGAGGCTTCAGGTCTCAAAAAAAAACCAAAAAACAAAATCTAACTGGTCTGTTTTGGGAAAAGAGTCACCAACAGTCTACTTATCATACAAGAAAAGTATGCCTGGTTTAAAAATCACTGGCGCCAACTCACTTCTATCTTTTTTTAATTTTTTTTTAAGAGATGGGGTTTCGCCATATCACCCAGGCTGGTCTCAAACTCCTGAGCTCAAGTTATCCACCCACCTCTGCCTCCCAAAGTGCTGGGATTACAGGTGTTAGCCACCATACCTGTCCTACTTCTAACTGATATACATGCATCTGGGGACCTCTGAGAAACTCTGAACAGCAAACAATTGAAAAAAGAAATTTCTAAAAAAGAATAATTTTTCAGCACCTAAACTTCTGTATGTGAAACTATAACAACAACCTAAAATGCTTCTAATACGGTAATGGCCCTATTTCTCTGCAAATAAGGATTGCTCATGATTCTTACACTGCCTTTCAATTAGGATTATACAGCTCCATTCCTCATTCAAGCTTCCCATACGTGCACCTAAGTATCATTTTACAATGGGATATACTTAGGTAAACTGAGACGGTCAGATGACTCAGCGAGAAGTCACCCGAAGAATTTTAGAACAAAGATTAATAACTCCAATATACCCTCTCAACCAAGAATTTGAAGAAACTAAAAGGTTAAACACAAAATTTCTGGAGCTTATGAAACTTCTGAGAGGTATAAGAGAAACACAGAAAGCAAAACTAAAAGTTAGGCTTGTTGTCTGCTTTTCATTTTGTTTTCAAACTGGGATTTCCAGCTGTCTTACTAAATTACATGCAGTGTTTCTATCTCAATTAATTCCCAACTGACAAAAAAATGTGGATAGTTTTCTTTTATAAGTTGCCCTTACAGTATGTAACTTGAGAGGGGTAATCCAATTCCTCTGGTCTCAGTAACTCCAAAGACAGAAAGTAACTCCAATAGATACTGCTATAATGGAATTGCAGCCACTAACTGAGCCCTAGTTCCTGTTCTAAACACTCTCTCCCATCAGAGGTTTGCCTAAAATTATACGGTCTCAATTTTCTTACTGAAAATTCACTGGGATCCCAAAATTAAAAATCAAACCTACACCAAAACAAAACCTTAAACACAATTAGCACAAGATGACACTGACTATCCCTCTATCTATCCCAGGGTTTCTCAACCTCAGCCCTCTTACCTTTTTGGGCCCAATATAATTCTTTGTTTTGAGGGGTCTATCCTGTGCACTGCAGCATGTTCAGCAGCATCTCTGGCCTCCACCCACTGCATGACAGTAGCAACCCTCCTCCAGCCCCTAGTTCCAAAAATCAAAAATGTCTACAGGCTGGGTGTGGTGGCTCACACCTACCATCCCAATACTTTGGGAGGCCGAAGCAGGACTGCTTGAGGCCAGGAGTTTGACACCAGCCTAGGCAACACAGTGAGACTCTGTCTCTACAAAAAATTAAAAAATTAGCCGGGTGTGGTGGTACAGCTAGTTGGGAGGCTGAGGTGGGAGGATTGCTTGAGCCCAGGAGGTGGAAGCCGCAGTGAGCCGTGATCATGCCACTGCACTCCAACCTGGGCAACAAAGTCAGACTCTGTCTCCAAAAAAAAGATAAAAAATTGTCTACAGACTTTGCCAAATGTTCCCTGGGAAACAAAACTACCTGAAATTGAAAACCACTGCTCTAGGCTATCTCATTTATTGCTCAGTAGGATGTGAAGAGATCCAACCTGGCCAACATGGTGAAACCCTCGTCTCTACTAAAAATACAAAAATTAGCCAGGCGTGGTGGCAGGCACCTGTAATCCCAGCTACTTGGGAGGCTGAGGCAGGAGAATCACTTGAAACTGTAAGGCAGAGGATGCAGTGAGCCGAGATCGTGCCACTGCACTCCAGCCTGGGTGAAAGAGGGAAACTCCGTTTAAAAAAAAAAAAAAGAGGCAACTAAACATAAAGAAATACAAAGTGTTAGCACATCTAGTTGGTACTTCCCCCGAAAATACAAAAAATTTCTTCTGCAGTGAGTTCAATTTTCAGATTTTTTTCTTCCTTATACTGAAAAAGTCCCACAAATTTCCCCAATATATACATTTATATTTATCAGTAGAATTACAAGGATAAACTAGCCTCTACCTATAAGAATACATATTTATTTCTAGATATTGCAGTGAATATATGTACTTCACTGTACATTCAAATTTCACATGGTAGCACCTACATTTTGTACCACTGTAGCCTTTTAAAGGCGTCAAAACACTGAAGTCATCACTTTTTAAATATAATTACTGGGTGTTCAACTCATATCAATCATTCAATTAAAAAATATTTAATTAGCAACTGCTATATAGCACCAGATAGACATCTCTCTGGGACCTTTCTAAGAATCATGCAACTTAGAAAGGTCAGCTGAGCTTAAACGGTCACAAAGTCTTTAAGAAATCTGCTTTTTAGCTACTTTTATTATGGGTGGTTTGAACATTTTCCTGTATTAGAGTTATTGCAAGTACAATACAATGATGAATGCCTTCTCTAGCACCTGGTAGAGCCAAACTAGATAACATTACTTATTGATAAGGAAAACATTTTATTAGATCAAAGAAGATGATAAAATAAGTAGAGGGAGAGAAGCCTACTACATAGTTTCTTCAGGTGGAGCCTGAAAGCGAGCAGTTCTTAACCTGATCTCTTCATCTGGATTTAGGAAGATACCCTGATCTCCATAAAATACTTAAGAACCACCCTAGTCTCATCAATACCAAAAGTAGGTTACTCTGCATATGATTTATCTCACCTGTTTAATGATGACTCTACCAGATTTAATCACATAAGGTAACATTCCCTGACCTTGATTTAATGGGGAAAGACGGATGGTAGGGTGTAGGAATGGAATAACACCTTTACACTCCATGACACAGCCCTCTGTGGTGTACTACCCAGTCATTCATCATCAATGTAGCACACTAACTCCATTAGTCTTGGCTTCACATTGTCTCTCAATAAGATAGGTAAGGTAAGAGTTTCTGCTATGGTTTTGAAAATAATAATCTGAAGTTACTTTAAGTATTTATTCTATAATCTGATGACCAAAAAATCTACAATGGCATTTTACCCAATCCTACAGAAACTTAAAATCCTGAGGCTCCAGACTATATAATCGAAATCTCTGATTTTAAAATCCAAGTTTAGTACTCACAAAATTTTACTAAAGTTATTTTCACTGTAAATAGGAAAACACTTTTAATAAGGAGAAAGAAATTCCTAAACCAATACTCACTTGGAATGGAGACTTTTTTGAAACCTAACAGAAAACAATGCCACTAAATATGTTTTCATTTTAAAATTCCCTTCATGATTTCTCCTTATTTCTTAATATCCTCTTTCCAAATGAACCTTTTGTCCTCTTTTTGAATGGTTTTTTTTTTTTTTGAGATGGAGTCTCGCTCTTTTTGCGAGTGCAATGGCACGATCTCAGCTCACTGCAAGCTCCGCCTCCTGGGTTTTCAAGCGATTCTCCTGCCTCAGCCTCCCGAGCCCAGCTCAAATCACTAAATTGCTTAGATTAGAGGCGCCCACCACCACGCCAGGCTAATTTTTGTATTTTTAGTAGAGACAGGGGTTTCACCATGTTGGCCAGGCTGGTTTTGAAGTCCTGACCTCAGGTGATCCGCCCACCTTGGCCTCCCAAAGTGCTAGGATTACAGGCACTAGTCACCATGCCCGGCCCTCTTTTGTCCTCTTATCTGAGTGGATCCAACCCAAAGACACACAAAGCTAAAATTGATCAGGATTAGCAGTAAGGAGTGTTATTCTGTCAAATTAAATGAATTCAGCCTACATGTGGCTTTAAAAAAAAAGGTGAAATAATAAAGTAATTAAATTTTAAAAAGAAGAGAAGAGTTATTAAACCTTGCAACCTAGTCCCGTTGAACACAATTATGGCTCTGAAGCAGACCTTCCCATTGAATGGGTGAAGAAACCTAGTGAGAGCTCATTAAAAGCTGATGTAAACTCAATACCCAGCCTCTGGTGTTCAGTGAGGACAGCACTCATAGATGATGGGTTCTTTCTTTCTTTTTCTTTTTCTTTTCTTTTCTTTTTTCTCTCCTCTCTCCCCTCTCTCTTCTCTCTCATCCAGACTGGGTCTCTGTTGCCCAGGCTGGAGTACAGTGGCACAACCATAGCTCACTGTAACCTCAAATATCCTGGGCTCAAGTAATTCTTCCACCTCAGCCTCCCAAGTAGCTAGGACTACAAGCACATGCCACCATACCCAGCTAATTTTTATTTTTTTTGTTGAGACAGGGTCTTGCTATGTTATCCAGGCTGGGAGAACATTTTAAACAAAGGGAGACAGAGGTCTAAAAATAGATAATGCATAGGAGAATGGTGAGGTAAATGCTATGGCCAAGGCACAGGGCGTGTGGAGGAATGAGTTGGGTTTTTGAAGTTGATTAGATTAAATCATGGAGTCTTTTTCTTTTTTGAGATAAGCTCTTGCTCTGTCACCCAGACTGGAGTGTAATGGCACAATCACAGCTCACTGCAGCCTCGACCTCCCGGGCTTGAGCAATCTTCCCCGACTCAGCCTCCTGAGTAGCTAGGACCACAGACACACACCACCACCCCTGGCTAATTTTTTTAATTTTTGTAGAGATAGGGTCTCACTTTGTTGCCCAGGCTAGTGCCAAACTCCTGGGCTCAAGCAATCCTCTCCTGCCTTGGGTTCCCAAAGTGTTGGTATAACAGGTGTGAGCCACAGCATGCCCCAGTGAGGGATGGTTCTTGGTATCCAACTATCACAAGAGTCAGTACCCTCTTTGTTTACTTTGTTTTTATAAAATTTATCCATATCTGATTTTAACTGGGGTATTAAGCCTTTTTATATATTGACTATAAATGGTTTTTAGGTTTTAGGTCCTTCATTTTGCTCTTTGTTTTCTACACATATTTTTTTTGATTTTAGGTTTGGGGGCACATATGTACATTTGTTACACGGACAAACTGTGTCACTGGAATTTGGTGTACTGATTATTTCGTCACCCAGCAACTGACCATAGTACAAGATAGGCAGTTTTTTGACCCTCATCCTCCTCTTACCCTCACCACCTCAAGTAAGCCCTCGTGTCCATGTTTATGCCCATGTGTACTCAATGTTTAGCTCCCACTTTTAAGTGAGAACACGTGGTACTTGGCTTTCTGTTCCTGCTTTAATTCACTTAGGATAATGACCTCCAGCTGCATCCATGTTGCTGCAAAGGACATGATTTCGGTTTTGTTTTTTTTAAATAGCTGTATAGTATCCCATGATGTATATGTACCATATTTTCTTTATTAAGTCCACCACTGATGGGCATCTAGGTTGATTCCATGTCTTTGCTCTTGTGAACAGTGCCACAATAAACATACAAGTGCATGTGTCTTTTTGGTAAAACGATTTATATTCCTCTGGGTATATACCCAGTAATGGATTGCTGGGCAGAATGGTAGTTCCGTTTTAAGTTCTTTGGGAAATCAAACTGCCTTCCACAGTGGCTGAACTAATTTACATTCTCACCGGCAGTGTATAGGCATTCCCTTTTCTCCACAACCTTGCCAACAACTGTTATTCTTTAACTTTCTAATAATAGCTATTCTGACTGGTGTGAGATGGTATCTCGCTGTGGTTTTGGTTTGCATTTCTCTGACGATTAGTAATCCTGAGCATTTTTTCATATGCTTATTGGGCTGCATATATGTCTTCTTTTGAGAAGTGCGTAGGCAAAAAAACCAAAATCATACCAACCACACTCTCGGATTATAGTGCAATTAAAATAGAAATCAATACTAAAAAGGTCTCTCAAAACTATACAATTACATGGAAATGAGACAACTTGTTCCTGAATGACTTTTCAGTAAAAAATGAAATTAAGGGAGAAATCAGAAAGTTCTTTGAAACTAATGAAAACAAAGATACAGCATACCAGAATCACTAGGATACAGTTAAAGCAGTATTAAGAGGAAAGTTTATAGCACTAAACACTTCCATCAAAAAGCTAGAAAGATCTCAAATTAACAACCTAACATCACACCTAGAGAAACTAGAAAAACAAGAACAAACCAACCCCAAAGCCAGCAGAAGAAATAACCAAAATCAGTGCTGAACTGAATGAAATTGAGATGCGAAAATCCATACAAATAAATGATAAACGAAACCAAAAGTTGGTTCTTTCAAAAAATAAAATTGATAGACCACTAGCTAGATTAATAAAGAAAAAAAGAGAGACGATCTAAATAAACACCATCAGAAATGACAAAACTGACATTACCACCAATCCCACAGAAATACAAAGAACCCTCAGAGACTATTACAAACACCTTTATGCACACAAACTAGAAAACCTAAAATTCCAGATAAATTCCTGGAAACATACAACCTCACAAGACTGAACCAGGAAGAAACTGAAATTCTGAACAGACCAATGACGAGTTCCAAAATTGAATCAGTAATAAAAAACCTGGCCAGGGCCATGGCTCATGCCTACAATCCCAGCACTTTGGGAGGCAAAGGCAGGCGGATCGCTTGAGCCTAGGAGTTCAAGACCAGGCTGGGCAACATGACGAAACCTTATCTCTCAAAAAAAAAAAAAAAAAAAAAAAAAAAAACAGCCAGGTGTGGTAGCACATACCCGTAGGTCCAGCTACTCAGGAGGCTAAGGTGGGAGGATCACCTGAGTCTGGGAAGTCGAGGCTGCAGCAGTGAGCCGTGATCATGCCACTGAACTCCAGTATGGGCGACACAGTGAGACCCTGTCTCAAAAAATAATGAAAAATAAAAAACTTACCAATCAGAAAAGGCCCTGGACCAGACGGACTCACAGCCAAACCCCACCAGACACGAAGAAGAGCTTGTACCAATCCTACTGAAATTATTCCAAAAAATCGAGGAGGGACTCTTCCCTAACCCATTCCATGAGGCCAGCAGCATTCTGATACCAAAACCTGGCAAAGACACAATGAAAAAAGAAAACTCCGGGCCAATATCCCTAATGAACACAGACACAAAAATTCTAAATAAAATACTAACAAACTGAACCAGCAGCACATTAAAAAGCTAATGCAGGCCAGTGTGGTGGCTCACACCTGTAATCTCAGCACTTTGGGGGGCCAAGGCAGGCAGATCACTTGAGGTCAGGATTTCAAAGCCAACCCGGCCAACACGGGGAAACCCCATCTCTACCAAAAATACAAAAATTAGCCAGGTCTAGTGGTGCAAACCTGTAATCCCAGGTATCTGGGAGGCTGAGGCACGAGAATCGCTTGAACCCAGGAGGCAGAGGTTGCAGTGAGCTGAGCTCGTTCCACTGCACTCCAGCCTGGGCTAAAGAGCAAGACTCCATCTCAAAAAAATAAATAAATAAAAATTAAAAGCTAATCTACCACAATCAAGTAGTCTTTACTCCTGGGATGCAAGGTTAGTTCAACATAGGCAAATCAATAAATGTGATTCATCACATAAACAGAATTAAAAACAAATACCACATATCAGGCCAGCCGCAATAGCTCATGCCTGTAACCCCAGCACTTTGGGAGGCTGAGGCAGGCAGATTGCTTAAGCCCAGAAATTTGAGACCAGCCGGGGCAACATGGCAAAATCCCATCTCTACAAAAAAGAAAAAAAAATTAGCCAGGCATGGTGGAACACACCTATCTACTACTACTCAGGAGGATATAGTGGGAGGACACATTGAGCCCACAAATTCAAGAACAGCCTGGGCAACAAGACAGAATAAATTCTGTCTCTATTTAAAAAGAAAAAAAGAGGCCGGGTGCAGTGGCTCACACCTGTAATCCCACCACTTTGGGAGGCCAAGGTGGGCATATCACAAGGTCGAGATGGAGACCATCCTGGCCAACATGGTGAAACCCCGTCTCTACTAAAAATACAAAAATTAGCTGGGCATGGTGGCACGTGCCTGTAGTCCCCACTACTTGGGAGGCCGAGGCAGGAGAACTGCTTGAACCCAGGAGGTGGAGGTTGTAGTGAACCGAGATCGCACCACTGCACTCCAGCCTGGTGACAGAGCGAGACTCAGTCTCAAAAAAAGAAAAAGGGAATATACTGTATATTTGAAAATTGCTAAGACAGATTTTAAGTGTTCTCACCACGCAAAAATAAGTATGTGAGGTAATGCATGTTAAATAGCTTGATTTAACCATTCAGTGTATACATATATCAAATCATGCTGAACACTATAAAAAATATAGTATACAACTTTTAGTTGTGAAAAAAACATGATTTATTAAATATTTCTCCCTTCTTCATCAACTCCCTCTTCCTTTTGCTACCTCACAGTCTTTGGAATTCTCAATCTGAAATGTACCCATCCCTCAAAACTCAATTTAAATCCCACTGGCCACACCAATGCTATGAAATTCCCCTCTCTGAATCCTAAAGCACATATCCTCATTCCCTTTATGCTGTTACTTTTTCTATGTTTGCCTTGTCTTTCCCCAAAAGCTGTAAGATCCTTAAGGGCAGGAGCCACATATCACTCCCTATCACCTCCAGGACACTCAGCAGAGAACCTTGGATATATTTAGGAAGAATCCGGTTATACTCAATTGTGTTAGGCCTCAATTTACAAATCAGATATGACAAATAATATATCACACCAAAAAGATCAAGAAACTTCTCCAGGCATTAACTAAGGCTTAGAAAAACACCTATTCAGCTTTTCAAATTATCCCTTTGAAGTAAGGACTTAAAGGTGAGAAGAAAAGATATAATCAATTGGGGAAGTTTAGACTGTCTTCTCACTCTTTTTTTTTTTTTTTTTTTTTTTTTGAGACAGGGTCTGGCTCTATTGCCCAGGCTGGAGTGCAATGGTGCGATCTCAGCTCACTGCAACCTCTGCTTCCTGGGGTCAGGCAATCCTCCTACCTCAGCCTCCTGAATAGCTGGGACTACAGGTGCATGCCACCACACACACGGCAAATTTTTTTATTTTTTGGTAGAGACGGGGTTTCTCCATGTTGCCCAGGCTAGTCTCGAACTCCTGAGCTCAAGCGATCTGCCTGCCTTGGACTCCCAAAGTATTGGGATTACAGGCCTGAGCCACCACGCCTGGCCAACTTCTCACTCTTAAAGGCAAAATAGTGAACAGCAACTTAAAGATCAAAAAAGCTAAGGATGGAATATTCAACAAGGCATCACATTCAACAACACACCACTGGTCACACACATACTGGCTGAATTCCAGACTCCCTCTCTATGGTAGAAGAGTTCTGCAGGCTCTGATGTTGGCTGGAAAAAAACTAGACACCTGCTCTTCCCAGCACTGAAATATGGCCAAAAAAAAAAACATAAACACACAGCAAAATCAGCAAACAAAGCTAAGTAGCATTTAGGCGGGGAGCAGTGGCTCACGCCTGTAATCCCAGCACTCTGGGAGCCCGAGTCGGGTGGATCACTTGAGGTCAAGAGTTCGAGACCAGCCTGGCCAACATGGTGAAACTGCATCTCTACTAAAAACACAAAAATTAGCCAGGGTGCGGTGGTCGTGCACCTATAGTCCCAGCTACCCGGAGGCCGAGGCAGGAGACTCTCTTGAACCCGGCAGGTGGAGGTTGCAGTCAGCCGAAATCATGCTCCTGGGTGATAGACAGAGGCTGTCTCAAAAAAAAAAAAAGAAAAAAGAAAAACAGCTAAGTAGCATTTAGATGAAACTATGACTCTGAAGTAGGGGGTGCGGCAAGTAGAGAGGAAAGAATGTATCATAATGCCTTAAACAAAACTTTTGAGTGAGAGAAGACTATAAAACACCCTTTAAGCACTTATTCACTGGACTCCATTTGTGTTTCTAAGAAATAAGATATACAGACTCACTTCAGAAGGTTTTCTCCTACACTGTATCTGAGACACCATAAATAGAAACATACATTATGTTGCCACTCTATCACAAGACTGAACCTGGACACTTGTAAGGAAAGGAACAACCATAAAGACAGTTGGCCAAGGACAGGATTGACATTCACTCTGGGGGAGCTCCTCGTAGTAGCTACAACCCAACCCAAAACAGTTTCTGGGTTTGTGATGCTGGTGCTGGCTAGTATGCTGCATAAATGTTGTTTGTTTTTGTAGAGAGGGGTCTCACTCTGTTGCCCAGGCTGGTCTCAAACTCCTGGCCTCAAGCAATCCTCCTGCCTCGTCCTCCCAAAGCACTGGGATTACAGACCTAAGCCACCGCGCCTGACCTACAAAAGTGTTTTCTTCCCAACCACAGCACTGCCTCTCAAGGGGCTAACACTCTGGCAGAAACTCGTGAAAACCAATTTCACGTCAGAGGAAGCATCCCCAACATTCTGTCCCGGCTCTTTTTCTTAGGTGAAGAAAGGGACAGGGCGGGGGGCGGAACAATGATATTAAAGACACTGGCAGCATGACAACCAAAATAAACGAAGTTGAAACAGTACGTCCTGCCTTCTTCCTAAAGCCATTTCCTTCAACAGTGATAGGAGTGCAGACCGTCTGCAAGTCATTAGTACGCTGCTGTCTTCACTGTCACAAGGACCCTGGAAACCACTGAAGAGCAAAATCCCCCTTTTCGCCCCACAGATACCTTCCAACCCCCTTTCTGTGCTTCCTTCCCTAGAAAAAACCGAAGAGTGACAATCCTCAGCAATCCGCTATTTCGCTTCACTGACAAGGGAGGTGGCGGGGGCGGTGGGGGGTGAAAAGTGGAAAAGAACACAGAGGAAGGTGAGAAGACACAGTGGAAGAAGTGTGGGGGGAGGTCATCGTAGGAAAAAGACCAGGTATAAAAGAATGCAAGAAAATTGAGGGGAGAGTTATCAGAGGGAAACTTGCTAAGAAAAAAAAAAATTAAGGACACGGGAGGTAAAGAGGTGAGGTCAGGTGGAGCAGCCCAGGATGAATTAAGAGGTGGGCAGGAGGTACGGGGCCGAGGCCGTGATGCCCAGGGTTTAGGGCCGGCGGCTTAGAAGTGGGCAGCAGGTATTCGGCAGACCGATGTCGGGCGAGTCAATGATGTGCAGAAAGCTCCAGACCCAGTTCCGGGAAATCGGGGCCAGGAATCTATGAGGTTCCCAAGTATAGAGAACACAGCGCTCTTACCGGTAGTTTGGGGCTGACCTCGCCCTTGCAAAAGTGGCAGAAAAACCGGTGGGCGGCTACAGCGGCGCCCGAGTCCGCCCCGGCCGCCGAAGCCTCCGCCATTTTTGCCCTCCGCCGCGGCCGTCCGAGAGGGCAGCCGGCCCGTCCCTCGCCAGGCCGCTACCTCCCGAGCTGCAGTCGTCGCCGCCGCCGCCGCCTCGGTGCGGCCCACCGCTTCAGAGCCCGCGTCGGTCACGTGAGTTGGCCAGGCCCAGAAACGCGGCGGCGCCAACAGCTACCCTGCGGCCCGCCTCCCAGCACCAAAGAGGCGCAGGAAGGAGAGACAAACGGCCCGCCCGCCGGCTCCACAAACAGCCCCTCGCTGGTCCTCCAGTCTTCCAGCGAGAAGAAAGAAAGAGCGTCCCCGGAAGCCGCCGAAACTCTGGGGTAGAGTGGCACGCGCTTTTTGCTTTTCCGCGTCTTCTTCGGTGGCGATCCGCGTCCTAGAAAGGGCGGTGGGCTCCACCTCGGCCTAGAAGGCCAGCGGGAGCCGTAGGAAGCCGTCGCGGGAAGCTCAGCCGAATTGGAGTTGGAGCCCCCGGATTGCGCTGACCCTGAGGTTAGTGGAAAATGCTGTCTGAACGTGGCGGCACTGACTGGACCAAGAGACCACGTCCGAAACGGGAACCTGTGTAAAGGAAGTGTAGAGCTAGGAGCCAAGCGCCTTGGAAGCCCTTTCCGAGGATGGCAAAGGATCTGGGAATGCTTCTCCAAAGATATGTGGATGGACGAAATAGGTCTCTGGTGATACTGAGGCGGGGTGGGGACGGGGAGGCAAAGACTTGGCTTCTTAGGAATTGGAAGAAATAAGTAAACAATGTTTGGTAGCAATTTGTAATAAGGAAGTAATCATAAAATTAACTACGTCCGTTTCTGATTGTGTCAACTTTGTCAAGGAGTAGAAGTTTAAGAATTGAATACTGTCCTGCAAACAACGTAACCTCATCTCCTGTTTGACACACCCTGTTGAGAAGCAGTCCTTTACCTCCTAAATTTCTTTTTCGAAATTATCATTTCCTTTATGGACTGAGAATAACACTGCCTGTTCACTCCCACCGAGCTGTGAACAGTGACCTTAATTCTTCCAAGCAGTGAAGTGTAGAAACTAAGGTCTGTGACAGACCGCAAAATCATCTCCCAATCTTTAAGGAAAATCAGAATCACGCATAATCCCATAGAGATAAATTTGATGCATAGTCTTTTCCTATGCATACATTTTTCCTTTTTTTTTACAATAATTGAATTTTTATATTTTTTCAGCTTGCTTCTGTCACTTAATATATTATGAGTAATTTTTTTTGTTTTTTTTTGTTTTGGAGACAGAATCTCGCACTGTCGCCCGGGTTGGAGTGCAGTGGCGCGATCTCGGCTCACTGCAACCTCTGCCTCCCGGCTTCAAGCGATTCTCCTGTCTCAGCCTCCCTAGTAGCTGGGATTACAGGCACCCGCCACCACGCCCAGCTAATTTTTTTGTGTGTTTTTAGTAGAGAAGGGGTTTCACTATATTGGCCAGGCTGGTCTCAAACTCCTGACCTCATGATACGCCCACCTCGGTCTCCCAAAGTGCTAGGATTACAGGCCTGAGCCACCGCGCCAGCCTATTATGAATAATTTTCTACATGAATACGCATCGTACTAAATAACTTTAAATGTTGGTGTAGTATGCCATTGTATGGGTATGGCATCATTTATTGTTAGACGTTAGATTGTTTCCACTAAGTCGGTATTATAAAGAGAACTAATGACTTCATTATTATTAGCTTTTTCTTTCTTTGGACACAATATCCAAAAAGAAATTGTTGTTTCAAAGATATGCAAGATTTTTAAGGCTTTTTGATATGTATTGTCAAATTGCCCTCCAGAAAGAATACATGAATTTACACTCAGCAGCTCTGCTTCCAGCGTGAAAGACTTTCTATTGTACCATTTTGGTGTTTTTTCCCTAGCTCTCAGACTCCCCAGTACAATGACTCAAGCAGAAATTAAGCTCTGTTCTTTGTTGCTGCAAGAGCATTTTGGAGAGATTGTAGAAAAAATTGGAGTCCATCTGATAAGAACCGGCAGCCAGCCACTAAGAGTAATTGCCCATGACACAGGAACATCACTGGATCAGGTATGTCTAAATGACATTCATTTTCTCTCATTTCTTTCACTAATTTATTTCACCCACCTTTGAATATTGTTCTTCTCACCCCAGAAAAGGAAAAATGAAGAAAGCCTGCCCTTGGAGCAGAACAATGTTATTTCGGGGAGAAAAGGATGAGACTTAGACATCAACATTTTGTTTCTCAAAGTGTTCCTAGTTCATCACAGCTTTTAGGCAAATCTTTGCTCTTCCCATGCCGTACCTCATTTATTCACAATAAGTCTATTAATCTCAGTACTGCCTTTAAGGAATGAGAATGATGAAAGTAAATTGTGTTTTGAGAGATAAGGATCAGAGGAAATATAGCAAGGAATCTTCCTGATTTATTGTATTGATGTGTGATTCTTATTAGCTCCTCCAGTGGAGAGAGGAAATAAGTGCAGAAATTATCTAGCCATTTTCTGATGCTTACTAAGCTGTTGGACAAAAAATTGCCAGCAGTAATGAGCTATATCTTCAGGTCTTTCCTCTCTTTCTTCTCTTTATGTTCCATTTAGGTGAAGAAAGCCCTGTGTGTCCTCGTCCAACATAACCTGGTGAGTTATCAAGTGCACAAACGTGGTGTGGTGGAGTATGAAGCCCAGTGCAGCCGGGTATTGCGAATGCTTAGATATCCCCGGTACATCTATACTACCAAAACTCTGTACAGTGACACTGGAGAGCTGATTGTTGAGGAGCTTCTGTTGAACGGCAAACTGACAATGTCAGCTGTTGTGAAGAAAGTGGCAGACCGGCTCACAGAGACCATGGAGGGTCAGTATGGTATCCATAGCTGTTAACAAAAGCATAGATCAGCTGGCTATGGGAGTGAACCCTGAGCTATCTTAGGCCATCTCATCTGCCTTTTTCCTCCTGTTATACAGATGGCAAGACCATGGACTATGCTGAAGTATCAAACACATTTGTGCGACTGGCAGACACACACTTTGTACAACGCTGCCCTTCGGTACCTACCACTGAGAATTCAGACCCTGGGCCACCACCACCTGCCCCCACACTTGTCATTAATGAAAAGGACATGTACCTGGTTCCTAAACTCAGCTTGATAGGTAAGGAATTTTAACCCCTGGAACTGTGACTTGCCTTAATTGTGGATTCTTCTTGATTGTCAAGTGTATGAAATGTGATTGTATTTACCAAGTATTTGCTATGTGCCAGACATCGTGGTGTATAACAATGAAAAAATCATGGTCTCTGCCATGGGGCTTTAGTATAGGAGACATACATTAATCGGAAAATCACATCGATATATCATTAAACGGTGATAAGTACTATGAAGGAAATATTCCTATGAAGGAACTGTCATAGTATTATGAGACATGCATTAATCAGAAAATCACATCAGTATATAATTAAACTGTAATAAGTGCCATGAAGGAAAAGTATGAGGTGTTATGAAAATATATAATGGAGACTTTGGGAGACTGAGGCAGGCGAATTGCATGAGGCCAGGAGTTCGAGACCAGCCTGGGCAACATGTTGAAACCCCATCTCTACTAAAATTATAAAAATTAGCCAGGTAGCCGGGCATGGTGGTTCACGCCTGTAATCCCAGCACTTTGGGAGGCCAAGGTGGGCGGATCACGAGGTCAGGAGATCGAGACCATCCTGGCTAATACCGGGAAACCCCGTCTATACTAAAAATACAAAAAATTAGCTGGGTGTGGTGGCGGGCATCTGTAGTCCCAGCTACTTGGGAGGCTGAGGCAGGAAAATAGCATGAACCCGGGAAGCGGAGGTTGCAGTGAGCCGAGATCGTGCCACTGCACTCCAGCCTGGGCAACAGAGCCAGACTCCGTCTCAAAAAAAAAAAAAAAAAAAAATAGCCAGGTATGGTGGCATACGCCTGTAATCCCAGCTACTCGGGAGGCTGGGGCAGGAGAATTGCTTGAACCCAGGAGACAGCGATTGCAGTGAGCCAAGATTGCACCACTGTACTCCAGCCTGGGTGACAGAGTGAGACTCTGTCTCGGGAAAAAAAAAAGAAAAGAAAATATATAACGAGAGACGGGATTCATCTGGGAGTTTAGGCCTCATGTTTCTTTGAGAAGGTGGCATTTGAGCTAAGATTTGAAGTAGAAGCTAACAGTGAGGTAACAGGAAAAGCATTTTTGGCAGAGGGAATAGTATGTAGTAAAAAAATAGCATTTGAGGAAATGAAAGAATGTCAGTATAGCTAAAGCATTGTAAGCAAAGCAAGAGAGGCATGAGGTAAGGTTAGAGACATAGCTAGGCAGGGGTCTGATCTCAGAAGCTAATCAGGATCAACCTGCTTAGTACTTGGATGGGAGACAGGCAGGGGCTGAATCAAGTAAGACCTTATAGAGCATCTGTTCTTTATGCTAAGAGCAAAGGAAGACCACTGAAGGATTTTTAAGGAAATGACATGATCTAATTTGCACTTTCAAAAGATTTTTTGTCTACAGAAAGGATGGGAGAATGGGGCAAAGGTAAATGTTGACAGACTGGTGGAAAATGAAAGAGAGAGGGTGAAGGAAACAAGTACTAAGAGTGACATCTGTGTGTCTGACTTGCACATGTGGGAGGATGATATCACTGGCCATGAAAGAGAGCATTGGAGGAGAAAGACTATAAGACTCTTTTTGAACATGTTGAGTTTCAGATTATTTCATCAGTTACTTGAGTTTCTTATAGCTCTTCAGCCCCCTAAGCAACTCTGATCTAGAGGCAGCTACAGATGTCTTTGGAATGAAAGACACCTGCTCTCATGTTTGGTCATTTCCTGTCATCATATGAGATATAGTCTAAGTGTTTAATTGTTTGTTTGGCAGGGAAAGGTAAAAGGAGGAGATCATCTGATGAAGATGCTGCTGGGGAGCCCAAGGCCAAGAGACCAAAATATACTACAGATAACAAGGAGGTAATGGGGCTTCTTGATTAGAAGTCCTCACCCTGAAGCAGGCCAGAAAGAGCACTCAGATAACAAGCCCCAAGAGAGCTTAAAGCTTCCTGAGCTAAGAAGCAGTAGGATTATGAACCTCATTAAATATTAGGAATAGACTAACAAAGAATGAACCATTACTGTCTCCCTTCTGAGCCTTAACTTAATTCTTTCATTGAACAGAGGTAACAGCTTATGTAAAAAGGGGCCTAGAAAAAGTTTAGGTTGCTCAATATGGCGAGAACCTAAAGACCTACAGGGGCCAGTGATGAAAAATGGGTCTAAAAACTATACATAGGCCTGAACTCATATTCAAATGCCTTCTTAGCGTACCTATAAAGATGTCAGTAAGCATCTCAAATTTAGTGTGGCCAAAACAGAATAATTGATTCCTCCTCCCAAATATCTTGCTCCCTCATAAACTTCCTCATCTTAGTAAAAGACACTACCACGTAGGCCAGCCGCCTAGGACACCACCATTTCTGCTTAAGCCAAAATCCTTGGAACCCTCTAATCTCACAGTAAAACATATCAGCCCAGTTTCCAAAATTACCTCAAATCCAACCATTTCTCATCTTTTCACTGCCATCTCTCAACTCTTTGCAAACGCTTTCGTTAATGGTCTCCCTAGCTGCATTCTTACCTACTTAGTAGCCAAAATGACTTTCTAAGTTGTTCAAAACAAAACAACACATCCACTGATTAGACTCCTTTAATAGCTTTCCTTTACTTTTAGAAGAAATCCAAGGTACGGGCTAGGAAGCCTTACGTGATCTAGGTCTTCGTATGATCTGCTGGAGACAGGGCTCTTCAACCTCACCTCTGCCCCGTCTCCATCTTACTCACTGTGTTCCCTCTACTGACTTTATCTCTTAAACATGTCAAACTCTTTCTGGTCTTTAGACTTTGGCTCCGGCTTCAAATGTTTGTCCCCAGATCTTCATGTAGTGGTCTCTGTTTTTATCATTTCTATCTTAAATGCTGTTTTCATAGACTTCAAGCACCATTGCCCACTCCTACACTAGTTCCTACCACATTTCTCATTTCATATACTTCACAGCATTTATATTTATAACTGGAATTATTTATTATTTGTGTACATGTTTGTCTAAGAGGTTTGGGCTTTATCCTGAAGGCAAAGGAGAGCCATTGATGGATTTTAAGCAGGGAAATGAAGTGACTGGATTTATATTTTAGAAAGATTATTATAGCACAGCAGTTCCTAACTTGTTCTACTCCATGGATGGATTTCAGAGAGTCCAGTTATACTTACGTGCATTTTTCAGTGAAGCTCTCCGTACCTTTCATTACATTCTTCAAAGGAACTGTGACCCAAAACAGTTTAAAAAAAAAAAAAGCACTACTCTAAGAAATGGGAAGAATGATGCAAAACAAAATTAGAAGGAGAAAACCCAGTTACTCCTTTTATAGTGTCTGCTATGTTTTAAAGGGAAAAAAAAAAACCCAGTTAGGAGGCTATTGTAGTAATCCAGATGGGCCAAGATTTAGAGTCTGAAATAAGGTAATGATAGGAGAAAGAAAAGTAGACATCTGATAAATATAAAGAATAGATAGAACTTGGTAATGGGGTGGTAGATTATGGAGAGCAAGGGACTAGGGGTGATACCCAAGTTTGTAGCTTAAGAAATCGGGTTGGCTGGCCAAGCACAGTGGCTCACACCTGTAATCCCAGCACTTTGGGAGGCCGAGGTAGGTGGATCACCTGAGGTCAGAGTTCGAGATGAGCCTGGTCAACATGGTGAAACCCCGTCTCTACTAAAAATACAAAAATTAACCGGCCATGGTGGTAGGTGCCTGTAATTACAGCTACTTGGGAGGCTGCGGCAGGATAATGGCCTGAACCTGGGAGGCAGGGGTTGCAGTGAGCTGAGATCACGCCACTGCACTCCATCCTTGGTGACAGAGCAAGACTCCATCTCAAAAAAAAAAAAGAAATTGGGTTGTCTAGGCACAGTGGCTCGTGCCTGTAATCCCAGCATTTTGGGAGGCTGACGTAGAAGAATCACTTGAGCCCAGGAGTTTGAGACCAGCCTGGACAACATAGTGAGACCCCATCTGTACCAAAAAAAAAAACACCAGACCTGGTGGCACATGTTTGTAGTCCCAGCTACTCAGGGGCTGAGGTGGGAGGATCACTTGAGCCCAGGAAGTCAAGGCTTCAGTGAGCCATGATGGTGCCACTGCACTACAGCCTGGGCAACAGAGCAAGACCCTGTCTCAAAAAAAAAAAAAAATTGGGTTGGTTATAGTGTAGTTACCTGAAAACTTACAAAACAGAACAGTTTGGGGAACAAATGGAAGTGTCAAATAGGCAGCTGAGTCTATGCATCTGGAGCATAATAGAGAGTTCCAGGATAGGCCGGGTGCGGTAATGCCTGTAATCCTAGCACTTTGGGAGGCAGAGGCAGGTGGATCACCTGAGGTCAGGAGTTCGAGACCAGCCTGGCCAAGATGGCGAAACCCCGTCTCTACTAAAAATACAAAAATTAGCCATGCATGGTGGCGCAGGCCTGTAATCCCAGCTACTTGGGAAGCTGAGGCAGGAGAATCGCTTGAACCTGGGGGGCAGAGGTTGCAGTGAGCGGAGATTGTGCCACTTCACTCCAGCCTGGGCGAAAGAGCAAAACTCCATCTCAAAAAAAAAAAAAAAAAGAGAGAGTTCTAGGATAGAGTAACAGATTTGGAAATGCATCAATAGTTGAAGCCTGGAGAGCAGATAAAATTACCCAAGTAGAGCATGTAGAGTAAAAAGAAAGGAAAGGTATGGACAGAACCCTGACAAAACACCAGGATTACAGTTGGGATCTGAAAGAGGAATCTGTGGATACTGAGGAAAGGTAGCCAGAAAGGTTCAAAGTAACGCCAAGAAAAAATGGTGTCGGCCAGGCCCAGTGGCTCACACTTGTAATCCTAACACTTTGGAAGGCCAAGGCGGGCAGATCGCTTGAGCCTAGGAATTTGAGACCATCCTGAGCAACATGGTGAGACCGTCTCTACAGAAAAATACAAAAATTACCCAAGCGTGGTGGCACGCACCTGTGGTCCCAGCTGCTTGGGAGGCTGAGATGAGAGGATCACCTGAGCCCAGGGAGGTCAAGGCTGCAGTGAGCTACAATCACACCACTGCACTCCAGCCTGGGTGACAAAGACCCTGTCTTTAAAAGGAAAAAAAAAATGGTGTCATAAAACCAAGGAGCCACATAAAGTTTTAAGAAGGAAAAAATGTCCAACCATGTCATATGCTTCCAAAAGGTTAAATAAGATCAGAAGTGGAAATTATTATTTGAACTTAACAACATAGAATCCTTAAGGACAGTTGTGGAATTTCACTGGAATGCGAGTGACAATTGACATTTCAGTACAATAGTGGAAATGGGTTGCGTAAATCTAGGTAGAGATACAACTGAGATGGCCAACTGTTTGAGAAGCTTGGCTGTGACACTAAGGAAAAGAAGAGAAGGCATAGGGTTGAAAGAGAATTCTAGAGTAGAAAGAGACTTGGACAGGGTAAAGGCTGATAAGAAGGCGGTAGAGAAGGAAAGCCTGAAGATGTTAGAGGACAGGGTAAAATAGAGCTGGATCCCCAAGAATGAATGAGAGAGTAAGATTTGGAATACCAATATGGGCATTAACCTTAGGTAAAAGGAGCATTTTTCAGCTGTGATAAAAGTGAGTGAAAATATGAATCAAGAACAAAAAAGAAATGTGGTGAGGATGTGCACAGAGCTGAGTGAGTTCTGGCCTAGTGTCTTCTATTTTCTCTGTGAAATGAGAGGCAAAGTCATCTGCCGAGAGTGAGAAGGAAGAAGGGTCAAGTTGGAGACTTGAAAGTAATGGAGAAGAGTTAAAATAGAGAGAGAAAGGCCGGATGTGGTGGCTCACACCTATAATCCCAGCACTTGGAGTCCGAGGCAGGCAGATCACCTGAGGTCAGGAGTTCGAGACCAGCCTGGCCAACATTGTAAAACCCCAACTCTACTAAAAATACAAAAATTAGCCTAGCGCAGTGGTGGTTGCCTGTAATCCCAACTACTCAGTAGGCTGAGACAGGAGAATCACTTGAACCCGAGAGGCAGAGGTTGCAGTGAGCCGAGATCATGCCACTGCACTCCAGCCTGGGTGACGAGCAAAACTCCGTCTCAGAAAAAAATTAAAATAAATGTTAAATAATAAAATAGGGAGAGAAAGATTGGAGATGAGCTTAGAAAACCTGTTTGAAGTCGGAATTTGTCTAGACACCAGTCTACATGACTGAATGATTTTTTTCCAACCAATGTAATTGTTACTGTGTAGGAAAAGAAATGGTGAACCATTAAATCCAAGCTCCTCACCAGAAAACTTTACACTATAGCTAAATGTTTCTCTAAATCTTTTCCTCAGCCCATTCCAGATGATGGGATTTATTGGCAGGCCAACCTTGACAGATTCCACCAACACTTCCGTGACCAAGCCATTGTGAGCGCAGTTGCTAACAGGATGGACCAGGTAATACCTAAGTGGGTCTGTCATTGGTCATCAGGGACATTTACTTATTTGTCAGATATGGCCATTGGCACATAGAGCCAGGGGCAGCACTGTGATTTCTGAATTCTAGTTTACTTTTCAAACAGACAAGCAGCGAGATTGTGCGAACCATGCTCCGAATGAGTGAGATTACCACTTCCTCTAGTGCTCCCTTCACCCAGCCATTGTCTTCCAATGAGGTGAGTTTCATGTTCTTGCACTAACTTTCTGACAGATTCTTGGGTGTTATCAACGTTTATTATACACAGATCCTGAGTTTGGGTTGAGGTCTGAGCCTTGAAAGAGAAGGGCATTTGATGTGGAGCAGGGATTATCTTCAAGTGATGAGCACTGAAATGTTTGGTCTCTTAGGATCCAGCTTTTAAAAATCTACACTATTCACTTAGTCAAAGTATCTATTCGTCAAGTACAGCCTATTCCTAATTATTTTAAGAATCCACAATTTGGACTCTGAGAGCCTTGGCATTCAGGACATTATTTGACCCCCTGTACTTAAAATATCGATATTTAATATATCCAATATGTGTTATTTATATTACTTTCATAGTAATACAGTCATGCATCACTTAACAGCAGGGATACATTCTGAGAAATGTGTCGTTAGGTGATTTCATCATTGTGTGAACATCATAGGGTGTACTTAACACAAACCTAGATGGTGTAGCCCTACAGCACACCTAGACTGAACGGGATAGCCTATGGCTTCTAGGCTGTAAACCTGTACAGCATGTTACTGTACTGAATACTGTAGGCAGTTGTAACGCAGTAGCATCTGTGTATCTAAACATCTAATCACAGAAAAGGTACAGTAAAAATATGGTATGAAAAATTAAAAACCACACCTGTTTAGTGCACTTAACATGAATGGAGCTTTCAGGACTAAAAGTTGCCCTGTGGGAGTTAGTGAATGAATGGCAGATTAATGTGAATGTGATGGTCTACACGCTCAGGCTACACTGTATTTATTAAAAACCAGTAACAGGCTGAGCGGGGTGGCTCACGCCTGTAATCCTAGCACTTTGGGAGGCCCAGGCTGGTGGGTTGCCTGAGCTCAGGCGTTTGAGACCAGCCTGGGCAACATGGTGAAACCCATCTACTAAAATACAAAAAAAAAAAAAAAAATTAGCCGGGCATGGTGGCATGCGCCTGTGGTCCCAGCTACTCGGGAGGCTGAGGCAGGAGAATTGCTTGAACCCAGGAGGCAGAGGTTGCAGTGAGCCAAGATCATACCACTGCACTCCAGCCTCACCACACATGTGAGTAATGTGTTTCACAACGGCATTGTGCTATGATGTTACAACAGCTATGACATCACAAAGCAGTAGGAATTTTTCAGCTCCAGTATAATATGGGACCACAGCTGCACACGGTCCGTTGTTGACTAAAATGTTATATGGTGCATGACTGTGTTTAAATATTCCTATATTTTTATATTGTTTATTTTAAAGTTCTATGGCCAGGTGCAGTGACTCACACTTGTAATCCTAGAACTTTGGGAGGTTGAGGCAGAAGGATCCCTTGAGGCCAGGAGTTGAAGACCAACCTGGGCAACATGACAAGACCCCCGTCTCTACAAAAAATTTTTTTAAAAAATTAGTTGGGTGTGGTGCCATATGCCTGTAGTCACAGCTATTCGAGAGGCTGAGGCAGGAGGATTGCTTGAGCCCAAGAGTTGAGGTTGCAGTCAACTATGATCATGCCACTGCACTCCAGCTTAAACAACAGAGCAAAACCCTATTTCAAAAAAAAAAAAAAAAAAAAAAGGCCGGACGCAGCAGCTCACACCCGTAATCCCAGTACTTTGGGTGGCCGAGGCAGGCAGATCACCTGAGGAGTTCAAGACCAGCATAGTCCAACATGGTGAAACCTCATCTCTACTAAAATTACAGAAATTAGCCAGGCATGGTGATGGGCGCCTGTAATCCCAGCTACTTGGGAGGCTGAGGCAGGAGAATCGCTTGAACCCGGGAATGGGAGGTTGCAGTGAGCTGAGATCGCACCACTGCACTCTAGCCTGGGAAACAGAGTGAGACTCTGTCTCAAAAAAAAAAAAAAAGTTTGGTATATATCTTTATTCAGACCTTGCATACTCTAACATATATGTGGGTATATGTATTTTTTAACCCCAAAATGGGACTATTCATATGGCTTTTTGGTTGGGTTTTGTTTGTTTGTTTTTGTTTTTTTGTGACAGAGTCTTGTACTCTTTCACCCAGGCTGGAGTGCAGTAGCGCAATCTCAGCTCACTGCAACCTCCGCCTCCTGGGTTCAAGGCATTCTCCTGCTCATCCTTCCGAGTAGCTGAGATCACAGGCACATGCCACCACGCCAGGCTAATTTTTGTATTTTTAGTAGAGACAGGGTTTCACTGTGTTGGCCAGGCTGGTCTCGAACTCCTGACATCAAGTGATCCTCCCACCTCAGCCTCTCAAAGTGCTGGCATTACAAAGTCGTGATCCACCACACCCAACCTAGTCATACTGTTCTATAACTTGATTTTTTATATGACAGTGTATGTAAAACTTCCTTTCATGTTAGTTTCTGTAGATTTGTCTCACTCTTCATAATGACTGTATCATATTCCACTTAATGGCCGTGCTATATTTTATTTTAGTGTACTCGGTACTGGTCATTTGGGTGTTTCTAGTTTTTTACTCTTACAAACAATCCTGCTGTGAATATTTTTGGACAGTTTTGTGGTAACTAAAATTAAAACTTTTTTTTTTTTTTTTTTGAGACGGAGTTTCGCCCTTGTAGCCCAGGCTGGAGTCCATTGGCGCAATCTCGGCTCACTGCAACCTCTGCCTCCCAGGTTCAAGCAGTTCTCCTGCCTCAGCCTCCCAAATAGCTGGGATTACAGGCATGCGCCACCACGTCCAGCTAATTCTGTATTTTTACTAGAGACGGGGTTTCACCATATTGGTCAGGCTGGTCTCCAACTCTTGACCCAAAGTGATCCACCTGCCTCAGCCTCCCAAAGTGTTCGGATTACAGGCCTTAGCCACTGTGCCCGGCCTAAAACATCTTTATTTCAGTAAGGTCAGGAGTTCTAAGTTCCCAAACCCATTTTAAGTGTCCTTTGCTCCATAGATCTTCAGATCCCTACCTGTTGGCTATAACATCTCTAAGCAAGTTCTTGATCAGTATCTCACTCTGCTGGCAGATGATCCAGTAAGTCTGTTTTTGCTTTTTTTCTTTTTTCTTTAGCCTGTACTGTTGATAATTTATTTCTGCACTGATACCTAGTGTCATCCTCCTGCAGAGTTATTCTCTACCTAGCCAGCCCAGACAATTTCTCCACATCATTTGATAGGAGGGCTACCTGCTGCAGACTTTTGGTCAGATTTGTTCCATTGGAAACAGAATCACTGGACTTTCCGTTCAGTTAACACTCTCTCTTTTTCTTAATAGCTAGAGTTTGTTGGAAAGTCTGGCGACAGTGGTGGAGGAATGTATGTCATCAGTATCCTTACCAGTTATTTCCTTAGAGTCAGGCAGCCTGACCTATAAATCAGAATGGTGCCTTAGGAAAGAAAGATTTGGTAATGTTTATTATACTAAATAAATTAGAAAATTGAAGTAATTGTTAAATAAATTTTTCTATGAATTTTCAGTGAACTGCATTGATGATGAAGTAAAAAGAGGCCAGGCATGGTGGACTTTGGGAGGCTGAGGCAGGTGAATTGCATGAACCCAGGAGTTCAAGATCAGCTAAGCAACATGGCAAAACCCCATCTCTACCAAAAATACAAAAACTAGCCAGCTGTAACGATGCATGCTTGTAGTCCAGCTCCTCAGGAGGCTGAGGTGGGAGGATCGCTAGAGCCCAGGAGACAGACGTTGCAGTAAGCTGAGATCATGCCACTGTACTCCAACCTGGGTGACCCTGTCTCAAAAAAGAAAAGGAAAAAGGACTTTTAATCAACCAAATTTTAGTTAAGCAAAACCCTTACTTAAACACTTGTATTAAAGTTTTGGAATATTTATGTACCATGACTGAAACCATAAATTATAACATGAAAAACAAAATAGCATTTAAAATTTAATTATAAATTAGAAACTTAGGAATAAAACTCAGATCACAATAACTAGGCCAAAACATTACTGAGTGACCTTAATTCTCTACATAAAGACCTCCATAAGGCATTAGCATCCCTAGCCACAGCCACTCTGGAGTCCGTCGTACAGGAGAGGTAAGGGGGACACTGGTTGGGTTTGGGATCACATACTTCCTATCCCCAGTGAAGTAATTTGATCATTATGTAAGCCACCAATATAACCACACCTTGGCATACTTTTCCCCATTTTTTCACTGGACTCCTATGGATCTCATGTAATACTGCTCTTTACCTTAAAATAACCTACTGTTTAATTCCTACCGATGCAAATTAACCAGCCTCCCTAAAGCCTTTGCTTACAAATGTAGGAACTGTGGCACTCAAATGAGTCAGCAGTTGGTGACTGCCTTATGATTAACAGCAGTTGGTGATGCCTTACCATCACCAACCTATGGAGCTGTAGAATAATTTTCTGATCACTGTTCCTGTCTGGTACTGGCTTCACACATGGAATAGAACAACCACCCCATCTATGACTGGGAACTAAAGCTGATCTATGTTAGCATGCCATTTGCTTTCTTCATTCCTTTCCAGATTTGGGTCTCGCTGTGCTAGAATATTCCGTCTAGTTTTGCAGAAGAAACACATAGAGCAGAAGCAAGTGGAAGACTTTGCAATGATTCCTGCAAAGGAGGCAAAGGATATGCTATATAAGATGCTCTCAGAAAATTTCATGTCACTCCAGGTAACCAACCAAGGGCGTAATAATTGCCAACCAGCAAAGCTGGCCTAGGGTGAGAGAAGCTTCTTAGGCAAACATACTGAACCCCCAAGCAAACTCTATATCCAGCTCTGAGACAGAAAAACATGATTCACAGAGACATAGCGAGCACTTGGAGGATAATTTGGGGCCTTAACTGCCCTAGTGAGAAAGAGGTGGCCGGGCACGGTGGTTCGCGCCTGTAGTCCCAGCACTTTGGGAGGCCAAGGTGGGCAAATCACTTGAGGTCAGGAGTTCGAGACCAGCCTGGCCAACATGGTGAAACTCCGTCTCTAATAAAATACAAAACAATTAGCTGGGCCTGGTGGCACACGCCTATAGTCCCAGCTGCTCGGGAGGCTGAGGCAGGAAGGAGACTCTCTTGAACCCAGGAGGGGGAGGTTGCAGTGAGCCGAGATCAAGCCACTGCACTCTAGCCTGAGCAACAGAGTGAGACTCTGTCTCAAAAAACAAAAAAAACAAAAAACAAAAAAGAGGCAGAGCCAGGACATCACCCCAAACCCACCCTGCCTTTTTTTCTCTTCTCATTTCTGTCCTTCCTTAAGCCTTAATTCTGTTATAGTTTAAATTTATCAACACATCTAACTGAGTCTTTGCAGGGCTATTTAGTAGAGCATATGAGTAAATAGATAGAATGGATTTTTGGAGTCAGATTACAGCTCTGCCTTACCCAGTTACATTAAGCAAGTTACCACGTTTCCCATCTATAAAACAGTGATGGATGGTGATAATAAAAATAATATGGTTGCCAGGTGCGGTGGCTCATGCCTGTAATCCCAGCACTTTGGGAGGCCTAGGCGGACGGATCACTTGAGGTCAGGAATTCGAGAATAGCCTGGCCAACCTGGTGAAACCCTGTCTCTACTAAAAATACAAAAATTAGCTGGGCGTGGTGCCGTGTGTCTGTAATCCCAGCTACTCAGGAGGCTGAGGAAGGAGAATTGCTTGAACCTGGGAGGCAGAGGTTGCAGTGAGCCAACATTGTGCCACTGCACTCCAGCCTGGGCAACAGAGCAAGACTCTGTCTCAAAAATAATAATAATACGACTTTTTGTAAAGATCAAATAGAATTTACCTGGCACATAGAGTTGTTCAGTAAATGTTAGTTGCCCTCCCTTTCTTCCCCAGCTCAGGATGCTGACAGTCAAATGGAAAAAACAGGGAAGCCCAGCTCTCCATTTGACTGATTATGACATAAACCACAAAGACTGGGCCGGGCACACCTGTATTCTCAGCACTTTGGGAAACCAAGGCGGGATGATCACTTGAGCCCAGGAATTCAAGACCAGCCTGGAAAATATAGTGAGACCATGTCTCCACCACCCCCAAAAGATTAAAAAATTAGCGGAGCATGGTGGTGCATGCCTGTAGTTCCGGCTACTTGGGGGACTGAGGTGGGAGGATTGCTTGAGCCGGAGGTGGAAGTTGCAGTGAGCTGATATCATGCCACCGCACTCCATCCTAGGTAACAGAGCAAGACCCAGTCTCAAAATAAATAAATAAAATAAACACAGGTACTGAATGACTAGGAAACAGGAAAGTGTAAGTAAAAAGGAGGGCTAAGTAACTCCAGGTAGAATGAGTGTGTGCTTTGCCAGTTCTAAAACAGTATAATTTCTGCTATTTTTCTTTCTATTGGACAAATAGGAAATTCCCAAAACACCAGACCATGCCCCATCCAGGACCTTCTATTTATATACTGTGAACATCCTGTCAGCTGCCCGAATGTTGTTGCACAGGTGCTACAAGGTAACTCAATCTGGACCTTCTCCCCATTTCCTCCATACGGTCAAGTACCCCTCATGTGCCCACTTCGCCCTGAGCTGCTGAAATAGAACTATGTGCATTCCTTGTCTGTCTTCTCTTTCCTCAGAGCATAGCCAACTTGATAGAAAGGAGGCAATTTGAAACCAAAGAGAATAAGTAAGTAACATTTTCAGTTGAGTTATTTACATCTTTCAAGATCAAGGGCCTCAGGGGAAATTTCCTCTAGAAATAGGAATCAATAGACGCTGGGCCTGGCAGGGTGGCTCATGCCTGTAATCCCAGCACTTCGGGAGGCTGAGGCAGGTGGATCACTTGAGGTCAGGAGTTTGAGACCAACCTGGCCAACATGGTGAAACCCTGTCTTCACTAAAAATACAAAAATTAGCTGGGCATGGTGGCGGGCACCTATAGTCCCAGCTACTCGGGAGGCTAAGGCAGGAGAATCACTTAAACCCAGTGAGTGGAGGTTGCAGTGAACCAAGATCACGCCACTGCACTCCAGCCTGGGCGACAAAGTGAGACTCCATCTCAAAAAAAAAAATTTTTTTTTTGAGAAGTAGGAACCAGTAGAGATAGCAACCAGTCTACTTGCATTGAATCATTGGCTTAGATTAGTGTAAATCATGCATTAGTCTACACTTTTCTAACATGCTCCCAGTGAAATAATTTTTCAGATTAAATTTGTGAGAAACGTACAAAAGCACCAAACTTTTAAGTGCAAATGAGAGGCAATAAGAATTTCAGGAGTGAAGTTATATTTCCAAATAAGTTTGTAGAAAATGTCCTTAGAAGGTGACATTATCTACTTTGATCAGGAAAATGGTAAAGGGTGGTGGGTAGTGCCTCAGACACACGTGGTAAGAGAATCTCCCAGGTTAGGGAAGATGTCTCAGAGTTGTGTTTGTTTGACAGGCGTCTACTAGAAAAATCTCAGAGGGTAGAAGCCATCATTGCATCTATGCAGGCTACTGGTGCAGAGGAAGCACAGTTACAAGAAATAGAGGAGATGATCACAGCTCCTGAACGTCAGCAGCTAGAGACCCTGAAACGTAATGTCAACAAGTAAGCATCATAAACTTCAGACCTGCATTTCAGAATACCATCCAGAAAATCCATTTTGACCTCCTGTAACCCTCCAGCTTAGCATGAGCAAACCTAAACTCACTGTCTCCTCCAGCTCACTTAACAGAATTTAATCCACCTATTTTTGTAAACTAGCAATTCTGAAGATGTTCTGAGCTTCTTCTCCATCACCATATACACTCTCTTGTTCATCAAGTACTGATAAATTTTTTTTAAGAGACGGGGTTTTGGCTGTGTTGCCCAGACTGGCCTTGAACTCGTAGGTTCAAACAGTCTTCCTGCCTCAGCCTCCCAAGTAGCTGGGACTACAGGCAAGTGCCACTGCGCTGGCTTAATTTTACTTGAGTCATGTGTCTCAAATCTGGCCTTTCATCTTGGTCCACACGCAGGCCTTCATCACCTCTTTCCTAGACCTTCACATTTCAGTGCACAATTTGTGCACCTCTTTCATTAAATTTATTTCTTAAGTATTTTTTTGGATACTAGTTTAGTGGTCGCTTATTTCAGTTTTAGATTGTTCATTGCTAGTGTTATACAAAAACAACCAACTTTGGTGTTGTGATTTTGTATCCCACAACTTTACTAAATTCATTTATTAATTCTAGTAGTTTTTTTGCAGATTCTTTGAGATTTTTTATAATAGGATTATGTCATCCATGAATAGAGAGAGTTTTACTTCTGTCTTTTCAATCTAGATGCCTTTACTTTTTTTTTTTCCTGCCCCATTACCCTGGCTAGAACCTCCAGTAAAAGGTTGAATAGAAGTACAAAAGCAGACATCTTTGTTTTGTTTCTGATCTTAGGAGAAAAGCTTTTAGTCTTTCACCATTAAGTATGATGTTAGCTGTGGGTTTTTCCTAGATGGCTTTTGTCAGGCTGAAGAAGCTTCCATTTCTTCCTAATCACCACTCACTTTAAGCTTCAGACACTCTTAGTTTCTTGCTATTTTAAAACACACTAGGTCCTTTTATACCTGTGCCTTTACGTTCGTTTTCCTGATTGCAAATGAAGACTACCTTCCCCCAGGACAGAGGCTCTGTATTTTGTATTCTTAGCAGTTTGCATGGTGTCTGGCACATAAAGATGCTCGGTAAATAGCAAAATGATCTACTGGTTCTCCTGCTTTCTTTCCATCCACTCTCAAGGGTAACCAAGCAGTTATCCATGGCCACACCCACCCTAACCTCTAATCTTAAATATGCTAATGAACATTCAGTCTAGGCAAATGCCTTTACTTTTCACTCAGGTTGGATGCCAGTGAGATCCAGGTGGACGAAACCATCTTCCTGCTGGAGTCTTACATTGAGTGCACCATGAAGAGACAGTGATCCAGAAGAAGCATCTTCCTCAGAAGATCTGGGGGGATGGAAAGCAAAATAAAGGAGGTGCCTGGATGCATTATTTGCAGTGGGATAAGTCGCAGAGTCTTCAACTAAACCCCCCTCTCTATCCCCTGCAGCCCAGGATACACCTGAAAGAATTTGGCATATTTAGATCCATTGCTGTAGTCTCCCCTCATCAAATCTTGGCAGTGGGAAGAACCTTAAATCAACAAGGTTAATCATCTATCAGATGCATCTGTTCCCATAAAGAAGTTACCCACACCTATGGTTACCTATATCCCTGGCAATAGGAAACTTCCTAAGAAGTTAATTTTATTTTCAGATGTCTATGCCTGTTCTTTATTTTGTTGAGATAGGTGATAGATAGATAGATAGATAGATAATTTGTTGTTGTTGAGACAGGATCTCACTCTGTCACTCAGGCTGGGGTGTAATAGCGCAATCACAGCTCCCTACAGCCTTGACCTCCTGAGCTCAAGCAGTCCTTCCACCTCAGCCTCTGGAGTAGCTGGGACTACAGGCATGCACCACACATACCCAGCTATTTTTTATTTATTTATTTATTTTTTTGTAGAGACAGGGCCTCCCTGTGTTGCCCAGGCTGATGAACTGTAATTTTTAACACACACAGTGTAGGGAATGTGAAAGACTATCACAGAGTAGAAGAAAAAATTATTTTCAGGGTTAGCAGGTGGATTGTCCCAAGCAGTCACACTAGAATCTGTGGACTGAAGCCACATTTGCCAGCTCCAGGCTTCTAACACATCTGAAACTGTGTATGTAGAACAGCTAGCTCAATGCCTGGCATATGGTAAGCACACAGTAAATTAGCGCCTTCCTCTTCTCCATGGTTCCTTAAAACTGGCAACGCTAAATTCTCTCTCTCAGTATCACGGATATAATTTGTCCCAGCAGCTTTAATTCATTTAAAGCAGTTAGATGTTTTATAATATCTTCAGTTTTCTCTCACCAATGTGTTTTCTAATTGTTTAAACACTTGAGTGTCAAACAATTGCCAGCCACCATACTAAACACAACATACAAGGATAGATAAATAAGACACCATCTCTGCCCTCAAGCCAGTCACCATCATTTACTAAGCACCTGTTTTGTGCTAAGTACTGGGGTAAGCCTTGGGGATATAAAGATTAATAAATTTTGAGCATACAGTCTAGTAGGAGGAGACAAATAAGTACATAAGTACCAGGAAGTATTAGGGGTGCTACAGTAGAAGAGTAAACACTATGTACAGAGAGGCCAGAAAGGGAAAAGGGTCAGGCAGGGAAGGGAACACAGAGAGTGACAATGTATAGTTTGAAAGATGAGGATGCTTTATTTGCAAACTATCTTAACAAGGGATTCGTAACCAGAATATATAAGGAGCTCAAACAATAGCAAAAAGAACAATCCAACTTAAAAATGGCCAAAAGATCTTAATAGGTAGTTTTCGAAAGAAGATACACAAATGGCCGACAGATACATCAAAAAATGTTCAACATCACTAATCAGAGAAATGGAAATCAAAATCAATGAGATAACATCTCACCCCAATTCATTACTTTTATCAAGAAGAAAGAATGAATGCTAGTGAGGATGTGGAAAAAGGAGAGCCCTGCCTGGTACACTGTTGGGAATGTAAATTGGTACAGCCACTGTGGAAGACTACAGAGGTTCCTCAAAAAACTAAAAACAGAACTATGCTCCAGCAGTTCCACTACTGGGTATATATATATCTCCAAAAGGAAAGAAATCAATGTATCAAAAAGATACCTGCACTCCCATGTTTATTGCAGCAGTATTCACGATAGCCAAAACATGGAATCAACCTAAGTGCCCATCAATAGATGAAAGGCTAAAGAAAATGTATTATTCAGCCATAAGAATGAATGAAATCCTGTCATTGGCAGCAACATGGATGGAATTGGAGGTCATTATGTTAAGTAAAATAAACCAAGCACAGAAACAAATATTGCATGTTCTGTCTCACATAGGAGCTAAAAAAGTGGATCTCAAGAAAATAAAGAATAGATTGGTAGTTACCAGAGGCTAGGAAGGATGGGGAGGATGAAGAGAGGTTGATTAGTGGGCACAGATAATACAGTTTGAAGAAGTAAGACTGGTGTTGGATAGATCAGGGTGGCATAGTTATTAATTTACTGTACATTTCAAAACAGCTAGAAGATAATTTTGATGGTGCCTAAATCCTGTAATCCCAACACACTGGGAGGATCAGTTGAAGCCAGGAGTTCAAGAACAGCCTGGGCAACAGTGAGATTTCATCGTTACAAAAAAATTTAAAAATTAGCCAGGTGTGGGTAGTGCACATCTGTAATCACAGCTACTCAGGAGGCTGAGACGGGAGAAGCGCTTGAACCAGGGAGGTGGAGGTTGCAGTGAGCTGAGATGGCGCCACTGCACTCCAGCCTGGGTGACAGAGCGAGACTCCGTCTCAAAAAAAAAAAAAGGCCGCGCGTGGTGGTGGGCGCCCTGTAATCCCAGCTACTACTTCGGAAGCTAAAGCACGAGAATCGCTTCAACCTGGGAGATGGAGGTTGCAGTGAGCTGGGATCACACCAGTGCACTCCTGTCTGGGCTGTAGAGTGAGACTCTCAAAACAAAACATCACTCTGGCAGCACTGTAGAGAATGAACTGGTAGGGGCAAGACTATTTGGAGACTTGCAATAATATTTCAGGCAAAATACGAGGAAGGCTTAAACTAGGGCAATGAATGAAGGCTGGAGAGAACATGGGTTTGAGGAAGTTTAAGGAGATAGCATCTGCATACTTGGTTGCCATTTGAGTGAAGTGAAAGGAGAAGTGGTATCGAAAATGTTATTTGGTGTGTTTCGCTTGGAGATAATTAATTCGAAGTGATGCCTGCTGTAACAGGTGTGCATAGTGCTGTAGAGGATGCTTACAGTTCAGCTTAGGGCTGGTTGGAAGTAACATGTGGGTCCTGAAGTCATTCGGTCTGGGGGTCATTGTCCTAAACAGAGAAGATAGGAAGGAATAGGAGCTGAGCATTTAGAGGTATTCTTCTTTGTGGTTTAATATTATACCCATGGGTCATCCTCAAAAGATGTGCCCTTATTTCCCCGGGGACTTTCGGAAACCCCGCTACGACCCCGCGGAACGTTCCGAGGGGAAGCTTCTCTAGGCCACCAGAGGGCGCCAGGCGGGCCGCAGCGACTCCAGAGTCGCGTTATGGCCGAGGTGCGGGTGCAGCTGCTCCTGTCCCGGCGTCCGGAGTCGGTGAGCTTCGCACGGAGTGTGTGTGGCCTCCTGGGAGCCGGACCAGGGCTCGGGACGTGGCCCATTCACTGCAGCTTGAAGCGAGGACGGCTTGTCCTCTCGAGCAGGCCCTTCCCAGGCGCCTCCGCTAGGCTTCCGCTCCAGGTCGGCAGAAGGGGGCCCCAGAGCGGGGGCAGTGAAGGGCCAAAGATGGGGACTGAAATCGGGTGGGAACTGGCGGCGAGGACCCCGCCCCCAACGCGCGGTGTAGCCCCATTTTTGGAAGTCACGCCCACCCAGTGCCGCCCTTCTGAAGCCTTAACCCAGCTGGCTTCCTTCTGCCAGCGACCCCCTTTCTGCCCTTTTGCGGCCCTGGAGGAGCGGCCCAGGGTCCCTGGGGCTGAGCTGCCCACAGATCGAGGTGTGGACCTGGGTGTGGCCGTCATTCTGCAGTCCAGCGACAAGACTGTCTTGCTAACCCGAAGGGCACGCACCCTGAGCGTTTCCCCCAACCTCTGGGTACCCCCGGGTGAGTATTCTGGGGACAAGGCCCCAAGTACAGAGAAGAAATTTGCCCTTTCCCCGCAACAATGTTTTTCCCAGTCTCAGAAGGATAAAGTGGGCCCCAAAATGTGGCATGTTCATAGTCACAAGGGACTGCAACTCCCTCTGTGTCCACTGGAGGGGAGAGGAGTGTCAACAGTGAGTGGGGGCTCCCTGGCCAAGACCACCACCATTCACCTACTGGCCCCACTGTTGTTGCAGGTGGGCACGTGGAACTTGAGGAGGAGGTAACCAGTCAGCTGATCCAACCTGAGCCAAGAGACCCATGCCTGGGACCATCTTGGGTGTGGGCTGAGGGAGAGGCAAGCAAAAGGACTTGGAAGAGTCAGGCACTGGCCCCTCTGATGTGTCTTCTCTGACTCCCAGCTGCTGGACGGAGGGCTTCGAGAACTTTGGGAGGAGAGTGGACTACACCTGCCCCAGGGCCAGTTCTCTTGGGTCCCTCTGGGTTTATGGGAGGTGAGACAAGTAGCTGGGAGAAGCTCCTCCATAGATCAGCCCCTACCTGCCTTGGCTACAAGGGAAACAATAGCACATAAGTGGGCTGGAATCCCCAAATCCATAACCCTCACCCATGTCCCTGCTGTGTCATCTGTACCATCCACGCCCTCAGCTTTTGGCCACCATTTTGTTTCACCCTAAAGCTGTATTAACAAAGTCTCAAAAAGTGACACAAAGGGCCGGGTGCGGTGGCTCACGCCTGTAATCCCAACACTTTGGGAGGCTGAGGTGGGCGGATCACCTGAGGTCAGAAGTTTGAGACCAGCCTGGACAACATGGCGAAACCCCGTCTCTACTAAAAATACAAAAATTTTAGCTGGGCGTGGCGGCAGGCGCCTGTAATCCCAGCTACTCTGGAGGCTGAGGCTGGAGAATTGCTTGAACCCAGGAGGCAGAGGTTGCAGTGAGCCAAGATCACGCCATTGCATGCCAGCCTGGGCGACAAGAGCGAAACTCCATCTTAAAAAAAAAAAAAAAGTGACGGAAAGTTCTCACTTTTGCTGTTTTCTTTTCCTAGTCTGCCTACCCTCCTAGGCTGAGCTGGGGTTTACCCAAATACCATCACATTGTTCTGTATCTACTCGTGATCTCCCAGGAATCACAGCAGCAGTTGCAGGTAGGGCTGGCAGTGAGGGAAGGAAACAGGGCTCAGGGGAGCCCAAGCAACCTGGTTCTGACTGTGATTAGGAGCTGGGCGGGGGTGGCGGGGGTAGTCAGAGATAACGAAGAATATGCAATGCCCTTTCCCCTTGCTCCTGCCTTTCTCCATGAAACCTGCGGGTAGGTTTTGATCACGAACAGGCAGCCCAGGGAGAGGCAATGACTGAGGGGTCACCATGTCTGACCCCAGGCCCGGATCCAACCAAACCCAAATGAGGTGAGCGCCCTTATGTGGCTGACACCAGATGTAGCTGCTGCAGTGGCTGCCGCAGAGGATGGGACAGAGACACCCGGACTTCTCCCCCAGGACCTACCACCCTCTGTCCTGTAAGTAAGAGCTTCTCCCTCAGCCTCTAATACACCAACATATTCATGTTGAGAAGTTCAGCGTCTATCCTGTCCTCAGGATGGAATTTTGTGTTGTGGGGGAGATTTAAGGAGAGTGGGTCAGCTGATAATTAAGAAGGTACATGAAATCTAAGACACTGACCATCAAACCCCAAAGATTCTTGCTCTAACTGGCTAGCATTGAAGGTCTAAGTGTCAGTTCTAACACAGGGGCAAGTCATTTAACCCTCCTTGAACCTGTTTCCTTTCTGCAAATGAGGTCAACACCCACCCACCTCCTGTGGTAGTTGGGAGGATTCGGGGACCTAACATATATGTAAGTTCTTTGTAAGCTACAAGGCACAGCCCCAACAGGAGTTGTCACCATGCAGTGCAGTGGAACTAGAGGAGGATGGAAGAGCCCGACCTCTGGTCCTGCACATGTCCACCCTCCTGCGGATGATCCCAACCATGGCAGAGGACAAAGAGAGAGTCAGCACTGGAACCAAGTTTGCCCTCAAGCTCTGGCTGCAACATCTGGGCAGGTAAAAGTGAAAAAGGACTGGAGAGCTCCACAGTACTGGGCTGGAATGGTCTAGTTTTTACAGGCACGGGGGAAAGCAGGAAAGGACAACCTCTCTTGGAATTCCTCCACAGAACACCCCCACCGTGTAAAAGTGCAGCTTACCTGGACCCAGGGCCAGCAAAGGAAGAATGGAACATGGACCCTCTTCCCCCAAACCAGGGGTCTGGAAAGTGAAGTGTAAAATCCCCTCCCTAGCCCATCTCCATGACACTCACAGAACATTCACAACCTTTATTATGGGTGAGAGCTTCACTACAACTTTAGAAATAAAAAGTAAAATTACAACATAGGTCCTAGGCCTTGGCGAGCCTGAAAAAGAAGATTGGGAAGGAGGGCACAGGGTCCTTCCACCTCCCTGGAAAGGTGCAGAATGAGCCAGGCCTAACTACAGGGCCATGAGCCTCTAGAAGCTTAGGGGGGAATAAGAAACACTGTGAACTTAGATATATAAATAGAGAGAGACCCAAGCAATAGGCCGGGCCTGACTCCCAGACCCCTGCAGATCATGGCTAAGGCCTTACATCCTCCTCTGTCATACTGGAGTAGGAGGCAGGGGAAGTCATCTTTGGAGTATTTTGGTTTTTCTTATTTATGTACAAAAAAGTCCACATCCACAATCCAAAATAAAGTTCTCTGTCCATCTCTGAAACTGCCTGTCTCAGTTTTTCCACCTGTCTGTTTGGCCGAAGGGAATGGAATAGACATGAAGAGACAATGGATGTGAAGAAGAAATAGAGCCATGGGTTTGGGTAATAAGAAGAGAGAGCATTTGGGGTTCAAGAGAGGTGCCCCTTCCCCAAGAGGCTCTAGACATAGTCAAGGCTGAGGGTTCAGCCCTTCTCCTAGCTCACATACCATCCCATTTGCCTCCCACTGCCTAGGTTAACATACCCAAAGGAATGTGCCACCATCTAAAGAACATTTCCAGAAACAGACCCCAGTGTCCTTAAAAAGAGGTTAAATATTAACCCTTTGGGTGCTGGCCTTGTCAGGCAGAGATGAGGCCAAAAGTAGGCATCTGTGAAGGTCTGTCTGGCCCTTGGCCAGAGCCCCCAGAGGGATCAGAGTAGCTGGGGTTGGGACTCCACAGCATACTTGCTCAGTGTTGGGGGACAGCGAAGTTTCCATAATCCAGGGAACTCAGTCCAGGGAAATGATGTCTGACCGACAGCCAGTCAAAGAGGGACCTGAGGGCAGGGGTCCTCCATGCCCCTCCCTCAAGGCCCCCCCAGGGGCCACAATGCTGCTGACACGGCCAGGAGGGGGCGCCGGAGTGGCGCTGCAGTGGGAGCTCCCCAGCGTGGGGGCCAGTGGGCCCAGAAAGTGAGAAGGGGTCCCTCGGTACTGGAAGAAGTGGCCAAGGGCATCCTGTTCATCTAGTGAGGTGATGACAGAGGGGCCATAGTGCTAGGAAGAATCAAGGGCATAGTTTAAGATCTCAATCCCGACTTCCCCACCTCCCAGTCACTCATCTCAGAAATGCCGTATGAGAGCAATCAACCCCTGTGGATCCGAAGGTATTCTCTTGAGAAGCAGGAGAGCCTCTCCCTCTTTCCCCTACTTCCCTACACCCTTCCCCTTTCCCTGCCTTGAGAGAGCTCCTCCAACTTGTTAGGTTCTTGGCTTTGTGGGCGTCTGAAATGTGTGGAATGTCCGGTTAGAGCAGGCATGGTGCTCTAAGTGCACACGGGGGTAGGGGTGAGTAGGCCAGGGCAGAAAAGTAACAGGGGATCTAGGAAGGAGGCCTAAGTAGGAATCTCAGGAACTACCAGTGGGGCTGAGGAGATAATAAGATACCTACACCCCACTGCCCTCACGGGAAAGCAGATTTACATCCCCAGAGATCATAAGAGAGGGAGGGGCCCCATCAGTGTCTAGAAAGGAAGCTTCAGAGATCTGAGACCTTCTGAAGAAAGAACCACTTACCTGACTCTCTGTCTGAAGAAATGAAAATAAATCTAAACCTGGCAGGAAAAGAAAAATCAAAATTAACCTCCTATCTGACCCCTTTACCACCAAAAGACAAAGCACTGTGGACTGTGGCCCCTTGCAGGAGAAGCAGGAGGCTTTGAGAAGGAACAGGGGTTCTGATGTAGCTCTGGGGAGGGTGTGGCAGTGCAGGGTCCATCTTATGACCCATGTCATACCTTGGATGTCGGCTCCCAGTGGGAAGGCAGGTGGGTACTCATGTAGTGGGAGACTGGACAGGAAATCCCCACCCAACGTGCCCATAGCAGGGCTCCTTAGCACCGAGGATGGCTGGTGGCCAGATGTCAGGACTCTGTGGGTAGAGAGGAGCTGAGGCAGCCAGCAAACCACAGATGCCCTCACCCAGCTCAGGTCCCCAGGTTCCCTCTCTGTCCCCTCCACATTTCTCTTGCCCCAGGCTTTGTCCAATGATCAGAAAGCAATCCTGACTTCTTCCCCTGTCCGTTTTGCTGTAGACTCAGCCTATTTTCTCATACCCTTTGCTTCCAGGTAGGGCCGGGATGGCAGCTGAGGTGACAGAACAGTGCTTCTTGGTAGGGGGCAGATCCTCCTCATCTGATGAGCTTTCTATTGTCAAGTCAATAACTTCGACCTTCTTCTTATTCTCTGATGGATCTCCCCCCTGGACTGGGCTGTACTGGAGGCCTGTGGGTATTAAGAAGACTACGTCTCAGAGAAGAGGCCATCCAAGATTTAGCTTAGCTGGGGAACAGGGGGTCACTCACCATCCAGCCCATACCCTGGCGGGGGGCAAACCTCAGATGCCTCCTTCTTGGGTTTCATTGGGCACCAGGATCCATCTTCCATGAATTGGATCTCATCACAATCTGAACAGGAACTAAGAATCTCCATAAATAAACTGGGGGAAGAGAGAGATGAAAATTCACGGGGCTGGGAGATGAGCAGAACAGTAGCCAGAGTTCTGTAACTCACCTTCCTGTATCTCAGTTTCCTCATCTGTAAAATAAGAACATTATCCATCCTACTGGACCGCTCTGAGTTGTTGGAATCAAATAACACAAGGTATGTAAAAGAGCTTTGCAAAGTAAGTAATAGGTTTTAAAATAAATACAATCTGAGGCTGGGTGCAGTGGCTCACGCCTTTAATCCCAGCACTTTGGGAGGTACAGGCAGGTGAATCACTTGAGGCTGGGAGTTCAAGACCAGCCTGGCCAACATGGTGAAACCTCATCTCTACTAAAAATACAAAAATTAGCCAGGTGTGGTGGCACATGCCTATAATCCCAGCTACTTAGGAGGCTGAGGCACGAGAATCGCTTGAACCCAGGAGGCAGAGGTTGCAGTGAGCCTAGACCACACCACTGTTCTCCACCCTGGGAAACAGAGCAAGGCTCTGCCTCAAAAAAAAAAAAAAAAAAAAAGCCGGCGTGGTGGCTCACGCCTATAATCACACTTTCAGAGACTGAGGTGGGTGGATCACCTGAGGTCAGGAGTTCGAGACCAGCCTGGCCAACATGGTGAAACCCCATCTCTACCAAAAATACAAAATTAGCCGGATGTGGCGGCACATGCCTGTAATCCCAGCTACTCAGGAGGCTGAGGCAGGAGAATTGCTTGAACCCAGGAGGCAGAGGTTGCATGAGCTGAGATCACGAGACTGTGCCATACCACTCCAGCCTGGGTGACAGAGTGAAACACCGTCTCAAAAAAAAAAAAAAAAAAAATCTGAGCACTTACGTGTAGTATAAGGAACAAAAGGAGCAGAGACACAGAAGTCCATAAACCATCTCCAAAAGGCACTGGGTCTTTGGCTTTCTAAACACTTGTGTAAAAATAAATAAATAAAGGCACTAGGGGCCAGGCATGGTAGCTCATGCCTGCAATCCTAGCACTTTGGGAGGCCAAGGTGGGAGGATCACTTGAGGCCAGGAGGTCGAGGCTGCAGTGAGCTATGATTGTGCTACTATACTCCAGTCTGGGCAACAGAACGAGACCCTGTCTCAAAAACAAACAAACAAACAAAAAGTGGGGGAGCACTGGGAACAGGAACCATAATGTAGATTCCAAAAAGAGGTTAAGACTAGCAAGATCAAAAGATTAGAACATCCAGGCCCTGAAAAGAACCTTATTGCAATGCTCAGTGGGAAGTCAGGTAGTTGTTATAGGTGATATATTATGACAGTTCAGTACACTGGCTCTGCCACTTAACAATATAACCTTGAGCAAGGCTCAATCTCTCTCGGCCTCAGTTTCCTCATGTGTAATGATACTACCTATCTCATAGGGTTTTTTTTTTTCTTTTTTTTTTTCTGGGTGAGTGTCACTAGCCAATCATAGGATTATTTCTTTTTTTGAGACAGGGTCTCAATCTGTTGCCCAGGCTGGGGTGCAGTAATGCAATCATAGCTCACTGCAGCCTCAAACTCCTGGGTTCAAGCCATCCTCCTGCCTCAGCCTCCTGAGCAGCTAAGACTACAGTCATGAGCTATTATAACATGCCTGGCTAATTTTTTTAATTTTTTATAGAGAGAGGGTCTACTATGTTGCCCAGGCTGGTCTCAAACTCCTAGCCTCAAATGATCTTCCCATCTCAGCCTTCCAGTGTTGGAATTACAGGTAGGAGCCGAGTCCATAGGGTTATTGTGAGGATTCAATGAGATAACTCATGCAAAGTGCTCAGCAAGATGCCTTGTATATACTAAGTCCTTAATGTTGCCCTCCCCCTCCACACACATGCACATACACACACACACACACAGACTGGTAAAAGGGATAGATAAGGTGAGAATTGCAGTTCATGTGAGGGGAAGTAAGCCATATGAATTAAAAACCCTGAAGGAGGTGGTGGCTAAAAGAAAAAAGAAATATTATAGGCTGGGCATGTTGTCTCATGCCTGTAATCCCAGCACTTTAGGAGGCTGAAGTGGGCAGATCACCTGAGGTCAGGAGTTCAAGACCAGCCTGGCCAACATGGTGAAACCCAGTCTTTACTAAAAATACAAAAATTAGCCAGGCATGGTGGTGGGTGCCTGTAATCCCAGCTACTCAGGAGGCTGAGGCAGGAGTATCGCCTGAACCCGGGAGGTGGAGGTTGCAGTGAGCCAAGATTGTGCCACTGCACTCCAGCCTGGGGAACAGAGTAAGATTCCATCTCAAAAAAAAAAAAAAGAAAAGAAAAAGAAAAAGAAATAACCAAGAAAAGAGGTTCTAGTGGATGTCCTAGGTAAGAGGAAGCAAAATGGCCCTACCCATCAATGATAAGAGATTCATAGGGAGCCTTCTTGTCACACACAGGACATGTCCATGTAGGCTTCTTCTCATTCATCTGTAGATAAAGGGCAGCATCGAAGCTCTGCAGGTGGGCGCAGGTGAGGGCACGACAAGGGACAGTCAGGCGCATCTTCCCTAGCTGAGGAGAAGCAAGTTCTCTTGTCAGAGGCCCTACTCTGATTTCATCCCAGAAAACTTCACGCCAGTATCCCTAGGAACCCTCATCAAAGTCCACAGGCTAAACCCAACTCCCTTCCCACCCTGTTCCCTTCTCCCCTTTTACCCACCGGGCACATGAGTGACACCCGGAGACTTGTAGTGGCCACCTCACTGTCAGGGTCAGCAGTCAATTTCTCCTTGACTGAAACAAAAGTGAGGCCAGAGCCATGGGGTCAGCAAGGCTGGAGGAAGCCCAGGAGTTGGTAAGGCCAGGAACAGATGGCTCTGGCTGAGAGGCTGCTGGGTGGAGCGTCTTTGGGGGCCAGTGGGACGTCACATGGAAGTGGTCTGGGATATGGATGATGAAGGCTGGGTGTGGGGGATTTTCCCATCCCTGAAGATGCTTAAACATAGCGTGACACTCTGGCTATGTTAGAGATGATCTGGAGGAGTTGAAGCATCATGTGAGGGTTAGATTAGAGGACCCCTAAGATTCTTTCCAGTCCGGAGAGCCCATATTCTAGCAGGGCTGGAGTTAGGGACTGTGAGGTGCAAAGCAGATACATGATTGGAAATTCAAGGGTGCCTGGGAGTGGTCCAACTTCAACTATAAAGACTGGAAGACTGGTCAGGGGTAGAGGGGGAGGGTTGGGGTTCATGTGAGAAGGGGAGTAAGTTGTCAAAAAAGAGGTATGGGTTTAATTATGAAGGCTGGAGGGCCAGGAAGACTTGAATCCAGATCAGGTGGGGAAGAGAGGAAAGATGTTACTCACTCAGTGCCCGCGAGTGGTCTGGGTTCCGGATACCCTTTGCTCTGAGTTTTTGTAGAAGGGTTCCTGCAGTCAACTGCCTCACCAGGTACACAGACAAGGAGTAATTCTACTTGGAGGCAGGGGGTAGACAATTAGCCTCTGCTTCTCATACCACCACTGCCCACTTTTGTTCCATGAGGACCAGAGACAGACTCATAAAGAGGAAAATGCTTCCCCAACCCAGGACACTGGATGGTTCCCCTTCACCCTCAGCAGGCTTTTCCAGGCACCTGCTTTAGCTGTGCTCACCCGTCCGAACTCAGATGACCAATTGACCACAATGGTGTTGGGAACAGTGGCTGAGAGTCGAGCCAGGGGTGTGATGTTGATGGGGCGGCTGGGCCTCTTGGGCTCGGCCCCATTCTTGGTTGGGGGAAGGTAACCCTGGAGAAGGGAGGGATTGGTCAGTGGAGAAGTGGCTCTGGGAAGGGGCTCTGCTCTTTGAACAAAAGATATCTTGTCTCGGGTTATTCAATCCCTGGAGGGAAGGCCAACTCGCTCACTCACTGACCAAGGGGATGGAGGCCCATTCAGTGGCTCACAAAACTGGAGCACTGTCTAGGGTTATGTGTGGGGTTCACTCCTGGGGAGAAAGGAGAGCTTATTTATTGACTGAGAAAAAAGGAACTCACTGAGTCCCTGAGGAGGAGGAATAAGGATGCCTCACCTTTTCTAACTCTCAGCTCTGGGGTCAAGTCTTTCTGGCCGGGTGTACTGGCTCATGCCTGTAATCCCAGCACTTTAGGAAGCCGAGGTGGGTGGATCACCTGAGGTCAGGAGTTCGAGACCAGCCTAGCTAACATGGTAAAACTCCGTCTCTACTAAAAATACAAAAATTAGCCGGGCAGGGTGGTGGGCACCTGTAATCCCAGCTACTTGGGAGGCTGAGGCAAGAGAATTGCTTGAACTAGGGAGGCAGAGGTTGCAGTGAGCAGAGATTGCACCATTGCACTCCAGCCTGAGTGACAGAGCGAGTGACTCTGTCTCAAAAAAAAAAAACAAAAAAGAAGTCTTTCTTACATCTCGGGTTGAACTAATGTCCTCCTCCGAGTTCTCACAAAACCTTTGTTCAGCCCTATCTTAATACTCTCGAGATTCTATTGATTCAGTCAGTAAACTGAGCACCTACTATGTGCCACGCACTGTGCTAGGCATGTCTCTTTCAGAATAGGTTTGTAGTTAATATTTATGAACTGAAACGGTAAGGGATTACTGACAGAAGAAGGGGAGAGCATTTACCGGCAGGGGGCACAGTTTCCCATTGACCTTGACAAAGAGGTTGGGGGGAAAATAATCTTCCTGGGGGCAGCTGGTCTCACAGAGACAGAACCTGGTAAGAGATGAGAAAGGAAGAAAGAGTGGGAAGAAATTTCTTAACTTGAATCTGGCAGAGAGACAGGGAACCCCAGAAAATCAGTCATAGATGCCTGAAGCCCTCAGCATCCAACAAGAGTCGCAGGGCTGCAGTAGGCAGTGGCAGAGCAGGGACATCTCGTAAGGGTATCTGTCATACCCCTACTTCACTCCTACCCCCAGTGGGTACCCAGGATAGGCAGGGAGGATGAACTCACCTTAGCTGCACCTGTATGGTATAATCACATTTGGCTCCTGGCAGAACCTCTCTGTAACAGGGAGGGAGATGAAGAGATGTCAGCATGTAGCCCCCAGAGGGCAAGGGTGAATGCACAGAAAGGCTGAAAGTCAGATGTCCAGGAGATAGAGAAGAGACACACAGAAGAACAAGAGACAAGTAGGTATAGGAGGAGGGATAGGGAAGAGCACAGGGCAGAAGAGAAGAAAGTCAGAAAGCAGAGACCAGGGATGAGGCAGGAAGACTGGAAGAGATGTACCTGGATGTAAGAATCTGCTGCACTTGCTGGGGTGTGAGGGCAAAGGTAAAGTGCGCTTCCTCAAACCGCTGGCTAGAAGTGGATGCTGAGGATACAAAGGGGCAGTTATTCCAAGCCCATGCACAGGCAGCCACAGAAATCGCCCCCATCCCAGGTCACTGATCCCATAGGACTAAAGCCTAAGAAATGTTTGGGGAACAGGTAGGGAGTCCAGAAGACTAAGGGACCACAAAGAGCCATACCAAGGGTGGTGGGCCGGATGAGCTCCCCATAGACTTCATAGAAGGGCAATGGTTTCATGGTGACATCAGGGTGCACAGGCTGGGGCAGAGGGGGGTGCATGTCCACCTCACGCTTGGGGCCCAGCAGGGTGCCAGGGGCCAACAGCGTTGGGGGAATGGGAGCTAGAGGACCAGGGGAGCCTACAGGAGAGGTGCCAGGGGGCAAAGAGAGAAGGGAGAGATCAGAGGGCCCCAGGGTCTTCCGGGGAAAGCGTCGTCGGTAAAGCTCTTTGATCTTCATCTGGACACTAGGGGCACAGCTGGACTTCAGGAGGTGCAGAGCCTTGGCCAGGAGCTCGTGCTTCCGTCCACTCTTGTTCCGGCCAGCAAAGCCAAGAAGCACCTGGAGCTCAGACACCCGGAAACTCATCACCATGTGCTGTGGAGAAAAACAGAGAAGCTTGAGCATCCTCCCTTGCACAGGCCTGCCCTGCCAAGACATGGGCTGAGCTACCAGGTGGGCAGTGCCTTTCTCTCCAGCACTGATGGGAAAGATGATGCTTCGCAGCTAGTGGATTACTGCCAGGTAGTCGACCTATCCAAAGGGACATCTCAGTCCCACTTTAGCAACCATCAGGTCAGCATCATCACCACCACCCCCGAGCTTGAGCAACACTATTTCCCCAGGCCTGGAAGCAGCCAGAGTGGGGCAGGGAATGGCAGACAGCAAGCCACCCTCAGACACACCTCCGAGTCCATGCAGCCTCCCGCCTCCATCCCTGGACTCTGCTTTAAGCTGCTTATCTCCTCTCTTGCCCTTTCTCAGACTCTCAAACCCATCCCAGCCTCCTGGGAACAGGATAGGAGACAGGGAGAAGGAGGGAGAGACAAGAGGATTCAAGCCAGACAGCCCCACGGGAAGAAAGGGGCTAGGTGGCTGGAGGATTGTGCCCTTCAGCCCACCCCTCCCAACCACCTTAATTCACCTCAGCTATTTCCCCCAAGCCTCTGAAGCTTCTGTGGCCAGGGTTTTCAGGTCAGGGTTCAATGCTCATAACTTCCCCAGATCCTTTCTTGGAATCGTTTATATAACCACCCCCTCCCCACAACTTAGTCCTATTTTTCTGGAAGGGAAACAGGACCAAAACTTGGGTCGGGGAGATTAACAGTGAATCACTGAGTCCAAGTATCCTGCCTGTTTACTCTATCTGCCAGGAACCATAATCTGGCATCTCTCCTACACAGAGAAATTAATACTCCTCTACAACTTACAGCGCCCCCCTATAGGGGTGGAAGAGGAGAGGGCAGAGCTCTAAACAGAGACCCTGGGTGGATGAAGGAAAAGCCTCTGAGTCAGGGCACAGAATCGCAAATCCCCTGAAGGTAGCTGGGCCCAGTGGCTAGACCTCCAGCCTTCCCAGGACCATAGCTCCCATTTCAAAGGGCAGAAGAAAACCAGGAGGCAGGCGGATGAACTCGGTAGTTTGAGGTTCTATGAGATGTCCTCAGATGTGGTCACCCTCCAAACTCTATGTAGCAGGAGGGGAGCGCTCTCCTTAGAAGACTCCCTTCTGTGAATCTCTAGGAGATCCTGTCATGTGCAGGGCTTGCTAGCCCTACACAATTCTTCTCATAGGAGGCTTTGTCTTGGACCCCTTTTATGGAATGTGATGAGAAACTTGCTCCTCTTTCTCCCCATCCTTATCTCCTCTGTCCTGTCTTTTTTTCTCCATTAGCTTCCCCTATAACTTCCCACCTTTCTATCCCATAGTTTCACATGCCTCTGCCTCTTCCCAAACACCGCGATTCACTACGGCAGGACCTTCCTCTGAGCCTCCAGGATGCTTCTGCCCCACCCCTCGAGGTATCGGCCCGCACAGCCCCGCCCCCTGCATCTCAGCAGCCTACTGGTATTTCCCAAAGCTCGGATCCCGAGAGTAGCCCCAAAGACCCTATCCTCTCAGCTGCCTTTCCCCCGGAGCCTCCCCTACGTCTGCCCCGCGGTCCCATCCCTGCATGTGCCCCCTACTGTTGCATCTCTTGGCCTTGATCGACTCGCCCCCAGTGCCTCTACAGCACCTTTTCCCCCTGGCCCTACCCCAACAACCGCCCCTACTACTAAATCCGACTTCTACCCCTCGTCCCCGCCCCCTGCGCCTCAGCCCCCAACAGCTGCAATTCCCCTCGGCCCCACCCCTACATCTGCCCCGCAGCCCCGCCCCCGGAGCCCCGCCGCAGCCCCTTCCTCGCTCTCAGCTACTTCTCTCCCATCCTCAGCAGCTCGTGCCTGCCACGTCGTCGGCGCCCACCCGAGCCCCGGCACCCAGTCTCGGTCGCTTCCCGGACACGGCGTACCGCCGGGCTGAGTCCAGATGGGGATGGGGGGAGGGGGCCGGTACCTTTAATTCGCCCAGCTCCGCCATCTTGAGACATCGCAGGCGCCCCAGCCGGAGCCGGAGCTCAGGCCCAGGGACCGGCGCACAACTCTCCACCCTGGCGCCGGCCGCAAATGCCGCCTGCTCCGCCCAGTCCGGCCCCCTATACCTCCCCTTCCCGGCCCCGCCCGCCTGGCTTCGGACAAGCCCCAGCCTGAGCCCCTCCCTCCACAGCCGACCCAGCAGCTACACGTCTGCGGCCGGTTGGCAGGACGCGTAGCCCCGGAGGGAGTGTATGGCCCCCAAGATCGCGGGGTCCCTAGGGCAACGGGGAGGAGGCGGGCCCGAAGTGCCTGGTGGAGGGGGGCTTTGCCACGGCAGAGTTGGGAGGGGACAAGCTTTTAGGGAGCCAAAGATACTTGAAAGATGGAGGGAAAGTATCGGGAACTGCTAGAGCTCAGAGAAATGGGGGAGGGGGTAGCGAAGTTGGAGCGCAAACCCTCATCTCCATCTCTGCATAAGTTTAATCAACTAAAATCGAGAGGTCTTCCAACTCGGGAAATGGGCGAGCGCTGATCCGTCTTAGGGAAGCCGTGGAGTCGGCATTCAGTAATTCACCCTCTCCTCCTCCCCCATACACCAACTACAGTGCAGCTCGTGGTCCGATCGTAGGACTCAAACTCGGCAGCAAAAAAAAGTTTGGTGCGGGGAGCGGGACTTACCAGCACAATTGTGGGAAATGGAGAGAGGGCTCGGGAGGCTCAGAGGGCGAGCTGGAGAGGTGGGGGAATGGGGCTCGGCGCTGCTCCTGCTGTCCGCACGGCAGAAGTTCGGTCCAGCAGCCGGACGCGGCGGCCGCGGCTCCGCCCGGGCCGGAGCTCCGCCCGGCCTAGCGCTCGGGCTGGGGCCGCCCCCTCCAGGGGAAGCCCGCCAGGACCGCCAAGAGGGAAGGGGGGCGGAGCTCGGGCGAGAGAGGGAGGGACTCAGAGCTCGACGTTGGAGAGATTAACTCCTGGTGTGAGTGGATCTGGAGAGACGAGATCCTTGGATCCCATCATTCTCACTACCTCTGTGACCCCTCAACGCTTACGTATGGGATTGGGGTGGTGGCACACTGCTGCTAAGCCGGTGTGAACCAGGTATCTGACAGTATAAAGCAGTCTTCCTTGAAATGACAACTGTCCCTCCCTAGGGCAAAGCCTGGGGTACTGAATCCAAAGTGTACCTAACAGTAACTACCCTAGATACACGTGCAGAATACCTCCACCAGAGCCCCCATACCTTTGGTGTAGCTGAAGATGAACAGAGGGGTTTTCTTACCCACAAAAGGGATCTTTCTGTCCCTCTCTGAACTGCCTACCCACTCTCCTTCCTCCAAAGCCTTGGACCCTCCAGAGGCCCCATCCCAACCAAGCTGATCACTCACATGCAGGCACCAAATTAAATCTGTTTCTGTATCCATGGAAATACCTATTTTTTTATTTTTTTGGGGGGGGACCAAGTCTCACTCTGTCACCCAGGCTGGAGTGCAGTGGCGCGACTTGGCTCACTGCAACCTCCGCCCCCCGGGTTCAAGCAATTCTCCTACCTCAGCCTCCCGAATAGCTGAGATTACAGGCCTGCGTCACCACGCCCGGCTAATTTTGTATTTTTAGTGGAGACAGGGTTTCACCATATTGGCCAGGCTGGTCTCAAACTCCTGACCTCGTGATGCGCCCGCCTCACCTTGGCCTCCCAAAGTGCTGGGATTACAGGCGTGAGCCGCCGCGCCTGACCCAGAAAATACCAACTTAAGGGAAATGTACCCGCACTACATACTGAGAAACTCACAGCATTTTATAGTTGGCTGCAATTTGTTCAATAAATATTTGAGTGCTTATCAGGGATCATTAGGTGCTGAGGACATAAAAGCCTTGCAGGAGTTCACAGTCTAGCAGCAGAGACAAGACATGTTAAACCTATAATCAGCACACCAAAAAAGGGCTTTAATAAATAGGAAAAATCCTTTTATTTAGCTTAAGCCTTCAGTATAATCCTCCTCATAAGACCCTACCCAGGCCAAAGATTGAAGGTGCCAGTTGAACTGGAACTAGGCCCAGTTACTTTGTGGTTTTTGTCCCTAGGGAAGATGCCACCCTCTCCTAACACTCAGGTTCTTTCCTTGCTGCTTTGCTACCCAAATTGGTGAGCGCTTCAAGCTAAACTCAGACTCAACTAGTTCTAAATTCCAGCTGCTCCCTTCCAACACCTGAGTCTTCATCAGGTCCTGAGATCTTTTTTGCTGTTGTTCTGTTCAGTCCTCTAGATCAAAAGTTACTATAGTTTGTATTTCTAAGAATTTTCAGTAGTTGCAGGATGAGGAAGGTAGGGAGGATTATTAAAAAGAGACAAAGCGGGGATCTTTCGGAAGTGATGGATATGTTCATTATCTCGATTGTGTAATGGTTTTATGGGTGTATATGCATATGAAAACACATCAAATTGTATACTTCAAATACATGCATTTTACATGGAGAGACATATTGACGTATATCAGTTGTACGTCAATAAAGCTGTAAATGGCCGGGCGCGGTGGCTCACGCTTGTAATCCCAGCACTTTGGGAGGCCGAGGCGGGCGGATCACGAGGTCAGGAGATCGAGACCACGGTAAAACCCTGTCTCTACTAAAAATACAAAAAATTAGCCGGGCGTGGTGGCAGGCGCCTGTAGTCCCAGCTACTCGGAGAGGTTGAGGCAGGAGAATGGCGTGAACCCGGGAGGCGGAGCTTGCAGTGAGCCGAGATCGCGCCACTGCACTCCAGCCTGGGCGACAGAGACTCTGTCTCAAAAAAATAAAATAAAATAAAATAAAAAATAAGTAAAGCTGTAAATGCTGGGCACGGTGGCTCACGCCTGTAATCCCAGCACTTTGGGAGGCTGAAGTGGGCGGATCACCTGAGGTCGGGAGTTCGAGACTAGCCTGGTCAACATGGAGAAACGCTGTCTCTACTAAAAATACAAAAAAGTTAGCCAGGCGTGGCAGCGCACGCCTGTAATTTCAGCTACTCAGGAGGATGAGGCAGGAGAACTGCTTGAACCCAGGAGGCAGAGGTTGCAGTGAGCCGAGACTGCACCACTGCACTCCAGCCTGGCACAGACCAAGACTCCATCTCTAGATAAATAAATAAATAAATAAATAAATAAATAAATAAATAAAGCTGTAAACATTTAAGAGAAAACCTCACCTTGAGTTCTAGTGATTTCATGAAGGAAGAATCTCCTTTAAAAGTTAATTTGGGCCAGGTACGGTGGCTCACGCCTGTAATCCCAGCACTTTGGGAGGCCGAGGTGGGCGGATCATGAGGTTGGGAGATCGAGACCATTTTGGCCAACACAGTGAAACCCCGTCTCTACTAAAATACAAAAAATTCGCCGGGCGTGGTGGCGTGTGCCTGTAATCCCAGCTACTTGGGAGTCTGAGGCAGGGGAATTGCTTGAACCCGGGAGGCTGAGGTTGCAGTGAGCTGAGATCGTGCCACTGCACTCCAGCCTGGCGACAGAGCAAGACTCCGTCTCAAAAAACAAACAAACAAACGAAAAAAGTTAATTTGAAGGCCAGGCATGGTGGCTCACGCCTGTAATCCCAACATTTTGGGAGGCCGAGGCAGGCAGATCACTTGAGGTCAGGAGTTCAAGACCAGCCTGGCCAACATAGTGAAACCCCATCTCTACTAAAAATACAAAACTTAGCCAGGTGTGGTGGCGCATGCCTGTAGTCCCAGCTACTTGGGAGGCTGAGGTGGGAGAATCACTCGAACCAGGGAGGCAGAGATTACAGTGAGCTGAGATCACACCACTGCACTCCAGCCTGGGTGACAGAGCAATAATACATCTAAAAAAAATTAATTTGAGGTTACTAAAGTTATTGAAAGAGAGAAAAAATAAATTGGAAAAAAGTTAATTTGAGGTTATAAGTTCTAGCATCCCTACAGGATGACGGAACCGGGGAACCTGAATCTTATCCTGCATGCAAGCTCCAAAAGGATAAGAAGGTTTTCTGTGCTGCCTCTACTCTATTCCCAGTGCCTGACAAATAGTAGACTCCTTAAATATCTGTTTAATAAATTAATGTTACCAAAGGAGGGAAACTGTGAATCAGAAGCAAAGTTCCAGATTGAAGGCATTCAAAAACATAGTCTGAACCTGATCATGGCCCATCGGGTTTCACCTACTTTCACCCACATACTCCTACATCTCAAGCCTGGGGAATGGGGTGGGGAGATGAAGCAGGAATCATAAGTCCCTGCTAAGTCCCATTAGAGAGCCCAGGAGGAATAAAGGGAACATTAGGATTATAGCTACTTTGGGGAAAAAAATTTATGAACTCAAGAAAAATTTTAAGACTGGGGCTGTTGAGGTAAGTTTGTGGAGTTTTAGGGAGGGAGACTGGGAAAACCAGGGGCTAAGGAAGTTTCTACTCCTGTGTTAACATTAACATCACTCACCACTCCCATAGCTCAGCCCATCCTGGAATCAGTTTCCAGGAGCCCCGGAGGGAGCCAAAGTCCTGGCTTCCATTACCAAAGCTGCTTCCTGACTCATTCTTGAGTTTAGCCCAATGATCTCCCCCTTTCTGGACCCTTCTCTCTACAGTTTCTTCATTCTCCCCACCCCACACGTCATATATAACAAGAAATGTAATAGTCCTTTAATATACATTGGTAATTGAGAGCAGGAAGGCAAGGAGAGGTTCTGTTCCCCTTGATAGAAATGACTCAGACCCTTTTGATGATCTTTCTTCAATAGCTGCACCTCTTCCCCCTTTCTCCATCAATCCCTCCTTTTTCCATTTTCCTGGCCGTAAAGCAGTCCCGTGCCCATCCACGTAAAACCTCTGCACCTTCTCTAGGATCTGATCCAGATATCTCAGATGCTCTTTTTCACTCTTGGCCAAACTCTGGAGCTGGCCTCTGCAGCCCTTGTGTAGCCCCCTGTCTTCCATGGCAGCCCCTCCCCACTCTTTTTTCTCAACCCAGCCTCTTTACTGCCAAAACTGCTGCTGTCTGACCCAGTGTAACCAAGCAGAGGGTGGACTGAGAGAAGGAATGGGGAGGGATCAGCGTGCGGGCCACCAAACTGCAATTCCAGATTTTAGAGGAATTCACTGCCTCATTTTCACCTAACAGCATGCCTGGTGGAAGGGCAGGCAGAGGAGGAGACCCAGGGGAAGTGGCCAAGAGAGATACATTTTTTTTTTCAGTCTGAGAATGGAATCACAGGCAAAAATGAAACTTGGGTATCCCTTCATCCTCTACCCAGGAATCAGACTTTTCATCCCTTTTGTCACCTGGGACAAAGAACAGTGAGACCATGTGTGTCAAATATAGACACATTGTTTAACACTTGATAAAATACTTTAGAAAGTATATCCTGAAGAAAATCCAGGTCTCTCAATCTCCCCTTAAAAAAAAAAAAAAAAAAAAATCATGGATTCAACAGTCCCAAGGCAGAGAAAAAAGATTAGAGCTGTGACAGATTCGAGAAAGTGGAAAGGAAGAGTGTCAAACCCCATTTTCACTGAGGGCTATTTTTCAAACCGTGGGTCTTGACCCATTAGTGGATGCATTTTGATGGAGTATATTAGCAAAGAATAGAAGAGAAATAGTAAAGTATTATTCGAGCTATGTATACACAAGATACAAAATGTATTTCTTGGCCAGATGCAGTGGCTCATACCTGTAATCCCAGTACTTAGGGAGGAGAATCACTTGAGGACAGGAGTTTGAGACCAGCCTGGCCAACATGGCAAAACCCTGTGTCTTCAAAAAGTACAAAACTTAGCCACGCATGGTGGTGCACGCCTATAATTCCAGCTACTCAGGAGGCTGAGGCATGAGAATACCTTGAACCCAGGAGGCAGAGGATGCAGTGAGCTGAGATCACACCACTGCACTCCAGCCTGGGTGACAGAGTGAGACTCTGCCTCAAAAAAATTTTTTTTTATTTCTTACTAGGGATCAAAAAGTTTGAAAGTTGCTGACTTATAGGGCCATTTGTGAATTTCATTCAAAAACAAATTAAATAATTGCCAAGGCCAGGCATGGTGGCTCAAGCCTGTAATCCTAGCACTTTGGGAGGCAGAGGTGGGTGGATCACCTGAGGTCAGGAGTTCAAGACTGCTTGGCCAACATGGTGAAACCCCGTCTCTACTAAAAATAGAAAAAAATTAGCTGGATGTGGTGTCATGCACTTGTAATCCCAGCTACTCGGGAGGCTGAAGCAGGAGAATCGCATGAACCCAGGAGGCGGCGGTTGCAGTGAGCTGAGACTGCCCTACTGCACTCCAGCCTGAGTGATAGAGTGAGACTCTGCTAAAAAAAAAAAAAAAAAAAAAAAGTGCCAAAGCTTGGAAACAATCAAGATGTCCTTCAGTAGGTGAATGGATAAATAAATTGTGACACATTCAGACAATGGAATATTATTCGGTACTAAAAATAAGTGAGTTATCAAGCCATGGAAAGACATGGAGGAAATTTAAATGTATATTACTAACTCAAAGAAACCAGTCTGAAAAGGATACATACTGTATAATTCCAACTAAGCACAACTGGGGATGGGAGAAAGATCAGTGGTTGCCAGGGGTTAGCAGGGATGGGGAGATGAGCAGACAGAGCAAAGAGGATTCTTAGGGCAGCGAAACCACTGTGTATGATAATATAGAGATGGCCAGGCACAGTGGCTCATGCCTGTAATCCCCAGCACTTTGGGGAGCTGGGACAGGTGGATCGCTTGAGCCCAGGAGTTTGAGACCAGCCTGGGCAACATGGCAAAACTTGGTCTCTATTAAATATACAGAAAAATCAGCCAGTTGTGGTGGTGCTCGCCTGTAGCCCCAGCTACTTGGGAGGCTGAGTTGGAGGATTACTGGAGCCCAGGAAGTTGAGGCTGCAGTGAGTTATGATCATGCCACTGCACTCCAGCCTGGGCAGCAGAGTAAGACCCTGCCTCAAAACAAACAAACAAACAAACAAAAACAAAAAAAAGATAACATAATGATGGATATATGTCAATATAAATGTGTCCAAACCAACAGACTCTCTAACACCAAGAGTGAACCCTAATGTATACTATGAACTCTGAATGATAATAATGTGTCAATGTAGGTTCATCAATTATAACAAATAAACCACTCTGGTGAGGATATTGATAATTGGGGAGGCAGTGCCTGCATGGGGGCAGAGAATATATGAAAATCTCTGTACCTTCTGCTTAATTTTGTTGTGAACCTAAAACTGCTTTAAAAATAAAGTCTATTTGCAAAATAAAAAACAAAATCTACTTGTATCCCTGGGCATGGTGGCACATGCCTGTAATCCCAGCTACTTGGGAGGCTGAGGCACAAGAATCACTTGAGCCCAGGAGGCAGAGGTTGCAGTGAGCTGAGATCATGCCACTGCACTCCAGCCTGGGCGACAGAGCAAGACTCTGCCTCAAAAAAAAAATCTACTTGTAAAAAAATGTTTTTAAAAATAAAGACATACTGTTAATATTTGTTTCCAGAAAAAAAGAAAAGAATAAAGGGATGAAAGATATTCCTTTCCCCACTCCCCTTTAGAAAAAAAAAAATTACACTCAGCCCCGTCCTGCCTCATGCTTTATTTTCCATAGAGCTTGTTTCCATCCATACCTCCTCTGGTCTCATCCATGCTGATTCCAGGGTCCAGGTTCTCAGGTCTGAGGTCCATAATGTCAGGTGAAGCCCTGCCCATACCATTGCCTAGTGGCCAACACCCCCGCCCACCACAGCCTGATGAAGCCTCTGTCAACCAGGGTTTCTTATTCCCTGAAAGAAGAAATTCAAAGATGAAATGCACCCACTTCCATATCCTCAGTCTCCTCCCACTCATATCAACATGCTAAAAGGGACCCTCATCTATCTGGACTGGAGAAGGGGACTATCTGCATTGGGGTGGGGGGAGGTTTGGGGGATGACTGCTCTTTGAATGAATGGTATCAAAGTGAAGAGATTCTGGATTTTGTAGAGTCCTGCCCTAAGGAACAACTGTCTACCACTATCCTACCATCACTCATCTTTCACTGGCATCTCCCTACCCCAGACCCAACCCCTCTTTTCAGTCTCCATCTCATAAGTCAGCCCCCTTAGTCCACCTGCTCACTGATTCCTGACTCCACCCAGTGATTCTCCATGTTCTGTCTTCTCAGTCACCTCAAATGCTCTATGCCCCAAAAGGCTCCCCATTGTCAGCCACCACGGGGGCAAAAGGGACTAATTTCATTCCATACACCTTTCCCAAGCCCTTTCTCCCAAACTCCTTCCCTCATCACCCTTAACCCACAACTCACAACAGAGAATCTCGTATCCCTGAGGGCACACAGTGAGGCTGCCTCACTCCTCTTCCATGCTAAGGATTTGCAGCAGGATATTGTACACTTCATGTTCCATGTAACCCTGTAGATGTCAGGAAAGGAAGAAAAGGAGATGAAGAACAGAAAATGGAGAGAGAGAGGTGAGGGAGAGGTTCTGTGGTACAGTGGAAGGCTATTTATTTACTATATACCTTCACTTATAGTATTTAACTTCTCCATGGCTTTTTCCCTATCTTCACAGGGAAGATAATGATGTCTACTTTTCAGGATTGCTCTGAGGATTACAACCATGAATATGAAGCAAAGCACCAGGTACACAATAGGTGTTCATTCCATTCTTTGTAGTTATTATTCCTAACAAGGGAGCAAGACACCTACCTCTTCTTCCTTGTTTAGGACTAAGTGGCTCCAGGAGGAGACTGAGAAAGGGTATTGGGGACAGGAAAAGTCCTTACTATAGGCCAGAGAATTGAAACAGAGGGGGAAACACCTCTCCTTCTCACATTCATGCACAACCTCTCTTGATCTACCAAATGAGATCAGAGACCTAGCACTGGATCCAGCTTTCCGAGAAACAGCAAGTGTGTACAGGGACCCTGGAGAAGAGAGAGGGACCCTAAATGCAATACCCTATACTCAGCTTTATGTCTATACCTCCCTCAAAACTCCACCATGCTCACCCGAGCAGCATTCAGTAGATGATTCCTGTAGGTGGAGATGATCTCTTCATGGTTCTTCTGGGAATCCTGGGAATGAACATCAATGGGAAGTCACATGTCCACCCTCAGTCACCCAAGCATGAGGAGCAACACAATGAAGTGGTCAGCAGTACCAGGTGGGCTCGTTGGCCCATCACTGGCCCATCCTGGACCACTGCCTAGCCAGGCCTCTGTAATTCCTAGAATGTCTCCCTCAGTAATTCCTAGAATGTCTCCCACATATACATCACTTCCACTGCTGACCTTCTTCTCCAGCACCATCCCTGACAGCCAAAACATACCTGCAGCTGCAGGGCAAGGCGAGCATTTTCTCCCCGAATTGCTAGAACCTCTTCTGAAAGCTGCTCCAGCTTCTTCAACAACTCCTTGATCTGAGGCCAAGAGGAAAGAGGCAACCAATGAGGCTCCAAGTCATTTCTCCCACAAGGGTCAAGGTCAGCTTCCTTTTACTGAGTATTTAATATGTGCCAATTTTATACAAATTGTCTCATTTAACACTCAAAACAGCTTTTCTTCTGTGTGGTGTTCACTAAAAGTAGGAATAACAACGTAAAAGCTAATTAAGGTCACAAACTTCGGTGAAACCCTTAAAAGTCCAAATCTTTTTGATATTGTGAACTATACCCCTTCCAGTTTAGTTTCTTCTGGACTTTCCTTACTTGTCAGTTACCTTTTAAAATTTGCACACATTATGATTAAAAGTGGGCCTCTACTGTGATGATTCCTATTTCCTCTCATGTTTTAAAGTGCAAACTAACATTTAAGTGAACATTAGCATCAAGTAGTGCAGACATTTGTATGCATTTCCTTGATTCAATTTGTGACCTTACCAGTTCTGAATTGGAATTGCCCCATTTCGTAGATAAAGGAAACTAACTATATTGCTGCACTTTTAAGTTTTCAAAACAGTGTTTAAAAATTGCATTGTTTTTATTTTTTTAAAACTCAGTTTAAAAAGACTAAAATGTTCTTTCAAAAGAGGCATCTAAATGTGTTCCTAATTTTGTATATGGGCTTAGGTTTTGTAACCAATTAAAAAAAAAGCTGCTATCCAATATGATAAAACATTGAAAACTTAAAAAAATTTAAAAAAAAAACAGCTTTTCTTCCGGGAGGAACAATACTTCTCTGAAGGAAGTTTGTTTTTTTGTTTTTTTTTGTTTGTTTGTTTTTTAGACTGAGTCTTGCTCTGTCACCCAGGCTAGAGTGCAGTGACACCATCTGCTCACTGCAACATCTGCCTCCAGGTTCAAGTGATTCTCCTGCCTCAGCCTCCCAAGAAGCTGGGATTACAGGCATGCGCCACCACACTCAGATAATTTTTGTATTTTTAGTAGAGGCGGGGTTTCACTACGTTGGCCAGGCTGGTCTCGAACTCCTGACCTCAGGTGATCCGCCCACCTCAGCCTCCTAAAGTGCTGGGATTACAGGTGTGAGCCACTGCGCCCAGCCTGTTTTGTGTTTGGAGGCAGGGTCTCACCTGCCACCCAGGCTGGAGTGCAGTGATGTGATCTCAGCTCACTGCAACCTCTAAATCCTGGGCTCAAGCCAACCTCAGCCTCCTGAGTAGCACAGGAACAGGCACATGCCACCATACTCAGCTAATTTTTGTATTTTTTTGTAGAGTTGGGGTTTTGCCATGTTGTCCAGGCTGGTCTCAAACTCGTGGGCTCAGGCGATCCATCCACCTTGGCCTCCCAAAGTGCTGGGATTACAGGCATGAGCCACTGTGCTCCGCCTGAGGGAAGTATTATAATCTACGTTTTGTAGATAAAGAGACTAAATTAAGTAATTTGTCAAAATCACACAGCTAATAAGTGATGAAATCATGATTTGAACCACAATCTCTTTGACTCCTTGGCCGATGCTCTTAACTTGGTATCAGATCCTAACCTACTCCTGGCTACTGACCACTAAGGGAAATGGAGATGAGTCCTTATGGCTTATTGAGGCAGAGGCACAAATGCAGTTAATGGTAACTAGCAGTAATAGGAATAGTGGTAGTAGGAATAATGATAGCTACCTTTTACTGAGTACTTACCATGGGCCAAGAGTTCCAAATTTTTTTTTTTTTTTTTTGAGGCAGAATCTGGCTCTGTCGCCCAGGCTGGAGTGCAGTGGCGCGATCTCAGCTCACTGCAAGCTCCACGTCCCGGGCTCACACCATTCTCCTGCCTCAGCCTCTCCGAGTAGCTGGGAGTACAGGCGCCCACCACCACGCCCGGATAATTTTTTTGTATTTTTAGTGGAGACGGGGTTTCACCGTGTTAGCCAGGATGGTCTCGATCTCCTGACCTCGTGATCCGCCTGCCTCAGCCTCCCAAAGTGCTGGGATTACAGTCATGAGCCACCGCACCCAGCCCCAAATCTTTTAAATAAATATAATTTCTTATTTAATGCAATCTTCACAACCATTTTATTATCCTCATTTTATAGATAAGAAAACTGAGGACTAGAGATGTTAAATAACTTGCCCAAGATCAGACAATCTTGGTCCAGAGAACACATTCTTAACCATGACACTATGTTTGCTTTCACCCGATTGTCTACTTTCAACTTCTCCTTCAATGCAACATAAAAATACTTTCTTTAATTAACCTCAACCCGCACTGATTCCTATTCTGGATAACATTCCTTCTATTTTTATGTACTCCACACTATAGAAAACATACATTCTTTTATATATATATATAACGTTTTTTGAGGAGAAGGAGGAGTCTCGCTCTGTTGCCCAGACTGGAGTGCAGTGGTGCGATCTTGGCTCACTGCAACCTCCACCTCCCAGGTTCCAGTGATTCTCCTGCCTCAGCCTCTTGGGAGCTGGGATTACAGGCACATGCCACCACACCCATCTAATTTTTGCCACCATGCCCGGCCTTTTTATATTTTTTAATCATTCTAAATTTGACCATGTATCCAAGTTTTAATAAGAAGTCTGAAATCATTCATTTCACGGTTAAGTCTGGAAGTACTAAATCCATGTGTAAATTGATATTTAGAGTTCATAAAACATGTCTCATAGAAACATGTAGACTCACATTTAGAGCAAGCTTTAGGAAACTCTGGTATCTAATAGTGGTTTTCAAGCTTTTTTTCTTTCTTTCTTTCTTTCTTTTCTTTTTTCTTTTTTTTTTTTTTTTTTTTTTTTTTTTGAGACAGAGTCTTGCTGTGTCACCCAGGCTGGAGTGCAATGGTGCAATCTTGGCTCACTGCTACCTCTGCCTCTCTGGTTCAGGCGATTCTCCTGCCTCAGCCTCCTGAGTAGCTGGGATTACAGGTGCCCGCACCACGCCCAGCTAATTTTTGTATTTTTAGTGGAGACCGGGTTTCACCATGTTGGTCAGGCTGGTCTCAAACCCCTGACCTCAGGTGATCCACCCGCCTCGGCATCCCAAAGTGCTGGGATTACAGGCGTGAGCCACCGCGCCCGGCCTCAAGATTTTTTTCTTTGCATTGGTGCCCTCTTTGCCAATGGACATCGTTTTGTAGAACCCACCCTGAAGTGGAGGCGAGAAGAGCAGCTCTCGCTGGGTCTACTTTTCTTAACTCATTAGTTCTTGAGTGACCTCCTCAGAACTTCAGTAAAACCACAGCAACCCATCATGCTATTAGGCCTCTTCCCAGGCTAATATGCAATTCAAGTCCAAATGCTAATAAACGATGGTGCTGCACTGGTGGCAGCCCTGAGCACACTGCTTCTGAATCTGGGTGCCAAATTTTAGTACCTAAGCCCCCTTCTCTCTTCCACTTATACCTTACCTCACCTCCAATCTCACCAACCCCCTCAGACCCACGAGAACATAGTAGTGTGGTCCCTGCAAAGGACTGGTGCTCCGTTTGGGGTATTAATCTGACCCACTGCTGCAATAAAGGTTGCTGGATTCAGGTTAGTAAACTCCCAAATACACAGAAACTTTCCCCAGTGCTCCCCAGGGCTACCTCAGCTGCTCACCTTGGCTTCCTTGTCTCGGCAAGCCCCAATGAGATGCTCCATCTTCTCTTTCAGCAGCTCTGCCGTTTTCTCAAACTGCTCGGAGCGCCCCCGCATCTCGCTGGCCTGGCGCTCTTGTTCGGCTGCCTGAGCGGCCAGGTCCCCGCTCCGGCGGCGCTCCTCGGCCACCGCCTCCCGCAGCCGACCCACTTCCCGGCAGGCCGTATTATACTTTTCCAACAGAGCCTTTAGCTCCTGGCCCCAAGCCTGAGCCTGGGCCACCAGCGAACCCCGAGTTTTCTCGTGTTGCCGTAGGCTGGCTGCCTCCCGGGCCCTTAGCTCAGCCACTTCCTCTGTGGCTTGGTAGAGCAGCTGCTTCAGCTTTCCGATCTCCTGGCTCTTCCCGCTCATCGTGGCCTGAACTGCCCGCAGCTCTTCCTCCAGCTTCCCCAGGTCTTGCTCCAGAGCGGCCACTTGGGGGGATGCTGGGGCCTTTAAGGAGGTGCCTGGCTCCCTACACGGGGACAAGGACCCCCGCAACTGCTGGTTTTCTTCTTGCAGCCGAGCCAGCACCTGCTGGGCCTCCCGGTGCCGATCCACCAGGGTGCTGATGCAGGCCCGCAGCTCCTCCAGGGACTCCGCTGCTTTGCTTTGTGCACTCCTCTCGCCCACTAGGTCTGCGGGCAGGCAGTCCCACAGCCCTCGGAGACCGCTGCTCTGGGAGGCCAGGAGCTTCCGCAGCTTCTCTGTGGCCTCCTTCTCCATGGCCAGTTCATTTGTCAGCAGCCCCACACTCTGTCGCAACTGCTGTAGCTGGACCTGCGCCTGTGGCTTGGGCACAAACTCCCGCTGCAGCCGCTGGCTCAGGGACTGTAGCTCCCTCTGCAACCTCTGCCGCTCCCGCCCCAACTCCCCTAACTCCTCCAGCAAGTTACTGTTGCTCAGTCTCAGTACTGACATCTCCTTCTCCAGCTGTCCCTTTGCCAGGCCTCCTAGGGCCTTTTCCCCTCCAAGGGCCCCTAGAGGCTCTCCTTGAGCCCCAGGAACCCTTTTCTCCTTCTCTTCATCCTGTTTGATGCTCCCTGGGGCTGCCTTTAGGGCTCCCTCTCTGGACTCCTGGGAAGGAACCTCAGGTTTCACCTGTAGTCCTGCCTTTGCCCATTCCAGCCTTGCCAGCACCCGCTCCAGTCGGGCTTCCATCTTCTCCCAGGCAGCTGCTGCTGCCTCAGCACGGGGAGTCCCCAGGGCTCCCTCCATGACCGGTCTTGACAAAGCCCCCCGGGCAGCATCCTTTTCTCGCCACACTGCAGCAAGCTCCTCCCTTAGTTGAAGCAGAAGCTGGTTCATGGCTGCTGGGCCCACTGGTTCAGCCACTGTGCCTCCTGGTTCAACTCCTAGAACCTGGGAACTCTCCTTCTGACCAGCAGGCAGCTGGTCAGCATGATCAGGGCCAAAGGTCTGTGCCCCATTGGTAGTCAGTTGCTGTCCTGTGGCTTTCCTGATGGTCTCAGACGCTGGGCTCTGGGGTGGCCCCTGTTCTTCTGGTTGGGACCTTCCATGGACTTCATACTGGATCTTTCCTGGGGCTGAGTCCTCAGCCTTCTTTGGAGCTAATACTGGATTTACTGTGGCTGCTGCCTGCTGCTGCTTCTTTAGCTCTTGTGTACTCTCAGCCAGCAGGTCCTTAGGACAACCCTGCTCCATGCCATCCCCTCCAGGCCGGAGACTAGAGCCTTGCTTTCCTGAAGCTCTGGGCTCCCAGGATAGGAGGACCCCTAGCTCCTGCGCCTGCTCTCGAATCTGGTTCTCAAGGTCCAGATAGGCTGCAGCTTGAGTCTTACACTCTTCTGTCTTTTGCACCAGCTCCTGCTCCAGCCGAACAACTTTCCTCCGCTCCTCTTCATACTTCCACCTCCACTCCTCCGAGCACGGGTCTTCATCCTCCTTCTCCTCTTGCTCCTCTTCAGGCTCTGCTCTCCATGAGCTCTTAGGAGGAGAACCTGCCTGGGGCTCAGATGGAGAGGCCTATGTTGGAAACAGAATAGTAAAGTGTGGCCACTAGGCAACGAACTGAGCCCTAGGAGTGCCTTTCTTCTCTTAAATGTCTTGACACCCCAAGGACCACTAGGAATAGTCACAGTGGGATAGCCTGGGGTGTGTCAAAAGCAAAAGGGGGAGGCACTTAGGGTCTTACCTGGGATGCGAGATCTGGGTGCTGGACTAGCCTCTGACCTATAAGAAAAGATATGAGGAAAATGAGAGAGAAGACAGGTTCCATGTACTTCCAGCCCACATTCTTATCTTCAGACTTTTTCTGAGAGGAGTGGCCTCTCTGTGATCAATCTCACTGCACATCTTCCTGGTGCCAGAAGCCAATCTTGTTTAGTGGATCCCTAACTATCCAGCAACTTTGGTTTCCTATCCCAGAAATGGGCCACTTCATTCATTTTGTTCGCTCATTTATTTATTGGTCACTATGTCCAGCACTTTAATAAGCACTGGAACTTCAATGGTGAGCAAAACAGAAATGGCCTGTCACCTAAGGGGGTTACAATCTGGTAGAGGAAAGAGAGAGTGACCAACAAATCACACAAATAGATGTACAATTACAACTCACAAACGCCAGAAACAACACTAGCCAGAGCTGTCCTCAGTGAGAGACCAGGCTGCATTAAAGAATTTTGTGATCATACTTTTGGGATGGGGATTTGGGGTCCTCTCACAGTAGCAGCAATAAATACGTAAACTCTCAACCCAGGTGACAATTATTTGTCAGATAGATTACTTCCATGGAAACAAATGGGACTCTAAGAAACTTCTCTGATTCTTAGAGAACGTGGAAGTTACACAAGGGCCTTTACCGCCCCGCCGCCGCCGGCTCAGGGCCTGCTGTAGGTGCCTCCACAGTGCCTTGTCTTGTGTGTGCAGAGCATAGTGCAGAGCATCATGCCCTGTGCTGTCCACAGCCCCCGCGTCAGCTCCGTGGCTCAGGAGCAGTTCAGCCACCTCGGCACTGCCTTTCTCACAGGCCAGGATCAAAGCCGATCTGTGGGTTGAGACAAATCTGAGCACAGACTTTCCACATGGAACCCAGAAGTCCTGGTTCCAGACATTCCACTCACAGGGTAAGCTCTCATTCAGTGGGGTCAGGAGAACAACAGACCAACATTAGACCAGACTAGACTTCTCTTTTTTTTTTTTTGAGACGGAGTTTCACTCTTGTTGCCCAGGCTGGAGTGCAATGGCATGATCTCGGCTCACTGCAACCTCTGCCTCCCAGGTTCATGCGATTCTCCTGCCTCAACCTCCCGAGTAGCTGGGATTACAGGCATGCACCACCACACCCGGCTAATTTTGTATTTTTAGTAGAGACAGGGTTTCTCCATGTTGGTCAGGCTGGTCTTGAACTCCTGACCTCAGGTGATCCACCCTCCACAGCCTCCCAAAGTGCTGGGATTACAGGTATGAGCCACTGCACCAGGCCAGGACTAGGCTTTTCAAATGCCATTCCTTAGAGCTGCAGGAACAGAAATTAGGGGGCCAACTGGATGAGCTCCATTTTTATCTGCTCTGTATATCAAGGTTCTACATACTTTTTTTTTTGAGACGGAGTCTCGCTCCTCTCTCGCCCAGGCTGGAGTGCAGTGGTGCAATCTCGGCTCACTGCAACCTCCACCTCCCAGATTCATGCCATTCTCCTGCCTCAGCCTCCCGAGTAGCTGGGACTACAGGCACCCACCACCATGCCTGACCAATTTTTTGTATTTTTAGTAGAGATGGGGTTTCACCATTTTAGCTAGGATGGTCTCAATCTCTTGACCTCGTGATCCACCCGCCTTGGCCTCCCAAAGTGCTGGGATCACAGGGATTCTACATACATTTTTTATTGGAAAAAAGGATCCTCTTGCATAAAAGATAATTTGACAACCAGTAAATTCAGCCAACGGGTCCAGAAGTGTCGATTCTACTTCTGGGGTCATCTATCTATGAAGATGGTGGTGGCAGCAGGCAGAGCTCTTCAGAACCTCCACTGGGAAGGAATGAGGTTCCCAAGAACACAAAGACCAACCTGACTTCTTCCCCAACACACACAAACACACACACACACACGTTGCCCACTGGCTTCTTTCTAAATTGGTCAGGCATGGGAATTGGGGTGCATAGACGAGGGGGGCTCACTTGTCATTCTTGTCTGTAACATTAACTCGGGCGCCTCGCTGCAGCAGCTGTGAGCAGATAGCTGCGTGCCCACCCAGCGATGCGATCATCAGGGGTGTACGTCCATCCTGCACAGATTGTAGGAAGAGGTTCATGAGCAGCCAGGGACTGCAGAGGCTTGACAATCCTACCGGCTCCCCTCCCCTCACACCTGTCCAAAAAAAATAAAAGCCCAGATCTTGGGTCTGAACACTCCCTTTTGGAGGGTTAGAAGCTCTCCAGAAGATAAGGCTTAACCTCTCTGTGAGGAAGAAGAGGAGAAGCAGGAGGAGAAGGAAGAGAAGGGTGGTGCTAACACAGCCCTAGGTCGTGGAAGTTGGCCAGTCAAGCTGAGAGACAGCAGCAGCCCTTCTGTGTAGGACACTGCCCACTTGCCCATCTGACACTCACATTATCCAACACGTCCAGGAAGGCTTCGTGGTCACACAGCAGGAGCACACTTGAGGCACAGCCAGAGGAGGCTGGGGAGAAGATGTTTGGGTTAAGGGGAAGCATGAAGAAAGCCTACTCAGACTATGACCCAACATCCCCTCCGACCATTTCATTGGTTGGCCCTGGCTGCCCTTCCCTCCTCACGCCTCCCCTTTCCCACCCTGTAGTCTCTGCAGCCCTGTTCCCATGAGTCCCCTGCACACACCTGCCCAGTGCAATGGACTACGGTTTTCTGCATCCACAGCATCTTCATTAGCACCATGCTGCAAATGGCCACAAAGGGAAGCAGCATGGAGCTTGGTGTTAACATCCTCATCCCATACCCCCATTGGGTCACCAATTTCCATGGTAATATGAGGAGGGGCAGGAGGTCCACTTTGGAGAAGGCTATCTACTAGGCAAGCCCAGTTCATCCATTGCTGATGATAGGCAGCCTTGAATATCAGCCCTGGTTTCTAAACCAAGGGGCTAAGAAAAATCAGATGGTAATAAACGTGTTAGGGAAAATGACACCCAATGTCCCCGTGGCTGGTACTTTAGAAACATAATTGTGAAATTTGGAAAGGATTAGGAAGAACGAAAGTAGAACATCCATTTGCCTGATGGCCGGTTAAGATAACTGATTTTTTTTTTTTTTTTTGAGACAGAGTCTCTCTCTGTTGCCCAGACTGGAGTGCAGTGGTGCGATCTTGGATCACTGCAACCTCCGCCTCCTGGGTTGAAGCGATTCTCCTGCCTCAGCCTCCCGAGTAACTGGGACTACAGGCACGTGCCACCACACCCAGCTAATCTTTTGTATTTTTATTAGAGATGGGGTTTCACTGTGTTAGCCAGGATGGTCTCGATCTCCTGATCTTGTGATCTGCCCACCTCCATCTCCCAAAGTCTGGGATTACAGGCATGAGCCACCGCACCCGGCCAGTAACTGCCTTTTGTGCTTTTGGAGACTCATTTATAAATGATCCACATGTCATTTTACATGTATATTTCTCTTTATACTACTAGACTATAAACTCTTCAGAAACAGACAGTAGGGCTTTGGTTTAATTTGAACATCTCTGTCCTCCTTCCTCTTGCCCCTCATCATAGCAGGAAGTCTCTGCAGTGGCTCTGCTAATGACAAAATCGATAGTGCCTGGCAACTCTGCTTTATAACCTGCCCTCAAAGGCACTATCAAACATGGTGCCTGCACATAGTAGTTAAATAAATGTTGGCAAACAAATGATTATCAGCCCTCCTATTGGGGATGAGGCGAGTACATTTGGCCAACTATTCCTTTTAAGTATGAAATGAAGTTAGAAAACTCTGGGACCACTTCTTCCCTTCATAAGAGTGGTATCAAGGGACTGCTCTTACCTGAAGCAGAACCTTAACACACTGTGGCTGGCAGGAGATGGTGGCCAAGTGTAGGGCAGTGCTTCCTGGAACAGAAAGAAGGGGAGAAGGAGGGTAGGTGGCCCCATGCATGCTGATGACTCACAGGGAGGGAAGGCAAGAGACGCACAGATAATCAGGAGATTAGGGAGAGAAGCTTTCAGCCACACGGGGCCAGAAATTCCTGTTCCCCAAGTGCCTGGTACCTGTGATGAAGGTGGGAGTGGGGGTGAGGTGTGCCCAGCTTACGGGGAGGGGAACTCCTGGAAGGATGCTGGCCAGAACTTACTAAGGAGAGAAGCAAGGGGCCACAGTAGGAATGTCCAGCAGGGCCCAGCACCGCCCCCGACTGCTGCTGTACCAGGGGCAAGCAAGCAGCGTGGCCCAGTGCTCCGGCTCACTCACCATCCTCATTCTTGCTGTTGATGTCAGCCCCATTTGCAAGCAGGATAGTCAGACATTCTGTCAGGCCTTTGGAGGCTGCCAGATGAAACCTGCCAGAATCAAGGCCGAGAGGCCAAAGGATAAAGGGACCAGGGATGAGGAATGGGAGAATCTTGATAAGCCCTTCTTGCTATGCTCCCTACCCCAAAGCCAATCCTAAAAGCAGGAAAAGAAGCTCCCCTAGCTTGAATTTCTGAGAAAGAGAAGTCTATATGGCCTCCAATCACAAAGGATGCTAAAAGCAAGGAAGAAATAAGAGCTACAGGTCTCAAGGAATCTCAGACTATTGCAGGGGTGTCTAGGGAACACATAATTACCTGCCTCTCTGAGCACAGAACCTTAGCGGAAGTGGAAGTGTCACAGAAAGAGTCAGCCAGAGCAGAGTGAAGGCTGGACATTCGAAGGCTTTGGGTAGAGACAAGGGATAACATTTCCTTTGACTTAATCACTACTCCCTCTAGCCATGTGACTCCCATGCTACCACTTCATTTCAAATTTCCCATGCATACACACCCTCCTACTTGTGCAATGAAGAAACACTCTACTTAGTGTATATATTCATTTTCTGTTTGTTTAATGGGCTTTATGTACTTTACAAGTCAGTGGTGTCAATCTGGGTTGTGCAATGGATGGAGCTCAGGAACAATATTTTCTTTCCTCACTTTGTGTAGAACTTATATGTAGCAAAAAACTATTGATATACTTGCTAATTAAGACAATGAAAAGAGCTCTGAAGTTGTAGGCATTCCCTGGTCCTATGTTATATTGGATTTGGGGGCTTCAAAAGGGAGCCACATGTAAGGGGCAGGGGCAGGAGGACTGACTTACGGGGACTGGCCATTCGAGTCAAGCTTGGTGGGTCGGGCAGATTTCCTGGAGGCCAGGGCAGCCACGCGTCCCACATCCCCCCTGTGCACTGCCTCCAGCAGCTTCTGATCATGGCGGTTCCATCTCTCCACCTGGTCCAGAGCCACAGGTTGTGTGAATATAGGGCATGAGGGTAGTGTGGAGAAAGAAAAGAGGCAAATGGTTAGGATGCCAAATGAGAGAAAAGGAACATCCCTTTTTCTCTTCCACAAGTCACACATCCTAGATCATTTAGTCCTTCTTAGGTGGGCCTAGCTAAATCTTAACCAGCTAATATGCCACCAAGAACTATTGCTGGTTATTTCCAGCCCTGAGCCAGAAGGACCCTGGACCACTGAATTAAAAATCATTTGAGTGCTGAATGCACAGTATTTCAAATGTCCTTTTGTCATCATGATTAGAGTTGTTGTTCAGTGCCCAACCTCAGAGCAATCCTTTCCCTTTTGCTCTCTAGGTCTTGCTGGAGCAAATGGAACCAACGTGACCACTTTTGAGGACTCATGTTGCCTCTCACCACCGCCTCCACCCCTGAAACCCTGCTGCTCTGCTTTTTGTTGTCAGTTGTTTGAGAAGTACATTAAGGCACCGAGCTTCAGGTTACAGCTAGGAGTTCCAATACCTAACCATTCCACCTCTTTTCATTGGCTTTGGGCCCCACAGTTAAAAGAGGAAACTAGAGTTTCTGTTTTCCCATATCATATCTAGGCCCTTTGGCGACCGTCTCTCTCCTTTCCATGGCAACAACAACCAAAAGGCAAAGAGGTTTCTAGTTATGTTTGAGGAAGCAGCAAGAGGTAGCTCCCCTTCTCCTCCCTCCCAGTTTCCCTGGCAGGGAGCAGCTGTCTAGACAACAGCCACACCTGGGCATGCATTGTTCTATCATTCCAGCTTGGGTTTTGTGGGTGGTAGGGTAATTATAATAATTGAAGTGTTATAGGGCATAAAAGAGACAGCTATGTAAAAACACCCAGGGCTGAAAGTACAGAAAAGCCTGGTTTTGTCCAGAGAAGGGAATGAAAAGGAAGAGACAGATGCAAAGATCTGTGGTCTGATGTAAAGGCTGCCAGACAAATATTTCGCTGGCTGGCCTGAGTTTGGGACCTAGTTCAGCTACATTCTCGGCTATGTGACCTAAAGTAAGCCATTAAACACCTTTAACCTGTTTCCTCTTCTATAAAATACGGCTAATAACAACTACCTCATCATGCTGTGACTATTAAACAAGCTAATATATACAAAATCTCTTTATAAACTGTAAAGAGCCATACAAATATATGGCATCCTTGTAACAAAACAGGAAGTAGTGGGGTGTTGGTGGTGGCACATAGCATTTTATAAGGTATAATCTCAACAAGAGGCTATAGAAAGGGGTGAAGAAAAATAGGGTCTGTGGAAGCCCAGTAACTCATTTTCAAACACTGTTTACGTAGCCAGGGCAAATTATTAATCAACCACAGGAAAGCTCTAAATATCCAAACCATAAAATTATCTAAGGTAGATGGATTCTGAGGTAATACTCCTGTACAGAAGTTGTAACTTCTCACAGTCCTTTCACATGCTATTTCAATTAGTCTCTCAACATCCCTGGAAAGTAGCTAGGGCTATTATTCCATCTCTTTGACAGAAGAAACAGAAGTATACCAAGATTAGATAACCATTCAAGATCACGAAAAAGAGTGGCAAAATTGGAATTAGAATCCAGGCCATGGCTGGGTGCGGTGGTTCACGCCTGCAATCCCAGCACTTTGGGAGGCCAAGACGGGTGGATCACCTGAGGTCAGGAGTTCAAGACCAGCTTGGCCAACATGGTGAAACCCCGTCTCTACTAAAAATACAAAAAATTAGCTGGGGGTGGTGGCCGGTGCCTGTAATCCCAGCTACAGGAGACTGAGGCAGGAGAATTGCTTGAACCTGGGAAGTGGAGGTTGCAGTGAGCTGAGATTGCACCATTGCACTCCAGTCTGGGTGACAAGAGCAAGACTCCATCTCAAACAAACAAACAAACAAAAAAAGAACCCAGTCCACCTGATGCCAAATCCTAGCTCTCCCCACCAGACCACACTACTACAAGCTATAGAAACAGGTTTACTTATTTCCAGATAAACAGTCTCAAGTTGCCTCCAGGGCAAAGCCACCCACCCTCAGACTCTACTGTCTCATGGAGTCTCCAAACAGGTTAACTCTCAAAGGACAAAATAAGCAAAATGACTCCTTCACATACTAACAGACTCTGACATGTAAGAACGCATTTTCTAATGGCCTTTGGAGACCAGGTCACCCCCAGGAAAGCAGAGAGCTAGAACTATGCCCCACGACAGGGTGCTGCCATCAGCTGACGTCAACCTGCAGTTCTCGAAATGTTTCAAGTCTTGACTCTAACACTGTCTGCCTCTGTGAATTTAGGCATGTAACAACATCTCTGAACCTCAGTTTCCTAATACTATAACAACCTATAAGGCATCTAGCTCGGTGTCTGTCACATAGTAGATGCACAATCCATCCTTCCTGAGCACATTTTAGATGTTCCTGGGCTCAGAATTCTCCAGCCAGGAGAGTGGAAGGGATCTTGCTGATACTAGCCAGCGAATAACAGCCAAGCTGTACAGATGGTAAAGATGCTTCTTAGCAATATAGATACTTTTCTTTCCCCTTCTTTTTTTTTTTTTTTTTTTTTTTGAGACAGAGTCTTGCTCTGTCGCCCAGGCTGGAGTGCAGTGGCGTGGTCTCGGCTCACTGCAACCTCCACCTCCCAGGTTCACGCCATTCTCCTGCCTCAGCCTCCCGAGTAGCTGGGACTACAGGCGCCCGCCACCACACCCGGATAATTTTTTGTATTTTTAGTAGAGACAGGGTTTCACCATGTTAGCCAGGATGGTCTCAATCTCCTGACCTCGTGATCTGCCCTCCTCGGCCTCCCAAAGTGCTGGGATTACAAGCGTGAGCCACCGCGCCTGGCCCTTTCCACTTCTTTTTATTTCTTTTTTCTTTTTCTTTCTTTCCTTTTTTTTTTTTTTTTTTGAGACAGAGTCTTGCTTTGTTGCCCAGGCTGAAGTGCAGTGGCATGATCATGGCTCACTGCAGCCTTGACCTCTGGGCTCAGGTGATCCTCCCACCTCAGTCTTCTGAGTAGCTGGGACTACAGGCATGCTCTACCACACCCAGGTAATTTTTTTTTTTAGAGATGAGGTATCACTGCATTGCCCAGGCTGGTCTCAAAAACTCCTGGGCTCAAGTGATCCTCCGCACCTCAGCCTCCCAAAGTGCTGGGATTATAGGTGTGAGCCACCACGCCTGGCCTGGGTACTTTTCTTTCCAGCTAGATAGTTCTAAATCCACCCAATTTACTTCCTATAATCTCATTATACTAAGTAGAGTTTAGAATGGGTAGAAACTTTTCATGGCCAAGCCTCTGCAGAGCTGAAGTAAAGGACAGAGAGATGCTTTCAAATGTCAAGATCCAGTCTGTAGCTTACCCCAGCACCTTGGAAAGGAGGCACTAGATTACCATCACAGCCTCAAGGGAGCAATCACCAAATTAATCAGCAGACTCAATAAGTATAAGCTTTGTATTTCCATAGCTGAGATTAGAGGACTTTTGTAGAAGTAATTGTACCTTCTCCTTATATCTCTGGCTGTGTACCTATAAGCATCCTACAACATGGAAGCACACCAGCAAGTAGAGAGAGAAGGAATGACTTCTGCTGTAGGTCAGGTGAGTGGAAACAGAAAGGGGAACCAGGACCTAATTCTCAACGTTGTAATTGCAGTAGACAGTACCAATTTTTTTTTTTTTTTTTTTTTTTTTGAGACGGAGTCTTGCTCTTGTTGCCCAGGCTGGAGTGCGATGGCACCATCTCGGCTCACTGCAACCTCCGCCTCCCGGGTTCAAGCGATTCTCCTGCCTCAGCCTCCCAAGTAGCTGGGATTACAGGTGCCTGCCACCACACCCGGCTAATTTTTGTATTTTTAGTAGAGATAGGGTATCGCCATGTTGGCCAGGCTGGTCCCAAACTCCTGACCTCAGGTGATCCACCCGCTTCAGCCTCCCAAAGTGCTGGGATTACAGGCGTGAGCCACTGCGCCCAGATGATCCAGTGCCAATTATTTAAAGCTCTCTTCTGGTCTACTTCTGGTCTACCTAGGCAGAGTAAGCTCATAGGTAAGATACCCTCAAGGATATCCTCTACTTGACTAAAATAAAATGGGATTATAGGAGTTGGGGTTTTTTTGTGTGTGGATTTTCCTATATACTGGTAACTTAGATTAGCTTTAAAATGATCACTGCTTTTTCAGTCCTTACTCAGACTGACAGTGCAGGGCTCTGGCCCTGGACCCAAATGTGTGAGTGGAGATGGGTAGAGGCAGTCTTCCAGTGTGACTGGGAAGCCAGGCTTTTGGAGTGGCCATAAAGACTGCCACACTACTTCTCTGACAAATGGTTCCAGAGTAGTTTGCCACCCAAAACAGTGGAGGAATTTATCATGAGAAGTGTGGGGAAATTTCATGAGGAACCAATCTGCAGCTGAAACTGCCCTATTTGCAAGCTTTCTATGACTCCAATCTGTCTGAAGAAACAGTTTTCTTTCCAGCTAGATAATTCTAAACCCATCCAACTTACTTCCCATAATCTCATTATAGTAAGATCTTGTTATACTAAAAGTTTAGAATGGGTGGTCATTCTTTATGGTCAAACCTCTGTACAGCTAGAATCAAGGAGGACAGAGGGATGGTTCCAAATTCCAAAAGCCAGCCCACTCATTCCAGCACCTTGGAAAGGAGGTACTGCCCAAGGATTGGGGGATCAGAAAGAATGAAATAGTTTCCCCATTCCTAAGAAGCAGGCAGACTCCACAAACCTGTAAGGGAAAGGCAACATTGAATACTTTCAGTAACTAAGGAAGAGTCCATATGAATTTCTAAAAAGTCATTATGAGTTAAGACTGAGTCTGGGCAGCCTCAGTTTCTGGTGCATATAATAGTAAATACCTTTTGATTGGTTGATCAATGTGTGGAAACTAAGTAGAGATGCAAATGTAAGTGGGACAAGGACAGGCCTCAACAGAGTTCATACTCTTGCCTCATAGCTTGCTTCCAGGATTCTGTAACCTGCCCATGCAGAATGAGCTAATTGAACATTTCTGATATTTTCTTATGAACGATACTACTAAGTCAAGTTAGCAAAGCAATATTGCTACAAGTAGCTGGCTAATTTGCTTCTAAATTAGCCGTAACCCCAACCTCTACAGAAAATTCCATTTCCAAATAAGGGGGCTCTCTGTAAGAGATCTCTAGAGAAGAAGAAGCAATACCCTCCCTAAGCCACCACCTTCTATAATCTTATGTTTTTTTTTTTCTGGGAGAACATGGGGAATAGAGTGACTTCTGCTGGGAACTCTGAGTCTGCTCTATCCTCTTCTCTCATCATCACTTTCCCCCACCTCAACCAAGGAAACAGAGAGTATCATTCCTAAGCAACTGGGCAAGGGTTCAGGAAATGAATAATCTGGGGAAAAGCAGGCAGAAAGGCCTTGAGCCTTGACTGGCCCAAGAACCAGTCTGATGATCAGACACTGCAGTGAACTGGCTGGGGTGGACTCTGCAGGCAACTCACCCAGTCCTCTGGGGAGCAGTCAGGCAACTGTGCATCCTCTGGCAGTGCCTGTGAGGCTGACCAGACTGCAATATTAACTCACAGCAAGCAGGCAGGAGGAAAAGTGGGACTGGCGACCACTGGGCAGAGTAGGGCAGAGGTTGGAGGGGAGAACAGAAGGTTGCTGTTGTGGGAGCATCAATTGGAAAAAGGTTTGGAGTGATGTTTGAGGAACAGCAGTGCTGGTGAGAGATGGGAGTGAAAGTGGCATGGGGCAGGAGGGAAGCAATGACAGAGGAGATTGTGAAAAAGGGTTAGCAGAAGGCACAGGGCTGGGAGTGCTTGTTGAACTAACAGGAAACAGCAAGGATAGAGCTACGTGGAAGGCAAGATTGCGGGGACAGGGCAGGGATGAAATATGGGGCTCTGGGGCATGACTTGGTGGTGTAGAATGGAGCTTGAGGCCAGGCAGGGGCTGAGGAAGATGCTTGGGGGAGGTTTGGTACTGGGAGACGGAGCAGAAGTAGGGTCAGGGCCATGGGAAGGGGACAGAGTTGCAGAAAACGAACCAGAAATCGGGGGTGTAGATGCTAGGAGGACAAGAAAGGGGCCGGGGAAAGGGCCTTGGGGATGGCAGAGGTGAGCAGGGCAAGTCAGAAGCTGCAGGGCAGGGTCTTGAGGAAGGCAAAGCTGGCGGGCTTCCTTGCAAGACTAGAAGAGCTAGAAAGACTGATAAAAAGAAAAGGCGATGATGCATTGAGACGGGACTAAAGACTTCTGTCACCACAGAGCTGGGATCCCAACCCCATCCTCCCACACATTTTGGCACCTACCGCCACCTGTGTGCTGGAGCAGGAGAAGATACGCTTCATGGCCGGGGTCGGGGCCACGGGGGATGGGGACGCGCAGAGAGCCGGGCCACAGGTTCCCGAACCCACCGGACTTGGCTGCGGCTGTGCAAGAGACAGCTGTCAAAAAGCAGAGCGGGCCCCGCCCCACGATCCGCCTCAGAACCCGCCCTGCTCAATCAGAGGCAAGAACCCAAGGGCTGGGCTCAAAACTCCGCCCCTGGCCCTGCCCTACCCCATCCCTGCAGAGGAGAAAAGCCCGCAGTCTTAGGCTGCGACGGGGGCTTGGCCTCGAACCTCGCCCTTCAAATCTGAACCCACCCTGGGATCCGACCTGCTCAATCAGGAAAGGAACCGGGTGGGCTCCAGCTGAGACTCCTCCCGGACCCGGACCCGCCCCACCCTCAGTTCCAGGCGGGGCCTCCGCCCCAAGCCCCGCCTCAGCCCCGCCCCTCGGAGAGCGGCAGCCAGAGGCAGGAGGGTCCCGGCTTCTACCAGGGGCTTCGGTCTCACGGACTGTCGCATTTGCATTTAATCACTGGTAAAGTTACCTCTGCCCCCGCCAACTCCCCCCGCCTCTCCCCCGCCACTATTCCCCGGCCAAAAACCCAAGCAAAAAAGAGCATTTGAAGAGAGCAGTTCGGAAATAGGAGATTGTAGTGTTAAGCAGAGCAGAGATAATGCGCGGCCCACGGTAACCTGGGGGACAAAACCTAAGGAAAGGTGATCAGGTTCAATTTTATTTTTTCTTTCTGTTTTCTGAGACAGTGTCTCTAATCTGTCCCTCTGTCGGCCAGGCTGGAGTGCATGGCGCTATCATAGCTCACCGTAACCTCCAACTTGTGGGCTTAAGGGATTCTCTCACTCCAGCCTCCCGAGTAGCTGAGACTACAGGCATGCACCACCACGCCTGGCTAATTTTTTTTTTTTTTTTTTAAGAGATGGAGTGTCTCTATGTTACCCAGTCTGGTCTTCAACTCCAGGCCTCAAGCGATTCTCCTCACCGTAGCCTCCCAAAGCGCTGGGATTATAGGCATGAGCCACCACTATTCCTGGCCCAGGCTCAATTTTTAAACGCACATCTGAATTAGAAAACAGCAGAGAGCGAGGAGAGCAATTTTATTTTAAGCTGCCCCCCCCGCCCCCGCCCCCGCATAGAAACAAAAAATAACCAAACAAAAAACTGTCTTCATTATTTCCACTGCCCTTGAAGTTCAGGCTCTTGGTAATTCTTGAACAGTCAGTCGCAGCCAACTGGTCTTCCTGTCTTTCTTTTCTCCTCTCCCCGCCGGAGAGAGCTCACTAAAATGCATATGAAAACCTACAGGGTAAAGCCCAAAGTTCTTAAGTGGTTTACAAGGCTCTTCAGGAGTCATATGCTGCCGCCCTCTTTCCCAGTCCCATCTCTCATTACTTTCACACAAAAGAGCCACTCAAACTGTTTCTTTTTTTATTATTATTATTTTTATTTTTTGAGACAGAGTCTCACCCAGACTGAAGTGCAGTGGCACAATCTCGGCTCACTCACCGCAGCCTCTGCCTTCCCGGTCCAAGCAATTCTCCTGCCTCAGCCTCCCAAGTGGCTGGGATTACAGGTATGTGCCATCACGCCCGCTAAGTTTTGTATTTTTAGTAGAGACAGGGTTTTGCCATGTTGGCCGGACTGGTCTCAAATTCCTGACCTCAAGTGATCCACCTGCCTTGGCCTCCCAAAGTGCTGGGATTACAGGCGTGAGCCACTATGCCTGGCCTTGTTTTTTTTGTTTTGAGACAGGGTCTCGCTGTCACCCAGGCTGGAGTGTGATAGCATGATCGGGGCTCACTGCAGCAGCCTTGACTTCTTAAGCTCAAGGGATCCTCCCACTTCAGCCTCCTGAGTAGCTGGGACTATAGGTGCACATCACCATGCCCAGCTAATTTTCATATATTTGGTAGAGATGGGGTTTCACCATGTTGCCCAGACTGGTTTTGAACTCCTGGGCTCAAGCGATTCTCCTCACCTCAACTCCCAGAGCACCAGGCCTCAAACTGTTCTAATTTACAATTCCCTTTGCAGCTGGTGATTAATCCTCCCAAGAATGCCTCCTGTCACATTTGATCCCTGCGGTGGAAAAGTTAAATATTAAATTTGAACTCAATTGAACGTGGACAGAAACAATGGTCACCAAGTCCCAGAACAGGTTGTGTGAGCCCCTTGAGGTGTTCGTCCAGCACTGTTTTGGAGAAATCTCTATTTCAATCTATTCCTACACGTTAGTTATTGAAAAACAATAGACAATTGCAAAAATAAGTTGAATGTTTTGTGTTCCTTGAGCCCAGTCGCCAAGGGCCCCGTGACTGGGCCTCATGCCAAACAACTCGTTACAAAAAGAGCTAGGGTCCCAGACTGCGCCAAAACTTCATGAGACCTCTCCTCGTCTGTGCATGGATGAGTGGCCAACTCTGGAGCCCAGGCTGTTGCTTCTCAGTCTGGTGGTGAATCCTCTATAGTCTTATGAGTGCGGTGTTCAACTCTGGAACCCAGGCTGTTGCTTTCCAGTCTGGTGGTAAATCCTCCATAGTCTGGTGAATGTAAACATCTTTTCCCTTCTCCCCTTCCCATTGCAATTTGCTTATTATATCAATCTGTTTATTATATCATTTGCTTACTTATTATATAATTTGCTTATTATATTAATTTGCTTGTACCATTTGCTTATTATATCTCCATTGCCATTTACATGGGATAAAGCTTGTTTACCCTTAAAGGTATTGTGTGTGTCTCTTCTTCTCCCCTTGTGCGTTTCCTGCACAGAACAACCCCGCAGCCAAATTTCTTTTTTCTATAAAGTTTTCCCTTACAACCCCGCCACCCCCACCGCCCAACAAAGTATGCCTCTTGTATGACATACTCCTAGTGCTTGTTGATATATAGCAACCACCTCTTTGCATTTGCCATTTTTTTTTGTTTTTGAGATAGTGTCTCACTCTGTCACCCAGGCTGCAGCGCAATGGCGTGATGTCGGCTCACTGTAACCTCCACTTCCTGGGCTCGTGCCATCCTCCCACCTCAGCCTCCCAAGTAGATGGGACTACAGGTGCGTACCACCATGCCCAGCTAATTGTTTCTGTATTTTTGGTAAAGACAGGGTTTCACATGTTGTCCAAGATGGTCTCGAACTCCTGAACTCAAGTGATCCACCTGCCACGACCTCCCAAAGTCCTGGGATCACAGGTGTGAGCCACTGCGTCCAGGCTGTATTTGCCACTATTTGTTTACATGTTTGTTTCTGCTACTGGACTGGACTCTTTGATGGTAGTTGTGTTTTATATTATTGCCATTGTCAAGCACATATTACGTGCTTGATATCTGATGAATAAATGAATGAAAAAAATTAATGAAGAAGCAAAGGAGCAACAACAAGGAAAGGAAGGAACAATACACAGTTGCTTCTTAAACTAATACTATTGCAAAGAAAGGGGTAACAAGATTGGGTTTAGAGAAAGCCCCAGTCTGGAGCTGACGATGGATAGGAGGGGAATCTCTAGTTGGAAAAATATATTAAAAGTGCTCTCTTAATCATATGGATAAAGAATTACATGAGGTCAGGGAGCAGGGAGGGATAGCATTAGGAGATATACCTAATGTAAATGATGAGTTAATGGGTGCAGCACACCAACACGGCACATGTATACATATGTAACAAACCTGCATGTTGTGCACACATACCCTAGAACTTGAAGTAAAATAAAATAAATAAATAAATAAAAGAAATTAATCCTAAAAAAAAAAAAAAAAGAATTACATGAGGTCAGTCACAGTGGCTCACACCTATAATCCCAGCATGTGGAAAGGCCAAGACGGGAGGATTGCTTGAGGCCAGGAGTTGGAGACCAGCCTAGGCAACATAGTGAGACCCCCTCTCTAAAAAAAATTTAAATATATATATATGTATACACACACAAACACACACACATATATATGTGTGTATATGTATATATGTGTGAGCATTAGATGAACCAGTACTCAAGGAAACCTACCTCCATTTGGGGGCTGACTGAGGGTAAAGAGGAGAGGAGAGTCTGTCAACATAATCTGGTTGCGGTCTCAGCCCTAGAAACTGTGTGCTCCATAAAGGCTGATCAAGTTACAGCCTGTATGAAGTGCACTGAGGGTCACAATGGAAACCCTTTCCTGTCACAAAACAACTCAGCAGGTTGACACAGAATGGTGTTCATGCCAAATAGGCCAGACAGGCCACAATTCTCAGGGTTAGGCAATAGAGGCAGAGACTCGGTCTCTAGAAGGCCATTGCTTAAGTGCACGTGTTCTCTCAGGATAATGGAAAAACTCTGGGTGTCTCAAGAGGAGCCTAGAAGATACCTGCTTAATGGAATCAAATAGATTTGATCTCTACCATTAGAACCTTAAATTCTTCAGCTAATTATCACCTTAGAGGGCTCAAAGAGCTTATTTCAAAAGGGATGAGGCAGGCCAGGCACAGTGGCTCATACCTGTAATCCCAGCACTTTGGGAGGCTGAGGCAGGCAGATCACGTGAATCAGGAGTTCAAGATCAGCCTGGTCAACATGGTGAAACCCTGTCTCTACTAAATATCCAAAAATTAGCTGGGCATGGTGGTGCACACCTGTAGTCCCAACTACTCAGGAGGCTGAGGCAGGAGAATTGCTTGGACCCAGGAGGCAGAGGTTGCAGTGAGCTGAGATCGTGCCACTGCACTCCAGCCTGGGCGACAGGGCGAGACTCTGTCTCAAAAAAAAAAAAAAAAAAAAAAAAAAAGATGAGGCATAGGACAAGATTTAGTGGATGAGACAACAGCACGTAGAAACACATCTTCACAATCTGGGAGATGGGTCAGAGAGCAGGAACACCACCACCTGGTGCTCCAGTATACTTTCTCCCTTAATCCTCACAAGGCATGATATGGTAGATTATTTTATGACAAAATAGTTTTATAATAATAGTTACCATTTACTGAGCATTTACTAAATGCTCACTTTTCTTGGATTATTTCATTTTGTCTTCATGACCCTAATAGGTTTAAAGATGAGAAAGCCAAGACTTAGAGAAGTTAAGTCTGTCCTAGGTCAAACAGACTTTTTAAGTTGTGTAGCCTAGATTTAAACCCAAATCTGCCTTCATTGTTAACCACTGTAATACACAGCCTTTTATTATCTGAGCCTCAAGGAAGTTATGATTTGCTGAAGGCCATACAGCTAATAAATGGCAGATAGGATTTCAATCTAAACCTCTGTGCTTCCCAGACCTTTATACTTTCTGGTCACTTAAGCAGGTGAGAATTACAGGAGGCTAGAATACATCTCCTGTGGGAAAGCCACAGAAAACATTTAAAATACTTCTTAACTTTGCCTTCCAGGGACTCCACTCTGTAAAATCCCAGGCAAAACAAGTATCTACCTCTCACTATTACTGAGCAGTCTATATCCTAGGGAATACATATAGAGCCAAAAGTCATTTGACACTGAACTTTATTTGTTCTGACCATCTGATATACTGTCCACCCCACTGGGAAACAGAGACAATGCCCATGAGGGTGGGCCTCTGCAGAAGGCCAGAGACATGCCAAAATAAATACTGTGGTCAGGCCTCAGGAACAGCCTGGGAGGACAGGTTCTGTGACTGCTAGTCAACCACCCAATCAGGTCTTCTCTCTTCTCAGCTCTTAATGAGTGCTGATTCTTCAAAAGGCTCCCAGAGCTGCACTCTGGAGACCAATAACTGACTTCGATATCTCAAGTCTTGATTACAAAGAAATATAAGTTACCCAGTTGTCTATGAGAATCCAACTGCCTTTACTGTCCATGACCCAAATATGGAGTGGGTTGGGGAGGGATCAGAGATAGAAATTAACCTGGAGATTTCCAGTAAGCATCAAGCAAGGGCTGGCAAACTGATTCCACCAGAGAAACCCTGCAAAATATGACCAGGGTTCTAGGGTTGCCCCAGAAACATTTTCCTAGGAGCTATTTGTGCTACATAACCAGTGCTGAGCAAGTAAGGGCTTGCTCCCCAGAGCCCCATGCCACCCATGTAGGTTTCTTAATGCAGACTCCACACTTTTAGATCCCATGGGGCTGCTGCTTCCCAAAGCTGGTAAAGTGAAAGCATTTCCCATCATCAAGTAGCAGTACTCTCTCTCCTGTCTGCTTTCTAAGCAGGCCCCAAGGAGGGCTCAAGAGTGAGTATAAGACTTGAGAGAAGTAGAGAAAATACTGCCTAGGTACACCCAGTCCTCCCTGCTATTCCAGCTCCAGCCACCTGAGGGCTCCTGGCTTCAGAAAATCAGGCACCAGGCCCTGGCTTTGCTCCCAGAAAAGGCTTGGAATCAGGAAGCCTATGCCCAGCGAGCCTGGGGGCAGCTCTGTTTCACCAACACCTGAGGGCGGTCGAGTGCACTACAGGTCTCAGGTTTCAGGGGGGATGGCAGTTGCCTGTCTAAAGGCTTCTCTGTTCCTTGGAATTGTACAGAATGTCTCTTGTGGCTTTTCCTCCTCCCTCCTTTTTTCCTGTTGACTCTCCCCATCCGGCTCTATGAATCACCAGAGTCCACAGGAAAGCAGCAGATGTTGACTTTACTCCTTTCAAGCCAACGTCAGCTCCCTCCTGTGGAGTGGGGAACAGGCAGGAAAGTGAGAGGGTGGAAGAATCGAGGAAGATAACCCTCATCCTTTCCAAACTGTGAGGGAAGATAAAGAGGGAATCTGAAAGGAGTCAGGCACCTAGGCAAAAAAATTATTGATTCCTGGGGATAAAAGGACCCCAAACAAAAGCCCCAGTGTTGGCTATGGAACCAGGATCACGAGGAGGAGGGAAGCAGAGGGTGGGAGCATGGCTAGTTTTGGTGCCAGCTCTTCTTGTCTGAGGTAAAGCCTCATCTCTAGCCAGCAGCATCCCTAGGACTCAAAAGTCAAGTCAGGCTGCTGGTCTGGGGAGATAGTCCAGAGGCGGCTTCTTGTCCCATCTGAGCCCCCAAACCTCTGCTTTTATGCAAGTCTCTTGAAGAAGCTGCCAGGGAGGACTTTCTAGACCCTTATTCTACATTCATTGCTCCAACTTCTCTTCTCTTTTTTCTTCCTCAGGGATTTTCTTATGGGCAAAGAAGCCAAGCTGTAGAAGAAAAGATAAGCGTCACTGCCAAATGCCTAGACTGGGAACCTTGCCAGTAGCTCTCAGACTTATCTGAGGTCTTCACTTTTGTTCTGTTTCCAAAAATGGAATTCAAATTTATTTTATTTGGCTTAGAATAATTTAACCAACATTTGTGGGGTACAGTGAAGGAGATCTGGGCATGACATCCACAGCCTGGTTAGCTGCCCAGCACAAATCCTGTTCTCTCTGCTATAATCAAGGATCCCTCAACTCATGGGCATCATGCTCCACACTCCCCACTAAAGCAGTGCTTACCTTCCACAGGCAGAAGACAAGGAGAGCAAGCAGGAGCAACCCTCCCAGGACACTGCCTATGAGGATCCACAGGGAGATGAGGATAGGCCGGGTCTGAACCACCTCCAAGAGGCTCTGCGTGGACAGAAGAGTAGTTTTCTACATGCATCCTATAACCCAGCTAGCCTCACCCCACATTATATCAAAGCCAGCCCCCAAATAGAATAAATAACCTCCTGCTACTTAAAGGAAAGAAACTGAGGCAGGAATGGCGGCAGTGGAACACTAGGATCCTGCTGCCTGATGGAGATGCCTTCGTTCTGAAAAAGCCCACGGGTGGCCCTACCACATACCCATCATCATTATTTTCACAGCTCTCAGACTCGGTCTCCAGCCCTACCTCACTCCAACGGGAGGCTTCAGTCAGCTGTAGGACACTGCCCTCTTCGGTTCCCAGCTCAAAGGTGCTGACCACCGTCAGGGACTTGAACTTGGCCTATGGAACAAGTGGATAGGAAGACATTTAAAATGAGCCATTATCAGGTGATATAGTTCTTTGGAATCCCAACAGCAAAGTTGAGGCTGAGAGGCATAATGTTGAGGGCTCTCAAGACCAGAAGAAAAGGCTGAAGACCAATGGGAAAAGAGAGGAAGGGTAATAGATGGAAAACCCCTGGTCACATCTGCTGCTGCTGTTTGTTTTCCAAGGACAATCAATACATCTGGTGCTTTACCTGAAATGCATTCTACTCCTCTTTCCTTTGGCTGACCTCTACCCCTCCTTTAGATTGAAGTTTAGATGTCATCCCCTCTGGGATTTAGGGAAATCATTCCTCCTAACCCCCACCAACACTGGTGTTTACTTCTGTTTTTCACTCCTGAACTATAAGATCCTCTAGGTTAAAGGCTGTGCCTTACTAACCTTTGTGTCCTTAGTGCCTACTAGATAGCAGAGTACCAAGTATGTAGTGGTTTCTTTTTTTTTTTTTTGAGATGGAGTCTCGCTCTGTCACCCAGGCTGGAGTGCAGTGGCGTGATCTCGGCTCACTGCAAACTCCATCTCTCGGGTTAATGCCATTCTCCTGCCTCAACCTCCCAAGTAGCTGGGACTATAGGCGCCTGCCACCACACCTGGCTAATTTTTTTATTTTTAATAGAGACAGGGTTTCACCGTGTTAGCCAGGATGGTCTCGATCTCCTGATCTCATGATCTGCCCACCTTGGCCTCCCAAAGTGCAGGGATTACAGGCGTGAGCCACCGCGCCCGGCCATGTAGTGGTTTCTTAATAAATCTTTGTTGAAAGCATGAATAGACTAGTGAAAAAAAGATACCAAAGAAGGACAGAGACTTGGAGAAGGGTGGTTTATTGGACTTAACTTCCCTAAAACATATGATGACATCCCAGGGATCTTGTGTTATTCCAGGTAGATATGGGAAAGCACAACATTGACCTTAGTGCCAAACAGCCATTACAATTAAGATGCCATTTCCCTGCCCAGGAGGAACTCACACTGACTCCTCACTACCTGTCATATTAAGTTCAGTTTCTCCCTGGCTTCAGAGGCCTTTCGTAATCTAGATCCCTCTCACCTATACAATCTTACTTCCCACCACTCCCCAGTACAAATCCTGCATGTAATATCAATAATTCATTCATTTAGCAAAAATATGTTAAGCGCCTACAATGAGTTAGGCATGAGGCTAAATGTTGGAGATATTCTCAGTGTCAACCTAATACAGGGCCTTTTACGTAATAGGAACGTGATGGATTCTTAACTGATTAAATTTAGGTATCCTGCAAATGTTGATTGATACAGCACTAAGGAATGGTCAGGAAAAAAAAAAGTAATGGTCAGTGGAGGAAAATACAAGGATAATAACTAGCTTCCACTGAGTGTTCACCATATGTCCAGCTCATTATTCATTTATTCTTTATAACAACCCCATGAAATTGGTATTATCTTCCCATTTTAGAGATTAGGAAAAAGAGGCTTAGAGAGATGAAATAACTTGCTCATGGTCAAATAGCTAGTAAGAGGCAAAAGTGAAACTTGAACGTGGGTCTGTCTACCTCCAAAACCTATGCTAAAGTTCCAGAAAGGAGCAGAAGTGGGGAGTACTAGAAAAGGAAAGGCTTACTCTTCGGAAAAATTCATTGTGAACCAGCCTCAATAGTCCAACAGAGACCTCAGTCCCCTTTGCCAGCTGCCCAAGGTGGCACCTCACCACCTGACACTGAGTATTGCTCCCATTCTAACAGAAGAGACAGAGAGAGACAGATCAGGACTCTGGGGTAGAAACATCCTCTTTCCCCACCTCTAGTTCACACAGTCTTGTCCCAAGGCACCTGACTCCATTTTCATTCCCACTCCAGATCAGGACCCTGGGGTGGAAAGATCCCTTCTTCCCCACTCCAGTTCCTACCCTCTTGTCCCAAGTCACCCAACTCCACTTGCATTCCCACTCTGGACACCCCTTTGTGACTCATACCAGTCTGTTTGTGTGTTGAAGCTCCTCTGGATGCACAGGTGGGCCTGGGGGTTCAGTCAGGTTCTGCACTATGCAGCTTGCCTAGAGGAAGATCCAACTTGAAAGACCCTCCTGATGGGGTGGCGCTAGCCACTCAAGGCTGAGTTGGAACATACCTACACCCTTGTAGTTCTTCCCCTTATAATACCTTTTTCTTCTCTCTAATAAGCCACATGTGTAAAAAGAAAGCCCCCCAGAGAGAAGAGCCCCAAGAGCAGAGGCCCAACAGATAGGGAGCTGGTGTGGTGTCCAGCTTCAGTGAGTCCACCAGCTCAAGGTGGCAGGATTCCATGCCCTCCTAGACCAGACTCACATTGTTAGTGATGACTTGAGACAGTGATAGGAAGTAATTGCCCCCATGGGCCACAGCTGGAAGGAGGGCTGAGATGATGAGGCCACTGACCACATAGCAGCCTAGGTTCTGAACCTAAGAGGAAGGTTGGGAATAGGAAGAAGTGGGAGACAGAAGACCCTTCCTCATTTGTTCCCCTTCACCCTAGATACCATTAAAATCCAAGAGAGACCCTTCCCATCCTTTTCCCACAAAGCTGTTGTTCCCCCACATTCTCCTCATGCCAAGACCCCTCCAGCTTCTCACCCTGAGAGTGGTTTTGAATTCTGGGCCAGGACCCACTGGGAGGGTCCCATATGGGTGAACCTCATAGCGGTGCAGGGTAGACTCACTGTGTGAACACCAAGTCAGGAAGTACATGGTCACAGCCATAACACAGACACAGGGGCACATGATCAGCACACAGACGTGGATTCAGAGGAGGCAGGGCCAGCACATGGATAAAGAGGTGGGGGTACATGGAGAAGACAGAAGTAGAACATGACACAGACAATGCAAGCTTTATGGCTACATCCCATATCCCCTCATCCCAGCTCCAGTGCCCAAGGCCTGGCAAAACACTATACCTAGGAAAGTAAGATGCTTAAAAGGGAAGATTCAGCATGAATAGGATTGAGGGCAAAAAGACTGAGCAGCCGCAAGGGCTTGGGTTTTTGGAAAAACTGAGGCACATGGAAGGGGAGGGAAGCAGCATAAGGGTATGAGTCTGAGGTCAGAACTGGGTCCCACCCTAGAAGCTGGGCATACCTAGAGAACAGGAGGTGGGGCTCATATTGGATGTAGGCTGAGGTCTGGGCTGTGTTATCTTGAAGGGTCCCATTTCTCTCCAGGCTGTCACTGTAGGGTCAGAGGGGAGAGGCTCACATCTCAACCCCTCCTCAGAAGACACCCTTCTCTGTTAATAGAGGAATCAATGTTGTTCCTCCCCACCCCTCCAGTCAAGACTCAGTAGGAGGAGAGGTCTGGAAGAAAGTTCCCTTCATTCTCACCTGCTGGCAGTCAGCTTCACGAAGACCTGGCTCAGGAGAGAGGAGCAGCTAAACTCAAACTCTAGCAGAAAGGTCACCTAGGGGCAGGGGACACAGGGTAATGGTAGAGTCTTCCTCATGGAACAACTACAGAGGAACAGGAGCCCTTGTGCGCCCCCTTCCCTGAAGTCCCAGGACCCTCAGATCCCAGCCTCTGCCCTCCTAGAGCCCTCTTTTCATCCTAGACCCCAACCCACCTTGGCTCCAGTCTGGAAGACAGGATGCCCCACACTGCAGAGCCGGGCATGAGCAGAAGGGGCGGCACATTCCACCTTTATTGGGCTCTCTCTCTGAGGGCAGGGGAATGGAGATAGAAGCTGGAGCTGGGGCTGCAACTGCTGTCCTACCCACAGCCTCTAAACACTGAGCCTTTCTCTAGAGGACCTCACAGCTGAGGCCAATACCCCAATCTTCTTCCTCCTCCTTTCTTTCCTTCTCCCACACCCCCTCCTCCAAAGGCACCTGAGGAGTGAGACTGGCCAGGTGGAGGTTTCTAGAGAAGATGAGACTCAGGCTCGTATTGTAAGCATTTTCCTTTCTGTTCTCCAGAGTTGTAGATACCAGCACTTTCCGCCGGCCACCTCGAACCACAAATGGGGCCTTCCTGGGAATGATGAATGAGGGAGAGACCAGGAGTTGAAGGAGGGGAGTGCCAAAAGTCTCACTTTTGTTATCATGGGTAAGAAACAACCCCCTACCCGCCCTTCGAGTCCCTTCCAGTCTGTCTCAGGTCACCCTGGTTTGCCTAGTACATGTCCATCCAACCTGGAGCCTCTGATGTCCATATTCACTTGAAGCACCAGGTCTGTGACACATTCATTGTCAGGGCCACAATCCTTTGAGAAGGGGACCTGGAAGAAAGGGAAGGGGCTAAGGGTTGAGAGGAAAGCAAGGAGGAAAGGAATAGAATAGGGGGAAAGTGAAAAGACAAAAGTGGGTATATTTTGATTAGAGGAGCCCAGGTCAGATTTCACCATGATCTCATGTCTTCTCCCTCCCTCCCTTTTCTCTTGAAGGAGGGCAGTGTTGGGAGCAAGGGGCAGGGCATGGCACTGCTGACCAGCTTTTGTATAGAGGTGGGTGAGCCCTCATTCAGCACAGGCCCTGGCTTTGTAGTATTGTCCAAGGCAAAGGTCACAGTCAAGGCCACTGGCCGGAGGTAATCTGATGTATCCTGAAGGAAAACAGAGTCACAGAGTCACAGAGTCAAGGATCTTGTGATAATTGTAGTGATCATTTATGAAGCATTTTCTGTGTGCTGGGCACTGTCCTAAGATCTTAACTGTATTACTAAATTTAATTAATTAGTTAATTTATTTATTTATTTATTTATTTTTGAGACAGAGTCTCGCTCTGTCGCCCAGGCTGGAGTGCAGTGGCATGATCTCGGCTCACTGCAAGCTCTGCCTCCTGGGTTCAGGCCATTCTCCTGCCTCAGCCTCCCGAGTAGCTGGGACTACAGGCACCTGCCACCACGCCCGGCTAATTTTTTGTATTTTTAGTACAGATGGGGTTTCACCATGTTAGCCAGGATGGTCTCGATCTCCTGACCTTGTGATCCACCTGCCTCGGCCTCCCAAAGTGCTGGGATTACAAGCGTGAGCCACTGCGCCCGGCTAAATTTAATTTTAATACAACTCCTATGATACAGTTATTATTATCACCCCTTTGCAGACAAGAAAACTGAGGGTTGGACTTGCCAGAATTCATAGGTGGTAAATGGCAGAGCTAGGATTCAAACCCAGATCAGCCCTGACTCCAAAGTCTGAATCATCTCATTTTCCCGGCTTTGGCTTTCTTGCTGATTCAGCTAAAATTCCTCCTCTGACCCAGCTTTCTCCTCATTCTCAGGCCCTGATGCTAAGCAGTTACTGCCCTCTCCTTACCAGCACATGGAAGTGTAGCTGCTCACAAGTGACATTCCCCACACTGAGCCGGAGCCTCCGAGGGGACAACCTCTGGCCAGAGCCATCAAATGCTGCACGTGCCCCAGCAGTCCATTCATCCAGTGATGCGGTGAACCTCATGTCTGAATGAAGGAGGCAAGAGTGAGGGTGGAAAGGGGTCTAGTGAGGAAGGCATGCAAGGAATTGAGAGTTGCCTGTGATGCATTTTAGTCACTCACAGAATTGGTGATCCCAGCGACCAGGAGTACGGGAGGTCACTTGGAAGCAAAGGGCTGCAGTCAGACAGACTGCCTCTTGGCCTCGCCGCCTACAGTCCCTCTGAACCACACTGATGGCCTGTGGGGTCACCTCCAGTGATGGGGTCAGATGGACAATGGGCCGGGAGCTGGGAACAGTGTGGAAAAGAAATTCTAGCAGTAGGAGGTAAGCCCTCTGAGAAGTGCAAGCCCAGTGTTTGCTTCCCCATGGTCAAAACAAAGAAGGAGGGGCTGAATGCACATGTCACCCTCCCCCGAACCCTCTGACAGAAGTAAGATAATAGATTCATGTCATTGATCTTTTTTTTTTTTTGAGATGGAGTTTCACTCTGTGGCCCACGCTGGAGTGCAGTGGGGCGATCTCAGCTCACTGCAACCTCTGCCTCCTGGGTTCAAGTGATTCTCCTGCCTCAGCCTCCCGAGTAGCTGGGATTACTGGTGCCCACAACCATGCTCAGCTAATTTTTTTGTATTTTTAGTAGAGACGGGGTTTCACCATGTTGGTCAGGCTGTTCTTGAACTCCTGGCCTCAAATGATCCTCCTACCTTCGCCTCCCAAAGTGCTGGGATTACAGGTGTGAGCCACTGTACCCAGCCCTAGATTCACTTCAATACGCACTTACATGCTAGGCACTGTGTTCAAATCATTATATGGATTATCTCATTTAATCTTCACAATAAACCTATAAGGTAGGTACTATTACTACTGTCATTTTATAAACTAAGAATGGAGGCACAGAGTAAGTTGACCAAGAAAACCAAATCTCCATCTGTGACTTTAAGGCCCTTGCCTTTAACAGCTATGCTATGCTGTCCACCACCACCTGAGCTGGGACCCCTCACCTGAGCAGGATGGCTGCCCCCTGGGCACCCACAGCCACATCGACCAGATCATCTCCATCCAGATCTAGCCGACCATCCACACTTCGGCCAAAGTAGCTGAGGGCATGTGGCATGGAGGCAGCAGCAATCCTCTGAGAGGAAGAGAGAGAATACTGAGGCAGGGACCCATACACCTAGTTTCTCAGGCCTCCTGCCTTGCTCTTTCTTTTTATTTATTTATTTATTTTTGAGATGGAGTTTCACTCTTGTTGCCCAGGCTGGAGTGCAATGGTGTGATCTTGGCTCACTGCAACCTCCGCCTCCCAGGTTCAAGCGATTCTCCTGCCCTAGCCTCCTGAGTAACTGGGATTATAGGTGTGCGCCACCAGGCCCGGCTAATTTTTTGTATTTTTAGTAGAGTTTCATCATGTTGGCCAGGCTGGTCTCGAACTCCTGACCTCAGGTGATCTGCCTGCCTCAGCCTTCCAAAGTGCTGGGATTACAGGCGTGAACCACCACACCCGGCCATGCCTTGCTCTTTATAATGCTCCCGTCAGTCCTGGGAATAAGAGAAACTTGCCTGTGTTCAGGAGTTCTTAGTTCAGCAACCTGTCCACTGCCTTATGTTTTTGCCTACTAATAAAAGCACTTGTTCAGTTTGGGTCTCAAGCCAAGGAGACTATTGACAAGCAAAGAGCATCCCCCTATTCCTCTTCCTACAACCGTGCCCCTGCTTTATTTGGGTACTCCTGACCTGGGCAGGATGGGGCCTGACTCCACTCTGGGTTCCATGGTACAGGTACAGTGCTCCCTGGTGCCCATCTTCCAGAGGCGCCCCCACAGCCACATCAGCAAAACCATCTTGGTTCAGATCAGGAAGAGCTCCCATGGCAAAGCCAAACCGAGCATCCTGGGGGGGTTCTGGCTGAAGTGTTCCTTGGAGGGTCAGCAAGGACTGCTGGTGGAGGAGAGAAGATAGAAGATGCTAATCTGGCAGACCCAACCTCTCAGCAAACCCTCAAATATGTGCACCTTCCCTCCTTTCCTCCCTCCACCCCCACAATGCAAGTCCAGGGCAGGGGGTCCCAGCAAGTCTCACCTGGCCTACCAGATACACATAAACACGTCCTGTTTCCTTGTTCTGGGGTCCCAGGAACATGGGGGCAGCCACAAGTAAGACATCAGTTGTTCCATCCCTATCTGTATCCAATGGGCAGAGCTCACTGCCAAAGTATGAACCAATCTGGGGAATGGTGGGTGATGATGACCCCAGAGAAAAGGGAAGGTAACTGTAGACAAGTGGACTCAGTGGGAAGCACTCACCAGCCTGCTAGTCTGCTCCTTACATCCCTGACAGACTCTGCCAACCAGAATTCCGCACAGACTTTGGAGGCCTCTCTCTTACCCACTTCACACTCCTCCCCAACAGCCCAGAGGTCCCTGGGAATCCAAAGGTCCCACCCTTCCTTGGATGCCCTACCTGCTCCCCCTGGAGGCTCTGGGCAACCCTCACAGCCCCATCTTTCTTAAGCTGGAAGGCGATGACTTTTCCTCGATGTCTAAATCGAGGAGCCCCAGAGAGAAACAGGCGGCGTCCACCCCGCAAAAGCATGGAAGAAACAGAGTAACCTAGAAGTGGGCAAAGTAACAGAGGTAAAGGAAAAGAAGATGGGGTCCAGAGTAGGGGGGTTCCCTAAAGGCATAGCAGGAGGTCCCAAGGGAAGTAACCAGAGGTCAGTGAGAAACCGCATGAGTTAAGAGGGAGTATTTCATACCCGCCCCCACTAGGGATGTATTTCCTCCCCTACCCTGTAAGTCCTCTGCAACTCTCTGCTGCTCACCCAGGTAGGCTGCATGGTTCTGCAATGCAGGGGGGAACTCGTCTTCCAGTGCCATTCGTGGGGGGAAAAGGCGGTGGCCTCCTTCAAGCCATAGCACAGAGCCTCCCCAGTCATAGGCCCCCACCATCCCAAAAAGAATCCCATCCTGTGGGACAGAAGCAGATGGGGTCACTGAGAAGACAGTGGGGAATAAAGAGAAAAAAAACGTTCCAGGAGTGAAAAGATCACTGAGGGTCTGCTGGGCTCAGTTGGAAAGGCATGGGAAGGTGAGCATGGAGGCTGGTTAAAGGAGGAATCTGGAGGGCCCTGTGGTTGAAGTTATCTGAGTCAGAGAATGGGAGAAGTAATGAAGGGGTCAATCTGTCCAACCTTTAGCCGATGAGTGGAGAAACCAATCTGAGACATTTCCAGCCCAAAGGAGCTTTCGTTTTCTGCATGGGACCCTTGGTCATGAGAAAACATTGAGACAATATCAGGGGAAGACAGTTTCCCCTTTGACCTACTGAACTCACTCCAGAGCCCCACCTACACTCCAGAACTTCTCCCGCCCTGTCCATTTCTCCAGAGTAATCCTCACCTTCAAGGCCAAAAATCCGATCTCCTAGTGCATCCACAATGTCAGTCAGAGCAGCCTCATCTGTGACATTGAAGAAGAATCGCTCATCTGGATCACTGGCAATAGTTCTAATTTCTCTCAGGAAAGAGCTGGGATCTCGCTGCCGCCGGAGGTAGTGACCAAGGACCTAAGAGGTCATAAGATCAAGGAATGAGGCATTAGAGTTGGTACAGAACACAGCCAACTAACATGCTGTGGCTGAAGTCTGGGAAGTAGTTAATGCCCTTGTTTTCCTCAAGTTCCCAGTCCTTGGACAGTTCACAAGACACTGCCCCCCTGCCACTCCCCAACTCTTCCAGATCCAGGGTGAATTCTCACTGCAATCCCATAGCGTGTCACTCTTCCAGCCTCACAGGCCTTTAGTGCTGCAGGAAGCTCCTCTCCATCATGGGACTCTCCATCAGTGACAACCACCAGTAGCCTGGCAGCCTCGGGTCGGCCCCCATGGGACTGACTGAACCCTTCTGTGCTGAGAAGAGAAAGGAGTGAGGTGAGATCAGATGTATGCAGACACACACACACACACACACATACACACACACACACACACACACACACACACACACACACACACAGGATTTAACATCAGCACTTCCCTGAGGTCAGGCATCTTGCCTTTTAGGCCATTTCCTGAGTATTTAACATGGAGATGGCATGGAGTGAGAGCTCAAATGTTTGAAGGTCATAGAACATACAGAGTAGCTTATCAGTCCAAATAAGTACAACGTTCATACACTCAGATTCATTCAACAAATATTGCACTTGGGAGGGGAAATATCGATGAAATATAGAACGGAAAAGAATGATCTGGGCAGGGACTCCTCCCAGAGATGAGTTGTTTTGTTTTGTTTCAATTTTACCACCGTGCCCCTAGAGATGAGTTTTGGATCATGTTTGGAACGTGGGCTAGGACATCAGTAGTGGAGAACCTGTGGGCCAGGATCATTGTTGGAGTGGAGGGATAGAAAGAGACTTCTGTCTGTGAAATATGGAGAGACACAGACATAGATACTTTGTAGAAATGCAGTGAGAGGGAGTACAATGACAGCCCACTTAGCCTTCCTCTTTGTACCATTAGTGTACATACAAAGAAAGTATGCAAGACATCTTGGGATATACACACTGCACTCCAAACCTGCCCTAACTCTTCTTCTTCTTCTTTTTTTTTTTTTAAGGGAAAGATTTTCATTTCATTTTATTTTATTTTATTTTAGATGGAGTTTTGCTCTCGTTGCCCAGGCTGGAGTGCAATGTTGTGATCTCGACTCACTGCAACCTCCACCTCCCGGGATTAAGTGATTCTCCTGCCTCAGCCTCCGAAGTAGCATGCCTCTGAACAGGCATGCGCCACCATGCCTGGCTAATTTTGTATTTTTAGTAGAGATGGGGTTTCTCCATGTTGGTCAGGCTGGTCTCGAACTCCTGACCTCAGGTGATCCGCCTGCCTTGCCTCCCAAAGTGCTGGGATTACAGGCGTGAGCCACCATGCCTGGCCCCGCCCTAACTCTTCTAAGCCTTCATTGCTCTAGCCTCCCACACCTGTCTTCCCAATGCCTCACCAGGCCACCATTATTGCTTGGGCAGTCTTTGTTTCTCGTCCCTCCCGCCGACTGAGGTTCTTTGCTGCTCTCACCACTTCTTCCTTCGTTCGGAAATCTCCCAGGGACCACTCATGTACAGGGCTCTCCCCATACTGTACCAGTCCCACCTGGGAATAAAGCGCATTCAAATGAAATGTATGTATGTGAGATGGGGGGAGAGGAGGAAGAAGAAAGTATATAAGAGAGGAGAGATGAACACCTGGATACTACTGAAGACAACACCTACATTTATCCCCTCTCTCTCTGTCTCTCCCCTTCCAAGCCCATCCATATTGCCTTTCTCTCTCTCTCTAAGAAATGAGGTCTCACTCTTTCACCCAGGCTGGAGTGCAGTTGTGTGATCAAAGCTCACTACAGCCTCAAACTCCTGGGCTCAACTGATCTCTTGCCTCAGCCTCCTGAGTAGCTGGGACTGTAGGCGCATGCCACCATGCCTGGCTATTTTTTTTTTCTTTCATATTTTTAGAGATGAGGTCTCACTGTATTGCCCAGGCTAGTCTTGAACTCCTGGCCTCAGGGGATCCTCCCACCTCCACCTCTTAAGTAGGTGCCACAAGCAACTGTGCCCAGCTCATATTGCCTTCTCTTACCTGTATCTGTTCTGGGTCAATAAACAGTTTCCCTACCAGTCTTCGTAGGAAGGTCTGAACTTCAGACCAGGGGTAGATGCTGTTGGAGCCATCCAAGACAATGACAACATCCATGTATGTTGGGCAGCCTAGAAGGAAGGAGAACACTGAGGTAGAGGACACTGAGCTGGGGGCAACAAGGGAAAGAGGTCACAGGAGGACACATTCAATTTAGACATTTATAAGGCACTTCTTACATGCAAAGAAGGTACTGTGCCAGGCTCTGTGTAAGTGTAGAAATTAATAAAATATTCCTTTAGTAATCTTTAGTAATTGTGTGTATGTAAGTATACATATAAATGTATATATATGTATATATGTATATATAGGTATATAAACACACACACCTACACATTTATATACATAGATATAATTTATATATACAATGTTCTAAAAAACAAGAAGGAATTAAATGCTATGTAGGAACATAGCAATGACTGTATGGTGGGGGAACAAAAGCAGAGTGGTTCTGATGGTGAGGAATGAAACATGGTAGCAACTATGAAGACTGAAAATGTTTAAGGAGAAGAGAATATTAGGAAAGGCATGTGGGTAGAGAACATTTTTTTTTTTTTGAGACAGAGTCTCGCTCTATTGCCCAGGCTGGAGTGCAGTGGCGCAATCTCGGCTCACTGCAAGCTCTGCCTCCTGGGTTCACGCCATTCTCCTGCCTCAGCCTCCCGAGTAGCTGGGACTACAGGCGCCCGCCACGACACCCGGCTAATTTTTTGTGTTTTTAGCAGAGACAGGGTTTTACTCTGTTAGCCAGGATGGTCTCGATCTCCTGACCTCGTGATCCACTGGCCTCGGCCTCCCAAAGTGCTGGGATTACAGGCGTGAGCCACCACGCCTGGCCCATTTTGTTTGTTTTTGAGACAGAGTCTCACTCTGTCGCCCAGGCTGGAGTGTAGTGGCATAATCATGGCTCACTGCAGCCTGGACCACCTGGGCTCAAGTGATCCTCCCACCTTGGCCTCCTGAGTAGCTGGGACCACAGGCATGCACCACCATACCCAGCTAATTTTTTTATTTTTTATTTTTGTAGAGATGGGGTCTCTCTATGTTGCCCAGGCTGGTCTCAAACCTCCAGACCTCAAGCAATCCTCCTGCGTTGGCCTCCCAAAATGTTGGGATTACAGGCATGAGTTACTGTGCCAGGCCAGATCATGGACTCCTGATAAGGAGTCTGAATTATTATTATTATTATTTTTGAGATGGAGTCTCGCTTACTCTGTCACCCACGCTAGAGTGCAGAGGCACAATCTTGGCTCACCGCAACCTCCACCTCCTGGGTTGAAGTGAGAGTCTCCTGTCTTAGCCTCCCGAGTAGATGAGATTACAGGCATGCACTAGCGCACCCAGCTAATTTTTGTATTTTTTTTTTTTAGTAGAGATGGAGTTTCACCATGTTGGCCAGGCTGGTCTTGAACTCCTGACCTCAAGTGATCTGCCCACCTTGGCCTCCCAAAGTGCTAGAATTACAGGTGTGGGCCACCACACCTGGCCAGGAGTCTGAATCTGTTAGGAAACATGGAGCTTTTGCAAGCACATTAGGTAGCAATGAGGATAGCCATGCAGGCCCTTTGCCAGGCATCATACCGCTTTGCCCCATCTTTTTCCCACCCAGTATCTCCTTCTGGGAACCAAGTACTCAGCCTTCCTCTGGCTCACGTTGGGCAGTGGGTGCCAGGCTTCCCTGAGGCTGGAATGAAGCATCCACACGGGCACATATCCCAGAACTGAAGACAGAGCTGCCACAAGCACGAGACCAGAGAGGGGCACAGGCCTGGGGATGGGGGAAATAGTTACTCCCAGGCTTGGGAGGGCACCCTCAGAACATGCTCCCAGTTGAAGGAGGCATGAAGACTACTCCCTGACATTACCTACCTTTTGCTTTCTAGGGTTTTTAACTCCTTGACCCCTCCACACAGACCATTTTCCCTTACCACACTTCTCTTTTTTCTTTTATGGACCTTCAGAGACACTGCCACCACCCTCTCCTTAGCTCACCATGAATCCCCCATCACCATCTGTCTCTAACAGAGACATCCCCAGGTGCATATTCACAGCAGGATGAGATGAATTTCCCAGTTGGTAGTCACCTGGTTGGAAGGAGGTGGAAGAGAATGAGATCATGGGGTCATAGATGGGGTGCTTGAATTCATGTGATTTTGGAGGAGAATGAGCAGGGATTGGTATCAGATTGGGGACAGGGAGTATGCGGATTTTAGGGGTGAAAAAGCTGAGGTATAGGGAGTTGAAGCTTCTAGAGTATCAAAGTCAGGGGTTAGGAGGAGAAGGGTCAGGCATCTTCTCACCTAAGTGGCCCTTGGCACATGGGGCATTGTGGGCCCCCCCTACAGGGCAGCGATAAACGTCCCCCCTCCGGTCGCCTGAAGGCCCATCCCAGGGGGCGCCCACCAGCATCCTGGGAAGAGGATGTGAATGTAAGTAAGCACAGGGCAAACATGACCCTTGACATAGGCCAAAGGGAAAGAGCATGGAGGTGGTAAGTTTAGAGCCCCAGCCACTTTCAAAAGACCAGATTAGTTTAGAGTCCCATCTATCTTGCCTCCCCTTTGTTAGCACTACTGCAGTCCCAATCCCCTGGCACTCCGGTTTCTTCCTCACCATCGCTGTCCACCCCCAACATGTTGTAAGACACTGTATCCAAATTCAGCTTCTGGTGGCCCTGGGAATAGGCGTGGGTGATGTTCATCCAGGTTAAAGGGGGAGCAGAGACCTGTGGGGTCAGGATCATAATGTTAGTATGAGGTAGTGAATGGCTAGAGGCACAGCCCGAGAGAAGCTGTGAGGAAGCGTCTTAATCTCAGTCTGCCTGCCTGCTTTTTCACTCATAAGCTTTTCTGGCCTCTCTCAGTGTCATGTACTCAGAGCTCCAGGCAAAGATGATTCCCTTCCTGTGTTTGTGTCCAGATGCCTAAACTGTGGCCCTCTGCCATGCTGATGTACAGCTGTATTTCCATTCCCACCCCTGAAATTTCATTCACAGACATGTCTGAAAAGGTCAAGTTACTTTTTTTTTTTTTTTTTTTTTTTTTTTTTTGAGACGGAGTCTCTCTGTCGCCCAGGCTGGAGTGCAGTGGCGTGATCTCGGCTTACTGCAGGCTCCGCCCCCCTGGGTTCACGCCATTCTCCTGCCTCAGCCTCCCGTGTAGCTGGCACTACAGGCGCCTGCCACCTCGCCCGGCTAATTTTTCTTATTTTTAGTAGAGACGGAGTTTCACCGTGTTAGCCAGGATGGTCTCGATCTCCTGACCTCATGATCCGCCCGCCTCGGCCTCCCAAAGTGCTGGGATTACAGGCGTGAGCCACCGCGCCTGGCTACTCTTTTCCACAACATTCCTTCCACACACTCTCCTCAACAAACTGTGAGGGTCAAAAGAGGGAGAGGGCCTTTCTGTATCCCCAGAACAACCATTGCTTCCAATTCTCCCCAAAATAGGGGGAATGAAAGGAAGCTAAGGAGCACTGCATGTCTGGCTCTCTCCTTCTCTATCTCTTCCTGACTTCCAGTGTCATTGTCACACTCTCACTGTCTTTTTCCAATGTCTAGGTCCCTGGTTGATTCCAGCCTTGGAAATCTCAGTGGTAATTAACTGGGTGGGGCCACTCGCCTGCCCACACACATAGTTTGCCATCCATCCTTTCCAAGGGTCCCATCATCCTGAAGTTTCCCACAACCTGCTTCCTTTTTAACTAATCTACTCTCCCAACTGGTCCCCTACCTACCTCCATGGTTTCCTCAGCCTTCAGCCCATTCTAAAGGTGCCCGACCCTAGCTAATCTTCCCTTTTGACCCCAATGCCTTTAAAATCAGAGCTGGTATTTTAGGAAACAATGATTACAGGGCACTGCCAAGGAAAAATTCCAGGCCTCTTGTCCTTCCCATGGTCCTTTCCCCAACTATGTCTTGCTCTGTACTTCTAAGCAACCCCCTCTCAGGCTACCCCCTCACCATTACCAATGGCTATAGCTTTATCCCAAACCATGCTCATTTTCAGAAAGGTGTTTAGTATGTGAGCAGTTTTGCATCCAGAAAACTGGCAGGGCTGTATGACCAGAAACTGCAGCTCATTGGTTAGATAAACCCAGAGTTCTGACCACATAGTTAGTCAGTTATGCCTCAGGCCCCAGGGACCACCAAGGGTAAGAAGTTAGGGAGGGGATAATAGGAATCAGACTAGCCACGTGGAAGGTCACATCACATTTCTTTTTTGTCTCCTTACCCCTATAGGGCTTAGGATGAAGATTTTATATATTTAGATACAAATCTCAGCCAAGCATGGTGGCTCATGCCTATAATCCCGGCACTTTGGGTGGCTGTCGGGGGCGGATTGCTTGAGTCCAGGAGTTAAAGACCAGCCTGGCCAACATAGCAAAACTCTGTCTCTAAAAAAAAAAAAATTAGCCAGGCGTGGTAGCACACGCCTATAGTCCCAGCTACTCGGGAGGCTAAGGTGGAAGGATCACCTCAGCCTGGGAGGTTGAGGCTAGAGTGAGCCATGATCATGCCACTGCACTCCAGCTTGAATGACAGAGTGAGACCCTGTTTCAAAAAAAAAAATTAGCTGTGCGTGGTGGCGCGTACCTAGTAGTCCCAACTACTGAGCTGTGGTTGCACCACTGCACTCCAGCCTAGACAACAAAGTGAGACCCTATCTTTAAAAAATAATAATAATTATTATATACAATATATAACTATATAATATATAATTATGTTATATATTATATGTATATTATATATAATATATAATTATGTTATATATTATATGTATATTATATATAATATATAATTATGTTATATATTATATGTATATTATATATAATATATAATTATGTTACATATTATATGTATATTATATATAATATATAATTATGTTATATATTATATGTATATTATATATAATATATAATTGTTATATATTATATGTATATTATATATAATATATAATTATACATTATATATTATATAATTATTAGATACAAATCTTACACAAGGTCCTAGGCAGCTTTAGCCCCTGCCAGTCTCAATATTCAAACAGTCATATGTGAGGGCATAAAAATGCACAAGGACACAGACACACATACAAGAAATGTACAACCAGTGTTCGCTTCCTAACCTAAATCCCAAAGAATTTTAACTATAATGGTCCCAATTCCAAACAATCTATGTATCTTCCATCCCCACCAGAAACCAAGAAGTTAACTTCCCTCACCTGTCAGGAACACCAGGGGCAAGAACAGGTGAGTGACGAAGGGGAGTTCCATGCCTGATCGGTTTCTGTCCAGTATGAGAAGTCCTCTGGCCTCTGTCCCTCTCCTTTTCTGTTTTCTTCACTTTCCCTCCCATCCTGCCCCCTCCCAATGGCAGCTAAAAATAAAGTTGGAAGGAATGGGAGGAGTGATGGTGGGGAACTGTGGGGAGCCCCAGACCAAGGAAAACACTGAGCGATCTTAGTCTATTTCTCTGCCTTGGTGCTGCCCCCTGGAGGCCTCATCTCTATATCCAGAGAACATATTTTTTTGCCCATTTCTGCTATTTCTTTTTTTCTACTGTTTATTGTTGCCAGGTCAATAATGCTTTCCTCAAATTTGGAACAGGAGTGGGAGATGGATTCTTTTTTATAAGAAAAGAATCTTAAACTTTTGTTTAAAAGTTTTAGACAAATTATTTATATTGAGAATACAGACAGGGTTTCACTATGTTACCCAGGCTGGTCTTGAACTCCTGAACTCAAGGAATCCTCCCACCTCAGCCTCCCAAAGTGAGCCACTGCACCCAGCTGGGAGATAGGAGATAGATTCAGATTTTTTTTTTTCTTTTTTAAGGCAGAGTCTCACTCTGTCACCCAGGCTGGAGTGCAGTGGCACAATCTTGGCTCACTGCAACCTCTGTCTCCCACGTTCAAGCATTTCTCATGCCTCAGCCTCCCAGGTAGCTGGGACTACAGGCACATGCCACCATGCCTGGCTAATTTTTTATTTTTAGTAGAGGCAGGGTTTCACCATGTTGGCCAGGCTGGTCTTGAACTCCTGACCTTAAGAGATCCACCTGCCTCGGCCTCCCAAAGTGCTGGGATTACCGGCGTGAGCCACCACGCCTGGCCGATAGATTCACTTCCTAACCTTATTTATCTCAACCTGGAATATGGAAAATGAAAGAGCTGATAGCAGTGGTATCATTTCCCTACCCACCCAGGGGAGTCTCAACTTGTGAAGACACAGCTCCAAATCCTTACCAGCCCCACTCCACTTGGTTCTGTCCTTGGCTCTTAGCCTATGCTGTCATATGGCATTCTGCTTCTTAGAGGGATTATATCTGAACTGGTATGAGATGTGCTTTGTGGAGCCAGGACAATAACTTTAGTATTAGACCACTCCTCTGCCACCCCAACTCCTCAGCTAGGTTATAAACTTCTTAAAGTTGGGAGTGTGGAGCTTCTTAGATTTTTGGATGCCCACTAAGTATGTTGCTTTACATACTGTAGGTGCTCAAGAAAAATAATGTGGGTGATGTTAGTGGCTAATCCCGAGAAAAACCCAAACCACAGTGACAGGAATAGGGGCCTCAAATTACCAAAAAATGAGGGACCAGACCAAATGTCGATGAGCAAACTGAACTTTAATTTGCTTACCTGAAAGGCTTGCTCTTCATTATTGGCATAGGCCACAGCTATTTACACAGAATCATTGTACAGGATTTACAGCAAGATGCTACACATAGCATCATTCTGGATAAGCGACAAAGGAGTAAGAACAGACTGGGGAATAAAGCTCTGAAATCAAAGTGTAAGCAGAAATCTGAAGGTAGGTGTACAAGGAAGGATAAGGGCCAAATGATGAGCGAGGTTGGTGAGGTAGACATAAGGGAGGAAGAGGAAACATCCAACAACTTGTGGTGCAGAGATATAAGGGAAGAGTCCACTGGCACATAGTCTTAAAAATTATGTTTGGAGTTTGAAGGAGGAAAAATCTGCCATAAGCCACCTCTGTGAGAAAAAAGAAGGCAGTTAGAACCTTACAGGCCAAACCTTATACCTCCCCTATCAAAAAGTAATTCTGCTGATTAAATCCCTGGATAGGAGAATGAGAAGGTTGAAAAAAGAAAGAGAGAGATGCATAGACACAGAACCTTAAACAGAGTTAAGAGACACAAAGTAAATATATTCAAGAGAGACACAAAGAAAGAGGAAAAGAACAGAAGCTCAGGCACATCTAGAAATTAGAGACATCCTATTAACTTCACGAGTCATCTTTCCTTACCTCATCTTCCCCAAAGCTCTTCCTCCACCCCTAAATCTCTGAATTTCTAACTTTAACCAAAGAGTAGAATTCGAATGAGGCTGGCACATGGGGGACGATCTAAGATTCCATCTCACCAATTCAGGTCCCCTCCTTATCCTGTACCGGAAGGTCAGGGCTTGAGTCGTAGCCAGGGATAGATTAGGGTGAGAATAGACAGGATGGAGGACACGAGGCCACAAAGCCCCACAATCCCAGGGCCACAGCGCCAGAGGCCTAGTTTGTCCAGAGGAATGAAGAGATCACAGGCATTTCTGACCACGTCTAGCAGAAGTGGGGGATGACCTCTAAGGACTCGAGCCAGGAGCAGGACTTGCAGCCGAAGTTTCAGAGCCAGTTGGGGCAGACCTCCTCCTGGAGTCCCTGGTCCCCCAAGTCCCCCAGTTTCACTTCCTCCTGGGACTCCTCCTCCAGAACCTTTCAGTCGCCGGCTACAAGCAGAAGACTCTTGCTCCATCAGTAGGCGAATCTCATAAGCATCACGGCTCAAATTCATGATGAGGGAAAACAAATAGTACCTGATACACAGAGCAAAAGGGTCAGTAAGGGCATGTATACCTACTTAACATATCCAACATCACATTTTAACATTTTCTTTTCCTGTAGCAAAGAGATTACACATTAGATCAGAAGTAAAGTGAATGCTATTACCCCTATTAGAAATGTCCTCCATCGAGGACACTATGCTAAGCAAAATAAGCCAGACACAGAAAGACAAATACTGCATAATCTCACTTATAGGTGGAAGCTAAAATAAGGCCGGGCGTGGTGGCTCATGCCTGTAATCCCAGCACTTTGGGAGGCCAAGGCAGGTGGATCACCTGAGGTCAGGAGTTTAAGACCAGCCTGGCCAACATGGTGAAACCCCGTCCCTACTAAAAATACAAAAATTGGCCAGTTGTGGTGGCCAGCACCTGTAATCCCAGCTACTTGGGAGGCTGAGGCATGAGAATTGCTTGAACCCAGGAAGCAGAGGTTGCAGTGAGCCGAGATCTCACCACTGCACTCCGGCCTGGGCAACAAAGCAAGACTCTGTCTCAAAAAAAAAAAAAAAAGGCTAACTCATAGGGGCACAGAATAGAATGGGGGTTGCCAGGGGTTGGGGAGTGAGGGAAATGGGAAGATACTGGTCAAAGCGTATAAGTTTCAGTTATGCAAGATGAGTAAGTTCTGGAGATCTAATGTACTACATTGTGACTATAGTTAACAATACTGTATTGTATATTTGAAATCTGCCAGGAAGGTAGATCTTAAGTGTTCTTACCATAAAAGAAAAAAGGTAATTATGTGAGGTGATGGATATGTTAATTAGCTTGACTGTGGTGATCATGTCACAACGTACATGTACAAACATCGAGCTATAACTCCTTAAATATATGTAATTTCTATTTGTCAATTATGTCCCAATAAAAATGAAGAAACAAAGTCCTCCCAACATTCTGTAACTAATACATGTTTATGTGCACCTTAAGATCCTGGTTTAAACTCCATGAGCATCATGAAATCTTCCAAGGTCAATCTCAAATTTCATTTTCCACTTGGCAACACACACACACACACACACACACACACACACACACTCTCCATCTCTCTCTCAACTTGACCTATAACAAGGCAAACTTGTTTTGAAAGAACAAATTTCAGATGTCTCAGAGACTCAAACATATTAAAGGTGATCTAAATCCAATCCCTATTCCTTTAGAGGCCCAGAGGTTTAAGTAATTGCCAAATGTGTTAAATTATAAATTTCTTCAGTAAAAAATCCATGTTTTTTATTTGTAATCCAATCTGACAATGGTGGTCTGTACTCAATAACTTGTACTACCTTCAAAGTATATCCTGAACCCAACCAACCACATCTCTCTATCACACCGCACTGCCATACTCTAAGCCACTAACATCTCTTGTCTGGACTTCTGCTTTAATGTTTTAACTGGTCTCACTGTGGCCATTGTTGCCCCCACCCCCAACAATCTATTTTCATATAATAGCTAGCATAAACATAAATCACATCATTACTTCCCTTCTTAAAACTCTCCATGGTTGGCCAGGCGTGGTGGCTCACGCCTATAATCCCAGCACTTCGGGAGGTGGAGGCAAGTGGATCATGAGGTCAGGAGTTGGAGACTAGCCTGACCAACGTGGTGAAACCCTGTCTCTACTAAAAATACAAAAATTAGCTGGGTGTGGTGGCGCGTGCCTGTAATCCCAGCTACTCAGGAGGCTGAGGCAGCAGAATCACTTGAACCCAAGAGATGGACGTTGCAGTGAGCTGAGATTGCACCATTGCGCTCCAGCCTGGGCGACAGAGCAAGACTCCATCTCAAAAAAAAAAAAAACCAAAAACAAATAAACAAACCACAGCTCTCCATGGTTTTCTTCCTGTCACATTCATAATAAAATATAAATACCTTAGAGAGGCTTACAGACTCAACATCTGGTCCCTACCCCTCTAACTTTACCTTGTATCATTCTTTCCTGCAATCATTATGCTCCAACCATGTTGGTTTCCTTCTACATTTTAATCCCATCAAGCTTGTTCTTGCCTTAGGACCTTTGCACTACCTATTCCCTCTACCTGGAATATTCTCCCTCCACCTGGAATATTCTCCCTCCAAAACCCTCACATAGCTAGCTCTTTCTTGCTCTTCAGGTATGAGCTTAAGTATCACCTCTTCGGAGACGCCTTCCCTTATCCCTAAATCTAAAGCACTGAGTCAGTTACTCTCTACTCCATAACACTGTTTTAATTTCCTGCATAACATTTACCAGTATCTGATATTTTAATTTATTGTTTATTTATGTTTATCTCATCCCATTACAAGGTAAGTTCCAGAGGAGCAGAGGCCTTGTTTGTCTTTTCTTTTTTTTTGAGACGGTATTTCACTGTTGTTGCCCAGGCTAGAGTACAATGGCACGATCTCGGCTCACCACAAACTCTGCCTCCCGGGTTCAAGCGATTCTCCTGCCTCAACCTCCCGAGTAGCTGGGATTACAGGCATGCGCCACCACACCCGGCTAATTTTGTATTTTTAGTAGAGACGGGGTTTCTCCATGCCGGTCAGGCTGGTCTCAAAACTCCTGACCTCAGGTGATCCGCCCGCCTTGGCCTCCCAAAGTGCTGGGATTACAGGCATGAGCCACCGCACCTGGCCGGCCTTGTTTATCTTTAACCACTGTATCCCTGTATGTACACTGGTGCCTACCATATAGTAAGAGCTCAGTAAGTATCTGTTGGATGAAATGAATAAATATAACATATAGACTCCTTTAGGGAGTTGCTTTTCCATACTGCTCCAGCCATGCCTCTGCTCCCACCCCTCATACATCATAAGCCATGTTAAAGTTGTAAATCACTGAGAAAGATGAAGGGAAAAGCAAGGTTAATATAATGAAAAAGTACAATCATAGGAAAACGAAAAACAATACAGATAATATGTTAGAGAATTTTACTCCCACATCATATTTCTCTCTACCTTTATTGTCAGCTACCTCCTTTGTCCAAGCCAACGTCATCTCTTGCTCGTATTAGGGCATCTCCTCCTCTCTTGACCCACTGCAATCCATTTTCTTTTCTTTTCTTTTCTTTTTTTTTTTTTTTTGAGATGGAGTCTTGCTCTTGTCACCTAGGCTGGAGTGCAATAGCACGATCTCGGCTCACTGCAACCTTTGCCTCCCGGGTTCAAGCGAGTCTCCTGCCTCAGCCTCCCGAGTAGCTGGGATTACAGGTGCCCGCCACCACACCTGGCTAATTTTTGTAATTTTAGTAGAGACGGGGTTTTGCCACGTTGGCCAGGCTGGTCTTGAAGTCCTGACCTCGTGATCCCCCCAACCTCGGCCTCCCAAAGTGCTGGGATTACAGGCGTGAGCCACTGCGCCCGGCCTGCAATCCATTTTCAACATCTCAAAAAGAGATGTCCTTTAAACACAATTTGAATCATGTCATTTCCCTGCTCAGAATCCTTCAATAATGTCCCATTGTAGGATAAAATAAAACAAACATTAACATTGCCTAAAAGGCCCTGTATGAAAGATCTGGTGCCTGTCTATCTCTCAAATTTGAACTGATGGACTCAATACTGTCAATCACACTGGCTTTCTTTCTATTTCTCTAATTCCCTTAAGTCTTTCTTAGTTCAAAGCCTTACTTAGAATGTGCAATTTTCTCTGTTTGGAAATGTCTTTTCTGCTACTGTTGGCTTTGTCTAACTCCTCCTACTCAGACATCAGGTCTGAGCTAAAATATTACTTTCTCAAAGAGTTTTTTCCTGATTTTCCAATCTAAATTAGCTCCCCTTGTGATATTCTTTCATAATACCGCATACTTTTCCACAAATATATATGAGAAGTTATTCATTGTAGTATCTAACTCCCTCACTAAACTAGAAGCTTCATGGGAGCAGGCACATTATCTGTTTAGCTCTTTGCTTTATCCCCTGCGCCACAGTAAGCATCTAATAAATATCTTTGGAATGAATGAGTAAGCAGGTAGTGAGGGGGAATAACCTGTGGTATAGAAGCACAATTAAAGTGATATAATATCTTACCTTGCACAATATTAGTCATTCATTATGGAAGAGCATCTGTCTTCCATCTCTCCCCATTTGATATTCTCCGATAGTTTAAGATCTAAGTGATTGGAAGCCAAGTGACTGATCAAGACTTATATACTCTGGAAAGATCCTAAGATATCTTTCCCTCATATAAGACAAGCTATGCAATATAGAGGCTACAAAAAAAAATCTTAAAGGAGAACAGGATATCAAACCTGAATGAACGCTGGGCCCACTTCTCCTGATCCACACGGGGAGCCAGTCCAGACTTTCCAGCCCACAGGACATTGTCACAGGCGAAGTACAAGGCTCGATTGAGGTGACTAACAGTGATGCAGAATCTCAGGACAACATCTGATAGGTGAACAGCTCTTTTGGCTGACTCAAGGGCATCTGCTGAGTTACCCAGGCGTAGAACTTGTGGAGATTAGAAAGGGAAAGCAAGGATTTGTAAGTGGAGAGGCAGATAACAAGAAACAGAAACAGAGAAAGCAAGAGGGCAAAAGTTGAGCAATAATAATGACAATTTTTTTAAAGAGCAGAAACAGGCTGGGCATGGTGGCTCAAGCCTGTAATCCCAACATTTTGGGAGGCCGAGGTGGGTGGATCACCTGAGGTCACGAGTTTGAGACCAGCCTGGCCAACATGGTGTAACCCCATCTCTACTAAAAATACAAAAATTAGCCCGGCATGGTGGTGGGCACCTGTAGTCCCAGCTGCTCAGGAGGCTGAGACAGGAGAATTGCTTGAACCTGGGAGGCAGAGGTTGCAGTGAGCCAAGATTGCGCCACTGCACTCTGACCTGGACGAGAGACTCTGTCTCAAAAAAATAAAAAATAAAGAGCAGAAACAGTCCATTTTTCAATTTCAAATTTAATTTTTGTGCCAGTTTAGTTTTCTCAAACTTGACCCATTCTCTCCAGTCCGCCTAATTACTTCCATACCCCTGCTCTCTTATCTCAACTGGACTCATGCAGAGGGTAAGTGCAGAGCCAAATGAGAAAGAAGAACAGAGAGGGTACAGGAAGGAGGGACAAAGGAAGGTGAGCTGGGGATGGAGGAAAGGTTGGGGGATAAAAGGAAAGACAGAGTTACTTACGCTTTCTTCCAAGGCTCAGGTGGCTCTCCAGTTGTCGAATCTGTTTCTGTAACTCAGGACTGGCTCCATGCCTCTGCAGCGCATGGCCAAGAAGAGAGCAAGCATACTGGGCGGCCCTAGAGGAGAGGGCAGGCAAGGTAAGGTGGAGACCTCCCTAACCTTCCGCTCAAAACTATCTTCCAAAAGGCACAGACAGACTTCCCCCTTTCCCAGTTTGAGAACACTCCCCTTCCTCCTCCATGCCCATATCTCACCATTTCTCCAGGCCAGAGGAAGGGAAAGGCATAAGGAGAAAAAAGAGTCTAGAAAGGGGTGGGGAGCACTATTGAATGTTGAGCAAATTAGAGATTTGACAATGATGAGGCCTGAAGGGGCCAGTGCAGGCCGCAGGGGTCCATCACAAGCACATCAGCGTGAGCATGTACGTGATCGATGAGGGGGAGGCAGACAGTTGGAGGGCATTTTATTCCTCAGAATAGGTGAACTGAGAGATTTCAAGGCCCTCTAGCTGAATGGAGACCAAACGCCAGGGCGGAGGCAGGGGAGTTCCCGAATGGCAGCACGGTGTGGGGACACGGAAACTGGGAGTGCCTCCTCAGCTCTGGGGGCAGAGTCTGGGGCTATCCACCGTGGGGCGAATGCTCCTCATTCCATCACCGCCCAGTGAGGACACTGTCGGTCTTATGTGGACACAGCAACCCTGAGCGGCCTCCCCGCTGGCCCACTCATGCCTCAGTTTCCCCATCTCTTCCGCGAACGGAAAGGAATCATCTCAACAGCGGCTCAAATCTGCGCCTCACGGTCCGTTCGGGCCCCCGTAGCCGGAGTTGACCCTTCTTGACCCCCCTGTAGCCTAAACTGACTTCGCCTCACTAGAGTCTTCCTCTGTCCATCCCTCCCCCGCCCCACCCCCATTCCTATTCGGGCCGCACCTACACAGCCGCTCCCGGGCTTGGCTCTGAGCACTGAAGCGGACCCAGGCGTCCATGACAGCCGCAGCCCAGGCTCCGCGGCCCTGCTCCCGCCCCACTTCCCGCCCCTAGTCACGCCTACTGCGCGACCCAACGGTGCCTCGCGAGGGACAAACAGTATCAGAAAAGAAAGCTTGGCCCTGGAAGCGGAATTTCAGGACGCGAAACTCGTGTCTTTTGAGCCTCCATCTGTGTATTACTGTGCGTGTCTGCGTCACAGCTTCCCCTTATCAGACGACCCCTACTCCCTAGCACGCCTCCAGCGGCACCTTCTTCTTTAAATATTCATGACCAAGGGCGGGGCCTGCAGGGGCCGGGGCGGGGCGAGAAAGCGCCGCAGTGATCTCCACGTCTTGGAGGCCGCCGGCATAGGTGTGCGCCTGGCAGAACCTCACAAATACACATGCACGCAGGCCCCGACTGAATCCAGGGCTGTAGGGGCTAAAGAGGTCTAGGTCAGTAGAGGCCTGAAGCCCAGGCTGGTCTGTCCAAGGAAAAAGGAGCGTGATTGGTACCAGATCTTCGTTCCCTGCAGAACCTTGACAGTTGAACAAGTGACCTCCTCCAGAACAGATGGAGAGTCTCCAGAAGCAGAGGCTTTAGTGAACGAAATTCGCAATAATCAGCTCCAGATCCTGAAAAGGAGGGCGAAGAATCAGTGGCCAAAGCTAACCGCTTCATACCCACACTTCATCCTCCTCAGTTTCTCTCCAGGCCACCATGTCTGCAGGCAACGGCACCCCTTGGGGTCAGCAGCGGGGGAGGAGGTCTGGGCTGGATCAGGAGTGGAGGTGGAGGGCTCAGAGCTGCCCACCTTCTCGGCAGCAGCCAAGGTCCGAGTGGGAGTGACCATTGTGCTGTTTGTTTCTTCGGCTGGAGGGAACCTGGCAGTCCTGTGGTCAGTGACACGGCGGGAACCCAGCCAGCTCCGCCCCTCTCCGGTCAGGAGACTCTTCATCCATTTAGCAGCCGCCGACTTACTAGTCACTTTTGTGGTTATGCCCCTAGATGCCACCTGGAATATCACTGTTCAATGGCTGGCTGTGGACATCGCATGTCGGACACTGATGTTCCTGAAACTAATGGCCACGTATTCTGCAGCTTTCCTGCCTGTGGTCATTGGATTGGACCGCCAGGCAGCAGTACTCAACCCGCTTGGATCCCGTTCAGGTGTAAGGAAACTTCTGGGGGCAGCCTGGGGACTTAGTTTCCTGCTTGCCTTCCCCCAGGTGAGTGACCTAGGACTCAGGACCGGGCAGGACAGGGATTTGGGTCCATAGCATGAGTTAAAGGGTGCGCTTGGGGGCCATTAGCCATTAATTCTCAGGGAGTAAGCCTCTGCTTGCTTTTTTTTTTTTTTGCCGGCTCACTGCAACCTCCGCCTCCCGGGTTCAAGCAATTCTCCTCCCTCAGCCTCCCGAGAAGCTACAGGCGCCCGCTACCATGCCCGGCTAATTTTTGTATTTTTAGTAGAGGCGAGGTTTCACCATGTTGGCCAGGTGGTCTCCATCTCTTGACCTCATGATCCACCTGTCTCAGCCTCCCAAAGTGCTGAGATTACAGGCGTGAGCCACCGCACCCTGCTACCTCTGCTCTCTCTTCTGTAAGATTATTTGTATGTTAATTTACATCTGTTAAGAGCCTGCCTTTTCGATTCCTCAGGGATCTAGAACTAGAAATACCATTTGACCCAGCCATCCCATTACTGGGTATATACCCAAAGGACTATAAATCATGCTGCTATAAAGACACATGCACACATGTTTATTGCGGCACTATTCACAACAGCAAAGACTTGGAACCAACCCAAATGTCTAATAATGATAGACTGGATTAAGAAAATGTGGCACATATACACCATGGAATACTATGCAGCCGTAAAAAATGATGAGTTCATGTCCTTTGTAGGGACATGGATGAAATTGGAAATCATCATTCTCAGTAAACTATTGCAAGGACAAAAAACCAAACACCGCATGTTCTCACTCATAGATGGGAATTGAACAATGAGAACACATGGACACAGGAAGGGGAACATCACACTCTGGGGACTGTTGGGGGGTGGGGGGAGGGGGGAGGGATAGCATTAGGAGATATACCTAATGCTAAATGACGAGTTAATGGGTGCAGCACACCAGCATGGCACATGTATACATATGTAACTAACCTGCACATTGTGCACATGTACCCTAAAACTTAAAGTATAATAATAATAATAATAATAAAAGAGCCTGCCTTGTAAAAACAGTATCCTCTATCTGTGCCTCTTCCATTACATCTGTTTTATTACACGTGGTTTCTACCTCTTTGCATCCTCCCAATCTCACCTCCTTCAGATTGGGGCAGGGAAGAAAAACATACATGGGGATCTATTAAGAGAGTGAAGTCAGTGGTTTGGGTAAAACTTTGTGGTACATTTCATTTATCCATTCAAAAAGTAATATGCATCTCCAGCGCCACTCAAATTTTGCTAAGGACAGGGCAGCAAAATCCTGCCTTCAAGAAATGTATAGACTACTGCAAGAAACAAAGAAATTAGGCAATTACAATATAGTGTATTCAAAAGTGTTATGCTAAAGGAGCTAAAGAAGACAATGGGGGTGGGGAGTGGATAGGGGTGTCTGACACAGCCGTGCAGTCAGGAAAAGCTTTCCAGATGTTAAAATTTGATTCTTCAGAGATAGGTGTTAGACCAATTAAAATAGGAGAAATGCTAGGGAGGATGGAGGATAGAGGATCTCAATGCTACTAAAGCTGAGGACTAGAAAATGGTGAGTAATGAACTGAGAGGGGAAGAGCAAGCCAGATCACAAATAATAAAATTGTACTTTATTCTGAGTGCAGTGGAGAGACACTAAAGTAAAAAGAGAGTGACATAACCAAATTTGTGTTTTTTACTGACTTTATTGTCGAATGAGTGTTAAAATTGCAAAGAGGCGAGCATCTGAACCTGAGTACTAGGTTAATCAAATCTCAAATCCAATCCAATACTGAAAAGGAACTAGAAATCTAGAGGGGGAAAAGCTAAATACAAAGCAATTCCTTCAAGGCAAAAACCACTATCACTATCATGGGGTTGGGGGGCAGGATACAACAGCATCTCTGAGACTGTAGGATTAGAATTATGTCAGAAGGAGGCCAAGAAGGGTCTAGGATTTATCTCTGGAATGACAATGCATTATACTGATTTAAGATTTGATCCTTACTTACATCCTCAATTATTAGAAATATAACTACTAGAAGTTAGTCTGACTATACTCCTAAGAACAAAGAAAGGCCTGGTGGCTCAAGCCTGTAATCCCAGCATTTTGGAAGGCCAAGGTGGGTGGATCACTTGAGGTCAGGAGTTTAAGACCAACCTGGCCAACATGACGAAACCCCATCTCTACTAAAAATACAAAAATTAGCCGGGTATAGTGGTGAGCACCTGTAATCCCAACTACTCAGGAGGCTGAGGCACGAGAATTGCTTGAACCTGGGAAGTGGAGGCTGCAGTGAGCCAAGACTGCACCACTGCACTCCGGCGTGGGCGGCAGAGCCAGACTCTGTTGGGGGTGGGGTGGGGGGGAAAGAGAAAAATAATACTTCTAATATGTTGCAAACAAGACCTTTACCAATCCAAGTGTTAAAAAGAAGCCTGTTGCTACAGTGCCATTTACAATTAGGTTTGTTTATATGAAGCAAATTTTACATGTGGACTGGGAATTAGAAGACTTTTTGTTTCAGTCTGCCTGTTTTACTTTGTTTTTTTCTGAGTCTCGGCTCTACTGCTAACTAGCTATATGATTTTGGCTAAGGCACTTGAAATCCATGGGCCACAAGATGATGCAATGGGAAATGAATTTCATCCTTTCTTACAGCCTGACAATCTGACAATATTTGCAACCTCTATTTGTTTCAATGGCAAACTGGTTGTGACATGATACATGTGCGAAAGGTGATTTTTTTTGTTCCAAATTAGTATCCTTTTAGGTAAATTCTGTATTGCCCATATGCTGTAATTGTAGTTAAAATATTAGTGTTAATAAAATAAAAAATTTAATAATGTCACGTTAGAGTGGTAAGGGCTTAGGGGTAGTTATAGGTAGTATTAGGAGTAGTTAGAAATTACTTATTTTTGTAGGCTTGTTTCCAAGTTATCAGCAGTTGAAAGGGATGTTTCTACAGTACGTGGTAAATGGCAATAAAACAGGATAAAGGAAAGATCAAAACAAGGCTGTGGACCAAACTATAAATCCAAGAGCTTTGATTATTATTTTTTTTTTTTTTGGAGACAGTCTTACTCTGTCGCCCAGGCTGGAGTGCAATGGCGCAATCTCTGCTCACTGCAAGCTCCGCCTCCTGGGTTCAGGTCATTCTCCTGCCTCAGCCTCCCGAGTTCCCAAGTAGCTGGGACTACAGGCACCTACCACCACGCCCGGCTAGTTTTTTGTATCTTTAGTACAGACAGGGTTTCACTGTGTTAGCCAGGATGGTCTCCATCTCCTAACCTCGTGATCCGCCCGCCTCAGCCTCCCAAAGTGCTGGGATTACAGGCGTGAGCCACCGCGCCCAGCCAGCTTTGACTATTTTTATACTCCTCACAATTCTCAAGCACTTCTTAGGCAGAGCACAAAAACAAAAACAAAAAAAAAAACTTAGAAATATATGAATGCAAGAGATGGGAAGAGGAAAGACCATTTCCCAACTAGCTCAGAGTAGCCTGATCGTAACTCCAAACAGTTCACAAAATTCTCTTAGGCTGAAACTATTCATCTTTCCTAAATGTCCCTCATGTCTGCTAAAATCACTTTCCCAAATGCCTTGTATCTAGGAATCTGATGCCTACTGAGCTTACCTTTTATCAAATTAATAGTGACTCAATCTCCATTACTGGAAAGCAGGCACTTTAACCTTGTAGCTCTAAACAGAAATAGTTTTTACTGATTCAGTTGGAAAACCCAGCAATTTAACAAAAAGGGGGAGGGGCAGCCCAATAGCATTTGGAAAATGTTAAATTTTATTATTTAACATTCTTTACCATTATAGTTACTGCACATAAGACTATTACTACTAAAGGTCACTTCAGAGTCCCTGCAAAATGGCCTGGAATTTTGGCAGCACCCATTTTACACAATATTTCTTTTTCCACAAAATAACAGACATACCAGGAAAATCATTTCAGCTAAAAATATGAGTGAGGTGGTAGAAATATCATCCCTTATAAAGCGCAATGTTAGAATAGTACTTGAGAAAGCAGGATTGTTTTAAGTTCCAAGATTTAACAAACTTACTGTTCAGCATCATATTCAAGCCTAAAAGGAAGATAGGATTTTCAAGATATATTTCCAACTTCTTTAACATGGCACCATGGATGAACTGTTTCTCAGCACTGTGCTGCTTCACTTGGAATTAAGGATGAATTGGGAGGAGACAGTATGACATAGGTGGGTAGGTTGGGTGGTGAGGGGAACCAGTTCTAATAGTCCTCAACTCCACTCCAGCTGTTCCTGTTCCACACGGTCCACTGAGCTGGCCCAGTCCCTTTCACTCAGTGTGTCACCAAAGGCAGCTTCAAGGCTCAATGGCAAGAGACCACCTATAACCTCTTCACCTTCTGCTGCCTCTTTCTGCTGCCACTGACTGCCATGGCCATCTGCTATAGCCGCATTGTCCTCAGTGTGTCCAGGCCCCAGACAAGGAAGGGGAGCCATGGTGAGACTCCAATTCCCAGGCCTTAATCCTTAACCCTAGACCTGTTGCCTCTAGCATCATTTATTTATCTACCTACCTAATAGCTATCTACCAGTCACTAAACCATGGTGAGATTCTAACCATGTCTAGCACCTGATGCTAGAGATAATTTTGTTGAATCCCTTCAATTATAAACAGCTGAGTTAGCTGGACAAGGACTAGGGAGGCAATCAGTATTATTTATTCTTGAACACCATCAAGTCTAGACTTGGTGGCTTCATATTTCTATCATAATCCCTGGGGGTAAGAAATCATATAGTCCCAGGTTGGGAAGGGGAAAACGGTTTGCAACATTCTCCTCCTTGTAGGAGGCGAGCTCTGTCTCACTAGCTATGCCCCTCCATCAATTCACCCTATACTCAGATCAGAAGCTGAGTGTCTGAATTACAGTATATTTTCTAAATTCCTAGCCCCTGCTGGTGAATTTGCCCTCCCCCGCTCCTTTGACAATTGTCCCCGTGTTCGTCTCCGGGCCCTGAGACTGGCCCTGCTTATCTTGCTGACCTTCATCCTCTGCTGGACACCTTATTACCTACTGGGTATGTGGTACTGGTTCTCCCCCACCATGCTAACTGAAGTCCCTCCCAGCCTGAGCCACATCCTTTTCCTCTTGGGCCTCCTCAATGCTCCTTTGGATCCTCTCCTCTATGGGGCCTTCACCCTTGGCTGCCGAAGAGGGCACCAAGAACTTAGTATAGACTCTTCTAAAGAAGGGTCTGGGAGAATGCTCCAAGAGGAGATTCATGCCTTTAGACAGCTGGAAGTACAAAAAACTGTGACATCAAGAAGGGCAGGAGAAACAAAAGGCATTTCTATAACATCTATCTGATCCTAACAGAGTATGTAGGAACAGAATAGTAAGTCTTTAGTGCCATAAGATCTTAACATCTCACTTCTACTCCTGCTCTCCTAGTTCCCCCCAAAAAAGAAATACTGACCAGTGTCTCTACTTTAAACCCTACCTGAAACTTGAGACTATGTCTAATATAGAAACTCACATAACTAGCCCAGGTAACACAGCAAGACCCCATCTCTACAAAAATATTAAAAATTTAGCTGGGCATGGTGGCATGTGCCTGTAATCCCAACTACTAGGGACAGTGAGGCAGAAGGATGGCTTGAGCCCAAGAGTTTGAAGCTGCAGTGAGCTATGATCAGCTGCAATCCACCCTGGGTAACACAGCAAGACTCTATCTCAAAAAAAAGAAAAAAAAGAAATACATAGAGTTCAGTCCCTAGAAGTATCTTCACAATGATCCATACAGCCTTGCTATGCTTTAGAACTTTCAATTTTAGGACAGGAAAGTAACATTAAATGTAGAAAACAAAAATGGAACATTTATTCGCAACTCAAATACTACGCATATACGGTAAGAGATTAAATATAAACACAGCAAGTTCCACCCCAGTCCTATTTGTCCAAGGCTGCATGGTCAAATGGAATCTTGAAGAGAACACCTGGACAACAGAGGACCTGTCAGCGACGTCTCCGGTCTGGACTTCTGCTGCGTCTTCGGCCACCTCTAGGGAAAAAGAAGCAGGGAGAGGAGTCCATTAGAGGGACATAATACTAAGTCCTCATTCTGTTTCGTTCGTATTCCCTTCACCCAGACAGTATTTGCCCTCTTCATTTTACCTCCTCTTGCCTTTTGGTGGACCCCGAACAAAACACCAGTCAACGCTGATGGGCTGTCCCATCAAATCCTGGCCATTGAGTCCCTCCATAGCAGCCTGGGCTTCCTTGTATGTTTCATATTCAACTAGAGTATACCCCTGGGGAAAGTGAAAAGACAGATATGAAAACCCTCCTATTTCCCCAAGTATCACTGAGTATCTTTTTCCTCAAATCTAAACTCAGAAAAATCTACACACTTTAAACAATGAATGTACATCATATATCTCTACTGTATATATACATCATCTCCGTTTCTGTCTCTTTGGCGTGTCTGACAAAACATAGATTTCCAATGTCATTTTATTTCAACTTTGCTCTTGGCCAACCACAGCAAACACAGAACTACGAATGCTACCTAAGGCTTATGAAAGAAAGGAGGCAATAAAGTGTCACTTAGGATACCTTCAGATATCCTGTTCGCCTGTCGAGGTTGAGATGAATGTTTTTAATTTCCCCATATTCTGCGAATTTGTCGTGTATGTCTTCTTCGGTGGCTTCCTCATGGACTCCAGTTACAAAGAGAATCCAGCCTTCAACAGCTGTTGGGGGACGGGGGGAAGTTGTATGAGTACATGAGAGACACTTTAAGCAGGCTCACAGGAATAGAGTGAGTGCGGACTCAGATTGTTTAAGCTATCTCTGAACCCATTCCTACTGCGTTTAACTATTTTATTGGTTTCTAACTACTACCACAGACACGGATACCTCACAGGTTCCATTATTACTCACAGCGTTGTGGTCCGGGTTCATCGCCATCCTGCTCCACGCTGTCATAATCCTCACGCATCCGCGCTCGGGACCCCTCTTCTATAAGGGACATACACGAGATCACCGAAAACTCCTCCTTTCTCCCATTGTTCCTATGAGGTGGGTGGGGACTCCAAAACCCGTAGCTCCTGCCCTACTAGGCCACTCTACCCCATTTTCCCCACACTCACCGGAGCCAAAGCCGCGACCCTTCCGTTTCTTCGCTTTTTCTTTCAGTTTGTGAATGCTCTCTGGAACCCCAGAAGATAAAAGAATAAGTAACTATGACAGTCATTTGTAACAATCGTCTCTTTCCCAATACACTACCAGCAAGCCGACCCACACCGCCTCCAGTCTTAGTGCCTTCCCGGTCACGCCCTCCCTTCTCCTGAAGGGGGCGGAATCTCTAATCCACCCAAGACCCGGTTCCTCGATTCCCATCCTTACGACCGAGGAAAAAAGAGTAAATTTTCCTATTATAGCCTTCTCTCGCACCTTCCCCGCTTCCCACCAGCCGTCTCCACTGTCCTCACCGTCCCCATCCTCATCCATGGCGAAATCTTCGCCCCCAGCCTCGTGAAGATCTAGCACGTCCGCCATCTCGCCTTCGATCGAGATCTCGTCTGTGCCGCTCAGACACTAGGTACCTCGGGAAACTGTCGCAGAGGGGAAAGGTCGCCAGTCAAGCTGACCAATCAAAGGCTAACTCTAAATCCCTCCCTCTGCACGGTAAAAACACGCAAATTGGGGCGGGCCTAGTGCGGAAAGATACCGGAAGTGTTTCTGTGGCCATCTTGAACAGATCGCAAGCTAAATCATCCATCTTAGGAGGTACAGACTACAGGGGGCCGTGGCTTCCTCTTAACCGCGGCAGCTGCTGATAAATACTGTACTATTAACAGTGAGGCCCGGCGTAATTTCCTTATTAGAGGGCTTCTTTACGTCTCTTCATCCCAAACTGGGAAATGGTAATTGAAGAAACCCTTTTCTTTCAAAAATCCCAGGCCTGTACCCTGTCTTTAGGCAGCGTGGTGTATGATAGGAGCGTTTTTAAAAAATAGTTTGATCAGCAGTGAGGGCATAAAGAGCTGCTTCTGGAACCTGCAGCACCAAATTTCTCTTCAGGAAACTAACAGACTTGGTTGCAATACGGTTGGTGAGACAGATATCAATTTTTTTTTTAAATATAAAACTCCCTGCCTGTAATCCCAGCTACTAGGGAGGCTGAGGCAGGAGAATCGCTTGAACCCGAGAAACGGAAGCTGATTAGCTGGGCGTGGTGGAGTGCACCTGTAATCCCAGCTACCTAGGAGGCTGAGGCAGGAGAATCAGTTGAACCCGGGAGACGGAGGTTGCAGCGAGCCGAGATCTTGCCACTGCACTCCAGTCTGGGGGACAAGAGCGAGACTCTGTCTCAAAAAAAAAAAAAAAAAGTGAATAAGAGTAAAACGAAAAATAAAATTTAAAAAGCGATTAGGAGACACTAATTCATTCTCCACAGTAGGTACTGTGATCATTTTAAAAATCAGTTGGTTACATACCTACTAAAAATCCTTGTTGTTGTTGTTTTGAGACGTAGTCTCGCTCTATCACCCAGGCTAAGAGTGCAGTGGTGCAGTCTCGGCTCACTGCATCCTCTGCCTCCCGGGTTCAAGCAATTCTCCTGCCTCAAGCCTCCTGAGTACCTGGGACTACAGGCGCCCTCCAAGCCTCCTGAGTACCTGGGACTACAGGCGCCCCCCCCCACACACACACACACACCCGGCTAATTTTTGTATTTTTAGTAGAGACGGGATTTCACCATGTTGGCCAGGCTGGTCTTGAACTCCTGACCTCAAGTGATCCACCAGCCTCCACCTCCCAAAGTGCTGGGATTACAGGCGTGAGCCACTGCGCCCGGCCTAAAAACCCTTTTTGTTAGAGGGGTTTGGTTATACTACCCAGGCTGGCCTGAAACTCGCCTCCCAAGCATCTGGGACGACAGGGGTGTAACCATGCACCCGGCTCTTTCCTTGGCATTTTGCTGCACTTAGAATAAAAATTCAAACTCACAAAGCCTGCTCTGCCTGTGTTTTCAACCTGTTCAACCACCGTTCTTCTCCTTCACCCATGAAGCTCTCCTTGCTCTTTCGCCCAACTGTGGTGTGCTCTTTCTCATCCCAGGGCTTTTGCAACTTGGTTTGTTTTGTTTTTGAGACGGAGTCTCACTCTGTCACTCAGGCTGGAGTGCAGTGATGCGATCTTGGCTCACTGCAACCTCTGTCTCCTGGGTTCAAGGCTTCTCCTGCGCCAGCCTCCCGATTAGCTGGGACTACAGGCGTGCGGCACCACACCTAGCTAATTTTTGTATTTTTAGTGGAGACGGGGTTTCGCCATGTTGGCCAGGCTGGTTTCTAACTCCTGACTTCCGGTCATCCGCCCTTCTCGGCCTCCCAAAGTGTTTGGATTACAGGCATGAGCCACTGCTCCCCGCAGCTTTCTGTTCCTGGTGCTCTTCCTCTAGCTTTTCACATATTGGGTTCGACCTCATTTTTTTTTTTTTTTTTTTTTTTTTGAGATGGAGTATCGCTCTGTCACCCAGGCTGGAGTGCAGTGGCACGATCTCGGCCCACTGTAACCTCCACTTACTGGGTTCAAGCGATTCCTCTGCCTCAGCCTCCGGAGTAGCTGGGACTACAGGCACGTGCCACCACGCCCAGCTTTTTAAAATTTTTTTAGTAGAGACGGGGTTTCAGCATATTGGCCAGGCTAGTCTTGAACTCCGTACCTTGTGATCCACCCACCTCGGCCTCCCAAAGTGCTGGGATTACAGGCGTGAGCCACCGCGCCCGGCCGAGTTCGACCTCATTTTTAAGATCTCAATAGTACTGTCACCCAAAGGGGTCTTCTCTACCCTCCTGTCTTTAACTGTGTATTTCCTTCACAGAACTTAAATCAGAATCTTCTTTCATTCTTTTTTTTTTTTTAAGACAAGGTCTCACTCTGTCAACCAGGCTGAGTGCAGTGGTGCAATTATGGCTCACAGCAGCCAACCTCCCAGGCCCAAGTGATTCTCTTGCCTCAGCCTCCCGAATATCTGGGACTACAGGCACACGCCACTGCACACGGCTAATTTTTAAAAAATCTTTTGTAGAGACGGAGTCTTGCCATGTTGCTTAGGCCAGTCAGAATCTTTAATTACCTTGTTTACTTTCTAACTTGTTTATTGTCTGTTTTTCCCGTTAGAATGTAATCCTTATAGCAGAGATAGTTATTTACAACTAAAATCCCTGAAGTTTAGCCCAATGTCTGGCTCATGGTAGACATTTGGTAGATACTTATCGAATGAATGAATATTAGAATGGCAGGAAATTCTGTCTGCCCGATGCTATGTGACTGGAAAATAAAGCTGGAAATACAGTTTAGGGTCTGCTGTGCTAAGGATTTTGGAATTTATCCTATAGGCAAGAAATTTACCTACTTCAAATATTTGAGTATTCATGGTTTTTAATATTTGAAAATAGCCTCCATACTAGTTGTTGCTTATTATTTTTCCTTAAATAGACTGACTTTAAACATAAATTTACACTGAAAGGAAAATCAGTATTTTTCTACTACGAATTCAGATAAAAGCACAACTATTAAAAACTGTTTGCCCATCTATCATCTAAAATCATCTCAGGAACACATATAAAACTGGGAAATGGTAGGCCAGGCATGGTAGCTCATGCTTGTAAACCCAGCACTTTGGGAGGCCGAGGCAGGTGGATAGTTTGAGTTCAGGAGTTCAATACCAGCCTGGGCAACACAGCAAGATCCACCTCTACAAAAAATTTAAAAAGAATTACTTGGGTGTGGTGGTGTGTGCCTATAGACCTAGCTACTCTGGAGGTTGAGGTGGGAGGATTCCTTGAGCCTGGGAGGTGGAGGCTGCAGTGAGCCAAAATCACGCCACTGCATTCTGGCCTGCTCATTAGAGTGAGACCCTGTCTCAAAAAAAATAAAAAAAAACTTTGGGAAATGCTGCTAAAGGTAAAGATAGTTCAGTGATGGCTTAAGCAAGGGAGTGTCACAGTCATAAGTATTTTATAAAGAAATATGACAGTAGTATGGAGGATGTTAAGAATGGAGGTGAAGACCAGCTAGGAAGCTATTGTAGTGATCCAGTCTGGAGATGAGAAAGGACCAAACCTAAGCTCAGGCAGTAAATATGGACAAAACATATTAGGAGGTAGGCCAGGCGCAGTGGCTCACACCTGTAATCCCAGCACTTTGGGAGGTTGAGGCGGGCGGATCACCTGAGGTCGGGAGTTCGAGACCAGCCTGGCCAACATGGTAAAACCCCATCTCTATTAAAAATAAAAAAATTTGCCACGTGTGGTAGTGGGTGCCTGTAATCCCAGCTACTTGGGAGGCTGAGGCAGGAGAATCTCCTGAACCCAAGAGGCAGTGGATGCAGTGAGCTGATACTGCACCATTGTACTCCAGCCTGGGCAACAAGAGCAAAACTCTGTCTCAAAAACAACATATTTACATTATGGTAGAGGAGTTGAGGGTGGATCTGAGGTGTGTGGCTTAGGTAACAGTGTAGATAATAATTCTAATAATAGATCGGCGGGGCATGGTGGCTTACGCCTGTAATCCCAGCACTTTGGGAGGCCCAGGCAGGTGGATCACCTGAGGTCAGGAGTTCGAGACCAGCCTGGCCAACATGGTGAAACTCCATCTTTACTAAAAATACAAAAATTAGCTGGGCGTGGTGGCGGGCGCCTATAATCCCAGCTACTCAGAAGGCTGAGGCAGGAGAATCGCTTGAACCCAGGAGGCAGAGGTTGCAGTGAGCCGAGATCGCGCCATTTCACTCCAGCCTGGGGGACAAGAGCAAGACTTCGTCTCAAAAATAATAATAATAAGAATAATAATAATTCGAATAATCTAGAGAGTCAAAGAGGAATGAGTATGGAGAAATGTTTTTTATTTTCGATATGTTTCAAAGTGCTTTTGTCATATTCAGATGGCCGTGTCAAGTATGTGGAAAGTAAATGTAAAAGCTTAAAACAGGTTGGGGAGGAAGAAATAGATTTGAGAGTCATGTGTATAGTGGAGTTCAAGTCACCATAATGGGTGAGATTGCCAGTGGGAGTAGGTAGAGCTTGAGGAGAAAAGACCAAGGACAAACTCCAGGTTAAATATCTGCAGAAAGGGAGGCAGGCTGCCTTATGCAATCATTTCTACCACCCCAAAAATGCTAATAAAATTTTTTTTTTTTTTGAGATAGAGTCTCACCCTGATGTCCAGGCTGGAGTGCAATCACTCAGTCTCGGCTCACTGCAACCTCCACCTCCTGGGTTCAGGTAATTCTCCTGCCTCAGCCTCCCAAGTAGCTGGGATTACAGGCGCCCACCACCATGCCCAGCTAATTTTTAATTTTTTTTAGTAGAGATGGGGGTTTCACCATGGTGGCCAGGCTGGTCTCGAACTCCTGACCTCGTGATCCACCCGCCTCGGCCTCCCAAAGTGCTGGGATTACAGGCATGAGCCACCGCACCTGGCCTAAAAATTCTTCTTTAGTATATATGTAAAAGAACAGGGATGTTTTAGAGCTTCTTGTGGGGAAAAGAAAGGGAGACCAGATTGTTACTGTGTCTGTGTAGAAAGAAGTAGACATAGGAGGCTCCATTTTGTTCTGTACTAAGAAAAATTCTTCTGCATTGAGATGCTGTTAATCTGTAACACTACCCCCAACCCTGTGCTCCCTGAAACACGTGCTGTGTCAACTCAGGGTTAAATGGATTAAGGGCTGTGCAGGGTGTGCTTTGTTAAACAAATGCTTGAAGGTAGCATGCTTGTTAAGAGTCATCACCACTCCCTAATCTCAAACCACTTCCTAATCTCAAGTACCCAGAGACACAAACCACTGAGGAAGGCCGCAGGGATCTCTGCCTAGGAAAGCCAGGTATTGTCCAAGGTTTCTCCCCATGTGATAGCCTGAGATATGGCCTCGTGGGAAGGGAAAGACCTGACCGTCCCCCAGCCCGACACCCGTAAAGGGTCTGTGCTGAGGAGGATTAGTAAAAGAGGAAGTAACACCTCCTTGCGGTTGAGACAAGAGGAAGGCATCTGTCTCCTGCTCGTCCCTGGGCAATGGAATGTCTCGGTGTAAAACCTGATTGTATATTCCATCTACTGAGATAGGGGAAAGCCACCTTAGGGCTGGAGGTGGGACATGCGGGCAGCAATACTGCTCTTTAAGGCATTGAGATGTTTATGTGTATACATATCCAAAGCACAGCACTTAATTCTTTACCTTGTTTATGATGCAGAGACCTTTGTTCACGTGTTTACCTGCTGACCTTCTCTCCACTATTATCCTATGATCCTGCCACATCCCCCTCTCCGGGAAACGCCCAATAATGATCAATAAATACTAAGGGAACTCAGAGGCTGGCGTGGATCCTCCGTATACTGAACGCTGGTCAGCTGGGCCCAGTTTTCTTTCTCTATACTTTGTCTCTGTGTCTCTTGTTCCACCTAACGAGAAACGCCCACAGGTGTGGAGGGGCAACCCACCCCTTCACTTTTGTAATATATAGGTCTCAAGAAAGAGTCAGTCTGGCTCACTAGACAAAAATCTATTTTTAATTGTATAAAATTATACATATAAAATACATAGAATGTACTAAGAAGATGAGTAAAATCTTTGACACCAGAAGTGGACAGATCAGGAAACAATTTTTCTCAAGTTATTTGGGATCTTACTGGTTGGTATTTGAGAAAAATAATAAATCCAGGAGGTACGAGGGCAATTCTTCCCACAACTCACACCCCTTAATCCACACGTCCCAGAGAAAGGAGAAACAGGAGTGTTGATGAGTGCCAGCTTATAAATGTCAAACAGACACACCTGGTGTGTCTAGCTGTTTTTGCCTTTACTCCAACCCGACGTGTTTCATGGAATACAAACATGGGGCTTCTACCCCAGCTCTCTTCTGATTAGTAAGAAAAAAAAAATGATAGGGCCTGGAGAATTCAAGGAAGCCCGTTTCAAGCACTAATAAAATTGTAGCTGGATTCCTTACCTCTTACCCAACATGATTTCAAAAGCAAGAAAGTTGCCTTTCATCTTGCCCCTATCAAATCCAAAAGAGCCAATTATAGCCTGTTTCATAATCTATTTTTATTGTTGTTGTTACACTTGAACTTTCTGTTTGGAACCTAATCTATTTCTAAAAGCAAAGTCTGTATAATTGTTAAGTGGGAAGTCCAATTGCAGGAATACTAAATGTTCCAAGCTCAGTTTAGAAAGTACATGGGACAATAATATAGTATAAATAAGAGATCACAGAGACAAGGGGGAAATATATATTAGAGACCTCCAAAAAAATTCTCTGAAAGGAGAATACTTTAGCTGCTGTACTACAGGTTATTTCTCTCTTATGTCACCCAGGAGAGAAGTGGGGGAGAATGGTGTTAAAAACACAAATAGTGCCGGGCGCGGTGGCTCACGCCTGTAATCCCAGCACTTTGGGAGGCCGAGGCGGGCGGATCACGAAGTCAGGAAATCGAGACCATCCTGTCAAACACGGTGAAACCCCGTCTCTACTAAAAATACAAAAAAATTAGCCAGGCATGGTGGCGGGCGCCTGTAGTCCCAGCTACTAAGGAGGCTGAGGCAGGAGAGTGGCGTGAACCCGGGAGGCGGAGCTTGCAGTGAGCCGAGATAGCGCCACTGCACTCCAGCCTGGGCGACAGAGCGAGACTCCGTCTCAAAAAAAAAAAAAACACACAAATAGTTTGGGAGGCCGAGGCAGGTGGATCACGAGGTCAGGAGATGGAGACCGTCCTGGCTAACATGGTGAAACCCCGTCTCTACTAAAAATACAAAAAATTAGCTGGGCGTGGTGGTGGGCACCTGTAATCCCAGCTACTCGGGAGGCTGAGGCAGGAGAATGGTGTGAATCTGGGAGGCGGAGGTTGCAGTGAGCCGAGATCGCGCCACTGCACTCTAGCCTGGGCGACAGAGCAAGACTCCGTCTCAAAAACAAAAACAAAAACAAAACCAAAAAAAAACCACAAATAGGCCAGGCTCAGTGCCTCACGCCTGTAATCCCAGCACTTTGGGAGGCTGAGGCGGGTGGATTACCTTATGTCAGGAGTTCAAGAACAGCCTGGCCAACATGGTGAAACCCTGTCTCTACTAAAAATATAAAAATTAGCCAGGCGTTGTGGCGTGTGCCTGTAATCCCAGCTACTCGGGAAGCTGAGGCAAGAGAATCGCTTGAACCCTGGAGGCAGAGGTTGCAGTGAGCCGAGATCACGCCACTGCACTCCAGCCTGGGCAAAAGTGTGAGACTCTGTCTTCCAAAAAAAAAAAAAAACCACACACACACACAAATAACTGATCATTGATTCTCTTTCCCTTCCTGCAGTCTCCCAAGGTGTCAATTAGGAAGTGCCAAAATACTAAAGTCTCATTTAATTTTCCTGATCAACTTATGTTCTAATAATTAATGTGGAAGGAGAGGAAAGAAAGAGAAAACAAATGAGAATCTAAGGTAGTAAACAGCAGCAACTTAGCGGGAATAAGGGGAACATGGTTCTCACTAACCAAATAGGACTGATAACGCTTCCAAAAAATAAAATGTTAGGTGAAGGGAAATATGGAAATATGTTTTACTTTCTACTAATAGCTGCAGGCAGGAAGGTCCAAACGCAGGGTTTAACTAAGCTGGGGGAGTAGGGGAGATGTTTAGAGGGAATACTGAAAGAGAATCAGTTTCAACCATAACCCCCATCTACTGTAGAGTATATCCAGAAATCTAGACTACTAGTATGGTATACATATGCCCTAGAAGCAACTTAGGTAGTAAACTCCCATGAATTGTTTGTAATTTATCTTGTCCCTGGGCAGTTTCTTAGGAGGGGTTTCAGAAGCAAGATCTCTACTTCCTTCAGAATAATAAGGTAGGGAAGGAAGCCTCAAAACAAAGTGGCAATTTGGAGGCAGAGAAGGAATAAGGTAGTGGTGGGGAGGAAAGGGATAGCAAGCAGGTTCAGTTCAGGAACTAAAGGCAAAATCTTCATACTCATACCCTGTTTGAGTCCAAGAGGAAGCAGGAATGAGAGTAAGGGTGGGGCACATAATCCTTATTCAAGTTACCTGATATTTGAAAAGAAGGACACATGAACACTAGAGTTAATCTTTTAGTGCTACTGAAATGGCTACACAGTTAATCTGGAAGTTTAAGAGCTAACAAAGCTGCAAAGACAAGCTGCTCTTTGTTGTAAAGTGGACTGAAGATGTTTCAAATAAAACTACATCCAAAAACTGGTAGTAAGAAAAGGGATCTCTTAGCAAATAGGAATCTAGGTGTAGAATTTATACACATATATATTTTTTAAAGTATAAAAATGAGAAAGTATGTACAAAAAATCATCCTAAATCTTAGAAAGGAGACATAAAAAAAGGCTGTGGAAAGCCTGGGGAGTTATGTGGGTGGATGCCTAGCAGTTGGAAGAATGCATATTGCCCAACTGCCCAGCAGCCAGCACAAGAATATCTTTCTTCTCCTTGTGGAAGCGCAGCTCCTTGCCTGCCAGTCGGGCTTCATCCAGCTCCCGCTCAGTAGAGGCCAGCTCTCTAGACAGTGCCCCCGGCACACTCTGCTCCCGGCTCACCCAGTCCAAGGCCATTTGGTGGCGAATATCATCATCCAGGGCCCGGTGCGAATAATGAGCCAACACCTCCTAGTAGGGGAGGGGAATGTGAACATCATTGAGAAGGTAAAGGTTCATATCATACCACACTGACCCAACTGGGACTAAGAACTCAGCTTTAGAGACCTAACTGAGGTCAGCACCTAAGTTCTTCAAGGAGATTCTTAAAGGCACTTCCTGCTACGGGAAGCAAGATAGACAAAAGAATCACAGCTAATATTTACACAGGAAAGATTATAGGAATGAAGAGGGTACTTAGGTAAGGCTTTCAATATTCACAACCATAGGTCACAATAGACCTTATTTCTAACATAGTAACCACCTCAAAAGAGTCCACTGACAGATTGTGCTCCCCTCATTCGCCCCCACTCATAAAATCTCTTACCTGCCGAGAGCATTGTCGTTCCCTCATGGCCTTAAGGCTGCCATTCCAGTGTAGCAGTTGAAAAACTGTCATTAGCTCCTGGGGGAAGAGGATAGGAAGTACCAGGACAGTGATTTTTATATTGGGAGGTTGCATCAGAATTACATGGGAAACCTTTTACAAAATGGATTTGTAGAAGCATCTCTCATCACTAACTCTGATAGGCCTTTGGGGAAGAAAAATATTTATTTATTTATTTATTTATTTATTTATTTATTTATTTATTTACTTACTTACTTACTTATTTGAGACAGAGTCTTGCTCTGTCACCCAGGCTGGAGTGTAGTGGCGCAATCTCAGCTCACTGCAACCTCTGCTTCCTGGGTTCAAGCAATTCTCGTGCTTCAGCCTCCCAAGTAGCTGGGATTACAGGCATGTGCCATCATAGCTAATTTTTGTATTTTTAGTAGAAACGGGGCTTTGCCATGTCTCAAACTCCTGGCCTCAAGTGATCCACCCGCCTCAGCCTCCCAAAGTGCTGGGATTACAGGCCTGAGCCACCATGCCCAGCCAGGAAGGTATTTATTTTTGAAAAATAGTGTAACAACCTTCTTTCTTTTCCAGTATCAATGAGTTAGGAATTAGTAGGAGCCATTATATATTACAGTAGCAGGCTGACCCATGTTATTAGAACCAGGGAAGTACATGGGAAAGTACCTGGAACTCCAACATTGATTTGCCCTTGTTGGATTCCAGCATGAATCGGAAGGCACCAATCCCTGTATTTGGGTTGTCAGCTTCCTCCCTGTTGCCCTGGTAGTAGAGGAACAGAAAAGACAAATAGATTTTCAACCAGGATTATCATCTCAAGCAGCACTGTCCAGTAGAAATATAATGCAAGCCACATATTTAATTCAAAATTTCCTCTCTGCCACATTAAAGTAAAAATAAAGAGGTAAGTCCAGGTGCAGTGGCTCATGCCTGTAATCCCAGCACTGTGGGAGGCCAAGGTGGGCAGATCACTTGAGGTCAGGAGTTTGAGACCAGCCTGGCCAACATGGTGAAACCGTGTCTCTACTAAAAATACAAAAATTAGCCGGGCATGGTAGTGGGTGCCTGTAAATCCCAGCTACTCAGGAGGCTGAGGCAGGAGAATCACTTCAACCTGGGAGGCGGAGATTGCAGAGATCGGGCTACTGCACTCCAGCCTGGACAACAGAGTGAGACTCTGTCTCAGAAAAAAAAAAAAACAAGTAAAATTAATTTTAATAATATATCTTATTTAACCCAATATGTTCAAAATATTATTTTTCAACTGTAGTCAGTATAAACATTATTAATGAAATATTTTACATTTTTGTACTGACTTTCTGAAATGTGGTATAAGTGTGGAAATTCTGGGTAGCAGTGTGGTCTCCTGGACATTGGCCTATTGTGTCTTCTATTGGTTATGTAACCCTGCAGGGTTAGAATTAAGACACACTGTCCTGCATTCAAGCCTAGCATGTAAAAAAACCAATACAGCATAGAAGTTAAGAGCATGGACTGGAGCTCCTACAAATAGCGTGGCCTTGGTAAAGTCACTTAACCTCTCTGTTCTTCAGTTTCCTCTTCTGTAAGATGGGAATAATCATAGAGCTACCTTAAATGATTGTTTTGAGAATTAAATAAAATTTTAAATTAAAAATAAAAATTTCCTTTTTTTTTTTTTGAGACGGAGTCTCATTCTGTTGCTCTGTCGCCCAGGATGGAGTGCAGTGGTGCGATCTCGGCTCACTGCAACCTCCGCCTCCTGGGTTCAAGTGATTCTCCTGCCTCAGCCTGCAGAGTAGCTAGGACTATAGGCATGCGCCATCACGCCCGGCTAATTTTTTTATTTTTAGTGGAGACGGGGTTTCACCATGTTGGCCAGGCTGGTCCTGAACCCCTGACCTCAGGTGATCTGCCTGTCTTGGCCTCCCAAAGTGCTGGGATTACAGGCGTAAGCCACTGTGCCTGGCCCAGCATTTACATGTATTAGGTATTATAAGTACTCTAGAGATGATTTAAAGCATTTATTCAGGAGGATGTGCATAGGTTATATGCAAATACTGTACTTTTTTTTTTTTTTTTGAGACTGTGTCTCATTCTGTCTGTCACCCTGGCTAGAGTACAGTGGATGGTCACTGCAGCCTCAATCTCCCCAGGATCAAGTGATCCTCTTGCCTCAGCCTCCCAAGTAGCTGGGATCACAGTCAAGTGCCTCCATACCCGGCTAATTATTTTATTATTTTTTTGTAGAGATGAAGTCTCTTTATGTTGCCCAGGCTGTACTGTGCTATTTTATATGAAGGACTTGAGCATCCTTGGGTTTAGGTGTCCTCGAGAGATCCTAGAACCAATCCCACACAGATCCCAAAGGAAGACTATGGAACCATAATTTTTTTTTTTTTTTTTTGAGATGAAGTCTTACTCTGTCGCCCAGGCTGGAGTGCAGTGGTGCGATCTCAGTTCACCGCAACCTCCACCTCCTGGGTTCAAGCGATTTTCCTACCTCAGCCTCCCACGTAGCTGGGACTACAGGTGTGCACTACCATGCCTGGCTAATTTTTGTATTTTTTAGTAGAGATGGGGTTTTAACACATTGGCCAGTCTGGTCTCGAACTCCTGACCTCAGGTGATCTGCTCACCTCAGCCTTCCAAAGTGCTGGGATTACAGGCATGAACCTCAGCGCCCAGCCAGGAACCATAATTGCTTTCTTTTTTCTTTTTCTTTTTTTTTTTTTTTTTTGAGACAGGGTCTCACTTTGTCACTGAGTCTGGAGTGCAGTAGTGCAATCTTGGCTCACTGCAGCCTTGACCTCCTCACTCAAGTGATACTCCTGTCTCAGACCCCCAAGTAGCTGGGACTACAGATGCATGCCCCCATACCCAGATAACTGTTTGTGTTTTTTGTAGAGATGGAGTTTCGCCATGCTGCCCAGGCTGGTCTCCAACTCCTGAGCTCAAGTGATCTGCCCGCCTCAGCCCCGCAAAGTGCTAGGATTACAGGCGTGAGCCACCACACCTGGCCTAGAACCATAATTTCAATAACAATGAATTTAGTTATTTATTTTTTGAGACAGAATTTTGCTCTTGTCACCCAAGCTGGAATGCAATAGCACAATCTCGGCTCACTGCAACCTCCGCCTCCTGGTTCAAGTGAGTCTCCTGCCTCAGCCTCCCAAATAGCTGGAATTACAGGCGCCCGCCACCACACCCAGCTAATTTTTATATTTTTAGTAGAGGCAGGGTTTCACCATGTTGGCCAGGCTGGTCTTGAACTCCTGACCTTAGGCAATCCGCCCAACTCCGCCTCCTAAAGTGCTGGGATTACAGGCGTGAGCCACCGCGCCAACAATGAATTTAGAGCCCATGATCAGATAAATACTGCACATCCTACTTTCCATAATCCACAGTTTCTTTTTTTTTCCTTTCCTTTTCTATTTTTTTTTTTTTTTGAGACAGGGTGTCACTTTGTTGCCCAGGATGGCGTGCAATGGAATGATCTCAGCTCACTGCACCTCCATCTCCCAGGTTCAAGCGAGTCTCATTCTTCAGCCTCCTGAGTAGCTGGCATTACAGGCATGTGCCACAATGCCCAGCTAATTTTTGTATTTTTTCTTTTTTTTTTTCCTTTTCTTTCTTTTTTTTTTTTTTTTTGTGAGACACAGTCTCGCTCTGTCACCAGGCTGGAGTGCAATGGCGTGATCTCGGCTCACTGCAACCTCTGCCTTCCAGGTTCAAGTGATTCTCCTGCCTCAGCCTCCCAAGTAGCTGGGACTACAGGCGCGCACCACCACACCTGGCTAATTTTTTTTTTTTTTTTAGTAGAGACGGAGTTTCACCATGTCAGCCAGATGGTCTTGATCTCTTGACCTCGTGATCTGCCCACCTCGGCCTCCGAAAGTGCTGGGATTACAGGCATGAGCCACCGTGCCTGGCCAATTTTTCTATTTTTAGTAGAAATGGGGTTTTGCCATGTTGGCCAGGCTGGTCTCGAACTCCTGACCTCAAGTGATCTGCTGGCATCCACCCCACAATGTGCTGAGATTACAAGCGTGAGCCATCGCGCCTCGCCCTGTTTCATTTTATAATACCATTAGGTGACCTAAAAGTAGCAAATGTACTTTCCAAAAAATTTTAGCTGGCTTTTTCTTTTTTTATTTGGTTTGGATTAATATAAAAATGTTTTCATTCCCTGCAGATGCTGTTGACTGGGGCAAAGAATAATGGGAGAAAAACAGCTGGGTCCTAAATAACAGAGGGAAACCAACTTTCAATAAAGTATTCAACAACTAATCCACAAAGCAGATAACTGAAGTAATTTAGTATATGTAATTACATCTTTTTTTTTTTTTTTTTTGAGGCGGATTCTTGCTCTGTTACCCAGGCTGGAGTACAATGGCACAATCTCAGCTCATTGCAACCTCTGCCTCCCAGGTTCAAGCAATTCTCCTGCCTCGGCCTCCCGAGTAGCTGGGATTACAGGCGCCCACCACTGCGCCCAGCTAACTTTTGTATTTTTAGTAGAGATGGGGTTTTGCCATGTTAGCCAGGCTGGTTTCAAACTCCTGGCCTCAGATGATCCGCCTGCCTCAGCCTCCCAAAGTGCTGGGATTACAGGCATGAGCCACTGCACCTGGCCTGTAATTACATCTTAATTAAATGCAAATAGAACAGATACTTGGTCTGACTATTAATGAATTTGTGGAGAGGAAGGAAGATGGCGGTGTTAATTTCTAAGATGTAATTAAATTAAGTCAACTTGGGTTCTAATCTTGGCGTGACCAATTACTAGCTATATCATGTTAAGCAACATTCCACTTCTGTGTTTTTAGTCTCCTCATCTGTAAAATAGGGGTAATAATAGTACTTACACCTCATAAGATTGTTGTGATGATCAAATGAGGTAAAATGCATATAAATCCCCTAGAACAGTCCCTGCCACAAGGTAAATACTCAATTAGGATTAATTATGGTTATTCTTCTTTTTTGAGATGGAGTCTCACTCTGTCGCCCAGGCTGGAGTACAGTGGCGCAATCTCGGCTCACTACAAACTCCGTCTCCCGGGTTCAAGCCATTCTCCTGCCTCAGCCTCCCAAGCAGCTGGGACTACAGACGCCCCCCACCATGCCCGGCTATTTTTTTTTTATTTTTTGTAGAGACGGGGTTTCACCGTGTTAGCCAGGATGGTCTCGATCTCCTAACCTCGTGATCTGCCCGCCTCGGCCTCCCAAAGTGCTGGGATTACAGGCGTGAGACACCGCGTCTGGCTAATTATGGTTATTCTTATCATCATCATTTGAAAGAACAGTTGTAAATAAAGAGAGTAAATAAATTATCCTCCTTGTTCCTAAAAAGACGTTTTGTTATAAAAGTCTTCTTTATCAATAAGATGAAGTAATGGAGGCAGGAGACAAGTGACAATAAAAAACAGTCATAAAAAAAGAACTGCAGAAACTAAGGTCTTAACCCAAATTAGCAAAAGCAAAATTGAAGCTCAATTTTCATTTTGGAATAGCTCTACAATTCCATAAATCTGCAATTAAAGGTTTCTAGATACCAAAGAGACACAATGAAAGAGACAAAACAACAAAAAACACATAAACACAGATACAGAACTAGAGACTGCGACAGGTGGAGCACATGACACAATAGACTGACAGAGAATAAATCAAAAGAACAGAGAGGTGGACCAGAAAGAAAACAAGAATTCATGCTCTGTTTCACAGTAATTTACGACTTCCCAAGCAGCCAGTTCTCCCATCTCCCACTCTCCTTCCTTCCAGCTCCATACAACTTACATTAAAAGATGCCAGGGCCTCAGAGACACTCTTCTCGATGAACTCATCAGTGATTCTTCGGGAAGGATGTTCATTAAACACAGAATTCATTAGCGCAATCTTTGCAGCACTCCTCCGGGCCTCAGCTTTTGTGGGGCAAAACTAGGCAGGGGAGAAAGAGTGAGAATATGTGTATTTGTGCATATGAGAGAGAGGAAGGAACAGTGGGAGGGAAACACTTCAGATAGAAAACACTTGGACGCTCTTTGGATAAATCAGTTGTGTTCAACACACTTTCCAAGGTTTTTATGGTAAAGTGGTTGGGATGTTTGGAAACATAATTTTGATTCAACATCCTGAAGTCATTAAGGAACTGGGAGAGGGCTGTAGCTCATACCAAACTGAATGCAGAACGAGGAAGGCTGCTTAAGTCAGCATATAATCACTGGTCATGAAAAATACCCGTTTAAACTGTCGACAGAATTAGTTACTCAAAAGTCAGATTCTGGCCGGCTTAATAGAAATCTGTATCTTGTTCTGCGGACAGGTAAGGTTTTTTGGATTCCTCTAGATAACCCAAGATTAGAACCAAAGCTGTGTCTAGGCTGCTTCTACAGAGGCCACTGGTCTCTATCAGAAGCACCCATCTTGGAATCTCGGACTTCATTTTTAGCTGTGAGCAGGCATTTTCTCAAATAACGTAGTGAGCCAAAGGAGCTATCCCTGAGAAGGGTTTAAGTCTGAAGAAGGAATTTATAGACTTCTTTTTTCCCCACAGTGGAAACAAAGAGGAGAGGAGTAACTAAGGGAAGGAAAGCTGACTTAAGAAGGAAAAAAATAAAAATTAATTCATGTTTTTATATTGTATCCAACATAGGTATCATAGAACAAGTCTGATCTGCAGAAGTCTCAAAATTATTCAACTTCAGATCTCTAGCCACCATAGTATTCCTTTATAATTCATCTTTATTGGCTGTCTCAAAGGCCTCTTTGCCCTATGTCATTTATGAGTAATTAGAGGAAAGGAAGAAAGTGATGTTGCAGTTTTTAAAAGTAGACCAAGGCCGGGCTTGGTGGCTCACACCTGTAATCCCAGCACTTTGGGAGGCCAAGGCAGGAGGATCATTTGAGCCCAGGAATTCAAGAATAACCTGGGCAACATAGCAAGACCCCTGTCTCTACCAAAAAAAAAAAAGAAAAAATTAGCCAGGCATGGTGACACGTGCCTGTAGTCCCAGCTACTCAGGAGGCTGAGGCAGAAGGATCACTTGAGCCAGGAGTTCCAGGCTGCAGTGAGTTATGATCACACCACTACACTGCAGCCTGGGTGACAGAGTGAGACTCTGTCTCTAAAAGAAAACTTAAAATAAAAAGTAGACCAGGGGTTGGGCATGGTGGCTCATGCCTGTAATCCCAGCACTTTGGGAGGCTAAGGCAGGAGGATCACTTGAGGCCAGGAGTTTGAGACCAGCCTGGGCAACATAGTGAGATGCCAACTCTACAAAAAATTTAAAAATTAGCTGGGCATGGTTGTGGTGCACACCTGTGGTCCCAGCTAGTCAGGAGGTTGAGGTGGAAGGATCACTTGAGCCTAGGAGTCAAGGGTGCAGTGAGCTATGATTGTGCCACTGCACTCCAGCCTGGGCAACAGAGCACAACTCTGTCTTAAAAAAACAATAAATAAGTAGACCAGGATGTGTTTAGTACTTAAGCATCCCTAATATCAATAATTCCTAATTTCTATTAACTGACAGGCTCTCTGAGACAGCATATGAGGCTTGGTAAGTAAGTCCTAAGTCTTCCCAGTGCTTCAATTTGTCTGTTTCTATTTGTCTGTTACTAGCTTGCTGGCCTGCTCTATAGTGCTGTTGCTTAAAAAGTCATCTGTGAAGAAAACCAGAGGGAGAAATTTCACCTGCCAAAGTGGATAAAGAGGTATAAACTCAAACCCATCTTGAATTTGAGCAGTTATGGATATGCCCTTGCTCAGTATATCGGACTATCAACACCCAGCCCATGTTCTAATCTAGCTTCAGTTATTGCACCCTGCCCCTGGCTGGGCGAGGTGGCTCACACCTGTAATCCCAGCACTTTGGAAGGCTGAGGTGAAAGGATTGCTTGAGCTCAGGAGTTTGTGACCAGCCTAGGAAACATGGCAAAACTCCATATCTACCAAAAATACAAAAATTAGCCAGGCATGGTGGCATATGCCTGCGGCCCCAGCTATTCAGGAGGCTGAGGTGGGAGGATCACTTGAGCCCATGAAGTTAAGGCTGCAGTGAGCCATTATTGTGCCACTGTACTTCAGTCTGGGTGACAAGAGTGAGGCCCTGTCTCAAGAAAGAAAAAAAAAAAAAAGCTGGGTGAAGTGGCTCATACCTGTAATCCCAGCACTTTGGGAAGCTGAGGCAGGCAGATCACCTGAGGTCAGGAGTTCAAGACCAGCCTGGCCAACATGGTGAAATAATACAAAAATACAAAAATTAGCTGGGTGTGGTGGCCGGAGGCAGAGGCAGGGAGAACTGCTTGAACCTGGGAGGTGGAGGTTACAGTGAGTCAAGATCACACCACTGCACTCCAGCCTGGGCGACAGAGCAAGACTCTGTCTCAAAAAAAAAAAAAAAAAGTTTAGGCTAAAAGGCCAAGAAAGACAATTCTCCTCTTTCCAAAAATAACAGAAATCAAATTACTATAATGTTTCAGTTATGGGCATTGTCATAAAATTTTCAAGTCATTCAACAATGTAATGAGGTGGGAAGAAGAAGGAAAGATCAGCCAGGCACGGTGGCTCACGCCTGTAATTCCAGCACCTTGGGAGGCCGAGGTGGGCGGATTGCTTGAGGTCAGGAGTTCGAGACCAGCCTGGCCAACATGGCGAAACCCCATCTCTACTAAAAATACAAAAAATTAGCTGAGCGTGGTGGCAGGTGCCTGTACTCCCAGCTACTTGGGAGGCTGAGGCAGGGAGAATCGCTTCAACCCGGGAGGCAGAGGTTGCAGTGAGCTGAGATCGGGCTGTTGCACTCCAGCCTGGGCAACAGAGCGAGACTCTATCTCAAAAAAAAAAAAAAAAAGAAGAAGGAAAGATCTTATTCTCTTAGAAGTGAAAGCACAGGCTGGGCGCAGTGGCTCACACCTGTAATCCCAGCACTTTGGGAGGCCAAGGCGGGTGGATTACAAGGTCAGGAGATTGAGACCATCCTGGCTAACATGGTGAAACCCTGTCTCTACTAAAAATACCAAAAAAAAAAAAAAAAAAAAAATTAGCTAGGCGTGGTGGCATGCGCCTCTAGTCCTAGCTACTGGGGAAGGTGAGGCAGGAGAATCACTTGAGCCCAGGAGGCGGAGGTTGCAGTGAGCCAAGATCATACCACTGCACTCCAGCCTGGGTGACAGAGCAAGACTCCATCTCAAAAAACAAAAAAACAAAAAAACAAAAAAAAACAAGTGAAAGCATAAACATTTGTCATCTTGGGTATATAGTTATTTCTCTGAAATGACTGAAGTTCTTTTTTTTTTTTTTTTGAGCCAGAGTCTCACTCTGTTGCCCAGGCTAGAGTGCCGTGGTGCAATCTCAGATCACTGCAATCTCCGCCTCCAGAGTTCAAGCAATTCTCCTGCCTCAGCCTCCTAAGTAGCTGGGATTACAGGCGTGCACCACCATGCCCAGCTAATTTTTGTATTTTTAGTAGAGACGGGGTTTCACCATGTTGGTCAGGCTGGTCTCAAACTCCTGACCTTGTGATCCACCCGCCTCGGCCTCCCAGAGTGCTGGGATTACAGGTGTGAGTCACTGTGCCCGGCCTGAAATGACTGAAGTTCTAAGGGAAAAAATTTCATCACCTGATTTGAAATGAAGCTTCCTTAGGACTGCTTCTGTTTGAGGCAGAAACTAAGCTGCAATGGCACTCATTCATGCAACAGACGTATTATTTGCCTACTATCTGCTAGGCACTAAGATGGGTGGTAGGGATTTAACGAGAAAGAAGACAAACACAATCTTTGCCTCTATGGAACATAGTCCACTAGGAGAGACAAACAATTATGATATGTTGTAATAAGTGATATGATAGGGGAAGTTCAAGGTGCTATGCAGACACACAGTAGGGCCTTTAACCTTGTCTAAGGGTTTCACAAACCATATGGAAAACAGAACAAAGGTGTTTATTATTTTCTCTAAATTCCATTTGAGACTTTTAAGTTGACATTTCAGAAGGCTGCCTCCCTGTCTGCAATGTAAAAAATCCATCTTTGATGAGAATATTCGTACTAGTCCATAATTTTTCACTACTACCTCATAATGGCAACCATTCTTTTCATCATCATAGGTATTTCACATAATTGTAGAATGTTAGTAGTAGAAAAGACTTTAGAAATAATCTAACCTATCTCCTTCATGTTATAGATGGGAAAAGTGAGGCCCAGAGATTTGCCCCATTGATATTCAGAAGAATGTAAATTTGGATCTCCTAACTCTTAGATGAGTACTGTTTCCAGCATACATAGTCCCTCCGATTTGACCTCTTAGAGAACTCCAACATTGCTTTCTTTAGTAATTGCCTACGAAAAAGTACTGGAGGCAAGGAATATTGTTCTATATCCTCAATAAGAGATGGAAGAAAGTTGGAATGCAATAACTGAAGCCAGATTGGAACATGGGTTGGATGCTGGTAGTCGGATATACTGAGCAAGGGGATATTCATAACTGCTCAAATTCAAAATGGGTTTGAGTTTTTGAAAGGAAAGCATGCTACTGAGGTTCTACTATGGTCAAATTGGCCTCAGATGCTTGCCAGAATAATTTCCCCAGAATTGCTTTAGGTCCTCAAATATATGATTTCAGGCAGTTTAATGGCCAAAGTGGTGGAGAAAGCCGTTACTAACATCTAAGCATTTACCTTTGCTACTGCCACCTCACAACTCTTACCTGGAAACTCCCAAAGCAGCTTCCCCCAGGCAGGGTGACATAGCAGACATAAGGAGGGCTGTTGGAGGGAACCATCTCATAAACCACTAGAGCCCCATTCTTTAAGTCAGCACCACGGGACTGCTTCATCTGCCAGAATTCCTGAAGTGCCTCCACCACATTCACTACAAAAGAGAAGTACTTAAGTTCAGCAATGAATGAGAACACCTCCACGTGGTGCTATACTTCAATACAGTACCTGTAACCTGTACCTACATTAAGAGTCTGCCCCTTAGCTCCCTACCTATCGCCATTGAAAAGCATTTAAGTTAATAAACCTAGACTGTGATTAAGTTAATTTGCCTAGAAAGACCAGAGTAGGCCTGCCCTCCTCCACCACTTTTCTGGTTCACATTTTATTTTATTTAAATTTTTTTTTCACTCCCACCTCCAATCTGAATAGTTCACATTTTAACTTAGTCCTAGAATAACTTAAATATTGAAGGCAGAGTTCCCAATGTCAGCAGACCATTATCACTGCCTGATGAAATACAAGCAGATTATTCCACAGTTGGTTAGCTGGCCCAGGATGATAATAACCACCACAATAAGTGCTAACATGTATTGAACTGTATGTCACCCATTTCTGTAACTGCTTTACGTGTTTAATCACAGCAACTTTATGAAGCAGATATTTTTACTATCCATATTTTACAGATGAGGGAAATGAGGTACAGAGAAGTTAAATAACTTGCCCAAGGTTATGCCAGGAGAAAGTAGCAGTTTGAGTATTCAAACTCAAGTAGTCTTGGTTCCAATGAATATTCTTTTATGCAATACTGCTGGCTCAAGGAAATATAGCCCTAATAACCATTCTCGAGCCTGTGCTTCTAGTGAGCACATCCATTGCCAGATTCCTTTTCCAACCCAGAATACTATGTACATACTACGAGTGAGAGAAGCCAGGGCATGGGGGTGGGAGAGAAAACTCTTTTGAGGCTTTACCTGGGTATAAATGTTTTTGGAGGAGCCATATGGTGAGATGCGAAGCAATGCAATGGGAAGCAATTGGAGGACTTTAAAAAGAAGCACTCCTCCATGGGTCGGTCTCTCATGCTCCTTCACATCTTGCTAGGTACACCAAGATTGCAAATCCCTGACTGCTCTTTACTTGGGCTATTTTTCAGGACTGTGCTTGCAGCAAGAAATATTGAGGGATGAGGTACTACCTTCACTCAGATAAAGAACTTGCTTGCTTCAGCTTGTTGTAAAATGGCAAGTTCCCCAAGCTGTGGGTTCTATAAGTGTTCCTCTGTTGTGAAGCAACCCATGGCCTATGCAAGTATCCACCTGAGTCCTCTGCATTGGACTTGGGAGGAGGCAAGGAGAACTAATATAAACATGATGCTCATGCTACTTGCTGTGCTATGAATAATAAATTCCTTTGTCTCTAAATCTCAAAGTCTCTTGACTTCTGCCAGCACCCATGAAACAGTAAATGGCTAATTTATTAGTTGTAGGTAGGCTAAAATCAAACTCCAGACCTGACATTGTATTCTAGAAAACTTCCTCTCATCCCTACGTTTTCCTTATGTAGCCTACAGTGTAAAGAGGGAAAGAGATATTAACCAAATCTCAAACAAATGTAAAATTGCAGCTGTGATCAAGTTCTATAAAGGAGTGATAGATGTCGGCGTATCTGACCTAGTTAAGAAGGTCAAAGAAAGCTACCCTGAGGAGGCAATATCTAAGTTTAGGTATGACTAGGAATTCACTAGGCAAGAGGTGAGAGGACAGTGTTCTGTGCGTAAGGAACAGCATGTTCAAAGGCTCATGACGGCAGGGAACATGATGAATAAAGGGAATTAAGACCATATGGCTATGAAAGAGTGAGGGAGGGGAAGTGTAATGCAAGATGAGGTTGCAAGAGGAGGCAGGGACCAGACCAAGTAGGGCCTTTTAGGCCATGTTAGAGTATTGGCTTTATCCTAGAGCAATAGGAAGCAATTGGAGGACTTTAAAAAGAAGGGAGTCTTTCTAACTCAGCTCCAAGGAAAAATAACTAATTAAAAAAAAAAGGAGGGATGAGATCAGTTTGCTTTTAGAAAGGATCACATTGGCTCTAGGGTTCCAAACATTTCAAATAGTTTTAGCTAAAGCCTCATAATAATAAATTATCCCAGGTGCTCTGAAATATCTTGCAACATACTGACCACTCTCCTTTTTTTTTTTTTTTTGAGACAGAATCTCACTCTGTTGCCCAGGCTGGAGTGCAGTGGAGCGATCTCAGCTCACTGCAACCTCCACCTCCCAGGCCCAGGCGATCCTCCAACCTTAGCCTCTGAGTAGCTGGGACCACAGGTGCATGCCACCACGCCCGTCTAATTTTTGTAATTTTTGTAGAGACAGAGTTTCACTACATTGCCCAGGCTGGTCTCAAACTCCTGAGCTCAAGCGGCCTCCCAAAGTGCTCCTCCTCCACCTTGGCCCCCCAAAGTGCTGGGATTACAGGCGTGAGCCACCACGTCTGGCCTCTCCTCTTCTACTCTTAATCGCAACAAAGTCTCATTCGTTCTTTCATATTTCCTTAGTTCAGATCTGCCAAGAAGACACCAAGATGGGATAGACAATTGCAAGAGATTTATCAGGGAGGAAGTAGGAGACAACAGGGAGAGCCTTCTGAGCACAGCAAAGATCTCATGCCTGTGGAAGAGAGGGAAAGAAGGAGGTCTAGATATGACAATCTCAGACTGTAGTACAGTTTTTGTTGTTGTTGTTGTTGTTGTTGTTTTTTTTCTAAACAGATTCTCACTCTGTCGCCCAGACCGGAGTGCAGTGGCGTGATCTCAGCTCACTGCAAGCTCCACCTCCCGGGTTCATGTCATTCTCCTGCCTCAGCCTCCTGAGTAGCTGGGACTACCACCACGCCCGGCTAATTTTTTGTATTTTTAGTAGAGACAGGGTTTCACCGTGTTAGCCAGGATGATCTTGATCTCCTGACCTCATGATCCGCCCGCCTCGGCCTCCCAAAGTGCTGGGATTACAGGCGCAAGCCACCACGCCCGGCTGTAGTACAGTTTTAAGAAAGATTTGGCTAAGTCAGTGAGAAGTCCTCATGCCAAAGGAATCCCATATCTCACCAGGATCTGCCTGTGTTAATACCCCTGATGTGCTAGGTCATTGGCTGGGAGCAGCCTACAGGAAGCGTGGTTCCTTCAAATGTGGTTATGGATGCGAATGTGCGACTTTGTGGTGCAAATGTGGTTATGGATGACCCAGAGTGGGCAGTGGCTGAGGCTGTTAGTTATGCTCCCTGCAGCAGGCAATGAGAACTGCACATTTTCATGGCTGTCATATACACGTTAGCAAAACTTTGAGCACTTAATAGGTACATGGCATCATTCTAAGCATTGAGCATGAAAAGAATAACTCACAGTTCCTGCAAGCAAGGAATTTATTTTATTTTTGAGTTGGAGTCTCCCTCTGTTTCCCAGGCTGGAGTGCAGTGGCGCAATCTTGGCTCACTGCAACCTCTACCTCCCAGGTTCAAGCAATTCTTCTGTCTCAGCCTCTTGAGTAGCTGGGATTATAGGCACATGCCGCCACGCCTGGCTAATTTTTGTATTTTTAGTAGAGACACGGTTTCACCATATTGGTCAGGCTGGTCTCAAACTCCTGACCTTAGGTGATCCACCTGCCTCGGCCTCCCAAACTGCCGGGATTACAGGCGTGAGCCACCGCGCCCAGCAAGCAAGGAATTTGAAATCAGTGGCCAATAATAAATTATCTCGCCTGCTCTGTGACTGAAACAAACACCCATGTACTAGCCTGAGTTGGAGAAGCAGCATAAACTCTTTTTAATAACCTACATTTAACTGACTTTTAAGAATGCTCATTCTTCTATTAAAAGACAGCATGAGGGCACATGTCATTAGGACCTCCTGAGGCTCTGTCATGGGCAAAAAAAATTAAAATTAAAATTTAAAAAAAGATCCAGCATGAAAAGAAAACTCTCTTTCCTTCTATTGGTTTTGGCAGGGCTCTTCAAAGGTCAATACTGACCAGAAAGCTCAGCCATCTTTGTTCTTTCCGTGAGATCTTTTCAGCTCCAGTTCCCTCTTTGAGACAGTTTAGCACAATGCACTGGGTGACAGCTCTCTTGACATGCACACAACAGGGAGAATACTGGAATAAAGAGGAAGAGGAGGAGACCACCATAATTGGGAAGGTCCTATTAAAAAGCATATGTTCAGTCTCTATCCAGTTAAACATTCCTTTGCACAGACTAGAGAATCATTTTTTAATGATTACTCAAGGCCAAGGGACATGGGGAGTCTTGATTTTAGAAATGTGAGTATGAAATGATAATTGGGCAAAGTGGTCAAGAAAAAAGCAACTAATTGTGATCCGCATTTGAAAATGCTTCTAGACTTATTCATTTTTAGGGCTGGAAGGAACTTTAGAGATCATCTAGTCCAATGCTGGCTAAGAAAGAACAGAAGACTTGTTTGAGGTCACATAGCTATGGCAGAGTTGGGGCATGAATCTAGATTTCCGGGGGCCAATATTCTTTCCAATTTGGGAATCTTAACACAGGCTCCAAGGTCCAGTCCACAGCTGAGCTTCATGGAGGTTCACAAGCTTCCTAAAACTGTTAAGTAAAATTATGTGTGTGTCTGTATGCATATGAGTATTTGTGCATGGGTATATGTGGAGCACCCAAATTTTGTATCATATTTTCAATGAGGAACCATGGATATAATGGTTTACATAAGGATGGCTAAAGAACAGTGAGGTGGGAGGGTAGGAAGAACTGAGATATACACATCTGATAATTGTTTTCTCAAAGTCTCTCACAAGAAAGACCAAGATAGGAATATTTCAGTGCTTATACCCTGCTGTTGAATAACAAAAAAGAGAATAATTTAGTTTTTGCCTTTAGGAGATAAAATATACGAATGTCTAAGTGGACAGGATGGGAATGAGAGGTAGTGATCATTTTCAGCCAAAATAAAAACTTTTTTTTTTTTTTGAGACAAAGTCTTGCTCTGTCGCCCAGGCTGGAGTGCAGTAGCATGATCTTGGCTCACGGCAACCTCCACCTCCAAGGTTCAAGCAATTCTCCTGCTCAGCCTCCCGAGTAGCTGGGATTACAGGCGCACGCCACCACACCCAGCTAATTTTTGTATTTTTAGTAGAGACGGGGTTTCGCCATGTTGGCCAGGCTGGTCTTGAACTCCTGACTTCAGATGATCCTCCCACCTCAGCCTCCCAAAGTGCTGGGATTACAGGTGTGAGTCACCGCACCTAACCTAAAACATTTTTTTTTTTTGAGGCAAGGTCTCGCTCTATCGCTGAAGCTAGAATTCAGTGGCACAATCACACCTCACTGCAGCCTTGACTTCCTGGGTTCAAGTGATCCTCCCACCTCAGCTCCCTGAGTGGCTGGGACTACAAGATGCATGCCACCATGCCTGGATAATTCAAAAAAATTTTTTTGTAGAGATGGGGTCTCACTATGTTGCCCAGGCTGGTCTCAAACCCTAAGGTTCAAGCAATCCTCCTGCGCTGGCCTCCAAAATGCTGGGATTACAGGCATGAGCCATTGTGCCTGGCCAGGATAAAAATATTAAAACAATATATGAAACTACAGTAAAAATTTTATATCATAAGGATAAATACAACCTTGCCAGGAAGGTAATTAACAAAAATAAAAGAAAAAAGTAATAAATACAACTTTGTGGTGGGGAAGCAGGAATAAAGAGATAATGAAGTTAAGAGGTGAGTAAAAAGATTCTCCTTGATCATAGAGGATGGCGAGAATAGACTGACTCTATTCACATTATTATGGAAGATAGGGAAGCTAGTTAACAATAGTTCATCTATTTCCTATTTCAATGTTTAGAAGGTACATCTGCCCCTAAATAGCCCACGATCCACAGTCTCTTTGGAAGGAGAGACTGCAAAGTAACAGTGACTTTGGGAGGGGACTCTGGTAGACTGAATAATGCCACCTGCCAAAATGTCCATGTCTTAATCCTTGGAACCTGTGAATGTGACATTATCTGGCAAAGACTTTGCAGATGAGTTTAAATGATCTGAGATGGGGAGATGACCTAGATTATATAGGTGGGCCCTAAGTGCATTCACAAGTGTCCTTATAAGAGGGAGGCAGGATGGGCACACTGACTCATGCCTATAATTCCAGCACTTTGGGAGGCCAAAGCAGGATGATCACTTGAGGCCAGGAGTTCAAGATCAGCCTGGGCAACACTGTGGGATCTCATCTCTACAAAAAAATTTTTTAAAATCAGCCAGGTGTGGTGACATGCACCTGTAGTCTAGCTACTTGGGAGGCTGAGGCGGGTGGGAGGATCACTGGAGCCCAGCAGTTCCAGGCTGCGGTGAGCTATGATTGCACCACTGCAGTCCAGCCTAGGCAACACAGCGAGATTCCATTTCTTAAAAAAAAAAAAAGGAGGCATATTTGATGAAGAGGAGGAGTCACGGAGGCAGAGATTATAGTGATACAGCAATAAACCACGTAATAAACCAATGTCAGCAGCCACCAGAAGCTGGAAGAGGCAAGGAATGAATTCTCCCCTAGAGCTTCTGGAGGGAGCACGGCCCTGCCAACACCTTGATTTTGGCCCAGTAATACTGATTTTGGACTTCTGGCCTCCAGAACTATGAGAGAACAAATTTCTGTTGGTTTAAGCCACTAAAGTTGTGATAATTTGTTACAGCAGCCACAGGAAACTAATATAGGAACTAATCCAGCATTTCCAAAAATTGGAAATATTCAGCCCAACCCATTTAACTCCAGTCTTACAGAAAAGAAGCTATCTGTGATTCTGAGGAAAAGGAACAACTAAATAGAAAATACTACACAAGATTCATTTGTTCAACTTAGTGAAATAACAGGGCAAAATCTCCAATCATGCAGCCATATTGTAACATAAAAGGATAGCAATACTTCCAAAACAACAGGTTTGAAGAGGGAAATGTAGCAATTACAGAGCAAGGAAAGTGAGTTACTCGATCCTGCCAGTTTAGAGATTGCCAGATGTCAAACATGAGAAAGAGACTATATGCCATAGAAAAAAAGGGTGCAAAGGAAATGGCAATGCAGAACAGTACCTATCATTTGCAGTTTCCAAAGCATTTCCAAATGCACAATAGTAGCAACCATACTGAGTACCAGGTGCTGCATGCTTTATATTCGTTGTCTTATTTAATCCACACAAAACTATCAGGATAAGTATTATAATACCCATTTTACAAAAAGTAAGCAAGTTAAGGAACAGGCCAGAAGTGGCAGAACCAGGATTTAGAAACAATGTTTGTTTGGCTCCAAAGTCAACCCTCTTTGTATTGGGCTGGCCTGCTTTACTACACCATTAATCTTTATACATGCTCTGTAATGTAAACTGTGAGCTCCATCAAGATAGGGACTAAATATCTGCCTTGTCCACCACTGCATCTGGTGATCAATAAATATTTGGTAAATGAATGAAGAGAACAGATGAAGCATAGAGAGATTAAGCAACTTCTCCAAGATCACACAGCCAACTATTTGACAGGGCTAGGTCCTCTGATTACAAATCCCATGCACTACAAACTTATCAAGATCCTACAGAATACTGAGCTGTGTGTGTATCTTGGGTAAGTGGGTGAGGGAGGCAGATAAAGGACAGGAAAGCTTTTTAAAATAAATAAGTAAATACATACATACATACATATATACATACATACTGATAGCCCACATGAGTGAAGGTAGATCTAAAGACTGATTGGAAAAGGTGGATTTGGAGCATTCAGGAAGAAGATGAAGGATGTTAATTGAAGATGATGTGGTAAAGCATTGCTGGATGAGGGAATGAATTGTCTAGGCAGAGGCTAAAGTAAATTGTATTCAGGGGAATACAGCCATTCCCCCAAATAACATGCCATCAGTCACAAGGGTATGTGAATATATGCCAGTGGCAGCTTTGCCTAAGAATTGAAGCAGAATAAGTGATTCCATGTGGTAAAGGACTTCTGAGCCAAATGGGCAGAGATTCTGCTTGCCTGAAGCTGAACTATCTGCCAGACTTTCCTAAAGTACTGGCTGGACACTCAGACTGGAAATGAGAAACTCAAGAATAATGAGAAAGACTGCGATGGGAGGTGGGGAGATAGGAAAGAAAATCACCACGAAGTGTGAAGCCTGATTAATTGCCCTTTGTCAGTACAATCCCCTTGTTCCCTCATCCTTGCTAAGGAAATGAAAGTTTTTACAGGATGTCCAGTTTGGGAGCCAAAGCAGAGGCTCTCCAGGTAACACAGACAAGAAAAAGGGTGTACTCTTCTATAATTTTAATAAATGCCTGTAAGTTGCCAAGAGGAAGGCTTCAGATTTAGTGTGACCACTCTAGGCTACTCCTGTGCCCAGAGGCAAAGACCTTCCCTTGATCTTGACTTAGAGACTTGAAGCAGCAGGATAGTAGCTAATAGCAGTTCCATCACATAGCCTTGTTAAATCTTGGGATTACATTGGAAAAATAGTATTTCCTCATGAGTTTCAGATTCATCCATTTGTATCCCCAGCACCTAGCAGAGTTCCTGTCTTATAATAGGAGTTCAAATTGTATGAAGAACAAAGGGAAATTGATGATGAATGAATCATTAGGCACATATAGCAAAATGGCTCTAAAAATCTGTTTTCATAGGAATTTTTGGGTTTACATTATTAGGATTTAAGAGTGGGAAAAAGTGAAGCATGTTCTACTTAAGGAACTATGAACCAACAAATTTGAGATAATAATCATTTTTAGGTTATATGTCATTTGCAATGTCTCAGTCAATCCATATTGTAACCCTTGAAGAAACTGAAGCTCAGTGAAATTAAGTCCCTTCCCCAAAGATTTGGCTGGTAAGTGACAAAGATCTCCAAAGCCTGTGTGTGCTCTTTTCACTAAACTTTCTTAAAAAAAGAAAATCTACAGAAAAGCCCTGTAACTTTTCTCTGTATTATTGTTAAACAGAAAGTTAAAGATATAGTCACTTCCAGGTCAGGCAGGACCTGGCCAAGCAGACAGAAGGGATGTCTTGTAAATTCCAGGCTTAAATTCTGTATTCCACACCCTTCACTATATATTCCTTATTACTTACACTATAAATCTGGAACTCAAACTCAGACAGGAAACTACCCTAGTTAAACGAAAACAACAAAGAAAACCCTCACATCCCTCTTTCCAGAAATTAACGAAGTTTTCTAACTGAAATAGAGTTTCTAACCTGGCACATTTCCACAGAATTTAACATTGAAAGAGCCAAGGCCTGGGATTTATCCTCAGTTCCTGGGCAAGGGCCAGGAAAACACAGCCAGACAGAAAGGCTGGAGTTGTGAGTCTCCATACTAAAAAAGATACCAAAGTAAGGTACTGAGCCACAGGAAGCTGCTGTGAGTTCAGTGGTACAGGTCCGGATTTAAATACACAATTACTATGAGTGACTTGTGAAGGCACTACCTAGTTCCCCAGTAAATCTGAAGTTGCACTGAAATTTCAGAGTGAAGGTAAGTAAGTAAAGAATTTAACAGTCAAGGTTAAGGGGCTGGAGCAAATTAACAGGTGAGTCCAGGAATTGCAGAGATCACAGAGGAAAGACTGAGAGGGTATGGATGAGAAATTGGATCTGAAATAAAAGACAGGATCCCACACAATGAGGACTGGTTCTCAAAGGCAGAGAGATGTTAAGGTATTAAGCTGGAGGAGGAATTCCATTTCTAAAGGAGAAAAGCTTAGGAAGAAAAGAGGATTGTATCTGAAAAAGAGTCCCTGGAGAATATATTAATAACTCAGTAAAGGGGAGGAGGTAGGAGGCTTAAACGTGTGTATGAGTGTGTGCGTCTGTGCGTGTGCGTAGCCCAGAAGGAAACTCCCCAAAAGGAAATGCATGTGAGGGCTCCACGCCAGGAAAAGCGATCCGGAGGACTGTGGGAGCAAGGCTCCCTTACAGAGGGTGTCGCGCAGGAGGCCAGACCCGCAGACTCACCTCGGCCATAGCCCTGCGTGTGCTTGGCGAAGCTCCTCACCACGGCCTCCACGGCCTCTCGCAGCACTGCCGGGCTGCCGGCGGCGCCGGGGGGCAGGGGTAGTCCTGGGGCCCCAGACAGGAGCAGCGGCGGCGGGGGCGGTGCGGGAGGCGGCGGGGCAGGCGGGGGGCCCGCAGGGGGTGTGGCGGTGGCGGCCGCGGCCCCAGTCACTCCGGGCCGCAGCGCTCGGAGAGTGCCCCTCCCGCTGGTGCCCACACCAGGCTGCAGCCGCTGCGCTCGCATAGTCTCCATCCCGGCCGCCAATGGAGTAGCGCCCCGGAGCCTGCCAGCCTGCCGAGCTAACGGTCCCAACCACCCCAGTCAGCTAGCGCCTGGGGACTCAGGGCGGTGCCAGGGCCGAACCTTCAGTCAAGTGGGGGCGGGGACGAGCTAGGTCCCATGCCAATCACCAGTGATGGGGCGGGAGCTGGAGGGCTCCTGCTCCGCCATAGGCAAATTATTGAGGAGGGTGGGGATTCTCAGAACCAATTGCAAAGAGAAAAAGCGTATCCTCTGAAAGGCAGACGCAGAGCTTCGGCGCGTCTTTGGGAGTCCTGTGGCAAGCACTAGAAAGCAGGACAGAATCTTGGGGCTGGGCTTGAAGAAAAAAATGGGCCTAGATGCAAGATTGGGGAGGATTGCAGACAGAGTAGAGATCATTTTGTCCTACCATTTCATTTCACAGATTGCAGGTGAGGATATTGTGGCTCAGAGAAGTAATTCGACTTGTCCAACATCATATGCAATTGGTGGTGGAGCTAAGGCAAGAAAGATACTGACATTTAATGAACATAAACTATGCAATGTACTGTAGTGCATGTCTTATTTACAATCACAATCACTAACTAGATTTTGTTATTTTAGGGATAAGGAAACAGATGCTGAGGGAAGCTAGAAAAATGGCCAAAATTAAATAGCTAAGAGATGGCAAAGTGGAATTCAGAGTTTAAGCATAGGTGTTCTGATTCCCAATATTTTTATCTTTTTACTATGCCACATTGTTGGGTAAATTTCTGAGTTCACTTATTCTAAGTAGAGGAAGGGAATAAGAGAGAGTGGGATGGGCAAGTCTCTTTGCCTCCCATTAGAGTGAGAAAGAGTTAGGATACATGCAGAAAATTAGCAAACTGAGAAGTCCAGTTGGGGGAATTAAGAAAATTACCCTTGTTGGTATAATATGTCAGACTGGGTTCCTCTGATTACTTTGCACACACACACACACTTGCACACATGCACACACACACACTCTACATACCCTTTATCATGTGGTCACCAGGCCATTTTTGCTTAGGTGAGATTATATTAACTGCTTCCCCCCATCTCTCCTACAGTGGCTCAGAAATCAAAGATGGGGAAATAGAGGCCAGAAGTAGAAGAAAATAGAAGAAACACACTTGGTGAAATGAAAATTAGACCCTGAATAAAAACTGTGAGTAGTCAAGAAATAGGAAGTTTCAAAAGGAGACAGTTAATCTACTGGGATATATCTGCTGATGATGGAGGGAGGAACTCTTTGTAGGAACCTTAAAGAATTCAAGGTTGGACATAGAGGAAACTGGAGGAAATGAAATCCTGTCAAATGCCTTAAAATCTTCAGGACACAGGACACTTGCCTTTTCTCTATAGAAAAGTTGGTTTCTTGGAAAGAAGGTGGCTGGAACAGCTAAGTATCCCTTGGATAATTATAGCTATAAGTTAGTGTTACCCTCCCTCCCCATTCCTCATTCCCCATACCCACACCTCCAGGCAGAAGTGACAAAACAGAGACTTCTGAACACATTTATTTGATATGTCAAGTGGAGAGAGGAGTGATTTAGGGTTTCTCCCCACTTCTACCTGTGGGGGTGTTCATAAGCTCAGACAGACAGAAGAGCAGCTTAGAGCCCATGACCCACCCCCTGGGAAAATGAGACAATCTGTTGTAGTTGTTGGAGGAACAGGGTGGGAATAAAAAGCAGGAAGTTGAGAAGTGAAGTTGAGAGCAGTAAAGACAGCAGCAGAACTGAGGCTGGGGGTTGCTGCAGGAACCCCCAAGAAGAGTGAAAAAGATATCCTGAAAAGTGGTTGGGGTTAGAAGCAGGGTGTGAATAAGGAGCCAGGCCTGGAGAAAGAAGCAAGACCTGCAGAATGGGCTGGGATGTCCACGGAGAGAGTGTGCAAAATCATGATAGGCTGTGTTTCAGGGCATACATGGAAAGCAAGGGATTGCTTCTGCAGGAGGGCAAAGACATCGGAGACTGCCCATAAGTAAGGGTTCCCTACTGCTTCTGAACAAATGCAAGAGAGTTTGGGACCCTAGCCCTGTGTGTTTATTGATATGCTGTGCCTGTAGGTACACAAGTAATCCCATATGCATGTGAAATGACCAGGGCATGAATACATGTGTGTATATACCCAGTAAATAGAGTACTTATTCTTTCTTGCTAATAAGAGTACTGTGCTTATGGACACATGTTTAACCATGTGTGGGTGCACTGTGCACCCATGAGCACATGCAAGAGATCCCTTTGTTCGTGGTGTGTGTGTGAGCTGGTTCTCCCACCTATCCCATTAAGGTCCTAATCCCCACCCTCCTTGGCTCCTCTCACTCCTCTCAGCGCCCTGGCTCCCCAGGCCCACCTAGACTCTGGAAGCCCCCCAGCAGGCGGATCTGCTCAGTCTGCATGGAGTGGCGTCTCACCAATTTGCGCTTGGTCCTGGGAGAGCCTGGCGCCCCGGCATAAGGAGGGGCAGGCAACGAAGGCGCCCGACCTCCGGGTTGTGGGCGAATGTCAGGGATGGGAGGGTGGGGACTGACGTTGAGAGGGGGTAGGAAACCCGGCCGCGTTTGCGAGATGTGGTCCAGGAGCAACGTCCCCGAGCCCCTCCGCTCCAGCAGCCCCGGACTCCGCCTCCTTCCGCTTAGCGGAGATACTGCCCCTGGCAGACTCTCCTGGGACTGGCGCGGAGAGGGAGCCGAGCCGGCTGGAGGGAGGGTCAACGGGGAGGCGCTGTATCGGCGGCGCTCCAGGGACAGGCGGCTGGACTCAGGCGAGTCAGGGCAAAGGTGTCCAGGGGTGTCCAGCTCCACTGGCTCCATGCGGCTCAGTTTCTGCCTCAGCCCTGAAGGGGGACCAGACTCCTGAGCTTCTGGTGCTGTGTTTCGGCGAGAGAGAGGACCCCCGCTAGTCACTTTCTCCGCCCATGGGGGCGGGTCCTCAGGGCCTTCGGTGCTGTGACGTCGGGAAAGACGGGGTCGACCGGTCAGGGTCAGGCCATTGAATTCGGCAGTCAAGCGCTCGATCCCCGGTCTCCCTTCAGTGGGTGGGACTGGTTGAGGAGGGGCCACTAGGCCCCAGGGCTCGGAGTTGAGCCTTTTGAGTGGTTTTGGGGGATGGCGTGGTGGTTTGGGGAGCGGCTCGGAAGGGGATGGGTCATCGGGGGGCTTAGGAAGAGGGAATTCAAATACGTCCCGCTTCTCCTCTTCTTCCTGGGCGCGAGGGGATAACATCCCACGCCCTCCTCCTCCAGCGGTCTGCAGTTGGATTTCCGAAGGCGACGTGCAGAACCCCGGGCTAGGAGAGGCGGGAGCAGGGTCCTCCACCCCTGGGGATGGTGGAGAATTGAGATACTGCCGGGTCTTCTTGGTGCCTGAGGGCGAGGTATCGGTGGTGATGATGATGACCTCCGTACCCTTGGCCTTGCAGGCGTCCAGCAGTGTGGCAAGGGTCTCGCGGTCCCCGCGGTCCAGGGCGTGGACAAGAGCCGAGGCGCCCGCGTGATCTCGGACTGAGGGGTCTGCGCCGTGGGCAAGGAGCAGCGAGGCCACCGCGGCGCCCCCACCCCCGGCGCAAGCGTGCATGAGCGCCGTGCGCCCTAATCGGTCTGCGATATTGGGGTCCGCGCCTTGCTCCAGGAGGTAGCGTACCATGCGTGCCTTGTTCTGGGGGTCGTCGTAGCGGGCCCGACAGGCTGCCATTAGCGCAGTCTCCCCCTGCGCATCACCCTCATTCACGTAGGCGCCTCCCTCCAGAAGCAAACGGGCCAAGCGTAGCTTACCCTGACCCACCGCCCGAAGAAGAGCGTGGCCCTCGGTGTGCAACATAGCTGCGGCTGGGGCGAGGGCACAGATGGAGCCGGGACTGAGACCTGCCGAGGATGACTAGGGGTATGGGGAGGGGGAGTGGCTGGCAGAGGCCTGAGGTCTCAGTGACGAAGCCGATCCCTGCAAGAGAGACATCTCATTGATAGATTCGGCAGGAAAACTGAGGCACAGATGCAGGGACCCAGCGTGGGGTGGAGGAGACCTTCACGGCATACAGTCCTTCCTCTAACTCATGCCTTTGAGCCGGCCCTTCCCCCGCAGCGCATGCCTGAGGAGGTGGGAAGGGTGCACCCGCACTGAAGGACTAGCGCGCGTGCAAATGCGTTCGTGCACGCGCAGGGATGTCCGCACCCCCACCCTCACCCCATGGCTTATCAGACCTTTCCTCTGTCCCCCTTGTCTTATCCACACTTGGGATCCCCCTTTCTAGGATGCTGAACGCCACCCACCCACATACATGCACCCTACAGTCACACATGTATTCTCATTCCTAACCTGTTTTAGCTTGCCACAACCCCAAAAATTGAGTGGGGGGAGGGAAGCAGCCTGCATTTGAGACCTAAAACGGGTGGAGGGAGAATTGGGGGGTTCTATTGCCCCTGCGATGTTCCCCATCACTCCTTGCTCTTTCCCCTCCCAGGCTGTGTGCCCAGATAGATACCTGAATGTCCGCAGAATCTCCGCCTGGCCAGGATTGGGGCCGTGGCCACGGGGCAGCCGAGGTGGCGGAGCCAGTTTCCTGGGGGCCCGCATGGCGTGGGGGGGGGGGCACCCGGATTCCCTTGGTGTCAGTATCTGCGCCCCGGCGCCGGATCCTGGTCCCTCCTCCCGGAGCGCCCCGGGCACAGCGCCGGCTCGGGAGGAGAGAAGCTTGGCGGGGGGGGGGGGGGGGGGGGGGGCGGAGCTCTGCTGTGCTATTTATAGCCTAGTCACTGCGGGTGGGGGCGTCAGGCACCAAACTGCTCCCCCACTCATGCACACATAAACCCTCAAAAACCTAGAGGCTCCAATCCTGACTTCCTTTTCTCAGCCGACCTCCCCTCAGCCCCAACAAACCTAAGTGTTCCTTAGGGGACTCCTCCGCGACCCAGACAGGGACCATCATCCAGATTCTTCGCTGAGATTCAGCAGATCCCCATTCTCCGCACTTGGTGTGTTTGTGCGCTCCTGTGCGCCAGACCTGACCTGCCATACACGGCACATGGCACACTGTGTAAGAAAGGTGTAGAAAGGCTTTTTGGATCCACAGCCGGTGTCCATACTGTGCAAAGAGAGGCAAGAGATGTGGCTTTCTTCCTGTAGTTTAATTGTGAAGGAGATCACGGTCCAGCCTGGAGTCAGACACAGATACACCCCCGCCCCATCTCTCAAAAACGGAACACCCATCGCAGAGAAACTTGGACCTCAGCTCCCTTATGTAGACCTCTTAGATAAGTATGAGGAAGGTGGATATGGGAGCACTTTTAGATAAGGCAAGGGACATTCCAGGTGCCTCCACCCCGTATTATTGTGGGCAGGGAGATAGGACAGGGGCAGGAAGAAGAGCGAACCTTGTAATACACTCTCTCACATTGCATCTCTTTAATCTCAGTCTTGCTTAGACGTCTTATTTTTTCCATCTTGCTTGACGATCTCTGTCTGAAACATTCCTTATATCTTCTCTCTTCCTATCTGTCTATTGGTCTCTCACACTGTCTCTGCCTCTCCTTGCCACCTGCCCTGTCTCCATGGTTACCATAGCTTCCATCCACATATTTTAGGAATGAGTTTGTGTCCAGCTGGAAGGCACCAAGGGAAGTGGGAGAAAAAGAAAAATCCTAAGGATTTAAAAAGTTCACTCAGGGTCCTGAGCTAATTCAGAGGCTGGAGGCCCCCCAGATGCAAGATACTGAAAATAATGTTCCCGGGGATGGGAGAGAGAGAGAAATATTTGCAGGAAGCTACCCATTTTTACTAGTTATTTCTTGGACACGTGTCAACTATGTGCCATGTGCTTTACATACACTATTTTCAATCCTCACAACTTTATAAGATAGGAACTATCATCTTCTTGTTACAGATGAGGAAACAGACTTAATAAGGTTAAGCAAGCTCTCCAAAGCTTCACAGCTATGTTTCTGTCCTATGGCAAAGACTGGGAGCTTGCCACTACACCTACAGCCTCCCAGTCTACAGGCCATTTTCTCTGACATCTGGGATGTTCTTCTTGACTAACTCCTAGATTTCATCTCCATTCTGAACCTTTCTCCCTTGTTTCTGCTTTCTGTGAAAATAGGACTCCTCCTTCCACTCTGCTGGCTTTCCCAAGGAGCTCGCAGGAAGTGGAAAGTAGTGGAAAATGCAGAAAAAGCTGGGCTCCTGCCCTGTCTCCCCAACCCTGGTACGCTGATCCCAAATCCTTCCTTTCTTGAACCCTCTGCCCACCTTCTCACAGACACGGCAGCAACCCACAGAAAAACATTTTTAGAAAAGAAGTATCCATTGGTGGTGCTGGAGAGAGGCAGTGTATGATTGAAAGGAAGGCTGGAGTAATGGAGAGACCAAGCTATGAAGCTAGAGTCACAAAAAGACTGATCCCTAAAGAGCAGCTTTTACAGAGGTTCATTTCTCCGTAGGCCCTCTCCTCCTTTGGCCTCTCTGTAGGGGCTCCCTCAACACGGTCCCTCGATGAGATATGAGTGTCACGTTCCCTCGGTGAACTCTCGCCGGCTAGTGGCTCCTTCATCTGGAGTGAGACCGGAAATAAGTGACCCCAGCTGATTCTGCAACGCCCATCTCTCTCTGCGACCCGCTTCGCAAGCTTCGGTTCCGGGCGTACTCGCTCCCTCCCTCCTTCTCTTCCTAGGCTTCAAGAGGGCGGACTTCCCTCCTCGGCTTCTCCTGCATTGGCCGAGAAAACTCACCAATAGGGAGCTCCGGGAGGCGGGCTTAGAACGCCACCGACTTGAGGAAGCCCAGTACATTTCAAGTTGGTCGCGGCTTGGGCTCCGCTTTGGGGAGGGGCAGCAGGTAAGGCTTGACCTGGTTCGGTCCGACACTTGCCAAACTTGTTCACCCCGGCCAGGCTGCGAAATAGACAACGCTTTCCGTCAGGTTGTTGGATCAGCCCCCTTCTGGCTCCCTACCGTTTCTCCCCTGGGCTTCCATTTCTGTATTGATTGTATACTAGAGAATGGCAGTTTTCTATCGCGCATGGGGAGAGACATTAAAGCAGAAAACGAGACAGCCTCTTGTATCTGTCTTTGCTATAGCATCAACTTCCCCCTAATCTATTAATATTATCCCAAGAGCCTGACAAACTCCTGTTATCTATGAAGACTAGCTGAAATGCTACCTGTAGTTTTCCTGGGCCGCCTTTCTTGCAAAATGAATTGTTCCCCCGTCTACGATAGCGTTTTGTATATACCTTTATTAGGACACTTAGTGCACTGTCTCTCTTTAACGTTTCTATGCCTTTTAGAATAGAAGGTTTTGTAGGACAGGTGCTAGTAGTTAATATATAGTGCCCAATAAACGTTAGTTAAATAGAATTGATTTCTGGTAACTAGCACTCTTTTTGGGGAGGCAGAATTTAAACTCCTAACATAACTAGGGAACAATAAAAGACAATACAGTATGTAATTAAGAGCCATTAAATTAGTGGTTCATAATATTAGTGTTTCATAATTGTTTCTACAATCTAGAGAAGGAAGAAAGCAAGGAGAACTGGAATGGTGAGGGGAGGCTTTATGGATCACAATTTCTCAAGTTTGGAAAGGCCCATAGAAATGATGTATTTATTCATTCAATAAATATTTATTGAGCACCTACTATATGCCAGACACAATGCTAAATCATGCTGATCATAGGGAATCCTCTACTAGAGCCATGCATCCTTCTTACAAACCCTATGTAGTAAATTTTTACCCAGCTTCTATGTAAACATCTTTAGTAAGGGAACTCTCTTATCTCTCTTGTAGATCATTCAATTTTTTGATACCTGTTCTTTAGTCAATATCCTACAAATATTCTAAATAAGAAATATATAGCTAAAGGAAATGCATTCCACACTTCCACTGTAAAAGAGGGAAATATGGCTGGGCACGGTGGCTCATGCCTGTAATCCCAGCACTTTGGGAGGCCGAGGCGGGCAGATCGCCTGAGGTCGGGAGTTGGAGACCAGCCTGACCAACGTGGAGAAACTCTGTCTCTACTAAAAATACAAAAATTAGCTGGGCGTGTTGGCGCATGCCTGTAATCCCAGCTACTGGGGAGGCTGAGGCAGGAGAATCATTAGAACCCAGGAGGCGGAGGTTGCAGTGAGCTCAGATCGCACCATTGCACTCCAGCCTGGGCAACAAGAGCAAAACTCCCTCTCAAAAAAAAAAAAAAAAAAAAAAAAAGGAAATCTGTCCTTTTACAGTGGAATTGGTAGCATTCTTAAAAGCAAGCCATTTCTGGCTGGGCGTGGTGGCTCATGCCTGTAATTCCAGCACTTTGGGAGGCTGAGGTAGGCAGATCACTTTAGCCCAGGAGTTCAAGACCAGTCTAGGCAACATGACAAAACCCTGTCTCTACAAAAACTACAAAAAAAATAGCCAAGCATGGTGTCTCAGGCCTGTAGTTCCAGCTGCTCAGGAGGCTGAGGTGGAGGGTTGCTTGAGCTGGAGAAGTCGAGGCTGCAGTGAGCCAAAATTGCCACTGCACTGCACTTCAGCCTAAGCGACAGAGCAAGAACCTGTCTCAAAAAAAAAAAAAAAAAAAAGAGGCCGGGCGTGATGGCTCATGCCTGTAATCCCAGCACTTTGTGAGGCCAAGGCGGGTGGATCACGAAGTCAGGAGTACAAGACCAGCCTGACCAACATGGAGAAACCCCATCTCTACTAAAACTACAAAAAAAATTAGCCAGGCATGGTGGCGCATGCCTGTAATCCCAGTTACTCGGGGGGCTGAGGCAGGAGAATCACTTGAACCCAGGAGGTGGAGGTTGCGGTGAGCTGAGATTGCGCCATTGCACTCCAGCCTGGACGACAAGAGTGAAACTGTCTCAAAAAAAAAATAATAAAATAAAAAGAACATAAATAAATAAAATGGGTATTTTTTAACCATTCATTTATTGTTAGATTGTTTCAGTTATTTCAGAATTTTTGCTACCATAAATAGCTCTTTGATGAATATCCTTTTACTTATATCTGTGACTGTATATCTGTTGATGTCTTTGGAATATATTTTTAAAGTGGGATTGCTGGATTAGGGATATAAACATTTCAAAGGCTGTTGATTTAACTGGACAAATTGCTCCCCTTGAAATATTATGTTTATAGTCTTTCCAGTGAGGTATGAGAGTGTCCATTTGAAAAAAAACTCATGACAGCCTGCTTATTATTTAAATCTTTGTCACTTTCATAGGTGAAGAGTGGTTTTATTGGCCATTCTCTCTCCTTTTTTTTTTTTTTGAGACAGTCTTGCTCTGTTGCCCAAGCTGGAGTGCAGTGGTGAGATCTCAGCTCACTGCAACCTCCACCTCCTGTGTTCAAGTGAGTCTCATGCCTCAGCCTCCTGAGTAGCTGGAATTAAAGGTGTGTACCACTGTGCCTGGCTAATTTTTTGTATTTTTAGTAGAGACAGGGTTTCTCTATGTTGCCCAGGCTGGTCATGAACTCCTGGCCTCAAGTGATCTGTCCACCTCGGCCTCCCAAAACCCTGGATTACAGGAGTGAGCCACCATGTCCAGACATGGCCATTCTCTTTGCCAGTTGCCTGTTCATGTCCTTTGCCCATTTTTTCTATTGAGATGATTTTTTAAAATTTGGATTTCCAAGATTTTAAGGGTGTTAATTTCTTGCTTTATTTATTACATGTATAGCAAATTCTACACATCAGCGTGCCCCAGGCCTCAGTGCCTGGATTTCTTATTTTCTCTGTCCACATCCACTCCTTTAGGGGTCTCACCTAGTCTCATGGCTTGAAGTATTGTTTGTTTGCTGATGCCTCCACTGGAATGAAAGCTCCATTTAAACCCCGTGGGTGCAGCATGTTTTTGTCTGTTTTGCACACTGCTATATCCATAGAATCTAGAACAGTGCCTGGCACACCTAGTAAGCACTCAGTAAATATTTGTTGAGTGAAATGATTCTATTATTGTTATTTTTATTCCCATTTTACAGATGAGGAAACAGGTTTAGAGACAATAAATAAATTACCAGAGTTTTGTAGCTAGGAAATTGAACTGGGATTCAAAACCATATTCTTAACCTCTACATGTACTGCCTTCCTTAAATTTGATGTAATTGTTAGTGTTTTTCTGTATGTTTAGTTGAAACCTGCCTCTCAGTAACTTCCACCACAATATATATGTATGAATAATTGGGAATGAGCATAGTGTATATGAGTGTTGTTTGGAGTAAAACAGAGTACAGGGGTAAACTCTCTGGAAAGGTTGATGTTAAGGAGGAGCAGATTGTGACTAGATTATGGGAGACCTTAAGTATCCTCAAGAATTTTAACTCCATCACAATCTTTAATAGCAGAGACTCCCTATAGATTCCTAAGATGAATGGGGCAGATGGATGGTTTATTTCCCAACCTGTATTAAATAAAATTTTGTCTTCTTTTTCCCCTGCATTCTTAGAGGATCACTCATTTAATGTGTAGAAATGGTGTGGAATTTGTCTAACCTCAAACTCATGGCCATTTATTGACTCTTCATTGCTTTGCAGTCACAGCAGCTCCTATCTCCACTGCCAGAACTATATCTGTCAAGTGGAAAGATACTTAACCAGCTGGTTAGAATGTTCTCTCGCTTAAAAGGGGCTGAAGACACGGTGACAAATTCTTTTTTTTTTTTTTTTGAGACAGAGTCTCGCTCTGTTGCCCAGGCTGGAGTGCAGTGGCACAATCTTGGCTCACTGCAACCTCTGCCTCCTGATTTCAAGTTATTCTCCTGCCTCGGCCTCCTGAGTAGCTGGGATTACAGGCGTGCACCACCACGCCTGGCTAATTTTTTGTATTTTTAGTAGAGACGGGGTTTCACTTTGTTGGTCAGGCTGGTCTTGAACTCCTGACCTCGTGATCCGCCCACCTCAGCCTCCTAAAGTGCTGGGATTACAAGCATGAGCCACCACGCCCAGCCAACAAATTCTTATTATTTCTCTAGTCTCCATGAGACATCTTCTCTCCCTTAATATGCTCTTTTCAAACAGATTGCAATTTGATATCTTAACCAACAGCCATTGTTTCCTCAATTTTTTTTATGGCAGTTGGGCTTGAAACTTCCCAGATTCCTCAGATATACATTTTTCTACCCTCTCCTAGCTACAGATTATTAATCTCATTTAGTATTCTGTTACGACATTTAAATTTTATTTATCTATTTATTGAGACACGGTCTCACTCTGTTGCCCAGACTGGTGCACAGTGGTGTGATCATAGCTCACTGCAGCCTCGACTGCCTGGGCCCAAGTGATCCTTCTGCCCTGGCCTCCCAAAGTGCTGAAATTACCTCCATGAACCACCACAACTGGCCCATTAAAAAAAAATTTTTTTGAGACACAGTCTCGCTCTTTTGCCAGTCTGGAGTGCAGTGGCGCCATCTCGGCTCACTGCAACCTCCACCTCCCGGGTTCAAGCGATTCTCCTGCCTCAGCTTCCTGAGTAGCTGGGACTACAGGCGCACACCACCATGCCCAGCTAATTTTTGTATTTTAGTAGAGACGGGGTTTTGCCATGTTGACCAGGATGTTCTCGATCCCTTGACCTTGTGATCCACCTGCCTCGGCCTCCCAAAGTGTTGGGATTACAGGCATGAGCCACCATGCCCAGCCAAAAATTTTTAAATTAATATTTTAATGTTGTTATAGTATTCTATTCAGTATAGAAAAAAACAAAGCATACATAACCTGGCTGGGCATGGTGGCTCATGCCTGTAATCCCAGCACTTTGGGAGGCTGAGGCAGGCAGATCACGAGGTCAGGAGTTTGAGACCAGCCTGGCCAACATGGGAAAACCCCCTCTCTACTAAAAATACAAAAATTAGCTAAGCATGGTGGTGGGTGCCTGTAATCCCAGCCACTCAGGAGGCTGAGGCAGGAGAATTGCTTGAACCCGTAAGGTGGAGGCTGCGGTGAGCCGAGATTGCACCACTGCACCACTCCAGCCTGGGTGACAGAGCAAGACTCTGTCTCAAAAAAAAAAAAAAAAAGATACACAACTCTCCCCACCAGAAAAAATTCAAAAAACCCTCATCCTTCAAATTAACCGTTGTTAATTTTTGGTACATATCCTTCTATAACAGATTTTTAATTCATATGTGTGTATGTATTTCTGACAGAAGATTACCTTCTACATATTATTTTTAAATATTTTTTTCACCAACTAATCTCTTGGGAATTTTGAATTGCTACTTGATTTTTGTTTTAGCTTTTTGTTTTGAGACAAGGTCTCTGTCACCCAGGGTGAGTGCAGTGACATGATCATGGCTCACTGAATCCTCTTATCTCCCGGGCTGAAGCGATCCTTCCACCTCAGTCTCCCACGTAGCTGGGACTACTGGCATGTGCCACCATGCCTGGCTAATTTTTTTATTTTTTGTAGAGATGGAATCTCACTATGTTGCCCCGGCTGGTCTCAAACTCCTGGACTTAAGTAGTCATCCCACCCCAGCCTCCCAGAGTGCTGGGATTACAGGTGTGAACCACCACGCCCAGCCTCGAGTTTTTTTTGTTTTTTGTTTTTGTTTTAATTAATAGATTATATATTTTAGAACAATTTAAGACTTACGGAAAAATTTAGCAGATAGTGCCAAGAGTTCCCATTTGTCCCAGTGCACAGTTTCCCCTATTAACATTGTAGATTGGCCGGCCGCGGTGACTCACGCCTGTAATCCCAGCACTTTGGGAGGCTGAGGCGGGTGGATCACGAGGTCAGGAGTTCGAGACCAACCTGGCCAAGATGGTGAAACCCCGTCTCTACTAAAAATACAAAAACAAATTAGCCGGGCACGGTGGCGGGCTCCTGTAATCCCAACTACTCGGGAGGCTGAGGCAGGAGAATCGCTTGAACCCGGGAGGCGGAGGTTGCAGTGAGCCGAGATCGCGCCATTGCACTCCAGCCGGGCAACAAGAGCGAAACTCCATCTCAAAAAAAAAAAAAAAAAAAAAAAAAAAAATGCCGGGCGCAGTGGCTCATGCCTGTAATCTAGCACTTTGGGAGGCCGAGGCGGATGGATCACCTGGTCGGGAGGTGGAGACCAGCCTGACCAACATGGAGAAACCCCCTCTGTACTAAAAAAAGTATAAAATTAGCCAGGCGTGGTGGCGCATGCCTGTAATCCCAGGTACTCAGCAGGCTGAGGCAGGAGAATCGCTTGAACCTGGGAGGCGGAAGTTGCAGTGAGCCGAGATCGCGCCATTGCACTCCAGCCGGGCAACAAGAGCGAAACTCCATCTCAAAAAAAAAAAAAAAAAAAAAATTGATTCGTATATTTGTTACAATTAATGAATGAATACTGATACATTATTATTAACTAAGGTTGATACTTGATTGACATTTCTTTGGTTTTTACCTATTGCTCTTTTTCTGTACATGAATCCCATTTAGGATTCCACATTATATTTAGTTGTCACGTCTCCTTAGGCTCCTCTTAAGTGTGACGGGTTTCTCAGACTTTACTGTTTTTGATGACTGACAGTTTTGAGGAGTTGGGTATATTGTAGGATGCCTTTCTGCTGGAATTTGATATTTTTCTCTTTATTAGTGTGGGGTTATGGGTTTTTAGGAGGATGATCACAGAGGTGAAGTACCATTTTATCATGTAATTTTAAGGGCACATACCGAAAACATGATTTATGAGTACTGATGCTGACCTTGGTCATCTGGTTGAAGTAGTGTTTTTCTGGTCTCTCCACTGTAAAGATATTCCTCCTGATTTCCTAAATTATTGAATGAGGGCCGGGTGCAGTGGCTCACGCCTGTAATCCCAGCACTTTGGGAGGCCGAGGCAGGCGGATCATGAGATCAGGAGTTCAAGACCAGACTGACCAACATGGTGAAACCCCGTCTCTACTAAAAATACAAAAATTAGCCGGGCGTAGTGGCGTGCGCCCGTAATCCCAGCTATTCAGGAGGCTGAGGCAGGAGAGTCGCTTGCACCCGGGAGGCAGAGGTTGCAGTGAGCTGAGATTGCGCCACTGCACTCCAGCCTGGGTGACAGAGTGAGACTCTGTCTCAAAAAAAAAAAAAAAAAAAAAAAAAATATATATATATATATATATATACGTGTGTGTGTGTGTGTGTATATATATAGAGAGAGAGAGAGAGAGAAATTCCCTATACACAGTCCACACATAAGAAGTGGGAAGTTATAGCCAGTGCGGTGGCTCACGCCTGAATCCCAGCACTTTGGGAGGCCGAGGTGGGTGGGTCACCTGAGGTTGGGAGTTTGAGACCAGCCTGACCAACATGGAGAAACCCCGTCTCTACTAAAAATACAAAATTAGCCGGGCGTGGTGGCACATGCCTGTAATCCCAGCTACTTGGGAGGCTGAGGCAGGAGAATCTCTTGAACCCGGGAGGTGGAGGTTGCAGCGAGCCGAGATCGTGCCGTTGTACTCCAGCCTGGGCAATAAGAGCGAAACTCCATCTCAAAAAAAAAAAAAAAAAGTGGGGAGTTATGCTCCCCTGCTCCCTTTTAGGATGGAGTGTCTACATATTTTATTTGGAATTCTACATGAGAGATTTGTCTTTTTTCCCCCATATAAATAAATTCAGTCATTTATTTATATCACTATGGACTCACAGATATTTATCTTATACTTTGGGGTTATAATCTAATACTGCTTTATTTATTTTGTTCCTCAAATTGTTTCAGCTTTGGCCATTGGGAACTTTTTCAGTTGGCTCTTATGTCCCTTTGACATAGCCTCATCAATATGTTTATTTTTTTCGTTTTTTCTCCTTTTTGTTTGTTTTTCGTTTGTTTGAGACAGAGTCTTTACTCTGCCACCCAGGTTGGAGTGCAAGTGGTGCAATCATAACATTGCAGCATCAACCTCCCCGGCTCAAGCAATCCTTCCCAGTAGGGAAGGATCACCCAGTGACCACGGGTGCATGCCACCATGCCTGGCTAATTTTTGTATTTTTTGTAAAGACGAGGTTTTGCCCTGTTGTCCAGACTGGTCTCAAACTCCTAGGGCTCGAGTGATCTGCCCGCTCCAGCCTCTCAAAGTGCTGGGATTATAGCAATGAGCCGCTGCACCCAGCTAACCCATCAATATGTGAGTGTGGTTGTTGTTTTGAGCACCTCCTTACTTTTTGGCACCTCAAGATGCTCTAGACTCATGTTGTATATTTCCTACCCTGTCCTAGAATCAGCTAGTAGTCCAGAGAGCCCTGGTTCCTTTTATTGGAAAATTGTATGAGAAACCAAGATCTGGGTGCTAGGTGTGCTCATTGCTACTGGGATATCATTTCTCTCAAGTTTTCTTTTCATCTGGTGATTTTATTCCCCCATCCTAGCTGCCTCTGACTGGTTCCTCAGGATTGATGATAAGAGACAGAGTGAAAATTCGGTAGAAGGAGAAACTTTAGATTCATCAGTGTTGATCACAGTGGAATATACTGTCTTGGGGGGAGAATGGATACCATCTCTTTAGGGAAATGCCACCAAAAGCTGAATAACAATTCACAAAGTAGGGTCAGGGGTGGTGACTCACACCTGTAATCCCAGCACTTTGGGAAGCCCAAGCAGGTGGATCATTTGAGTCCAGGAGTTCGAGACCAGCCTGGGTGACATGGCGAAATCCTGTCTCTACAAAAAATACAAAAATTAGCCAGGCTTGGTGGCACATGCCTGTAGTCCCAGCTACTCAGGAAGCTGAGGCAGGAGGATCACTTGAGCCTGGGAGGCAGAGGTTGCAGTGAGCCAAGATTGCACTGCTGCACTCCAGCCTGGGCAACAAAGTGAGACTCTGTCTCAAGAAAAAAAAAAAGAAGACACACACATACACCAAACAACAACAAAACAATTTACAGAGTGAAGTCCTGCACTGGGAGGGGTTTAGACTAGATGACCTCTATAAGGGTCCTCCCAATTCTAAGATTCTATGCTTCCAAGTGGTGTTTAAAAAGATCAATTTGGCCTCTCGCGGTGGCTCATGCCTGTAATCCCAGCACTTTGGGAGGCTGAGACAGTTGGATCACTTGACATAATGAAATCCAGTCTCTTAAAAAAAAAAAAAAAAAAAAAAGAGCCAGGCATGGTGGCACACACCTGTAGCTCCAGCTACTTGGGAGGCTAAGGCAGGAGGATCACCTGAGCCCAGGAGGTTGAGGCTGCAGTGAGCCATGATCACACCACGGCACTCCAGCCTGGATGACAGAAAGAGACCCTATCTCAAATAAAATAAAATAAAAAGATCAATTTGATTGTAATGTGTCTTTTCCCCTGGTTTACAATGAAATTGATGACTCATCCCTGTGCTCCCACAGTGCCTGACACACTATCTTTTTCATGGTAGACGATTAATAAATGTTTCGCCGAATGCATTGCATTGGATTGAATTGGGGCCTGGTCAGGTTTGGAAGGCCAGAGATAGAAAGAATTCAAAGGTTATATGTAGAAATGCAGTTTGTGGCTGGGCATAGTGGTTCATGCCTGTAATCCCAGCACTTTGGGAGGCTGAGGCAGGAGGATCTTGAGCCCAGGGGTTCGAGGCTAGAGTGAACTGTGATTGCACCATTGCACTCAAGCCTGGGTGACAGAGCATCTCTAAAAATAAAAATAAAGAAATGCAGATAGAGATAAACATCAAATTGTCTTAGGGATGTAGAGTTTTGTCCAAAGGTGTCAGCACTTTCTCCTTTGTGCTAAACTATATTGTAATTATCTGACCTGTTTGGGGGACCATGTCTCATTCATGTTTATATTTCCAGAAATTCTCTCTCTGACACTGTGCCTTCTCAGTCAAAATTTGTTGAATGACATTAACTTTTCATGTCCCAGAGATAAAAGATTGAATGTCTTGTACCTCCTTGGCTTCCTGTCCATTCTACTACATTTCTTTTTCTCTTTGTTTTTGTCTTTATTAGGTTTATTCACTGGATCTCTGAATACCCAGGCCCCCTCCACCATGGCCAGCCGGGGTGGGGGCCGGGGTCGTGGCCGGGGCCAGTTGACCTTCAACGTGGAGGCCGTGGGCATTGGGAAAGGGGATGCTTTGCCCCCACCCACCCTGCAGCCTTCTCCACTCTTCCCTGTGAGTCTCTCCACTCCCTTCCCAGACTCTCATGTGCCCCTGGCTGACTGTACATGATTCTGAATTCCTCCTGGACCATCATAAAACCATCCTCGCTTTGGCCCTCTCTCTATACTCCCAATGCACAGGGATGTTTTGCAGGCAAAGAAGTGTCCACCTTTACTTCTCCCCAGCTTTCAAAATAATATGTTACTCCCTCGATTGTCATTTGGCCCTCTGCTCAGTGGGAGTGTTAGACTAAATTGGGAGGAGGGGTCTTCCTAAATTTGTACTAGCATTTTCTCCCTGAACTGACCACTGCCCCTGCCTCTTTAGCCCTTGGAGTTCCGCCCAGTACCTTTGCCCTCAGGCGAGGAAGGGGAATATGTCCTGGCACTGAAGCAAGAGCTACGAGGAGCCATGAGGCAGCTCCCCTACTTCATCCGGCCAGCTGTCCCCAAGAGAGGTCAGTTGGAATGCTAGCATCATATTCTGAGTGCCTTCCATGGGGAGTGCCCTGTGCTCAGCACCACTGGGGGCCAGAGGGGCACAGGAAGCATACTATCTAACTGGGGAGATCATAATAGTTACCCCTGTATCTGAAATGCATTATAGTATTCATGGTTTGTTTTGAGTCTCATGATAGTCTTGGGACAGCAGGAGGTTAAATATTAAAATCCCATTTCACGTGTATAAGTAGGGGGATGTATTTTCTAAAAAATTATATATTTTTTATTTTTTTGTAAAATAGAGATAGGGTGTCCTTATGTTGTCCAGGCTGGTCTTGAACTTCTGGGCTCAAGAGATTCTCCTGCCTTGGCCTCCCAAAGTGCTGGGATTACAGGCATGAGCCACTGCGCCCAGCAAAATTTTTAACAATCTGGATATTATAAGCACCAACCAACAAGAGAATACTGAAATCCTGGTTTCTTATTCCCTAGCATACTTTCCACTGCACCACGCTATTTCTTAATACAGCCATGCCTTTGAACTAAGGGACAGAAAAAAAAAAAATCATCATGGCCGGGTGCGGTGGCTTACGCCTGTAATGGCCAGCACTTTGGGAGGCTGACATGGGTGGATCACTTGAGGCCAGGAGTTTGAGGCCAGCCTAGCCAATACGGTGAAACCCTGTCTCTACTAAAAATATAAAAATTAGCCAGGCACAGTGGTGTGTGCCTGTGGTCTCAGCTACTCGGGAGGCTGAGGCTGAGGCTGAGGCATGAGAATCGCTTGAACCTGGGAGGTGGAGGTTGCAGTGAGCTGAGATCTTGCCACTGCACTCTAGCCTGGGTGACACAGCAAACCTCTGTCTCAAAAAAAAAAGGCCAGGTGTGGTGGCTCACACCTAGAATCCCAGCACTTTGGGAGGCTGAGGTGGGCAGATCACGAGGTCAGGAGTTCAAGACCAGCTTGGCCAACATAGTGAAACCCCGTCTCTACAAAAAATACAAAAAAATTAGCCAGGCCTGGTGGCAGATGCCTCTAATCCCAGCTGCTTGGGAGGCTGAGGCAAGAATTGCTTGAACTTGGGAGGCGGAGGTTGCAGTGGGCTGAGATCACGCCACTGCACTCCAGCCCAGGCGACAGTGCGAGATTCTGTCTGAAAAAAAAAAATCGTAATTTTGGGTGGAAAAGGAACAGGTTAGAAGAGTGATAAGGGGCCGGGCGCAGTAATTCACGCCTGTAATCCCAGCACTTTGGGAGGCCGAGGTAGGTGGATCACGAGGTCAGGAGATTGAGACCATCCTGGCCAACATGGTGAAACCCCGTCTCTACTAAAAATACAAAAATTAGCTAGGCGTGGTGGTGTGTGCCTGTAGTCCCAGCTACTCAGGAGACTGAGGCAGGAGAATCGCTTGAACCTGGGAGGTGGAGGTTGCAGTAAGCTGAGATTGTACCACTGCACTCCAGCCTGAGGGACAGAGCGAGACTCTGTCTCAAAAAAAAAAAAAAAAAAAGTAGATAAGGTCCTCACTGAAGCTGACCCCCTGGGCTCTGGGTTTGGGGTAAGGAAACAGATAATTCCTCAGTATTGAGAGGGCTGGACTCTCAGGAACAGTCCTGTTCTGGGTCTCTGAAGGGATAAAACTTTGACCCTTCCACCCCTCAGATGTGGAGCGTTATTCAGACAAATATCAGATGTCAGGTCCGATTGACAATGCCATCGATTGGAACCCTGGTAGGTGATGGGCCCTTTCATTGACTGCCCTTCTTTCAAATGCATGGGATGCTTCAAGCTATTCCCACCACGCCCATGACCCCACCCCATTCCCCGATCCAGCATCTGCAAGCTAGAGCCTTAGTTATGGTCCAACACATTCTCAGATTCTACCTGAAAAAGCTATTAAATAGTTCCCACTACTCAGGAGATATCCAAGCCACTGAACAACTTTGGCCCAGCCCCTTCCTTCCTCTCCTTTAAAACCCTCACCCCCCTTTAAAACCAGTCAGTATTCACTGGAGACCCCAGGCAGGGTCCTATTGACATTTACGTTCCCACTATTCCCAGATTGGCGGCGTCTACCCCGGGAGCTAAAGATCCGAGTGCGGAAGCTACAGAAGGAACGTGAGTGTATCTGGAAAAAAGGAGGGAGAAGAGAGGTTTCCTTCATCAGCCTGAGGGCCGAGGCTGCTGCTGGTCTCACCTTCCATCCCAGTTCCTATACCCAATCTACCAAGTGTTGTTGCTAGATGTCATAGTGGCCACATGAGGGCAGCAGAGTGACATGTTCTTTGCATGAGGATGGGCTATAAAGCTGGCAAAATTTGCTCTCTGAAGGTTTACCTTTTGATCCCTCCACCAGGGATTACAATTCTGCTCCCCAAGAGGCCCCCTAAGACCACAGAAGATAAGGAGGAAACAATACAGAAACTAGAGGTGAGGAGGAAGTGTGCATAGAGACCTCCTGAGCCCTGGATCCATTCCCTCTCTCTTGGCCCATGTGTGCCTCAATTTTTCCCTTCTGTGAACTGAACCTGAGTTTCTATTCCTATTCATCCCCACATGAGACCCTGGAGAAGAAGGAAGAAGAAGTAACTTCAGAGGAGGATGAGGAGAAAGAAGAAGAAGAAGAGAAGGAAGAGGAGGAAGAAGAAGAGTATGATGAAGAAGAACATGAAGAGGTGAAGGGGACTCCTTCCACCTTAGTCCCCCTCCCTTTACCCTCTTTATACTAGGGTTGCTCTCCTCAGAGGGTTGGCATGCCAACAGAGATAGTGCCCCCCAGGGTAGGGGCTTCTCTCTACTTCATCTGCCCCCCTTCTACAAACTACAGCTGGAAGAGATGTCTCAGGCCTGGAATGGTGTGACTGAGAGGAAAGGGGTCTGGTACACAGGAAGGAAGGTGAATGCCAAATTGACTTTTACTTTTTTTTTTTCCATTTCAGGAAACTGATTACATCATGTCATATTTTGACAATGGAGAGGACTTTGGTGGTGACAGTGATGACAATATGGACGAGGCTATATACTGAAGAAGGACTCTGGACCCTCGTGTCTTTCTTTAGGATACAGAGAGTAACTGTACCTATTATTTGTTTCTTCAGACAAGCAAATCATTTGGTCAGAGTTCATATAATCTGTCTGTTCCCTGGAGATGGGAATAGAGGATGATGACAGTTTATTTTCTACACTTCCCCTCCTTCCACATTTGTATCACCTTTGCTATCTTGGGGAAAGTGCAAAGGACAAACATCTCAATTGTATGAAGGGAGAAAGGAGAATTGAAAGAAGAACTGGGGTTGTTAGAGCTGAGATGACTGTACACATACCCCTGCCCAATTTATATAGCTCTTTGTGGAGATAATTAGGGGTGGGAGCAGTTTGAAGGAGTAAGCCTGGTTTTATACTTTTAAATAAAGTGTTTTTATCTGTCTCTCTGTTGTGGGTGAGGCCTGGTGACAGAGGGCTGGAGGAATGAAGGAAATGCTTAACTAAGCCGGGTCTGGTGTGACACACTGGAGGGTTACAGCCCTACAGCCCGCTTGTCCTTTGTCCCTTCCCTTCTACCCCCATGGTGGGACACATATTCACAATCGAGCCCAGCCAAGGAATATTCAAGGCCTCATCTGTAGGGCAATGCAAAGTAAATTGTAGAGAACAGCCTACGCCCCCTGCAGTACAGCTGACTTCTGAGCCTCTGGTCCTCAGGCCACAAGGACATGATTGTGTCTGTTCACACATGTTCACAAGGACATAGGTCCTGTCTTTCCCACACTTGACCTTGATCTTGTCCTTATTTACAAAAAATGATTACAGCTATTTTTGTGGGGAAAGGCAAGAAAACCAGGTATGAGGAGGGAGGAGGAGCTGACTTATTCACCATACTCCCTCCTCTTCCAGACTCTGGAGATGCCACTTTGAAAGGTATGTCTGTGCAGAGCAAGTCCCCCTAAATATCCTGTTCTCCAGTTACAGAAACCAGTGTGTGGCTGAGTTGCAGTTTCTCTTTTGGTTCTTCCCTTTGTGGAATTTAGTTAGCCTTTCTCACTCCCTTTCTTTGGGGGAAGGGAGGTAGGCGGTGTGGTGTTGTTTTACAGGAAGTAAGGAGGGTGGGGAGGAAGGGAGTGACTTAGGGACACTCACAGATCTGAGAGATGCTTTCTCGCCCACAGAGCTCTCCCTTGGGTGAGGTCACTTTCCGAGGCTCTGATTGGCTTCTGAGGAAGCCTTAGATAAGCTGATTGGTTCCAGCCACTTGACATGCAACAGTCACGGGCAAGCTGCGTGTCCAGAATAGGAACTGAATAAGAAGGCATGCTATCATAGCAACCCTGCTGAGCATTTGAAAGCCGTAAGATGGGGTATAGAAGAACCTTCAAAAAATTCCCCAACTGCATTCAGGCAGGCCGACTGAATTCCCTACAGCATCAAGTGATAGAGACTGTCAATCTAAGGTTGAATATGTCTGACCCCATTGTAAAGAATGAAGAAAGACTGTGACTCCATTGAGGGAAAGCACCTTAAAAGCCTAGTTTGGGTGTGTTAGTTAGTGTTTACATAGAAGCAATGGCAGGTGCCATGGCTCAAGCCTGTAATCCCAGAAGTTTGGAAGACTGAGGCAAGAGGATTGCTTGAAGCCAGGAGTTTGAGACCAGTCTAGGCAACAAAGCGAGTCCCTGTCTCTACAACAAAAATATTTTAAAATATTTCAAATAGCTGAGCGTGGTGGCACTCCCTAGTAGTCCCAGCTACTAGGGAGGCTAAGGCAGGAGGATCCCTAGAGCCCTGGAGTTTGAGGCTGCGGTGAGCTATATGATTGCACCACCAGCCTGGGCAACAAAGCAAGAACCCGCCTCTAAGAAAAGAAGAAAAGAGTAGAAGCAGTGAAGGAAACAGGAATAGAAACAGAACATTCTAGAGTCATTGAGCAATTTATGATGATTGATGTGTTTTTTTTTTAGTCCTCCTGAGGTGTTGTGTTGAGTGGCAGGAAGGAAATAGGGGACCTGTAACGGGTTTCCCATAGCTGTACTTCAGCCTGTGATTATAGCTAGGGAGAGATCAGCAAAAACAAAAGTAAAAGCTATTGAAAATTTTCCTTTTGCATTGTTCCCTACATACACACACCAAGTCCTAACCTGGTCAACTATATGTGTCTGTGTTGGGAGCATAGCCACCCCATAAAGCCCACAATGTCAGCCTGGGAACTTAAAAGAGTGGGAACAAAGAAGATTCTGGAAAAGCAGCACACATCCTATGCACACACATCCTTTTCCCATGAAACTGGGGAAATGAGGACAAAGGTTGGAGTGACCACTTGAGATCAGTTGTATTACTTCAAAGTGTCAGGAAGATCAGACTATTCTTGGACTCTGCCCTGTCTGCAGGTGACCTTGCTGGACAAAGCCAGGGACACAGGACCCAGCAGCTTTCCCAGATTCTGAAGTGGTTCCAGGCATGAGCTAGACTTGTTTCCATCAACCTTTCCCCTACTTTCCATAGGTACTATCAGGCAGGCCTGAAGCCCAAGACCTAGTAAACAGGGTCACGGCTCCTATTCACTTTGGAAGAACCCCTGAGAGGTTAGGGCTTGAGGCCATACTTGCAAACTTTTTTTGTTTTGTCTTGTTTTGTTTTTTGAAATGGAGTCTCACTCTGTTGCCCAGGCTGGAGTGCAGTGGCACGATCTCAGCTCACTGCAACCTCTGCCTCCTGGATTCAAGTGATTCTGCTGCCCCAGCCTCCTGAGTAGCTGAGATTACAGGCGCACGCCACCATGCCCAGCTAATTTTTATATTTTTAGCAGAGACGGGGTTTCACCATGTTGGTCAGGCTGGTTCGAACTCCTGACCTTGTGATCTGCCTGCCTTGGCCTCCCAAAGTGCTGGGATTACAGGCGTGAGCCACCGTGCCCAGCGCCTGCTTGCAAACATTTACAGAGGACTTACACAGTGCTGCTCAGCCCAGTACTACTCGCCTGATAGGGCTTATGTTGAACAGATTGCTGCCATGTCCACAGCCTGGGCTGCACTGGCCCCAGGCAGGGTAGGTTCTCTGTCAAGAATCCTATCCTGGGCATGGTGGCTCCCACCTGTAATCCCACAGCTTTTGGAGGCTGAGGTGGGAGGTTGCTTGAGGCGAGTAGTTCAAGACCAGCTTGGGGCAACATAGTCTTCCCTAAGTCTGCCTCTACAAAAAAAAAAGGGAAAGAGTCCTATTTTTCTCTATGCTATGTTCCATCCCTAGCCTCATGATTTTTCTCCCATCTCAGGTGGGCAGTTTAAGAGGGGTCTGCAGACAGCCTCAGTGACTCAAGTGGTTTGAGGGAGGCTAAATGGCAGACCTGGAAGCAACATGTAGTTTAGATTGGGAGTGGAGACCAAAGAAAATTGGAGGGTCAGATGAATAAGGTAATTGGGCACCTATAATTTGGTAAGGAACAGACAGTTCTTTTCCTCAATTCACTTTTTTTAAGAGACAGTGTTTCACACTATTTTGTGGTCCTAGTTTCACCACTCCATAGCTTCGTGCCCTTCAGAAAGTCATGTATGTCTCCACTCCTCAGTATTCCTCATGTGTGAAATATAAATTTGGACTAGATGTGTCCACTGGGAGCCCTTCTAGCTCTCACATAGTAGGGCTTATGCTGATCCATCTGTAAGAATTCAAATGGGCCTGAGAACAAAGGCAGGATGTGCCTAGCTTTGGCTGAACACATTCCATTCGCTGGATTTCCCCACTTTATTTTCAGCCTAGGCAGACTAAAGATACCTCAGGCATCTGGCCAGTCGTTTCCAAGAACCTGCTTCAGCTTGGGTAGCAAGAAGATCAACAATTCCATCAACTAGCAAGAAAGGGACACCACCTACAGCAGAGTTCAAGGTCACAATCTGCAAGCCAGGACTCAAATCAAACAGGCCACCAGTAGATTTCTGACTGAAGAAGGGGCTGGTGGGCATGTCCTCTTCATCTCCCCTCGTATGTCATGTCCAGCCAGAGGATGGAGAAGAGAAATGAGCTCAACGAGAATAGCTCCACTAACTAATCTGGCCAAACCAGTAGTGACCTCTTCTCCACTGACCTTTCCCCTTCTGGGGCTCACATTTCCTCAAGGTCATTTGGGACCACAAAACTGGAAATAAGTTCCAGTTTCCTGCTATCACCTCAGAAAGGCCTTTGGCTCATCTCCAATAGACTTTAATTTGCCTCTTTGTATCTAGGAAAGAAGGGAGGTCCCCCTCATAACCTTAATGGGGGTCAGTGGGAAGACAATGATCCAGCTTAACTGCGGGACCGTAATGGCTAGGTGCTCTCACCTTGGGAATCCAAGATGTCAAGATGCTGGGGAAGGAATCCAGAGATTCCTTAGGCCTGATCCCAACCAATGCAGGAAGGGGCTAGGTCCCCACGACCTCAGAGTCTGGGATTATTCTCCATTCTCAAACCTCTCCTCCTCCCAGGATCCTCAGCTTTGGGCTGTGCTCCCAGCCCTTTCCTGAATAGTTCCCATCCTTGTGATTCCACATTGATCCTGGTTTACAGTAGAGAAAGGGGGAAAATATCCAAATCCTGTCTCTGATATTCTTTGGTACACTCAGGGCAGTGCTGATAATATTAGATTAGGAGGGAGGGAGTTAGACCTATTTTTGTCTTACCAAAAGGGGTAGGTGGAAGAAACTCACCTAAGTTAGGGATGTGGATTTGAGGTATTTCCTGTCTTGGAGAGAATAGGTAGAGTCCCATTTGGACAGGGAAAGAAGCCCTGGTACTCATCCTCCTTAGGCTCTGGTATGACCAGAGATGTAGCCATTTTGGAGAAGAAATTCCCTCTTCAAAGGAGGACAATTTAATGCTTGTACCTCATTTTTCTTAGGCAGAGTGATAAGAGGAAGTGACACAAAATGGGCTCAGTGGGAGAAAGGGCAAATGCTGATCAGCCCTTTTCTAAGTCTTCCATTTCCTTTCCAAGCCTCTTTCCTGGCACACCTAGACAATCTTTCTCATCTGACCATACTTGGCTGCTCTGGATCCCTCACCTCTCCCTTACTTGGCTTGGCTCCTGTTTTGGGTCTTGCTTTCTACCCTGAGCCGCCACACTAACACCTGTCCAGAGATATCAGGGATGTTTATACACTTCTCAGTGGCTGGACTGGGCCAGGCCTGGAGGGTTGGCTGAGGACCAGACAGAAAGCTTGTCACTCAGACTCATTCTTGTTGTTTTTCAAATTCTTTTCCTCTTTTTGACTCTTTCTCTGTGTCTTTTCTCCATGTCTCTCTTTACCTCATGCCTTTATACAGTGCTGTTTAAATTGGATTATTCCTAGGGTGATATGGTGAAGACTATTTGGAGCCACAGAATACACATGGCACATCTTCCAGAGTGTTAATTTTACTTTTAAGATTTGGTGGGGGAAGATAAATCATTTTTATGCTAAAACCAACACAAATATATTATGCAGTGTAAATCAAAATTTGCATTTTTTAAAGAAAATAGGTACTTCAAAGACATTTCTGGGTTATGACAGGCTACTTTAGACTGCTTTGGGAGTCCTGGGGGAAAATGGTTCACTCTCTTGTATCTTAGGGGTCCTGCAGAAGAAATATTTGAGAAGCTCTACTTAGAGCAGAGGTAACAAACTAAGACAAACCTAAACACTAAACAGGAGTCAGGCAGATATAAAAGATCGAAGCATGTGAGTGTAATGCAATAGGGAGTGGTGAGAACTGGCAAACCAGAGCCTGTCTAGCCCCTTCAGCTCCAGCTGATTAATGCCATGAAAGAATGTGACTCAGTGTTACCAAATATGATTGCTTTTTAAGAGACACCAGAACGGTAGATGTTAGTGAAATCTGATTTTTAAATGTTTACAACCGATTCAAATGTTTAGGAAAGGAAATACAGGTTTATTTATTTATTTATTTATTTTTAATTTTTTTTGAGACAGAGTTTCACTCTTGTTGCACAGGCTGGAGTGCAATGGTGCGATCTCGGCTAACTGCAACCTCCGCCTCCCAAGTTCAAGCAATTCCCCTGCCTCCGCCTCCTGACTAGCTGGGATTACAGGCCTGCACCACCATGCCCAACTAATTTGTATTTTTAGTAGAGATGGGGTTTCGCCGTGTTGGTCAGGCTGATCTCTAACTCCTGACCTCAGGTGATTTGCCTGCCTCAGACTCTCAAAGTGCTGAGATTACAGGTGTGAGCCACCGCACCCAGCCGGAAATATGGGTTTCTAAATGTCTGCAAGCTGGTTTGGCCTATGGGCCCCTGATTTGCTGCCTCTGGCTTAGTGTTTCCTCCAGCTTTGCTTAGGTTCATCATCAGCTAAAATCAAGACAAAAGAAGAGAAACATGAATCACAGTGTGATCTCCCTTCCCTACCTAAGTCCATCTCCCCACCAGCTTCCCGTCAATCTTGGAGCACTTGTGTCAGGGATTTTCTCCTCCAACCACAAAGCAGGGTGGGCACTATCAGAAATGGTGTTGAGATACAGGAAAGAACAAGAGGAAAGAAGAAAGCAGTCTTTGGATATAGAAGGGTATTCAGTTTAAAGGGTATTCACCAGGGGAAGATGAAACCCCAAATAGGGAATTATCATAATTTTTGTCTCTCCTTCCTCACTTTCATTCCTAACCTCCAGGCCTCCCTCACAGTCAAAAAGATATTCTGAACTTGCTAATGATCGACCTCTCTCCCAGCCCTTCCACCTTCCAGGTGACCTAATTTTCCCAAACCAGAGATAGCAGATCTTGCCTTGTCAGACTTGGTCACCATTTCCAACCTCTCTGACCTTCACGATCATTTCTTCTACTTTCCAAAAGTATGTGAAGCACAGGCCTGGGCTTGCAGGGTGTCAAATTCTGTTCCCAAGAGTTGGGGGCAGTGGGATGCATGAGTTTGCAGGAGAGTTTGAAGCTGTCCTGCGGGACAGCTTGAGGAGATAGAACTGCAGAGAAGCCTCTGAGTACTACTGGCAGAGCTACACCTATCTCCAGGGGAAACAAAGGAGCCATTGGCCCCTGCCCAACCACCCTCTTCCTGATCTACAGGAATCCAGAGGTAAAACAGAAACCAGAGTTTCCTCAGAGTTGGAAGGTGAAGCAAGCATGAAAGACAGGGAATAAAGAGAAATGGGAGAGCAGGAAACAAAGGATTAACCCTGAGTCTGGCTAGATGAAGGAGGAAGTCAGAATCTGAAGTGGAGAGGGAGGGATCTTTAGCCACAGAACCATATAAGGGAAGCACAAATGTTGGCCAGGCGCGGTGGCTCACGCCTGTGATCCCAGCACTTTGGGTGGCCAAGGCAGGCGGATCTATAGTGAAACCCCGTATCTACTAGAAATACAAAAATTAGACAGGCGTGGTCGTGAGCATCTATAATCCCAGCTACTCAGGAGGCTGAAACAGGAGAATCACTTGAACCCGGGAGGCGGAGGTGCAGTGAGCCGAGATTGCGCCATTGCACTCCAGCCTGGTGACAGAGTGCGACTCATCTCTTAAAAAAAAAAAAAAAAAAAAAAAAAAAGGAAGCACAGTTCTTATGCCCCTGAATACCTCCTCCCCTCTCAGCAGCTGAAATCCTTGTTCTATCCATCTGTCCAGGAGGTTAAAAATATCCAAGCTGGGAACCTAGCCAGACATTTCCAAGAACCTGTTTACTGACCATTTGATTAACTTTGATTGTCAGCAACTTCATAGCCCAACAAGGACTGAGAATGGACGTTGCCTAACATCTCAGGACTCAGGGCACATGGAATTCACAATCCTGTACCTTTGTTTTCCCTGTCTTCTTTCTCCCATCACTCTGTTGCCTGGAGATGACCAATCAATTGATAGTCAAAGTCTGTTCATTCTTTTCTCCTTACATAACAGGCCCAGCAGAGAGTAGGGAAGGGTCAAGCAAAGGGAAAGGTCGGGACAGAACAAGAATAGCCTAAATAGGCTAAACTGGGCCTCATCCGTGGACTCACCTCCATTGACCTTTGTGCTCCTCAGTCTAGTCCACCCCACAGAAAAATCAAATGGAATGCAATACCTTGAAAGAAAAAGTCTGGAAGACCTGTGGCATCACATTGTATATCCAGCACTCTCTGTTCCTCAGTTTATCACTCCAAATGGTGGGAAGCTTTTCTTTGGAGTTGTGTACTGAAAAGTTAAGAAAGTTCAAATAATTTTTAGAAGGTTACAGGGTTTAATCCACAGGCTTGTGAAGCACACTGGAAGTGTGAAAAAGAACACCCTGAGGCTAAGTGGGTGCTGTGGCTCACTCCTGTAATCCAAGCACTTTGGGAGGCCGAGGCAGGCGGATAGCTTGAGTCGAGCTGTCTGGAGTTCGAGACCAGCCTGGATAACATGGTGAAACCTCACCTCAGCTAAAAATAAAAAAATCAGCCAGACATGGTGGTGCATGCCTGTAATCCCAGCTACTTGGGTGGCTGGGGCGAGATAATTGCTTGAACCCAGGAGGAGGAGGTTGCTGAGATCGCCCCACTCCACTCTAGCCTGGGTGATGGAGTGAGACTCTGTCTCAAAAAAAAAAAAAAAGAAAAAGAAAGAAAGAAAGTAAATTAATCAGGGGGGTAATGAGGGATATGTCTCTTCTTTTATTTTAGATAACAATCACTTATGTGGCATTGTTCTAAATTTTACATATATTTTTAAATTTCTCACAATCTTCTGAGGTAGGCATTATTATTATCTCTCATTTTATAAATAAACAAACTGTTACATAGAGAGGTTTAAACAAGTTGCCCAAGGTCACATAGCTGGTTAAATGGTAGAAGTAAGATCTTAATTTAGATAGTTTGGCTTCAGTGTCCACGTGCTTAACTACTATACTATGCTATTTTTTCTTCCTTTTCCTTTTCTTTTCTTTCTTTTTTTTTTTGTTTTTTTTGGGACAGAGTCTCGCTCTGTCACCCAGGTGCTGGAGTGCAGTGGCATGATCTCTGCTCACTGCAACCTCCCTCTCTGGGGTTCAAGCAATTCTCCTGCCTCAGCCTCCCAAGTAGTTGGGACTGCAGGTGCGCACCACCTCACTTGGCTAATTTTTTGTATTTTTAGTAGAGATGGGGTTTCACCATGTTGGCCAGGCTGGTCTCGAACTCCTGACCTCAGGTGATCCGCCCACCTCGGCTCCCAAAGTGCTGGGATTACAGGCGTGAGCCACCGTGCCCGGCCTATTTTTTCTTAATAGTATAGGAAGACTAATCTTTGGACTTTTTCTGGGTTCTAGACTTACCTATTGTGCCAGGACCTGCAGCCCTGGATCTTTAGCTCTCTGAAAAGGAGTGTTTCAGCTTATGAAATGGAGGTCGATGTGAGGTCACAACAGAGAAAGGACAAAAAAACTTCCCATCCCCCATCCCCAAACTATTGAGGCCAGGATGCCTGGGGGCAGGGACTTGTGATCATTGGAAGGTCAGTAAAATATTTTCCTTATTCACCTTATGCATTTTATCACCTAGAGGTAGCCCAAGAAAATAATTCTAAGAGGGATCTGTAGTCTGTTGAAAGAATTGGGCCAAGGTTGCGTGTGCCTGTAGTCCCAGCTACATGGGAGGTTGAGTAGGGGGAATCCCTTGAGGCTATGAGTTCAAGGTCAGAGTTTGCTATGATTGTGCCTGTGAATAGCCACTCCACTCCAACCTGGGCAACATAGTGAGACCCTCTCTCAAAAAGAGAAAAAAGAATTGTGCAAAGGTCACTCCTTGACTCCACTTCATGCCCTTCAGCTCTTGTGTGATTGTTTTTTGCTGAACATGTGCTTTGTCAGATCCTCCCCTCCACATTTTTCCTTCCCAGTGCCTCAACCCAAGTTAGATCCTTGTGTTTCCAGTCTGTTCAGAGGTATCAATCAAGGCAGCCAATGACTCTGGTTGTTGAAGTACCTGTTTTTTGTTTTGTTTTGTTTTGAGAAGGAGTCTCTCTCTGTCTCCCAGGCTGGAGTACAGTGGCGTGATCTTGGCTCACTGCAATGTCTGCCTCCCAGGTTCAAGTGATTCTCCTGCCTCAGCCTCCCAAGTAGCTGGGACTACAGGTGCCTGCCACGCCTGGCTAATTTTTTATATTTTTAGTAGAGGCGGGGTTTCACCATGTTGGCCAGGCTGGTCTCAAACTCCTGACCTCAAATGATCCACCCACCTTGGCCTCCCAAAATGCTGAGATTACAGGCATGAGCCACAGCACCCGGCCCCTTTTTCTTGTTAATTTTATTTTCTTGCCCTTTTCTCTCTTTAGGTAGTTTTCTTTTTTAGTTCTCTCAGATCTCCCTATACCAGATTAAACCTACTGAATAAATGATACTCAGAACCACATCTCCTCTAATCATTGTACATGTAGGTCATAGCTACTTAAAAATTAAAAGGCACGTGAGAAGAGGATAGGCAAAGAAGACCCAGAATATTCCCCCACTTAAGTGGGGAAATAGCTAAGCCACTCCCCAAGGAAGTGTACTGAAGCAAGCCTGTACGCGGAAAATGTCCTCGGGTGAGGTAGAAGTTGTATACACAAGGCAAAAAGAAGTAGAGTGGAGTTTTTGTGCTGTAAGAGAAGGATAGGTTTCCTCTGGGGGAACAGCTCTAGCTGCTTACTCCCTTAGATTTTGATGTGGTATTCAATATGGCAGTCACTAGTCACTAGTCACTAGTCACATATGTGACAGTCACTAGTCACAGAAAGCTAAAGTTTAATTGAATTGAACAAAATTGGGCCGGGCACAGTAATCCCAGCACTTTGGGAGGCTGAGATGGGCAGATCACCTGAGGTCGGGAGTTCAAGACCAGCCTGACCAACATGGAGAAACCCCATCTCTACTAAAAATACAAAATTAGCCAGGTGTGGTAACGCATGCCTGTAATCCCAGCTACTTGGGAGGCTGAGGCAGGAGAATCGCTGAACCCAGGAGGTGGAGGTTGCAGTGAGCCGAGATCACGCCATTGCACTCCAGCCTGGGCAACAAGAGAGAAACTCCATCTCAAAAAATAATAATAATAATAAATAAATAATTAAACAAAATTAAAAATTCAGTTACAGGCTGGGCACAGTGGCTCACACCTGTAATCCTAGCACTTTGGGAGGCTGAGGTGGGAGGATCGCTTGAGCCCAGGAGTTTTGAGACCAGCCTGGGCAACATGGCAAAACTTCATCTCTATGAAAAATACAAAAATTAGTCGGGCTTGGTGCCATGCACCTGTAGTTCCAGCTACTAGGGGGCTGAGATGGGAAATCACTTGACCCTGAGAGGTGGAGGCTGCAGTGAGCAGAGATCATGCCACTGCACTCCAGCCTGGGAGACAGAGCAAGACCCTGTTTAAAAAAAAAAAAAAAATGTGTGCACAGCACTTTGGGAGGCTGAAGTGGGCAGATTGCTTGAGCCTAGGAGTTCAAGACCAGCCTGGGCAACATGGTGAAACCCTGTCTCTACAAAAAATAGAAAAAATTAGCTGGGCATGGTGGCATGTGCCTGTAGTTCTAGCTACTTGGGAGGCTGAGGTGGGAGAATCACCTGAGCTTGGGAGGTCAAAACTGCAGTGAGCCAAGATTGTGCCACTGCACTCCAGCCTGGGAGACAGAATGAGACCCTATCTAAAAAAAAAAAAAAAAAGATAAGAAAAAAAATCAGTTTATCAGTCATAGTAGCCACATTTCAGGGCTAGTGGCTACTGTATTGAAAATTTCCATCATCATAGAAAGTTCTATTTGGACAGCTGGATAAAGGATATTAAGGGTATCCGGAGGAGATGCCCATGTTCTGGCCCTTCCAGGATCAGATCTCTTTTTTTTTTTGGAGACAGTCTTGCTCTGTCGCCCAGGCTGGAGTGCAGTGGTGCAGTCTGGGCTCACTGCAACCTCCACCTCCTGGGTTCAAGTGATTCTCCTTCCTCAGCCTCCCGAGTAGCTGCAATTACAGGCGTAAGCCACCGCGCCTGGCCCTAGGATCAGATCTCTAAGAGGCCTTGGGTATAAAGTTATCTATCCTTTCGAAGCCATCCCTCTTCTCATATTGGGTACTGGTAGCCCAACTGTGCACACAACCAGGCTCATGTACTCCATGGTCTCTCCATTCCTTTGTCCTGCTCTCTGGCCTGCTCTTATCATTGCTTCACCCCTCTAGGCCCTGGAAAACAAGCTACAGAAAAAACTTTTCCATCAACTTTGACCTAATTTCCTGGTCACAGATTTGAAGGAGAGGAGCCACTAAATTCTTGCACAGGTGAGAAAGGGGCGGAGAGTTCAGGTGAAAGTCACCCTGGCAATAGGGAGAAATAGAGACTGACACTTTGGTAATGAAAGAGAGACAAAGAGAGGGAGGAGAGTGCTATGGAAAATGAAAGATAAACGAAAAATGAGGATTGAAATGGAAAAGGATCTTTTAAATCTCACTTTCTGTTAAATTCACATTGATTTTAGTTTGCTTATTATTTATTTATTTTTGAGACAAAATCTGTCCCCCAGGCTGGAGTGCAAGTGGTGCAATCATAGCTCACTGTAACCTAGAACTTCTGGGCTTGAATGATCCTCTTGCCTCAGCCTTGTGAGTAGCTAGAGCTACAACACCCCACACTGATTTCATGTAGAATTTCCAGGAGCCTGTTATTTGGAATTAGTTTGTGGAAGTCCTCAGAAAAATCAATTCCCAAATAAGGACCAGGACCAGATCTGTGCAAATATTTAAATTGGCCATCCCAGGGTTTCTCCACCTGTCGGTTCTTTAGGAATGAAAATCACTGCTGGGCGCCATGGCTCACACCTGTAATCCCAGCACTTTAGGAGGCTGAGGCGGGTGAATCACGGGAAGTCAGGAGTTCGAGACCAGCCTGGCCAACATGGTGAAACCCCGTCTCTACTAAAAATACAAAAATTAGCTGAGTGTGGTGGCTCATGCCTGTAATCCCAACTACTCAAGAGTCTGAGGTAGCAGAATCGCTTGAACCTGGGAGGCGGACATTGTATTAAGCCAAGATTGGGCCACTGCACTCTAGCCTGGGAGACAGAGCAAGACTCTATCTCAAAAAAAAGAAAGAAAGAAAGAAAGAAAGAAAATCACACCAATTAAACATGGGATTGTGGTATTACTCTACTACTATTACCCTACAAGGAATAGGAACCATCAAATCATCTAAGGGATGAGGGTGAAGTTGAATAGTTAGCAAACATTTACTGAGTTATGTGCTTGGTTAGGAACTGTGAAAATAAAAAATGGTTAGCTGCCTCCAAAGAATTTAATACTCATAACTCTATAACCTCTTAAGTCCTGAAGTTATCCTTGTTAGTATATAAATCAAGTTTACATTGGGAAGAAACCCTATGATAAAACCATATTGTAAAAAGGGGATCTTCAGCTGAGTGTGGTGTCTCACGCCTGTATTCCCAACTCTTTGGGAGGCCAGGGCCAGCAGATCACTTGAGCCCAGAAGTTTGAGGCCAACCTGGACAACATGGCAAAACCCGAACTCTACAAATAATCAAAAAATTAGCTGAGCGTAGAAAAAACAAACACATACACACACACACACGCACACACAATTAACTGAACGTAGTTGTGTATGCCTGTAGCCCAGCTATGTGGGAGGCGGAGATGGGAAGATCACTTGAGCCCAGGAAATCAAGGCTGCAGTGAGCTAAGATCATACTACACTCCAGCCTGGGTGAGTGAGACTGTCTCAAAAAAAGGAACCGCCACTCTTTTCTTTCAAATGCCCTCATAAACATCATCTCCCTGTATTTCAAGAACCCATGAACTCCAAAACTGAAGGAATTTAGTAATGATTACCTATGGATTTGGAAAACTAGTTTAGACAACCGGAAAATCCCAGTATAGTTGTTCAGTGAATCTGAAACATGCCTCAAACGGTTTCCCTCTTCACCTTCTAGCCCCCACTCTGCCGACATTCCTTAGGGTCCATAGGGAGTGTTTTCTCCACAAGGTTTTCATTAGTGTGGATTGTTAAGTAGAGGAAAACTCCTTTAGACACACCTTCTTTCCAAAAACTTTTCCAAAGCCATCTCACAGACATTTTTTTTTCCATTAAAAAAACTTTATTTTCATTTTTTACAAAGAATATCCCCATCTGGGGTAAAAATATATCTGGTTAAGTACAAAATATAGTCTTTACCATACAAAAAGATACATAATACAAAAACATGAAACCAACCATCTTCAGCCCACACTTTCTGGCTGTAATAACTCTCAGAAAAGGGTGGAGCTCAGTGCTCTGACACAGGACAGTGAACAAAGTGCTATGGCTGAGAGTGACTGACCAAGTGCTGGCAGCTGCAGTGAGGGGCCAATATCCCTATCTCCTAACACAGGGCAGGAAGGGGGTTCAAAGGGCTTTTATGAAGACCTGCCCTCTAGTTTCTCATGGCAGTATTTGGAGGTTCTGATCACAGGGTTGGGCATCTTGATCAAGAGTTCCTCCTTGGGTTTGAAGTCACAGTGGGCAAGGCTGACAGCAGCAACCCTTTCACATGATTTAAGCGTTAGAATTATATAATTCTGTACATTGGGGCAATCTCAAAAGTAGTAAAATTTTTTTTGTCTTTTGGCTTAACCCTAGAGACACAGTAGACCAGTTTCAGCTTACATTTAAGATGGCAGAAGGGGAGAACAAAAAATTTGACAGGAATTAAAGTGCTAAGAACATCACCTTAGAATCAATTCCAAGGACTTACATGAAGAGAAAACCATCCTCCCATATGAAAATATTTGCAGTAGGAGAACACAGTGCAATAGGCTCCAAAAATGGCTTTTAAGACCTTTGGTGGGGCAGTTACTACTGCTTTAAAAGCCAGGTTAAAGTATACTCTAAGCAAAGATGACCGTAGAGCAGCTAGCTTCCTTTTTTATAATCACAGGGAAAGCTCTCTCCATTGTCCATCAAATCAGCTCTAGAAGGTTTTTCTTTTTTTTCTACAAGTGCACAAAGGGGAAACACTGATTTTAAGAACCTCCTTTTCCCAAAGTTTTGGCCACAATTTCCCTTTTCATCTTCCTAGTTTGTTAAATTGGCTCTTCTCCACATGATACGTAAGTTCAAGGTCCAAAGTTCCTATCACAATTTACAAAAAGCCTCCAAAAAACCTTGAAAAGCTTACGCCAGGAGGCCATTTTTACCTGACCCGAAACTATCGAAAAGGCCTCAATTTTCAAGGAGATCTGAGAAAATGGATGGGCCTGAGTTTTTCTAGTTATTTTTAAACCCATCCAACAAACACCCCTGTATCACAACATGGGCGCTGGCTGAGGATGAGTCCGCATCCTTTAAGGCCCAGGAGATTGCCTGCTGACCACCTCCTACATTAGGAAGTCAGAGGCTAAGGTGGACCCACACTCCATTGCAGAGACTGTTGAGTCTCTGAAAAAGTGAGTGTCCAGGAAGAGAGACAAAAAGAAACAAGTAGGTAAAGCTGCTTCTTTTCTTCCACATGCTCACTGCACATTGTTGTTGAGGATGCAGGGATCCACCTAAAGAAAGAAACAGACTATTTCAGTTCAGGTAAGAACAAAAAGAACAAACCAGTTTAGCAATCCGTCTAAGTCAACTTCTTATAGAAAGCTTAGGACAAATTTAACAGTAAAGATGACAATCCTCACCTCAGTATAAGTCGGTGGTGGCATGAACTTGAACTCAGGGGCATACATAAAGATAGGGCTGTCTTGAGAGCCATCCATGTCATCTAGCAGAGGAGTGGTTGGGCTCTCCAATCGGTGATCTTCAGGAATGACATCCATATAGCAGGGAGGAGCTAGAAAAGAAAATATGGCCACATAAGAATCCTGCCCAAGAAATGCTGGACCATCACAATTTTACAAACCCAGGTAGACCAGAAACAAAGAAAAGACATTAGGTCTGGCTCACCTTCTGGGGTATCAGGGATGTTCAGATCTACCCAACTCATCTCAGAGCTGGTTCGGCTGGCCATGCTGGATGTTCTGCTGCTTAGACCTGATCTGCTGCCAATTACCAGGGGCAGGTCAAGGATGACCTTCTTGGATCCAGGAACGCTAACATAGATCTAGAAAGGAAGATGGCAGTTTATTACACCAGAGGTCTGGAGAAACAAGACAGCTGTGGTAACAGATGAACAATTTCTCTGCTGAAGCCACCCTGCATCTACCCACCAGTAAGGAATATTCAACTCGAAGGATGTTGCAGCCCAGGATAGAAGGCCTGATCTTCTGAACCCGAAGGCTCTTGCCACGCCATGATGCGCATGTCCCTGAGATAATATGATTGCCTCTGACTGATGACAACTTCTGAGTCAGCACCTTGGTCTGGCCATTGGCAAGGTAAGTGTGGCGGGCCACAATGGCAGCTTTGGGGACCACAATTCGGGAACATGTATTCTCAAAGTCAGCATGGATGGAAATCTCATCACCTAGCAATGAGAAAGATGAAAACTTACTGATACTCAGTATAGTTAATGACACTTCCTCTACCCCAGTCCCATGCCCTTGCCCCTAAACCCAGTTCCTGTTTTAACTGCCATAAGCACTAGGATTTTACCTTCACAGAATCCTTTTCTGTCAATTCGAGCAGAGACAGACACCCGCCCATCAGGAATGAACATGCAGGAAACTTTCTTTTCTTTTTTAGCAGACACAGGTGCCTATATAGAAGGGGATAAAAAGGTGTTTTGAGATGCTTCAATCTAATGCCCAAGACGTCTGATTTATCATCCTCATGACCCAGGAGAATAGAATCTTTAAAATGGATCTCACCATTAAATCAGGGGTATTGACATCCACCAGATCCACTACTTCAAAGTTTTTCTTTGTCTCTTGAGTTGGCTGGCTCGGGCGGTCAAGAAAAGCCTTCACCCAGTAGTCTACACACCCATATTTTCCTTTGAAGGATGTTCCCAGAGGCCTGTGTCAAGAAAATGAAAATTTTAAAACGCTCTCCAAGAACAGTAAGTGATCAAAGGAGGGCAAGATATTTTAGACAGAAAAGTTCAAAGATGCATTTAGCTGATATTTACCCCTGAGGAAGCTCAAAGCCGAACTTGTACTCATATTTGTTTCCAGGTCTCATGATCACCATCTCATTCTCACCTGAAGGGAAAGAAAATCGAGTAGCCATTAGGCTTGCTGTTACACTTAAAATGCATCTGTGTGATAAGGAATGCTTGGGTGGCATGCAAGGTATTGAAGTACCCCCAATTTCATCCCATATATATATTTTTTAATCCATCCCATATTGTTCTTAAAGAGAAATTCTGATGTATTTTGTCGGGCAGCAAGTTGCCAAGCCCTGCAATACTGAAAGATTCACCCAGGACAGTTCTCTACTAACATCTCAAATAGGAAGTAGACAAAGAATAAGCAACTTATGCACACATAAGACTTTAACTACCCGAGGCAACGCCCCTCAGGATCCCCTTTAGGACACAGCACCATAAAAAATTGTACAAATCACCCTTTTTTTTGGGGGGGGAGGAGAATGTCTGCAAATTAAAACAGAAAAAAGGAAGCAACAACACGTAATTCAAACCACTCAAACTGAGCAACTTAAAACATTTCGTACAGGTTTTGTGTATTCAATTCTCTTCTCTAATCAGCTTTCACCCTCCAACAATGAATTGGGCCGCTTACCTGTTGGCTGGTCTTCCAGAAGAAGCGTGTCTTCATAGCGCAGGTACTCCGAAGTCTGTTTGCACTGCTGGGATCCCTGCATCCAAAGCACTTTAGCCACTCCGCAAGCCAGGATCCTAACGGCTTTGACACGAGTAACTTCACACACCTCCACTATCACCCGGCCAGCCACCTTCTCGCCACTGCCGTACACCTTTTCAGGGTCGTTAAAGACCACCTCAAAAGACTTGATCTTCTTGAACATCACCATGATGGAACTGAGTTGGTTTTAAGAGTTAGAAATGACGGTGGAAGAAAAAAAAAGCTCCAAATCGAGGAAACCCCTTTGCAAAAAATTATTTCACTTTAAGGAATTAAGGTATTCTTAAGCAGTTTGAGCTTAAAAATAAAATAAGATTTAAACAAATGAATATTAACTACTAGGTTTTCGAAAAGGCGCCTAAAAAATATACGCCGCTGGTTACACTAAGCTAATTCAGAGAAAAAGCCTTCTTTCCCCCAATTGCTGGAGAAAAGATCCGATCTCCACAAGCACTCCTTTGGAGAAAAAGAGGGGTTAGTTTCAAGCAGGAGGCGGAAACGTCTCTATATAGTAGCCCGGGCCAGAAGAGCCACGCGAGCGCTGGCCCGGAGGCTCGTGCTGCCCTCGTGCACATCCCTCCCATTGGCTGCCCGGTCCTTGTTTACCAGGAGCCCGACCAATCAGTGAGATCGCTGTGGCGCGTGGACACGGTGTGCTCCTGGCTGGGAAAATGGTTGTTGCGCTCTGGAGCGGCGCAGGGAGGGGGGAAGGAGAGGAAGGAGAGGAAGGAGGGGAAGGAGGGGGCTGTTGAGCGTCTTCTCCCGGGTCCAGTGGAAGGAGGATCCCACTGACCCTAAAACCTAGCCAGGGCGACAGGCCATCGGAGGGCGGGTGTGGACGTTTCTGGTCTGAGAGCGGTGTTTTGAGGTAAAAGGAAAATGTGCTTATGAGGGAATTTCATGCCTAGTCTTAGCCAGTGCAGTTACTTTAGAGCCTGTCGTTATTCCTGGCTCATAAATAGCAAGTGTGTGAAAATCCCATAGCTCCAAGAATACTTTCAGGTTTGGGGCTGTGGAGCGCAGAATGCTTGGTGTTACTGTTCAGGAACAGCCCTTTGTCCTTCTCTTGCCCCGCATCCCTATTAAGTATAAAAAACACCACCGTCTCTGAGGGAAAGGAGAACTTTCAGGCCTCATTGTGTGTGTAGGACCGATGTCTTCTCCTTCCCGTTCCAATCCCTTGGGGCTAGGGCTGGGGGCTGCGTGCCTGTGCTGTTCGTCACCCACCCCCAGCTTGTACCCTCTCTTCTGTTCTCTCTGTTCTGTGGAACGGAAATAGGAGGGGCGTGTTTACATCCTGTTGCTTATCCTGTCATCTCTTCAATTTCTACCTGCAAAGTTGGGGAACACTTTGTCTGTGTTCCCCATTTACCTCATTACCTCTTTAGTGAGGTGTGTCCAGGCGCTCATTATCTCCCACTTCCTACCTGCTTCTGGAGGAAAAGGAAAAGCGGGAAAAAAAGGATGCTTCACTCTTTTCACTTTTTTCCAGTTATGTTCACTCTTTCTTGTCTCCATCCCCTCTTCCAACTCACTAAATCAAATGTACATCCATAAATCTGGTTAAAAGTGAGAAAGTCCTCTTGTTTATATCCAAATTTTCAGTGGAGAGATGGCCACACACCTGTTTGAAGGAACAATTTTAAAAACTATTTTCAAAGGTTTTTCCCTAAACGGTTTAGAAAACAGTAAGAAGGAAAAGAGAAGAAAGATCGGTCAACAGAGCACTATAAATTCAAGCCAGAAGAGACCCTACCCTCTCTCTTCATTCTTTGTTGGTTTCGTTTGGCCAGCTGTCAGATGGATTTTCCCCTGCTGGCTGTGAGATGCTTTAGGAGCTGAGTACTGAGAACTTACTCTTAAATGTAATAGGAAAAACCTGTATGCAAAAGTGCAGGGATTCTTCCTCCTTTTATTTGATTCATAGACCCTTCCTATATCTGTGCTGGGGTATCAGAAGATTATTATTTAATTCCTTGTGCTGGAAAGAGGAAGATAATGTCCCAAGATTGAGATGGGGAGGTAATTAAGAAGCATTCAAGTATATTGAAACCCTACCCAATCAGCAAAAAAAAAACAATATTCATTGCTGTTAAAGAGCCTTCTTCCTTCCTCAGACAGCCTAGCTGGATTGACACTCTAAGGCTAACGAGAGTTACAACTCAACCCCAATATTAAGCAAGCTCAAGAATAGGCATCATGAGTCTCTTCGAAAACACACACATGCATTAAACCCCAGGAACATGTTGATCCTTAGGGTGTGTTTGAGGCGGCACCCTGTTCTAGAAACTTAACCAGCTAGGCTTGAGGTGTTTTCAGTTGGTTAACAATATTGATTGAGTTACTGGGAGCAGAGGAGGTGGAACTCTGACTGAAGTAATTTTTTTTTTAAGGTGGAATCTTGCTCTGTTGCCTAGGCTGGAGTGCAGTGGCCTGACCCCAGCTCACTGCAACCTCTGCCTCCTGGGTTAGAGCGATTCTCCGCCTCAGCCTCCTGAGTACCTGGCATTACAGGCATGCATCACCACGCCCAGCTAATTTTTGTATTTTTAGTAGAGATGGGGTTTCACCATGTTGCCCAAGATGGTCTTGAACTCCTCCTGACCTCAGGTGATCCACCCGCCTTGGCCTCCCAAAGTGCTGGGATTACAGGCGTGAGCCACCGTGCCTGGCCTGACTGAAGTAATTTTAAAAGTTCAAAATTGTGGCTTCTGGGAGAACGTTTAGTTTGATGGGTATGAAAGTGTAACTATCAAACATCAAAATGCTGACAAATATATGAATCAATATTGTTAACTACATAGTCAATATTGTTAAATATTGTTAAATCTTAACTACATACATTTTGAGGGAATAGGAAAGATGGTGGCTAGTGATGGATCAGGGTGGTGGTAATATGGGACATCTTAAGACATCCAACTCTCAACCAGGTTGGAATGCAGTGTCACTTGGCTCACTGAAACCTCCACATCCCAGGCTCAAGTGATTCTCCCACCTCAGCCTCCCGAGTAGCCGGGACTACAGATGTGCTCCACCACGCCTAGGTAATTTTTGTATTTTTGGTAGAGATGGGGTTTCACCATGTTGGCCAGGCTGGTCTCAAACTCCTGCTCAAGCAGTCCGCCTACCTGGCCTCCCAAAGTGCTGGGATTATAGGCACCCTTTTCCCTTTCAATTTATTTGATATTTATGTGGGCACATCTCTGAAGTACTGAATTGCTGAGTTTTAAAAAATCCTATGACAATTCTCTCGTTCTAAGTTTCTCTTCTGGGCTCTGGTTTCCTTGTATCTTCCCATTTGCAGAGCTCACTACAGACTACGTTGCTCTGTGTTATGCCTGGGTTCCTTTAAATGCCAAAAAATTATTTAGCTTTGGCAGCAGCTGCTGCCTACCAGGCCTGTAGCCAAGGCATGTTCTGAAGTGGAGTCCTCCTGGACACGGTTGTTTACGACCTTTCACCTTGTAACCTGGTATTCTGATAAAAACCTGCCCCGATTCTCCTTTCCCAGTTCTTGGGTCTAAGAAGAAAGAAATTTTGTAAACTCTTGTCCTAAAATCAGGGTATAAAAACACTTGTGAGGTTTGGGAAAAGGGGTGGGCCAAGGAGGAACAGCAAAGTAGGGCACAGTCAAAGAGTTTTGCAAGTTGGATCATCTTTATCTGCCCCTTCTCTACCCTCTTCAGTCCCAGTGCCAACAGGAAACCAAGTGGTGATTGTTGTTTGTTTGCTTTACTGCAGGTGACAGAATAAAGCCAGCAGTTTCAGGGAGGGAAGTGCCCTCAGCACTTTGTTGCCAGTCAGAGACAAGACACTGATTGCATTTCTCTTTTCTTTAACCTCTGGCCTGACAAACATTTAGAACATGAAGACTCATAGTTCTTAATGCAGAACAAAGCCCTTTCTTGGTCCTTTTAATCACTTCTCTCACCTCTACTCTGTAAACTTCCCTTTTACCCTTACCCATTTTCCTTTCTCTCTCTCTTTTTTTTTCCACATAGGGTCTCACTCTCAACCAGGTTGGAATGCAGTGTCACTTGGCTCACTGAAACCTCCGCATCCCAGGCTCAAGTGATTCTCCCACCTCAGCCTCCCGAGTAGCTGGGACTACAGATGTGCTCCACCACGCCTAGGTAATTTTTGTATTTTTGGTAGAGATGGGGTTTCACCATGTTGGCCAGGCTGGTCTCAAACTCCTGCTCAAGCAGTCCGCCTACCTCGGCCTCCCAAAGTGCTGGGATTATAGGCACCCTTTTCCCTTTCAATTTTTTCCCTAAGGAATTTAGAGGCAAATTAAGAGTTTGAAGACTGCCCCAAGTCATAGATCAATAAGAATAAATTAACAATTGTAAGCCAGGTGTGGTGGCTCATGCCTGTAATCCCAGCACTTTGGGAGGCTGAAATGGGAAGATCACTTGAGGCCAGGAATTCAAGAAGATCACCCTGGGCATTGTAGTGAGACCCCATCTCTCTTTAAAAAAAAAAAAAAAGGCTGGGCGCGGTGGCTCACGCCTGTAATCCCAGCACTTTGGGAGGCTGAGGCAGGCAAATCACGAGGTCAGGAGATTGAGACCATCCTGGCTAACACAGTGAAACCCCGTCTCTACTAAAAATACAAAAAATTAGCCGGGTGTGGTGGCAGGCGCCTATAGTCCCAGCTACTCGGGAGGCTGAGGCAGGAGAATGGCGTGAACCTGGGAGGTGGAGCTTGCAGTGAGCCGAGATCTCGCCACTGCACTCCAGCCTGGGCGACAAAGTGAGACTCCATCTCAAAAAAAAAAAAAGAATTGTATAGCATGTTAGAGTTCCAAGTGACTTTTTAAGTAATTGCCATTTATTGAGCACCTATAATGAACCAAGTCTTTTATATAATTATGTCAGTGATAATTATCTGTCATCTGTCATGTTGTTCTAGAAAGTATTTGAGGTTGGCCGGGCGCGGTGGCTCACGCTTGTAATCCCAGCACTTTGGGAGGCCGAGGCGGGCGGATCACGAGGTCAGGAGATCGAGACCATCCTGGCTAACACGGTGAAACCCCGTCTCTACTAAAAATACAAAAAAAATTAGCCGGGCGTGATGGTGGGCGCCTGTAGTTCCAGTTACTCGGGAGGCTGAGGCAGGAGAATGGCGTGAACCCGGGAGGCGGAGTTTGCAGTGAGCCGAGATTGCGCCACTGCACTCCCGCCTGGGCGACAGAGCGAGACTCCGTCTCAAAAAAAAAAAAAAAGAAAGTATTTGAGGTTAGATTGTTTCATTTAATTCTCTCAATAACCTTGTGACTCGGTGTTGGTTCAGTCAGGCTCAGAAGTGAAGTAATTTGCCTGAGGTCACAGATTTTGTAAGTAGAGCAAGATCTTGAACCCGCCCATGTCTGTCTAAAAGTATGTACTATAAAAATGTGTTGTCTTGGCTCTCAGTGCTTTGATACACAGTATCTTGTTTGATTCTCACAATAGTCTAATAAAGGATTCAGGGCAAGACTCAGAGAATTTTAGAGTTAAATGGGACTGTAGCAGTCTTTTATTTTTTTAAAACCAGTTCTTATTTTGGTTAAGTGACTTGACCTGGGACATAAGCTAGTATCTGGTGGAGCCACTCTCCAAACCCAGGATTCTCTTTATTATCTATTTGTTTATTTTGTTGTTGCCCAGACTGGAGTACAGTGGCACAAGCATAGCTCAGTAGCGGGAACTACTAGGAACACACACCATACTCAGCTAATTTTTTTTTTTGAGAAAGGGTCTTACTTCATCACCAGGCTGGAGTGCAGTGACATGACCATGTCTCACTGTAACCTCAACCTCCAGGGCTGAGGTGATCCTTCCACCTTGGCCTCTTGAGTCAGCTGGGACTACAGGCACATGCCGGGCTAATTTTCATATATTTTGGTAGAGATGGAGTCTTGCCATGTTGCCTGGGCTGGTCTGGAACACCTGGGCTCAAGCTATCCACCCACCTTGGCCTCCCAAAGTGCTGGAATTATAGATATGAGCCACCATGTCCAATCTTGTTTGTTAATTTAGTTTTAACTTTTAAAAATATCTCATCTGGAGGCCCACATTTCGTGTTTACTGAGATCAATTTTTCTACCATGATAAGCAAAGGATAGAGATCTCAGTATTGTCCAATGTCATGGCAAGATGGGGAGAGGGGCTGAATTAACTTGTTTGGAGGTATTGTAGGCTCATTTAAGATAGTTCTTTTTGGCTGGGCGTGGTGGCTCACGCCTGTAATCCCAGCATTTTGGGAGGTCGAGGCAGGCAGATCAACTGAGGTCAGGAGTTTGAGACCAGCCTGACCAACAAGGAGTAACCCCGTCTCTACTAATAATACAAAATTAGCCAGGTGTGGTGGCGCATGCCTGTAATCCCAGTTACTCAGGAGGCTGAGGCAAGAGAATAGCTTGAACCTGGGAGGTGGAGGTTGCAGTGAGTCAAGATTGCACTCCAGCCTGGGCAACAAGAGCAAAACTCCGTCTACAAAAAAAAAACCTAAAAAAGTTTTTTTTCTTTTCTGAAGGCCCTTACAATAACTTCCTAAAGGTAGTTCTTTTTCTTTTCTTTTTTTTGTAATTAGCTTTATTTACTTATCTATTTACTTTTGAGACAAGGTCTTACTCTGTCACCCAGGCTGGAGTGCGGTGGCGTGATCTCGGCTCGCTGCAACCTCCACCTCCCAGGTTCAAGTGATTCACCTGTCTCAGCCTCCCTAGTAGCTGGGATTATAGGCACCCACCACCATGCCCAGCTAATTTTTTGTATTTTTAGTAGAGGTGGGGTTTCACCTTTTTGGCCAGGCTGGTCTTGAACTTCTGACCTCAGGTGATCCACCTGCCTTGGCCTCCCAAAATGCTGGGATTACAGGTTTGAGCCACCATGCCCAGCTTTATCTATTTATTTTTTATATAGAGTCTCACTCAGGCTGGAGTGCAATGGCACGATCTTGGCTCACTGCAACCTCTGCCTCCCAGGTTCAAACGATTCTCCTCTGCCTCCAGAGTAGTTGGGATTACAGGCATTGGCCAGGCTGGTCTTGAACGCCTGACCTCAAGTGATCCACCCACCTTGGCCTCCCAAAGTGCTGGGATTACAGGCGTGAGCCACTGTGCTGGGCCATAGTTCTTAAAGTTGCCTTTATATGTGATAAAAATATCTTATTTCCCTTCTCATGTTATTACAGTATTTTTTTTTTGAGACAGTCTCAGTCTGTCACCCAGGCTGGAGTGCAGTGGCTCGATCTCGGCTCACTGCAGCCTCCGCCTCCTGGGTTTAAGCGATTCTTCTGCCTCAGCCTCCCGAGTAGCTGGGTTTACAGGTGCCCATCACCAAGCCCGACTAATTTTTGTATTTTTAGTAGAGATGGGGTTTCACCATGTTGGCCAAGCCGGTCTCGAACTCCTAGCCTTAAATGATCCACCCACTTTGGCCTCCCAAAGTGTTGAGATTACAGTCGTGAGCCACTGTGCCCAGGCGGTATTCTTCTTTTACTGTCAAATTTCTTAAGAGAATAATCTGTATCAGCTTTTTCTGTGGACTGAACTTGTCCCTTTGTAGTCTGCCTTCTGGTCTCTCTGAAACTATTTTCTTCAAGGTCTCCAGCGGAAATTGGAGTAGTTTTTCTTTTCTTTTCCTTTTTTTTGAAATGGAGTCTTGCTCTGTCACCCAGGCTGGAGTGCATTGGTGCGATCTTGGCTCACTGCAACCTCTGCCTCCTGGGTTCATGCAATTCTCCTGCCTCAGCCTCCCAAGTAGCTGGGATTACAGACATGTGCTACCACGCCCAGCTAATTTTTGATTTTTAATAGATACCGGGTTTCGTCATGTTGGTCAGGCTCGTCTTAAGCTCCTTACCTCAAGTGATCCGCCCACCTCGACCTCCCGAAGTGCTGGGATTACAGGCATGAGCCACCATACCTGGCAAAATCAACGTAGGGTGTTTTTTTTTTTTGAGACAGGGTCTCACTCTGTTGCCCAGGCTGGAGCGCAATGGCGCGATCTTGGCTCACTGCAACTTCCGCCTCCTGGCTTCAAGCAATTCTCCTGCCTCAGCTTCCTGAGTAGCTGGGATTACAGGCACGTGCCACCACGCCCGGCTAATTTTTGTATTTTCAGTAGAGATGGGGTTTCACCATGCTGGCCAGGCTGGTCTGGAACTCCTGACCTCAGGCGATCCACCTGCCTTGGCCTCCCAGAGTGCTGGAATTACAGGCATTAGCCACTGCGCCCGGCCAGTCAGAGTACTTTTTATAGGCTTTATTCCTTTTGACTTCTATATGATTTGGAAACTGCCATGTTTTAAAATTTTAAACACTTAAATCTTGACTTTTGGACTTCATCCTTTTCTCCTTTGCTAACAATTCTTTTTTTTTCTACTCCCTGAAAATTCTTCTTAAGGGCTTGTCCTGGGCCCTCTCCTTTTCTTTCTTGAAGTTTCACTTTTCAGTTTGACTGTCTGTACATCACTCTGTGTAAATGACTTTAAATCTATGCTATACCTTTAGCCTGTCTCCAAAGTTCCAGCTGTTATCTCAAATTCAGCTTGTCTAGTAATGAATTCATAATCTTTCCCTGGTGGTCAAACCCATTTCTTTGCCTTGTTTTTTTTTTTGAGACGGAGTTTCGCTCTTGTTGCCCAGGTTGGAGTGCAATGGCGTGATCTCAGCTCACCGCAACCTCCACCTCCCAGGTTCAAGCAATTCTCCTGCCTCAGCCTCCCAAGTAGCTGGGATTACAGGCATGCAGCACCACGCCCGGCTAATTTTGTATTTTTAGTAGAGACTGGGTTTCTCCATGTTGAGGCTGGTTTCAAACTCCTGACCTAGGTGATCCGCCCGCCTCGGCCTCCCAAAGTGCTGGGATTACAGGCGTGAGCCACCGCGCCCGGCCTTTTTTTTTCCCCTCTTTTTCTTTCTTTCTTTTTGAGACAAGGTCTCGCTCTGTCACACAGGTTGGATTGCACTGGTGGGATCAGGGATCATAGCATACTGCAATCTTGAACTCCCGCTCTCAAGGGATCCTCCTGCCTCAGCCTCCCAAGTAGCTAGGACCACAGGCATATGCCACCATGCCCAGCTAATTCTTTAATTTTTGGTACAGATGGGATCTCATTTTGTTGCCTAGGCTGGTCTCAAACTCCTGGGCTCAAGGGATCATTCCACCTTGGCCTCCCAAAGTGCTAGTATCATAGATATGAGCCACTGCCTCCAGCCCCCTTGTTTGTTTTAATAGAACCATTATATATTCCCCAAGTTATAAAGGCTTAAAATCCAGGGATTGCCTTTAATTCCTTCCTCTCTGTCATGCCCCACATCCAGTCAACTGCTGAATTCTATAGAGCCATCTTTCTAGTGTTTCTAGCACCTGTCTCCTGTTTCTTATTCTACTGCCACCATTCTGGTTCATGTTTTTGTTACTTTTGCCTAGATTACTTTAATAGATTTTAACTGATTTTCCTGCTGTAATCTATAGAACATCACTAGATTAATCTCACAGAATTGAGTTCCTGTGTGTTCCTATAATAATGCAAAATGTATTGCTTACTGAATCACGTTTAAATGCTTCAACCTGGCATTTAAGCCTTCACGAAATGTCCTCAACCAAATTTTCTCATTCATTTCCCACTATTTCCTCATACATGTACCCTATGCTTCAGCCAAAACTGAGCACTCAGTGTTCCCTTAATATATCCTTCTCTGTCTTTATGTCCCTGCTTACATTTTTCCTTGTACCTAGTGTGCCTGTCCTTCCCCATCTCTGCTTTTTGAAATTTTACCCACTCTTCTGTAGACAGCCAAATAATTTTTCCTCTATTAAACCTTTCTTGGCTGGGCGCAGTGGCTCACGCCTGTAATCCCAGCACTTTGAGAGGCCGAGGTGGGTGGATCACCTGAGGTCAGGAGTTTGAGACCAGCCTGGCCAACACGGTGAAACCCCATCTCTACTAAAAATACAAAAATTAGCAGGACATGGTTGGCAGGTGCCTGTAATCCCAGCTACTCGGGAGGCTGAAGCAGGAGAATTGCTTGAACCCCGGAGGTGGAGGTTGCAGTGAGCTGAGATCATGCTGCTGCACTCCAGCCTGGGTGACAGGGTGAGACTCTATCTCAAAGCAACAAAGCAAAACCAAAAACATTTCTTGCTTCCCAATCCCCTCAACTTTTTTTTTTTTTTTAGATAGAGTCTCACTCTGTTACCCAGGCTGGAGTACAGTGGTGCTATCATGGCTCACTGTAGCCTCGATCTCCCAGGTTCAAACAATCCTCCCACCTCAGCCTCCCGAGTAGCTGGGACTACAGGGGCATGCAACCACACCCGGCTAACTTAAAAAAGAAAGAAAAGAAAAAAAAACTTGTAGAGACAGGGTTTCACCATGTAGCCTAGGCTGGTCTTGAACTCCTGAGCTCAAGCGATCCACCCGCCTCAGCTTCTCAAAGTGCTGGGATTATAGGTATGAGCCACCATGCCCAGCCAATCCCCTCATCTTTTACCTTACAATCAAATATTTTTTCATTCTCTTTGGAATACTCCATAGCACATTCATATTTCTTACATAGCACTAACACGTAAAGTGCCTTTTCTCTCCTAAATTCCTAGAGAATAGAAACTCTGCCCTTTTTTATCTTTGTATTCTTCCTAGCATCTATTAGAGTACACTTCACAGAATAAATGTATTATTAAATATAAATTGAGGCCAGGTGCAGTGGCTCACGCCTGTAATCCCAGCATTTTGGGAGGCTGAGGCAGGCGGATCACTTGAGCTCACAACTTCGAGACCAGCCTGGGCAACATGGGGAAACCCTGTCTCTACTAAAAATAAAAAAAATTAGCTGTGTGTGATGGTGCACGCCTGTAGTCCCAGCTCCTCGGAAGGCTGAGGTGGGAGGATGGCTTGAATTGCCATGTCAAAAAAAAAAAAAAAAAAAAAATATATATATATATATATATATACACACACACACACACACACACACACACAGACACACACATACATATAGAGATAGATTGATTGAATTGATAGATTGGGTTATGTCTCTGGATAGAATATACCAGTAATTCAGATCCTAGTATTATTTCTTATTACTATTAGACTTGACACCTCAACCTCAGTTTCTTATGCTAAACTGTATCATATTTGTCCCTCCTCAAAGCCTGTGGCCCAAATATGTATCAGAGCAGGGACGGTAAGGAGGCGAGAGGTGGTGGTTTGTTTTTCTGTGAGAAGAAAATTGGACTGCGTTGGTGTTTATAAGTATGAGGGAGATGGGACATTGTGTGCTCAACCCAACTTCCCCTTTTCTGAGAAATTATTTCTTACACAATTCAGAAATACAGTTGACTCAGCTCTGCCACCTAGTGGGCAGTTTAATATACTGTCAAAATTCTTAGTCCAAGAATTGTCTCAAACAAATAAAAGCTTTTCTGAGAGCCAAAACAGCCCAGATCACTCCCCTGAGTGGCAAAGATGATTTTTGATTATGAGAAGGAACAAATGAAGGAAATGTGGTGTTCATGACTGAGGGAAAGAAATTCTACATTAAAACAAGTTTCTATTTTTTTATCCAGACTGACAATTAATAATACTTTCTTTTCTAAGAAAAAATTTTAAAACATTTATTTATTTTTCTAGATCCATCAATGCCTTTTGAAAAAATGAATTAATTTTTTTAAGAGATGGGCCTCTCTCTTGCCCAGGCTGGAGTGCTGTCGTGCGATCAGTTCACTGCAGTCTCTGACTCTTGGGCTCAAGCAACCCTCGGCCTCAGCCTCCTGAGGAACTGGGACTACCACCATGCCTAGTTAATTTTAAGTTTTTTGTAGATATGGGGGTCTTGCTATGTTGCCCAGTCTGGTCTCTAACTCTTGGGCTCTAGTGATCCTCCTACCTCGACCTTCCAAAGTGTTGGGATGACAGGCATGAGCCACTGTGCCAGATCAGTACTTTCTTTTTTTTGAGATGGAGTTTTGCTCTTGTCGTCCAGGCTGGAGTGCAATGGGGCGATCTCGGCTCACCGCAACCTCCACCTCCCAGGTTCAAGCGATTCTCCTGCCTCAGCCTCCCAAGTAGCTGGGATTACAGGCATGCGCCGCCACGCCTGGCTTATTTTGTATTTTTAGTAGAGACAGGGTTTCTCCATGTTGGTCAGGCTGGTCTTGAACTCCTGACCTCGGGTGATCTGCCCACCTTGGCCTCCCAAAGTGCTGGGATTACAGGTGTGAGCCACCATGCCCGGCCAGTACTTTCTTTGTTAATTATATTTTGTCATCTATATATCTATATATATGCATTATAACGCAGTTGCACAAACATTTGATTCTCACCAGGTAAGCAGGAAGACATTTTGCAGAAGAGAATATTGTGATTCAGAGAACTCAAATGACTTGCCTATGATCACACAGCTAGGACAAAATTCCTAGTGAGTCCCTGAGCCTTAAAAAAAAGATTTTTTTTAAGTCCAAGATTGTCCAAGTGTGGTGGCTCACACCTGTAATTCCAGCACTTTGGGAGGCTGAGGCGGGCAGATCACCTGAGGTCAGGAGTTCAAGACCAACCTGGCCAACATGGTGAAACCTCGTCTCAACTGAAAATACAAAAATTAGCCGGGCATGATTGTGGGTGCCTGTAATCCCAGCTACTCGGGAGGCTGAGGCAGGAGAATCACTTGAACCCGGAAGGCAGAGGTTGCAGTGAGCCAAGATTGTGCTACTGCACTCCAGCCTGGGTGATAGAGCAAGACTCTGTCTCAAAAAAAAAAAAAAAAAAAAAGTCATCTCCTTTGTAAAGCTTTCTCTGATTTCTACATTTATTTTTCATTTTTAATTAATTAATTTTTAAATTTTTACCTATTTATTTTTTGAGACAGTATTTCACTCTGTTACCCAGGCTGGAGTGCAGTGGTGCAATCTCAGCTCACTGCAGCCTCGACCTCCTGACCTCCTGGGCTCAAGCAATCCTTCCAACTTAGCCTCCCGAGTAGCTGGGACCACAGGCACACACCACCACTCCCGGCTAATTTTTTGTATTTTTCGTAGAGAAGGGGTTTTGCCATATTGCCCAGGCTGGTCTTGAACTCTTGAGCTGAAGCAATTCGCCCACCTCAGCCTCCCAAAGTGCTGGGATTACACGTATGGGCCACTGCGCCTGGCCTTTAATTTATTTTTAATTCTTTTATTGAGACAGGGTCTTGCTCTGTCACCCAGGTTGGAGTGCAGTAGTGCGATCATAGCTCACTGCAGCCCCAACCTCCTGGGCTCAACTGATCCTCCCACCTCGGCCTCCCAGGTAGCTGGAACTATAGGCACATGCCACAACAGCCAGCTAATTTTTATTTTTTTTGTAGAGACGGGGGTCTCACCATGTTGCCCAGGCTGGTATCAAACTCCCGGGCTCAAGCAGTCCTCCTACCTTGGCCTCCCAAAGTGCTGGGATTACAGGCATGAGACACCGCTCCCAGCCAGCCTACTTTTTTGAAAATATGACTTAGTTTCTCAAAGGTAGAAGTGTTGTATCAAAGACTGACTATGTGAAACGCTTAATATTAAAAATGTTGGTTCTGTGCCAGGTGTGGTGGCTCAAGGCTGTAATCATTGCATTTTGGGAGGCCAAGGTAGGTGGGTTGCTTGAACCCAGGAGTTCGAGACCAGCTTGGGCAACATGGCGAAAACCCATCTATACAAAAAAATACAAAAAACAAAAAATTAGATGGGAGTGGTGGCTAGCACAGTAGTCTCAGCTACTTAGGGGGCTGAGACAGGAGGATTGCTTGAATCTAGGAGGTCAAGGCTGCAGTGAGCTAATATTGAGCCACTGCACTCCAGCCTGGGTGATGAAGTGAGAACCTGTCTCAAAAAAAAAAAAAAAAATTAGTTCTTTGAACCAATAGCAAAGAATGATTCCAAAATCGCCCTGTATTGGAGGTAGAATCTAGTTATTCTTCCTGGTTTTTCTTTTTCAGTTTCTCAAAGCCCACCCTCCACTTATATAACTTTTATCTGAGGAAACATATGTAACTTATTTCTTCTGTTAATTGTTGGAAAAATGATTAGTAATTTGGTTTGGGAGTACACAGAAAAATTGAGGAAGGCCTTTTATTTCCTAGTTTTATGTCTTCTTTCCCTTCCTTAGTGCTGGTATGGTTTCCTGGCACTGATTTTGAAAACTATAATTACTGGGCCATGGCTACTATCTGTTTCCTTGAGAAGAAATGTGGGAAGGAACTTGCCATGAAGTACATAGGGTGGAGTATAGTAGGGAGGGAGGTGTTTGTTTGATCTGAGAAGTGGTTGAGATGGCCACAAAGTTAAGGGGAAAAAGCTCAGGCCAAGGTGGAAATGCTCCCTTTTTTTTTTGAGGGTGGGGAATGAAGTCTCACTCTGTTGCCCAGGCTGGAGTGCAGTGGCATGATGTTGGCTCACTGCAATCTCCGCCTCCCCGGTTCAAGTGATTCTCCTGCTTAAGTCTCTCAAGCCGCTGGGATTATAGGTGCCAGCCACCACACCCGGCTAATTTTTGTATTTTCAGTAGAGTCAGGTTTTGCCATGTCCGCGGCTGCTCTCAAACTTCAGACTTCAAGTGATCCACCCGCCTTGGCCTCCCAAAATGCTGGGATTATAGGCGTGAGCCACTGCACCTGCCCAGAAATGCTCCTCTTTTTGTTTTTTGGGTTTTCTTTTGAGAGGGAGTCTCACTGTGTCTCCAGGCTGGACTGCAGTGGCACAATCTCAGCTCACTGCAACCTCGGACTCCTGGGTTCAAGCGATTCTCCTGCCTCAGCCTCCCAAGTAGCTGGGATTACAGGCATGCACCACCATGCCCAGCTAATTTTTGTATTTTTAGTAGGGACGGGGTTTCACCATGTTTACCGGGCTGATCTTGAACTCGTGACCTCAGGTGATCCTCCCACCTCAGCCTCCCAAAGTGCTAGGATTACAGGCATGAGCCACTGCGCCCAGCCAAATGCTCCTCTTTTTAATCAATGTAATGTAACATGTAGTTAAAAATCACATGATATTAAATGATTTTACAAAAAACAGCAGTCCTCAAGCCCAAGCCCCTTTTTCTTTTTCTTTCTTTTTTTTTTTTTTTGTTGAGACAGGATCTCACTCCGTCACCCAGGCTGGAGTGCAGTGGGGCAATCTCAGCCCCAGGCTGGAGTGCAGTGGTGCGATCTCGGCTCACTGCAACCTCCACCTCCTAGCTTCAAGCAATTCTCCTGCCTCAGCTACCCAAATAGCTGGGATTACAGGCCCACACCACCACGTCTGGCTAATTTTTGTATTTTTAGTAGAGATGAGGTTTCACCATGTAGGCCAGCTGGTCTTGAACTCCTGGCCCAAGTGATCTTCCCCCCACTTGGCCTCTCAAAGGGCTGGGATTATAAGCATGAACCACCACACCCGGCCCCCGCCCCCTTGTTTTTGAGACAGGATCTCACTCTATCACCCAGGCCAGAGTGCAGTGGCATGATCATGGCTCACTGCAGCCTTGACTTTCTGGGCTCAGGTGTACCTCCTGCCTTAGCCTCCCAAGTATCTGGGACTACAGGCACATACCACCATGCCCAGCTAATTTTTATATATTTTGTAGAGACAGGGTTTTGCTGTGTTGCCCAGGCTGGTCTTGAACTCCTGGGCTCAAGGGATCCATCTACCTAGGCCTCTTAAATCCATGCCTAGGATTACAGGCATGAGCCACTGCACCCTGCCTCTTTCAGCTTTTTCATCTGGTATGCACTTCATATTTCTTTTCTTTCTTTCTTTTTTTTTTTTTTTTTTGAGAGAGAGTCTTGCCCTGTTACCCAAACTGGAGTGCAGTGGCGCAATCTCAGCTCACTGCAACCTCCACCTCCTGGGTTCAAGTGATTCTCCTGCCTCAGCCTTCCAAATAGCTGGGACTACAGGCCCACGCCACCACGCTGGGCTAATTTTTGTATTTTTAGTGGAGATGGGGTTCCCATGTTGGCCAGGCTGGTCTTGAACTCCTGGCCTCAGGTGATCCGCCAGCCTTGGCCTCCCAAAGTGCTGGGATTACAGGCGTAAACCACCGTGCCTGGACTATTTTCCTTATTAAAAACATTTACAGATCATGTGCCAGACTAGGTGTTGAAAATATAAAAATACAACTAGGCTGGGTGTGGTGGCTCACGCCTGTAATCCCAGCTACTTGGGAGGCTGAGGCATGAGAATTGTTTGAACCCGGGAGATGGAGGATAGAGTGAGCTGAGATTGGGCCACTGCACTCCAGTCTGGCGATACAGCGAGAGCGACAGAGCCTGCTTCATACCCCTTTGTAAGCCATCCCTCCTCCTCTCTGCCCATCCCTTAAGCAACCATTGAGCTCCTTTTCTCACTATATATGTGCTAACATTACATATATATTTTGAGAGGCTGAGGTGGATGGATCTCTTGAGGTCAGGAGTTTGAGACCAGCCTGACCAACATGGTGAAACCCATCTCTACTAAAAATACAAAAAGTAGACGGGCCTGGTGGTGCATGCCTGTAGTCGCAGCTACTTGGGAGGCTGAGGCAGGAGAATCGCTTGAACCCGGGATGCAGAGGTTGCAGTGAGCTGAGATTGCGCCACTGCACTCCAGCCTGGGCAACAGTGAGAGACTCTTGTCTCAAAAAAAAAAAAAAAAAAGGAAACAAAATAAATATTAGACATATCTACTCTCTTATGGTTATAGTAATTGAAATTTTAACTCTTACATCATGCTATATTCCCACCTTTCCTTTCCCCTTACCTCATCCTCCCAATAGAAAGTTATAGCATAGTTCTGGCTGAATCAATAGTCAGTGTTTACATTAGTATTACTGTGTAAATGATATCCATTGAGGAGCCAAGTAGTATATATTGATTGTTTCATGTCTTGAACAACCCTTTATTGTTAAATTATAATTTATTTAAAATTTTACTTTGTTTACTATGTACCTATCTTCAGTTTATTTCCTAAATGTCAATTCTGGCAAATGCCTATTAATATTTTCTTTCAAATGGTCAACATATCAGATAATCTTAGACGATAATTTTTCTTTTCCTGGAAACTTGCCTCATTGTCTGCCAAGTCACTTTTTAGTCACTAGCACCACCTGCTGACTCTTGGTGAAGTGGAAAGACAGAATTATGATTCACAGGGTTGATGTTCTTAAATCGGAAAATCTCCTTTCTGTGGTCTCTGACTTTGAGAATGACATTCTGGAGGAAGGAATGTGGTCCTTGTCATAGGAGTAGCGGAGAATATAAAATCACTAAATAAGGTCTTTCCTTTGTTCTGTTATCCTCTTCTTTTGTATGTTTCCTAGAAGAAGAAAAGTCTCTGTTGTAATCTTCCTTGTCATGCTATGGTCATTCTAAGCCTTTTGTCTGATCTACCAAGAAAAGAGAGAAAGATGTGCTACTCAATTAAAAAAAAAAAAAACTACAGCTTTATTGACGTATACTTGGTGTATGATAAATTGTACATATTTAAGGTGTGTCATTTCATGGGTTTTGACATATACAAATATATATATATATCCATGAAACCACTGTCACAATCAAAATGATGAACATATCTATCACCCCCATGAGTTTCGTCATGCCCCTTTGGGTTGTTTTGAGACAGAGTCTTGCTGTATCGCGTAGGCTGGAGTGCAGTCACGTGATGTCGGCTTTGTGCAACCTCCACCTCCTGGGTTCAAGCGATTCTTGTGCCTCAGCCTCCTGAGTAACTGGGATTTCAGGCTCATGCTACCACACCCAGTAGAGACAGGGCATTTTAGTGGAGACAGGGTTTTTAGTGGAGACAGGGTTTTTAGTAGAGACAGGGCTTTTTATTAGAGACAGGGTTCTGCCATGTTGGCCAGGCTGGTCTCAAACCCCTGGCTTCAAGTTATCCACCCTCCTAAGCCTCCCAAAATGCTGGGATTGCTGGTGTGAGCCACCGCATCCGGCCTACTTCATGCCCCTTTGTAAGCCATCCCTCCTTCACTCTGCCCATTCCTTAAGCAACCATTGATCACCTTTTCTCACTATATGTTTGCTAACATTTTATATATTTTTACAGTCCATGATCTGCTGAAGATTTTTAATAATTTGATATGAATGGAAGCAGATGGTATATACTCTTTTTTTTTTTTTGCGGGGCAACAGCTTTTTTCACTTGCATAATTACTTTGAGATTTATCCATGTTGTGTATATCAGGAATTAATTTCATTTTATTGCTGTGTATTCAATTATGTGAATTTACTGCAGTTGGTGTATCCATTCACCATTTCAACATTGAGTTGTTTCCAGTTTTTGGTTATTACAGATAAAACTGTTATAAGCATTTGTATATAAGTTTTTGTGCAGCACATGTTATCATTTCTCTTGGGTCAGTACCTAAGTTTGGAATGTCTGGTTTGTATGGTAAGTGTACACTTACCTTTTAACGAACTGCCAAACTGTTTTACAAAGTAGTTGTACCATTTTACATTCCCACCAACAGCACATGAAAGCTCCACATTTTCCTAACATTTTGTATTTTATTTAACAGTCTTTTCCATTTTAACCATTCTAGTGGGTATGTAGTATTTTTTCATTGTTGTTTTCATTTGATTTGTATTTCCCCAGTGACTAATGATGTTGAGCATCTTTTCATATGCTTATTTTGAGCTACCTATTTAAAAATGCTCCATTAATAATAGGGCTAGTTGGGCTGGGCATGGTGGCTCATGCCTATAATCCCAGCATTTTGGGAGGCTGAGGCGAGCAGATCACTTGAGGCCAGGAGTTCGAGACGTATCTGGTCTGCCATTTCAAATTTCTCCTGCAATTCTTTATCCTCTATTCCCTCCTCTCCACCTCTTTTAAGGACCACAGCCATTCTGCCATTCCCTCAAAGCACTGTCTCTATGCTTTCCAAAGTAACCTTTAGCTAATGGAGAAAATAATGTGTTGTAATGAAGAAAAAAAAATTGGGGGAAGAGACATATCCAGGGCTGTCTCTTCACTTCACAGAAAATATAGGTATTTTAACTCAAAACATCCTTTTGAAGAAATACTCTTTGTATTGGTTCTCTTAAAAGAGTAACTTTATCCCTCAGGTGTGGGAATTTCAAGTGAATTGAGAAGAATTTCGGCTGGGCGCGGTGGCGCACGCCTGTAATCCCAGCACTTTGGGAGGCCGAGGCGGGCGAATCACGAGGTCAGGAGATCGAGACCATCCTGGCCAACACGGTGAAACCCCGTCTCTACTAAAAATACAAAAAAATTAGCTGGGCGTGGTGGCGGGCGCCTGTAGTCCCAGCTACTCGGGACGCTCAGGCAGGAGAATGGCCTGAACCCGGGAGGCGGAGCTTGCAGTGAGCCGAGATTGCGAGATTGCGCCACTGCACTCCAGCCTGGGCGACAGAGCGAGACTCCGTCTCAAAAAAAAAAAAAAAAAAAAAAGAATTTCACAGCCAAGTGGTAAGTGAAATTCTTTGATGACACCTGTCATGTAATACTCTTCCTTCGCGCGGGCTTAGAGCTAGCCTTATTTACTTTTTTTTTTTTTTTTTTTTGAGACGGAGTCTCGCTCTGTCGCCCAGGCTGGAGTGCAGTGGCGCGATCTCCGCTCACGGCAAGCTCCGCCTCCGGGGTTCACGCCATTCTCCTGCCTCAGCTTCCCGAATAGCTGGGACTACAGGCTCCCACCAGCACACCTGGCTAATTTTTTGTATTTTTAGTAGAGATGGGGTTTCACCATGTTGGTCAGGCTGGTCTCAAACTCCTGACCTTGTGATCCACCCGCCTCAGCCTCCCAAAGTGCTGGGATTACAGGTGTGAGCCACTGCGCTCGGCTACTTCCCAAATATTTTCAGTGCGTGGTTGGTTGAATCTGTGGATGCAGAATTAGTAGATACAAAGGGCCCTACTGTAATATTTGTTCAGGGGAGTATTGTCGGGTGTCAGGGACTGAGAGGAGAGGTGGAAGATAATGGTGAGTACTTGATTAGGGCAGGGAGGACAGGTCCTCGGTTATGGAGTACCTGAGAGGGGAGGATGAGACCAGAAACAGGGAAGATATTAAATGTAAAAGTTACCTCCTTCATAATTTTGTTCAGAGCAGCATTGTTACTTTAGAGCACCCTCATCTAGAACAGCATTTCTTCTCAGTCTTTCTTCTACAAACTAGATTCCTTCAACTTTGGGCTTTCCCTCCTTTTCCAACTCTCTCTTTTTGGCTTTATATGAGAATATGAGAAGAGAGTAGTTGTTTTTTGTTTGATAGTCTCACTCTGTTGCCCAGGCTGGAGTGCAGTGGCGTGGTCTCAGCTCACTGCAACCTCTGCCTCCTGGCCCGGGTTCAAGCAATTCTCGATTCTCATGCCTCTGCCTCCTGAGTAGCTTGGATTACAGGATTACAGGCATGGACTATCATGCCTGGCAAATTTCTTGTATTTTTAGTAGAGATGGGGTTTTACCATGTTGCCCAGGCTGGTCTCGAACTCCTGGCCTCAAGTGATCCACCCACATTGGCCTACCAAAGTGCTGGATTACAGGTGTCAGCCACCGCGCCCAGCCTCAGAGTAGCTTTTGTGGTGACATTGACCACCACAACTCCCCTTTTAGAATCTTTACCAGCTCCACAACCAGAATCTTTAATGGCTCTCTGCTTCCTTGACAATATAGTATAGTGATTAAAAATTAAGTTTCGGGATCCAAACGGCATAGGTTCAGTTTCTGGCTCTGCCATTTGTTAACTGTGTGACTGGAGGCAAGTTCCATAATTTGTTAGCTGTGTGACTGGAGGCAAGTTTCCTTATATAAAAATAGAGATAAGAATACCACCTTCCTTAGAGAGCTATGAGAATTAAGTCAATGTTTTAAAAGTGTTTAAAACATTGCCTGGCAGATTTTAAGCTTCAATAAGTGTTAGATATTAATCAAATTTAAACCCCTTACCCCCTTTTTAAGGTGCTTCATAATCTGGCCTCTGCCCATCTAACCTTCTGTCCCATTACTCCTTGTCTACTGCATTTGAGTTTTGCTCATTTCCTTGCTGAATCATGAATCCATGCATAACTCCAGATGGTTTTCATTGCCTGGAAGATCGTTAACAATTTGAATCTTACCCAGTCTTCAAAGCTCACTTCAAATCCCATCTTCTCTGTTACCTTTTATTATTCTTATTACTTTAGTTCAAATCTACCATCTTCCCATCTGAATGTACCATACTGTAGGATTTAGTGAATAATTACACACTCATCACTCTTTCATGTGAATTGGTTTTGTCTCTCCAATAGCCTGTAAACTCCCTGAGATAGCAACAGTATCTGATACTTCCGAGCCCTCTTTCAGTGGAGTGAACACATTGCATTTACTCCATTTCAAGCATCTGTAAAGAGATTCAACATAGGCAACAGAGGATGGTGTGAAGAATTTGTAGCTTTAATAACAGATTAGTTAGGGGGTAGGGATGATACTTCTGTCCTACCTGTGCCATTCTTCAAAAGCAGAGACTCCCTTCACCTAAGAGCTAGACAATGCCTGCTTCATTTTTGAATCAAGAAAGCAGAACATACCTTACACACACATATTCATCAAATAGACTTCTTTCCCTAATTATGTCTTCCTCCTTTGAGTTTCTTATGGCTAATGATCATGTCTTCTGCTTTCAGCTCTTGCCTCTTAAAAATCTCAACCCTTAAATCTTTACTGATCATTAAAACCTTCATGACCTCTAAACTTATAAGGGTGAAATCTGCAGTAAATGGATTAGAACAATTTGTTTACTATAAATGAGGCTGGAAAAATTGGTGAAGAGCCCCACAGAGATCCGGAATGCAGTAACCTTGCCCAGAATCCTTATTCTGTGATAATTTCAACCCTGGACTGCAGCCTCATCTGACTCTGGATAATGTCATTGTTTCACGTGTCTCCTAGGCCCTGCTTCCTTTAATGATTCTTTACATTCTTCTATGCCAATCTGTATCTCCAAATCATTTCCAAACTAGTAATGGGACTGATGGTCCCCTTACTGAATGCAAAGCCACAGAACAAAGAGCCCAGAAAGGAGTGGAGCTAAGAGGGTTGCTGAGGAAAGAGGAACCCCAGCATCTGAGGGGAAGAGATGCAGCTTCTCTAAGTCTGGCAGGAAGGCTCGGGCATCCTCCAGTGCTGCCTGAGCTGCCACGGTAAAGTTGGGATCACCAGAAATTAAAACATCAAAGACACAGGAATGGAAGTAAGCATCTTCCACTGGAAGCCCTTCCTTGCACAGCCGTCTGGCAGTATCAATGGTTATAGCTCCCCGACGATTGCGCTCTGATCGAGAGAGTCGCTGACTTGGAGGGCACCCCCCAACACAGAGCTGCAGGTCCTGTTCAGCTGAGAAGGCCATGGCCACATCCTCTGCTACCTTGATGGAGAAGGAGAGCTGCCCAGCTGTCTGCCGAATGATTATAGTTGTGCCAATGTAGGCAGCTTGGATCTCCACATGGTTCCCAGGGTTAGCAGTTTGAATCGACAAACTGGATCCCCCAGGTCGGTCACCTCCATTGATAGAACCATCTTCAAAGGCTACAGGAAGATTATCCACCTCAGCCTGATACACCTTCTGATCAATGCATTCCTGCATGTTCTTAAATATGATGGTGAGCTGTGAGGACAAGAGGGAAAACAGTTCATTTTGGGTTCAGTGCATCTTCCCCCCAATCAGACCTCATACATAGTTAGAGATCTGATCCAAGTAGAGATGCAGGACTACTATGGCCCTCAATCCTTGATCCCTTCTCCTATTTATGTTCCAGTATTACCTCATCCCTACTTAACCCCCTCTCTACTTAATCGTGGCAACTTCCTAGGAGAGGGAAAAGTTTCCCTTCTGAAACTCCTCAGGTCCGCCCTCTCCGACTGTCTCTTCAAGGTTTTCTGCATTTGAGTCAAATTCCCATCAAGGGGAAGTGATTTACAGCTCCAGGTGTTTGGTAGAAGGGAGTGATTCGAGATGGGGGAGAGGTTGAGGAAGAAAAGGGAATTAGGGAGCATTGCTGTTGAATAGTGGGGATGGGGAGGAATGGTGCCCGTGGAAGAATCTCATGAGGTGGATCGGAAGGAAGATTGAGTGCCTGACCTTCCGGGTGGCGGTAGCGTTGGCCCCCAACGCCATGGGGGAGCTGGTGGCTTGGACAAAGAGGAAGTCATTATCCAGTAGAGGCCAAGCTCCTTGGACACGGCATGTGTGAAAGTGATGGTGGAAGCTGCGCACATGGGGGTCCCCGAAGGAAGCGCAATGCAAGAACCCCGGGGGACGACCATGCAGCCGGGAAAACCGGCCTTCATAGTCACAAGGGTCCGGGGCAGGGAGGCCGGAGCCCGCGCCTGGAAGGGCGGGGCCCCGGGGCGGGGGAGGGGCTGTAGGGCCCTGGCGGGAGCAGTTGTGCTGGATCATCAGGTCTTCGATGCCATGTACCGCCGAATGGAAGGCGAGGTCCCCGCGGCAGGTGCGGGCGGTGCGCCGAGTGCAGAGCGCATAGGAGCGGAGGGCTCGACAGAGGCCGCCAGAGCCCACCCCTCCACCCCGGCCTCCTCCTCCTCCTCCTCGAAGTGCTCCTGATGAACCCCCACCTCTAAGGCTCAGAGTGGACGATACGTACTCAGCATTGCAGCGGAGGATCTTGCATTGAGAATGAGCTAAAGACAGAAGGGAGAGGATTGTGAGACGGTCCTCAGACCTCTGCTCTATCGGAGTGTAGTTTGCTCATAACTCTTCCAAATCTCATCAGGGGTTTCCAGCCTTCCTAAAACCTAACTAAGGGCCTTCCCCAGCCCCCAACCCCCTAGTCCCTAGTTCTCTCGGCTGTCTTACTAAAAGTGTGTAAGCCTGCCACATCTCTTCTGCCTGTCGACCAAGGGCTTCCCCAGTGGCCTTCCCCAGACTGAACGGGAAATAAAATATTAGTATTTGAGAGCAGGGCGAGTGATCGGGACTCTCAGCGCCTATCTCTCCTCACTCATTCAGGCTCACATGCCCACCCCTACATAGCAGCCTACCCTCTAGATTTCCCCAAACCCTTCCCTGGCCCTTCCTTACCATGTCCACAGAGGAGCAGCAGGAGAGTGAGAGTGCTTAGAGTTGGGGGACTGCCATGGGAGGACCTGGGACTAGGGGACTGGCCTGGCTCCCCCATACCTATCCAGCCAGGTTTCCCAGGCGCCGGTTCTTCCCAGCTGATGACCCTCCTACCTAGTGAATTTTGACCGGAAGCCCTGTAAGTGACTGAAAAAAGAAATTTGGCTGGACATGGAGAGAGAGAAGAATTGAAGATTGGTAAGGATAATGTGGAGTGAATCTGGGGAGATCAAGAAAAGGATGAACAGACTGGAATTTGGGGAGATTGGAGTTCCTCAAACTATAAGTGTGGCAGTTAAGCCTCTTTGCCCTGTTCCTGTGGCCACTTTTAGGGCCCTTGTGCAATACCCCTAGGTGGGGGTGGAGGGAAGGTTGAGTGAACTCAAGGGGGCAGAGTCCACTGTATTGCTCCATTCTGAGCTACCAAACAGCAGGTATGTCAAAGATGGAGGAATCATGGGGCTAGATCAGATACCAGTAATCCTAGTGGGTACCCTAGTAAAATTAGGACCTGAAAATATTTCAGAAACATACTTCTTATTTGTCCCTCTCCATTAGGAGGAGATGCCCTCTAGGAGTCATACATTTCTTTTCCTCCTTTGTGTCAGAACACAAGAAGGATTAAGGGTGGCATACCCATCCCGTCTAGAATATCAGTATTCAAATGAAAAGGAAACCAATCTCTTTTCATCAGCTCTAGAGAGCTGCAATTTTAATCTCCCTCTCTCATGGAATAATGGGATGCAAACCAAACATGCAAATCAATATTTGTTTTTTCTAAGTCAACAGTTCTTGTATTTTCCCAAATATCACTCCTTCCATTAATCTCTTCTTTTCAAATTCTGAAGTTCTCAGTCTTTTATGATGACAGGAGTTGGAGAGGGGCTAAATCCCTCCTGCCTAACTCCCCTATCTTATGGGTAAGGATATGATTGGGGGAAGAGTCCTGCAAGAGGGAGAATAGAATGGAGGGACTAGAGTTGTGGGGAGAAATCATTTACAGGGAGCAGCCCCCATGCTTGGAATCTCAATGTGAAGGGCATTGCTAAGTGGGGGCAGGATAGAAGGGTATCAGTGACTCATCATCTGAGGTCATATTTGGCCTTGGTAAGAAAACTACAGAATAGAGGACGTAGGGAACTCCTTCTAAAACTTCATCAGGAGTCTTGAGGTAATAAGGTAAAGAGAGGGCTAAGACTGCCAGAGGAGAGACAGAGAATTAAACTTCAAAAAGCTAGAGGCCAGAGGCCAGAAAGAAATAAGACAGAAAGAGAAATGGAGATTGGGGCACCTTGGTAGGGAGAGATCCCAGCATTTGGACGAGAGACATCCAAGTAGGTGTTTGTAATTTTATAAAAGTCTAACTTCAATATAAAAGCTTATTAAAGGAATTGCAATTTCATTTTGACTTACTGTTTCCAGAGGTCAAACATTACTCTGCTATCCAATTCTCCAGCCATGATTCCCTACTCTGTGGGTCAGCTCCAGCCAGGGGGTCCTCCGTGTCTCCCCCAGGTCCCCAGGCCGGCTGCTGTCTCACTGAGGTCAGGGAACCAGAGAAGGTTTGGTATGGGGGGAAGGGGGAGTATATGGCTGGCCAGAGTACTGGACAGCTGAGCAGGGAGGGAGGTGGCTACTGAGTTGACGGTTTTAAAAATAGCTAAGTCCAAAATTCCAGGAACGTTGGTGGGGGTAGGGTGTGGGAGTTGGGGGAGTGGGGAGGGTTAGAGGATTAGAAAGAATATGGAGTATTGAGTGCCAAGTCAGGGAGGGAGGAGAGAAATATGACAGACAAGTTGGATATCCAATTCCAGCTTGTGTGACTCTGTGGTCACTGCCTACTCCAGGCAGCCCTCCAGCATTTTCAATAATGTTGAGCTCCTGGCCTTTAAAAATTACAGTGGGCAATTGGATACCTTTCATTTACCATGTTCATCCCTGCTATGCTGAATATTACATTTAGGTTCTACAGATAGTATCTAGGAGGTAGCTGACTTTGAATAAGATCCATAGCAGAGGTAGTTCATAGCCCCTCTCCTATCTTTGCAGAGTATTTCAGAAGGACGAAAAAAGCCAGCTGTCCAGAGAAGAAATCTGAGCTGTGAGTTGCTTAGGATGAGGGTTTGTTCAGTCTATCCAGCTCAGATCCTTGCAGCTGTCTATCCTCCTACCTACTCCATTTTCATTACTTTAGTTTGTACAGCAATTCATCTTCCTCTCCCTCATGAATACACAAAAAATAAAGGCTCCCGATTTGCTTGGAGAGAAGGCTAACAAAGGCAAAGAGGTGAAGAAAGAATGGAAATAGAATTCTTCTAAAGAAAGAGTTGGAGAAATAGAAAAAGATTCAAAAATATACTTTTCCTTCCTTCCTTCCTTCCTTCCTTCCTTCCTTCCTTCCTTCCTTCACTCCCTCCCTCCCTCCCTCCCTCCTTCCTTCCTTCCTTCCGAGATGAGGTCTCACTATGTTGACCAGGCTGGTCTTGAACTCCTTGCCTCAATGAATCCTTCCATCTCAGCCTCTCAGAGTGCTGGGATTACAAGTGTGAACCAACATGCCTAGCCTCAGAAAGATACTTTTATGGAATAACATAATCTTGTGACCATAAATATTGCAAAATCTCAGCACTTTGGGAGCTGAGGCAGGAGGGTCACTTGAGCGCAGGAGTTTGAGGCTGCAGTGAGCTATGATAACGCCATTGCACTCCAGCCTGGGCAACAGTGAGACCCGCCCCCCCACCCCCCTTAAAAAAGAAAAGAGATACTGCAACCAAGGGATTTAGCCATGTCATGTTTTTGCAGCCATAGGTATATCTGAGATCATCATCTTTTAGTACTTGCCAAGTGAAATTAACAGAAGGACCGATTCCAAATACGGTCACTGTATTAGGGTTCTCTAGAGGAACAGAACTAATAGGGCATATATCTATATCTGTATCTACCTCTATCTATATAGAGATCTATATCTATATCCATGTCTATCTATCTAGCCATCTAGACTGGCCATCACCAGTCTGCTTTCTGTCTCTCTAGATTTATTAATATCTATATAGATATGGATATCTATATAGGTAGATATATAAATAAAGGGGAATTTATTAAGTATTAACTTACACAATCACAGGGTCCCACAGTAGGCTGTCTGCAAGCTTGAGGGGCAAGGAGAGCCAGTCTCAGTCTCAAAATTGAAGAACTTGGAGTCTGATGTTCAAGGGCAGGAAGCATCCAGCATGGGAGAAATATGTAGGCTGGGAGGCTAGGCCAGTCTCTCCTTTCATATTTTTCTGCCTGCTTTTTATTCTAGCTGTGCTGGCAGTGAATTAGATTGTGCTCACCCAGATTAAGGGTGGATCTGCCTTTCCCAGCCCACTGACTCAAATGTTAATTTCTTTTGGCAACACCCTCACAGACACACCCAGGATCAATACTTTGTATCCTTCAATCCAATCAAATTGACACTCAGTAATAACCAACACAATCACTAAGCCATCTTTACCAGTTGGCTCTATTTTAATACAGAGTCTAGAGGCCCTCATAGCACTCTTCTCAGGTATATATATGACAAATATTTTTGTCAAATATATACTTCTCAGGTATATATATATGACAAATATTTCTCAACCATTAGAGGCCATATCACAAGCAGTTTCATTATAGAAATGTAAAATGCTTCTAACCAAACTATTCAAGTGACTTTAAAACATAATAATTTGACTATGACAGCCTAAGTGGGATATACTATAATGCCAGAAAATAAATGCAAAAATATTTTTAAATAGCCATATTATGGTGTTAGTGTTGGTATTGTTATTCTGAGATTATTTTAGTTATGAGATAAAACAAATGATTAATAATGTTAGTGTCTCTGAGAACCAGAATTTTTGGGGTGGAATAAAGAGATACATATTTACGATTGATGAAGTTAAGAGAAAACTCCGTAATTCTGAATTTAAATTGCAAATATAACTCTGAACTCATGGTTTATTTTATCCTTAAAATTTTCCTAGCTTTACCCTAAAAAGGCCTGGAAACAATGATCCAGTAAAAATAAACACCTCTAGTACTCAAATTGTGCTATGTAAATACCATTTTCTGTTAAAAGGGACCAACAAACAACTCCTTGGATAAGTGGCTGATTTCAGGTTTGGGGCAGGTATTGTCCAAGATAGGCAAGGAAGCTTTCAAAGAGTGTTAGGATTGTAATAAAAGAACTTAGGAGCCAACTAGAATAGTTCCCATTGGCCAAAGATGGGGCAATTTAAGTATCAAAATGGATACTATCTGCAATGGATTGAAATTCATAAAATATGTTTAAATCCATGAATTCACAATGATACTTAAAAATACAAACCCATTGGTCATTGTTGGAGAATGCTGGCAGATCAACTCATTATTTTAAAAACTGCTGGTAATTGGAAAGAATCAAGTATTTATCCTGGTTTTCTTTTGGGAACTGTATCTCAAGATGAGGGGGAAATTTCTCTTTATAGAAGCATTCCAGTAAATAATTGAAGAAGGGATAATATAATTAGAATATCAACATTTTGTAAATCCAAATGAATTAATATATCTAGGCAATGGTCAACAATGACTGTGGCAGGGCACAGTGGCTCACACCTGTAATCCCAGCATTTTGGGAGGCTGAGGTGGGAGGATTGCTTAAGCCCAGGAGTTCAAAACCAGCCTGGACAACATAGTAAGAGCCCATCTCTACGTAAACAAAAAAACAGTGGCTGTTATTCATCATGAAAACAGAGATAAACATGTTTTCCTGATCATAGAGTACATAACTCCACCTTGCATGAAGTAGCCATACCAAAAACAAACAAACAAACAAACAAACAAACAAACCAGTCTGAATCTGATTAGAGCTAACTACTAATTTACAGGAAATACAGGAGACATTAAGTGGTAACTCAAAGGTGCAAATTCAGACTTTGTGAATACTCTACAGGACAAATGACCTGGGTTCGTTCTTTCTTTTCTTTTTCTTTTGAGACAGGGTCTCCCTCTGTCACCCAGAGATCTCGGCTCACTGCAGCCTCTGCCACCTGGGTTCAAGTGATTCTCATGCCTCAGCCACCTGAGTAGCTAGGATTACAGGCATGTGTCATCACACTCAGCTAATTTTGTATTTTTAGTAGAGATGGGGTTTTGCCATGTTGGCCAGGCTGGTCTCGAACTCCTGGGCTCAAGTGATCCGCCCACCTTGGCCTTCCAAAGTGCTGGGATTACAGGCATAAGCCACTGCGCCCTGCCAATATGTTCTTATATAAATATGTATATATTACATACACACACACAAATATGTGTGTGTGTGTGTGTGTGTATATATATGTATATTCTTCACATAGTCAATTGATATTGGAGAAATTTGACCATTATCTTTGTCAAAGCTCATTAACTAAACACCACTGGAAACAAATCTGTAGTCAAAAAAGTTAAATCTACTGGCTTGCTGTAGCAAGGGAGAGAATGCCCCAAAGGAATTATGGGACCATTTCCCTAAGGAGAGGTTAAAAGGAACCTCTTATAGAGTTTCAGCTTCTGTTGGATATTTCTGAACTACAGTTTAGAATAGTGAGGGCTGATTTTGTTGTTTGTTTGTTTTTTCCTAGTCTCTAAAACTCTGAATGAGGACTAATTTGGGATTGAATACTGTTAAGAAGTGGGGGCGTTTCAGTGATTGGGTGTCTAAATAATTCTTACCTAGGAAGCAAGAGGATTATAACCCAAATTGGTAAAGAGAAAAAAGCATTAGTTACTCATGTTAGTCTGAAGAGGGGATTATCTGGTCATTTTTGTGGTAGCAGAGTGGTGTGTCATCTCTCTTTTGTTGAGAATACAGTTGTGGTGTGGCTCTGATAAGCCAAGAGATAGTAACTGCCAACCTAGACTTCCATACTCAGCTAAAATATTATTCCAGAATTAAAAATAAGTAAAACATTTTCAAACACATCAAAACCTGAAGGAATTTACCAACAAAGATTCTTTTTTTTTTGAGACAGAATCTTACTCTGTCACCCAGGCTGGAGTGCAGTGGTGTGATCTCAGCTCACTGCAACCTCCACCTCCTGGGCTCAAGGGATCCTCCCACCTCAGCCTCCCAAGTAGTTGGGACCACAGGTGTGCACCACCATGCCAGGCTATTGTTTGTATTTTTAGTAGTGGTGGGGTTTTACCATGTTGGCCAGGCTGGTCTCAAACTCCTGACCTCAAGTGATCTGCCCCCTCAGACTTCCAAAGTGTTGGGATTATAGGTGTGAGCCACTGCACTTGGCTGATGTCGTCAACAATTTTTTAGCCATTCTGATAGGTGTGTAATGATATCTAATTTGGGTTTTAATTTGTATTTCCCTTATGGCTAATGATGTAGAAAATATTTTTATGAGCTTATTTGCCATCTGTATATCGTCTTTGATGAGATGTCCCTTCATGAAGTTTTGCTTGTTTTAGCATTTTCTCATTGGAAAAAAAAGAAAAAAAAATCAGTTGGGTATATTTGTGTGGGTCTACTACTGGGTTTTCTATATTGTTTCACTGATCTGTATATTTATCCCTCTGCCAATACCACACAGTCTTTAATTCATGTAATTCTTTTTCTCTTCTTTTTTCTTTTCTTTCTTTCTTTTTCTCTTTCTTTCTTTCTTTCTTTCCTTCCTTCCTCCCTCCCTCCCTTCCTTCCTTCTTTCCTTCCTTCTTTCTTTCTTTCCTTCTTTCTTTCTTTCTTTCTTTTTTTTTGAGACAGTCTCCCTCTGTTGCCCAGGCTGGAGTGTAGTGGCATGATCTCAGCTCACTGCAACCTCCCTGCCTTGGGCTCAAGTGATTCTCCTGCCTCAGCCTGCCGAATAGCTGGGATTACAGGCACACACCACCACGCCTGGCTAATTTTTGTATTTTTAGTAGAGACGGGGTTTCGCCATGTTGGCCAGGCTGGTCTCCAACTCCTGACCTCAAGTGATCTGCCCGCCTCGGCCTCCCAAAGTGCTGGGATTACAGGTGTCAGCCACCGCGCCCAACCTCATTTAATTATTTTTAAAAATTGTTTTAGCTATGTCCGCTTCTTTGCCTTTGATATAACTTTTAGAATAATCTTGTCTTTTTTTTTTGAGACGGAGTCTCGCTCTGTCGCCCAGGCTGGAGTGCAGTGGCGTGATCTCGGCTCACTGCAATCTCCGCCTCCCGGGTTCACGCCATTCTCCTGCCTCAGCCTTCCGAGTACCTGGGACTACAGGCGCCCGCCACCACGCCCGGCTGATTTTTTGTATTTTTAGTAGAGACAGGGTTTCACTGTGTTAGCCAGGATGGTCTCGATCTCCTGACCTCGTGATCCGCCCGCCTCGGCCTCCCAAAGTGCTGGGATTACAGGCGTGAGCCACCGCGCCCGGTCTCTTGTCTTAAAGTTACAGATTTTTAAAACAAGGTCGTGGCTCATGCTGTAATTCCAGCACTTTGGGAGGCCGAGGTGGGTGGATCGCCTGAGCTCCGGAGTTCAAGACCAGCCTGGCCAACATGGTGAAACCTTGTCTCTACCAAAAATACAAAAAAATTAGCTGGATGTGGTGGCATGCGCCTGTGGTCCCAGCTACTCTGGAGACTGAGGTGGGAGGATCGCTTGAGCCTGGGAGGTGGAGATTGTGGTGAGCTGAGATCCCGCCACTGCACTCCACCTGGGTGACAGAGTGAAACCTCATCTCGAAGGAAATAATAATAATAATAGTAATAGTAATAATCTTGTCTGTATCTGTAGAAAATCCTGCTAGGATTTTCCTTTCTTCTTCTTTTTTTTTTAGATGGAGTCTCACTCACTCAATGCTCAATGTTGCCCAGGCTAGAGTGCAGTAGCATGATCTCAGCTCACTGCAACCTCCACCTCCCGGCCGCCTGCCTCGGCCTCCCAAAGTGCTAAGATTACAGATATGAGCCACTGCACCTGGCCCCCTTCATTATTTTTTTGTTGTAGTAAAATACACACAACATAAAGTTCACAATTTTAACTATTTTAATGTATACAATGCAGTGGCGCTTAGTACATTGAAAATTTTGTCGGCCGGGCGCGGTGGCTCATGACTGTAATCCCAGCATATTGGGAGGCTGAGGCAGGCGGATCACCTGAGGTCAGGAGTTCAAGACCAGCCTGGCCAACATGACAAAACCTCATCTCTACTAAAAATAAGAAAAATTAGTCGGGTGTGGTGGCATGTGCCTGTAATCCCAGCTATTCGGGAGGCTGAGGCAGGAGAATCACTTGAACCCAGGAGGCGGAGGTTGCAGTGAGCTGAGATCGTGCCACTGCACTCCAGGCTGGGTGACAAGAGCGAGACTCCATCTCAAAAAAAAAAAAAAAAAGAAAAAGAAAAAAGAAAATAAAATGTTGTGCAACCATCAAAACATCACCACTATCTAGTTCCATAACATTTTCATCACCCTGAAAGGAAATCCTGTACCTATTAGCCAGTCAGTCCTCAGCCTCTGGCCATCACCAGTCTGCTTTCTGTCTCTCTAGATTTATTAATACCTGTTCTTGACTTTCATATAAATGGAATAATACACTATGTGACCTTTTGTGTCCGGCTTTTTTTTTTTTTTTTTGAGACAGAGTCTTGCTCTGTGGCCAGGCTGGAGTGCAGTGGCGCAATCTCTGCTCACTGCAACCTCCACTTCCCAGGTTCAAGCGATTCTCCTGCCTCAGCCTCTCGAGTAGCTGGGACTACAGGCACACACCACCATGCCCAGCTAATTTTTTTTTTTTTGTATTTTTAGTAGAGATGGGGTTTCACCATGTTGGCCAGGATGGGCTTGATCTCCTGACCTCGTGATCCACCTGTATCAGCCTCCCAAAGTGCTGGGATTACAGGTGTGAGCCACCATGCCCGGCGTGTCTGGCTTCTTGAGCATAATGTTTTGAGGCTTATACAAGTTGTAGTATGTATCAATACTTCATTCCTTCTTATGCCTGAATAATATGCCATTGTATTTATATACCACAGTTTATTTAGCCATTCATCTATTAATGGAATTTGGATTGTTTCCACTTTTTGACTGTTATAAATAGTGCTGCTATCCACATGCATGTACAAGTATTTTTTTAAGTGCTTGTTTTCAGTTCTTTGGGGTATATACCTAGGAGTGAAATTACTGAATCATATTCTATATTTAGTTGTATGTTTAGCTTATTGAGGAACTGCCAAACTGTTTTTCACAGCAGGTGTGCCATTTTACATTCCCACCAGCAATACAAGAGGATTCAAATTTCTCCCTATCCTAACACTTGTTATTTTCCATTTTAAAAAATTATAGCCATTCTGGTGGTGAAGTGTTATCTTATTGTGATTTTATTTGCATTTCCCTAATGACTAATGACATTGAACATTTTTTTTTTTTTTTGAGACTGAGTCTCACTCTGTCCCCCAAGCTGGAGTGCAGTGGCACAATCTTGGCTCATTGCAGCCTCCGCCTCCCGGGTTCAAACAATTCTCCTACCTCAGCGTCCTGAGTAGCTGGGACTACAGGTGTGTGCCACTACACCCGGCTAATTTTTGTATTTTTAGTATAGTTTCACCACGTTGGCTAGGCTGGTCTTGAACTCCTGACCTCAAGTGATCTGCCCACCTTGGCCTCCCAAAGTGCTGGGATTACAGGCGTGAGCCACCGCACCCAGTTGACATTGAGCATTTTTTCACATATTTATTTTTTCAGTGGGTTATTTGTCTTTTTGTTGTTGAATCATACCCCCTTCATTTTTAAAGGATGTTTTCACTGGATATAGCAATCTGAGTTGACAGTCTTTTTCCGCAGCACTTGAACAATTTTGTGCCACTTCCCTCTGGCCTCCATGGCTTCTGATGAGAAAATGGCTTTCTAACTTGGTTGAACATGGGAGAAAACCCAACAAAACAAAATAAGTAAAAAGAAAAAGAGAGAGAAATCTGCTTTTATTCAAATTGCTTTCCCCTCACTGCATTCAATATTTTTTGTTTGTCTTTAGCCTTCAGCAGTTTGACTATGATGTGTGTCTTAGTTCATTTAGTGTTGCTATAAAGGAATACCTGAGGGCTGGGTAATTATAAAGAAAAATGGTTTATTTGGGTCACGATTCTGATGGCTGGAAAGTTCAAAATTGGGCATCTATATTTGGCAAGGGCCTCAGATTGCTCCCAACCATAGTGGAAGGTGAAGAGAAGTTGGTTTGGGCAGAGATCAATGGCAAGAGAAGAGGAAAGAAAAGAGGTTAGGTGACATGCTCTTTTTAACAACCAGCCCTTGCAGGAACTAAGAGTGAGAACATATTTGCTGGTGAGGGAGGACATTAATCTATTCATGAGGGATCCACCCTGATGACCCAAACACCTCCCATTTGGCCCCACCTCCAATATTGGGGATCACATTTCAACATAAGTTTTGGAGGGGACAAACATCCAAACTATTGCAATGTGTCTTGGCCTGAAGTAGTCTGGGTTTATCCTGTTAGGAGTTCATTCAGCTTCTTGAATCTGTAGGTTTATCCCTGTACCAAATCCTTTGGTACTTTTTTTGTCGTGTTCTCTTCCTCTTCTCCTTCCAGGAAATTTGCTGTCGCAAATGTTAAATCTTTTTTTTTTTTTTTTTTTTTTGAGAGAGAGTCTCGCTCTGTTGCCAGGCTGGAGTGCAGTGGCACGATCTTGGCTCACTGCAACATCCGCCTCCCGGGTTCAAAGCGATTCTCCTGCCTCAGCCTCCCCAGAAACTGGGACTACAGGCACACGCCCAGCTAATTTTTTGTATTTTTAGTAGAGATGGGGTTTCACCGTGTTGGCCAGGATTGTCTTGATCTCTTGACCTGGTGATCTGCCCGCCTTGGCCTCCCAAAGTGCTAGGATTACAGGCGTGAGCTACCGTGCCTGGCCTAAATCTTTTGTTATAATCTCACAAGTCCCTGAGGCTCTCTGCTCATTTTTCCCCCAGTCTATTTTGTTTGTTTTTCAGATTGAGTTGTTTTTTTTTTTTTTTTGAAACAGGGTCTCACTGTGTTGCACAGGCTGGAGTGCACTGGCACGATCTTCGCTCTCTACAACCTCTGCCTCCCAGGTTCAAGCCTCAGCCTCCCAAGTAGCTGGGATTATAGGTGTGTGCCACTACACCCAGCTAATTGTTTTTGCATTTTTAGTAGAGATAGGGTTTTGCCATGTTGGCTAGCCTGGTCTTGAACTCCTGGCCTCAAGTGATCTGCCTGCTTTGGTGTCCCAAAGTGCTGGGATTACAGGCGTGAGCCATTGCGCCTGACCCAGATTGAGTAATTTCTACTGTTCTTTCAGTTCACTGATTCTTTCCTTAGGGGGTAGCCTCATTACCACTCACTGAGTTTGGGTGAAAGTCCTGACTCTCTATTAAGTTTCTTCTGCTACCACCCCAACAGGAAAGAGAGGGATGATTCCTAATAGACTTGCTGGTGGTGGAAGTCTAGGCACCCCATTCAGTCTTTGCCAGAATAGGAGAGGACAAGCCACAGTTTGTTTCTGTGGCATTTGGCTGGAATAGTGCAATTATTGTCTAAAAGTTTTCTGTTTTGCTAGACTGCCTCATTCCTGATCCTTTGGCTAGAGAGAACAGGCTTTTGTTAGGGAATTTTTAGGCTGCTCCTATTGGGATTTCCAGGTTGCTGGTTTCTTTAGCTCCAAGTATGGCATATATGAGGCAAAAAGAAAGTCCACAGAAATCAGCATTGTGTCCTGCCTTTGTTTCTGGGGCTCCTAGCTGGTCTACCTCCTTCTCTCCACATTTCAGTCTTCTTAGGGTTGTCTTATATATAATGTCCAGGGAGGAGGACGAGGGAAGATCACATCTACTCAATCCTCCCTGATCCATTCTCTTTTATTCACTTGTTTATTTGGTTTTACACTAGATTTTCAGCTCTTTAAGTGTTTTGCTGTTGTTTGGAGACAGAGTCTCGCACTATCACCAGCCTAGAGTGCAGTGGCATGATCTCAGCTCACCCTATCCTCCACCTCCGGGGTTCAAGCAATTCTTGTGCCTCAGCCTCTCAAGTAGCTGGGATTACAGGCATGAGCCACAACACCCAGCTTAGGTGTATTTTTAGATTTTCAATACCTCGTCTGGCACATGATCTGTAAATGTTTTTAAAAAGGAAAATAGGCCAGGTGCGGTGGCTCATGCCTGTAATCCCAGCACTTTGGGAGGCTGAGGCTGGCAGATCACCTGAGGTCAGGAGTGCAAGACCAGCCTGGCCAATATGGTGAAATCCCGTCTCTACTAAAAATACAAAAATTAGCTGGGCATGGTGATGGGCATCTGTAGTCCCAGCTACTCAGGGGGCTGAGGCAGGAGAATCGCTTTAACCCAGGGGTGGAGGTTGCAGTGAGCTGAGATCATGCCACTGCAGTCCAGCCTGGGCGACAGAGCAAGACTCTGTCTCAAAAAAAAAAAAAAAAAAAGGAAAATAGAACTCAGAGTGAAGCAAATGAGCCACACTCCTTCCTCATCCACTTTAGGTATGCATTACCGGCAAGAAGAGGAGGCTTAATCCTGTCTTGGTGCTTTGACCAGATTCCTTCTGGTACTTTGATGTTGAGACAAGTGGCTAGCTCCCATAGCTCATACTGTCTGTCCTTCCTCGGTCTGTCCTTAACAAAAAATTACCAGCAGGTGGCAGAATAATTGATGAAAAAGTACTGTTGACCAAAACAGGAGGCTGATTTCCTCTGCAACATAGAAAAATAAATTCTGCTGCCTTGTCCCCACTCTGGGTAAGATCCTGAGATGTTGTTCTGAAGGTTAGATGCTTTTTGTTTTTCAGCCTTGGTCCAGTGAAAACAGCTGGAGTAAAAGGAAGTGGGCTCTGTTAGGCTCCTTGGTGACATGACAACAGGATTCTTGTTGTCTTTGTGAAAATAAATGTCTAGCATTTAGTTACTCGTCTTCCTATTTTATGGCATTTAAACCCATAGAAAAGTGGAGACTGGATGAGTGGAAGATTTAAACAACGTTTCTTGAACAACGTTTTAACATTGATACTTTGGAAGCCAAACAAGACCAGGCTTCGTGGCTTATGCCTGTAATCCCAGCACTTTGGGAGGCCGAGGTGGGAGGATGGCTTGAGCCCAAGAGTTTAAGACCAACCTGGGCAATATGGTGAGGCCTAGTATCTCTGCTACCACAGACACAAAATTAGCTGAGTGTGGTGGCCGGAACCTGTAGTCCCAGCTACTCAGGAGGCTGAGGTAGGAGCTCAGCACTGCACTACAGTCTGGGCAACAAAGTGGGACCGTGTCTCAAAACAACAACTATGATAATCCCCCCAAACTCTGTATCTCACCATCCATTTTTTTTTTCTGTCAGGCCTTGCTGATATACAGACACCATTGATGATTCAATCTTTCAGTTTTTAAATTCATTATCAAAAATATTTTCTGATGTAAGAGTGTGTTTGGGGAGTGGGGTTGCTTTTAAAAATTTCTGCTTGAACTCATGGGCACAGAATTCATCACTTGGGGTCATCTGACCAAAAAAGACCAGAAGGGGAGGCTTTTGATTGTTTCATTTTTTTCTTAACCTTTTATTTTTTAAAACTTCAAGCTTACAGAAAAGCTGAAAGTACAATATGGCAAACACAATTCACTAAGATTTCTTTCTTTCTTTTTCTTTTTTTTTTTTTGTAATTTTTGGTACAGACAGGATTTCACCCTGCTGCCCGGACTGGTTTCAAACTCCTAAGCTCAAAGCAATCCACCTGCCTCAGCCTCCCAAAGTGCTGGGATTACAAGCTTGAGCCACTGTATCCAGCCCGCATTTGCTTTCTTTTCTCGCTCATAAAGTTAGCTTGCAACACATTAATGCATGCACCCCAGTTTTCTTTCTCTTCACTCCCTCTTTTCCTTCCTCGCAATTTTTATTTTGTGTTGCTCTTGTTGCCCAGGCTGGGGTGCAATGGCGTGATCTCGGCTCACTGCAACCTCCGTCTCCTGGGTTAAAGCGAGTCTCCTGCCTTAGCCTCCCGAGTAGCTGGGATTACAGGCAAGCGCCACCACGCCTGGCTAATTTTGTATTTTTAGTAGAGACAGGATTTCACCATGTTGGCCAGGTTGGTCTCGAACTTCTGACCTCAGGTAATCCACCCGCCTCAGCCTCCCAAAGTCCTGGGATTACAGGCAAGCGCCACCACGCCTGGCTAATTTTGTATTTTTAGTAGAGACAGGATTTCACCATGTTGGCCAGGTTGGTCTCGAACTTCTGACCTCAGGTAATCCACCCGCCTCAGCCTCCCAAAGTCCTGGGATTACAGGCGTCTGAGCCACTGCGCCCGGCTTCCTCATAATTTTTTTTTTTTTTTTTTTTTTTGAGACAAAGTTTCACTCTTGATGCCCAGGCTGGAGTGCAATGGCGCAATCTCCGCTCACTGCAACCTCCGCCTCCCGGGTTCAAACGATTCTCCTGCCTCAGCCTCCCGAGTAGCTGGGACTACAGGCGCCCGCCACCACGCCGGCTACTTTTTGTATTTTTAGTAGAGACGGGGTTTCACTATGTTGGCCAGAATGATCTCGATCTCTTGACCTCGTGATCCACCCGCCTCGGCCTCGCAAAGTGCTGGGATTACAGGCATTAGCCACCGCGCCCGGGACCTCGTAATTTTTAAAGGTTAAAGGCCCTGAGTTTCTCTTAGTCTCCCACTAGTGAGTTGAGCTCAGATCCTGCTGAGCACCAAGTACCTCTAGGCTGAGTGATTTTCACTCGTCTGTAATATTTGTTTTAACAGTTTGGCCTACAATTCACACGACATGAAAAAAGGTACAGTGGGCCCAGGATCTCCTAGTGTTACTCGCATGACGTCTTTTATGTTCCTTAAGGAAAAGTTCCTGGTTGTTTTTGGCAAAGACGTAGCTGGGTCTCTACTTTTCTAATGTTCACAATTTCGGAAATCACTGCAACTACAAGGAGGTGAGCTTCCTCTCTGTCTCACCCTCTTCTCTCCGGACATTGGTCTCTGGTCTTGGGGACTGTAATCACGTGTACACGATGCTCCCTAGGCTCTGAGAGCCGGGCTGGAGAATTCTTTCACAATGTTTTCTACTGCAGGAAAGAAGTACCGGGAAGAAGCCCCAACATAGGAAAGGCCCAGTATGCAAGAATCTCAGAATCTAGGCAGTGAAAAATAATATGAAAAAGAATAAGTGGAAATAAACTTTTAGTTAGAATAATGTAATTTTTTTTTTTTTTTTGAGGAAGGCTCTGGCCCTGTCATCAAGTTGGAGTGCAGTGGCACGATCACGGCTCGCTGCAACCTCCGCCTACCAGGCTCAAGCGATCCGGCCTCTCGGGTAGATGGGACTACAGGCAAGCGCCACCACGCCCGGCTAATTTTTTTGTGCTTTTGATAGAGCCCGGGTTTGCCACTTTGCCCAGGCTGGTCTCGAACTAGGAGCTCCAGCAATCTGGCCACTTTGGCTTCAGTGTTTAGCAGTTACAGGCACGAACCGCAGCACTTAGTAGAATCATATAGCTGCAACCGGGAAGGGTTAGCAGCTTCCCTGGTGGTCTAGTGGTTAGGATTCGGCGCTCTCACCGCCGCGGCCCGGGTTCGATTCCCGGTCAGGGAAAGAGTAACATCTTCTTTTACTGCTTTCTCTCAGGATCTTTTAAATAAACGTTATCTGCTAGTCAATCTTCCCCATCCCACTGAAAACTGAAATACAGAAAATGTAGAAAAACACAAATAAAGAAATCGCTCACCATTCTATCACCCGAAGACCACTCAATATCTAGGTTTTGAAACAAAGTGGAAGTATGCTATAATACTATTTTATCACCAGCTGTTTTTGTTGTTGTTGAGACGGAGTTTCGCTGTCGTTGCCCCAGGCTGGAGTGCAGTGGCGCGATCTCGGCTCACTGCAACCTCCGCCTCCCGGGTTCAAGCGATTCTCCTGCCTCAGCCTCCCAAGTAGCTGGGATTACAGGCCTGCGCTACCACGCCCGGCTAATTTTGTATTTGTAGTAGAGACGGGGTTCACCATATTGGTGAGGCCGGTCTCGAACTCCTGACCTCAGGTGATCCACCCGCCTCTGCCTTACCAAAGTGACGGGATTATAGGCGTGAGCTACCATGCTCGGCCAACACCAGCTATTTTTAAGGTTAACAATGTATTTCTAACACTTTGCAGTGGAAATAAATATCCTTCAGTAACGTATTTTCTTTCAATTTAATTACTGGATTTTCGAAAAGGTAATATATTTACATGGTTTAGGATTCAAATATACAAAAGGGCAGAACTGATAAACCTTTCACCTCTACCATTTATTTTCTCTCTAATGAAGTAACCGCTGTTAAGTTTCTTCATGATGTTAGAGATGTTTTATGCAAATGCAAGTACATGCATATATACATACGTATATATATTTAAACATTCTCTCCCCCTTGTACAAATGGAAGTAATCTATACACACTTTCTGCACTTTGCCTTTTCCATTTAACAGTATATTTTGGAAGTACTTACAGATTAGACATGAAGAACTTCCTCATTCTTTCTTCTGGCACATAGCATTCCGTTGTATGGATTTTCCATAATTAGTTTAGCCAGCTTCCTATTATAGACACTTAGGTTATTTCTAGCCCTTTGCTCTTTGGAAAAAAAAATGCTGTCATATACGGTCTTGTACATATGTAATTTTGCGCATGTGTGGAATAAATGTCCAGGAAACTAGAATTGACTTTTCTTAAAGCTGTGAAACAAGATACTACTACAGAATTTTTAATAGGAGAAATTCCAGAGAGCTTCCTTTTAATTTTCCTCTTGTAGGTTTTTCCTGCAGTCTAAATTGCTTAGCCTAGAAATAAACGGGAAGACAAACCTGATTATTTAGTTCTGATACTCTAAAGGAATCAAGCGTATTTCAGATGCGTTGGTGGTATAGTGGTGAGCATAGCTGCCTTCCAAGCAGTTGACCCGGGTTCGATTCCCGGCCAACGCAGTGTCAGTTTTTCTCTTCAGCTTTTTAGACTGAGTAGGCCTGGAAACCGAGCAAAGTAGGGAACACAGGAAAAGAGTTTTGACCACTTTTGTGTCCTAGGTCTGCACCAGTATGGTCTGTCCCTCCCACAGTAAACATCTGTATTTTGGTAACTGCACGTGCGCGCCTAGCCCGTCTGATGGGTTCGGCCGCTGGCGTCCAAACAATAACTCTCCTAGGGGTCTAGGGAAGTTAACAATAACTCTCCTAGGGGTCTAAGGAAGTGTCTGAAATAGAGGCTGGTTGGATTTGTTTTTCTGAATCGGCAGAGGTGGCTCTGATATATTTATGAGTCAAGATGAGGAAGTCAGCACAAGCTCCCACAATGCCAGAGAGTACACAGCGCTTCTTGTACCTGTGAGGGAAGCAAGAAATTAAGACGGGGCTCTCATCCCCTCCCCAGCTCACTAGCTCCGTTTTTCTTCCGGTTCCACCATTCTGGGAAGAGAAACCTCAATTCCGTGGTACAGGCTGCAGATGTAATTTGAAAAATCCTTCGAGGCTGCCCCTCTCATCCCTGGGCGAAGCAGCTTGATTCCTTGGAGGGGGAAGAGGGAAATGGAGGCAGAGAGGTGAGAGGAGAGAGGCGAGAGGCGGCGTGGTCCCGGGTTGCAGCTGACGCTTTCTGCCCTCTAGTCAGGACCTTGGCCCGCCGCCGCCCAGCGGAGCGGGTGGTGCTATCGCTGGCATCGAGGGATTTAGAGTCTAAGAAACTGATTCAGGTGTCGGAGCTTCAAGGTTGCAGAGTGAAAAAGTTTGGAATTGATTGATGCGGACGTCAGGGACTGGCCAAATAAAAGTAGCACGAAATAGCCATTCCTATTTCAAGAGGCATTAAATCCAGCTGTAGCGCGCCGCCTGGTTAGTGGCTCGCCGTGATCGTATAGTGGTTAGTACTCTGCGTTGTGGCCGCAGCAACCTCGGTTCGAATCCGAGTCACGGCAGGTGGTTCTAACTTGCTGGGGTGGCGGTTTTTTTTTTTTTTAATTAACACTTTTAAAAGAGTGACACATGCTTGTAATTCTGCCTTCGCTTAAGGCATCCCCGCGGAAGTGCAGTCCACAGATTCGGTGAATAACAATAGCTCCAGGCCGACGTGGTGGCTCGCGCCATTACGTAATCCCAGCAGCTTTGGGAAGTCTCGGAGGCGGGAGAATCCCTGGAGCCCAGGAGTTCGCGACCAGCTTGAGACGCCTCCCCACAATGTCAGAATTTTTTTTTTTTTTTTTTTTTTGAGACAGAGTCTTGCTCTGTCGCCCAGGCTGGAGTGCAGTGGCGCGATCTCGGCTCACTGCAACCCCCGCCTCCCGGGTTCAAGCAATTCTCCTGCCTCAGCCTCCTGAGTAGCTGGGATTACAGGCGCCCGCCACCACGCCCAGCTAATTTTTGTATCTTTAGTAGAGACGAGGTTTCACTATGTTGGTCAGGCTGGTCTCGAACCCCTGACCTCGTGATCCACCCGCCTCGGCCTCCCAAAGTGCTGGGATTACAGGCTTGAGCCATCGCCCCCGGCCAGAAAAAGAATTTTTAAGATGGTGGCGGGCGCTTTTGGTCCCAGCTACTTAGGGAGGGTGAAGTGGGAGCATCGCTTGAGCCCGGGAAGTAGAGGCTGCAATGAACTATGATCGCGCCACTGCACTCCAGCCTGGGCGACAGAGCGGGACCCTGTCTCAAACAACAATAGTTCCAGTTGGCTCACACTGCGGCTCGCCCACCAAGGTGCTAAGCAGCCCAGGCGGGAAGCTTTAGAGCGATATGGAGGCCCACGGAGCTGGGACCACGGTTGTTCTTTTGGCCTTCACTTGAGCAGAGGAGAGAACCCTTCCCTTGTGACTCTGGAACTCAGTGCCTCTTCCAGGATGGAGAATTAAAATGCTTTGCAGAGAGGTCTTTGCGCCTCTCATCTGAGTTTCCTTGGGCTCTTTCGCACCCTCCTCTGAAGTGGGTGAGGAGGTTCCCTCAGTGGAAGGAATGTGCGGAAAACACTAAGGTTTCAGGCAGGACTCGTGATTCCCGAGTCCTCCGCGAGACTTCCTGGCTCTCTGCAGCCCCCATCGCTCTCTAAACCCCGAATTCCTTCATGGCAAAAAGCTATTATGAAAAGGCTACTGCCGTGTCCACCAGTCCTAGGTCCTGAAACTTCTTTCACACGCAATAATATGCAATTAGATCATACAACCGCTCCGTCAGTGGAAAATGATTCCATATAAGAAGACGCCAGTAATCAGTGCCCGGCTAGCTCAGTCGGTAGAGCATGAGACTCTTAATCTCAGGGTCGTGGGTTCGAGCCCCACGTTGGGCGCTGTGTTTTTATTTAACCCTCTCGCTTAGCTACCATGGAAACATGAACTTCTAAATCGCCACAGCGGCTACTGTCCTTTTACGGTAACTGATTCCAGAAATCATCTCCATTCACCCCAAATTCATCAAGAAAAGAGGAATCTGGGCCGGGCGCGGTGGCTCACGCCTGTAATCCCAGTACTTTGGGAGGCCGAGGTGGGCGGATCACCTGAGGTCAGGAGTTCGAGACCAGCCTCAACACGGAGAAACCCCTTCTCTACTAAAAATACAAAATTAGCCGGGCGTGGAGGTGCATGCCTGTAATCTCAGCTACTCGGGAGGCTGAGGCAGGAGAATTGCTTGAACCTGGAAGACGGAGGTTGCGGTGAGCCGAGATCACGCCATTGCACTCGGTCTCAAAAAAAAGAAAAAAAAAAGAAAAGAGGAATCTGGGGATTCTAGTGTCTGTAGTGACCACATACTTCGAATCCACGATGGGCTTCTCAACTGGGCGAAGGCAGACAAGCTGAGCAGCTCTGAGAAGAGTCCAAAATCGCTCCGACACTGCTCCAGGGAGAACAGCCTTAGGACGGCTCCAGAGGGAAATACTGGTTCTCTTCTTGTTGGTGGGAAATTTTGAATGGGGTTTTGAAAGGCCTTTGTAGTGAGTTAAAATATTCTCAGCTAGGTGTTAGGGAGCATCTGTTTGCTTTTTAGGTTTTGAAGCCTTCATCAGCCGCAAAGGGCTGTAAAATACAACCATTTTAGGAAGGTCAGGAAAAAGAGGAGAGGGCTCTAGAAAAGAAGTTGAGGAGGCGGAGGAGAGAAGCGGAAGAGCAAAGAAAAGGAGGAGCAAAGACGAACGGGTAGGGCAGCGAGTAGGGAGTTAACAGTTGCAGTCTTATTTGATGAATATAGGCTGCCACTCCAGAGTGCTGGGTCCACTACTTTGAATTAGTTATTGATCCACCGGAGAACTTTTTTCTGTTCCCGAAAGCCTGGAGTTGTTTGCCTTACATTTGTTCCTGCTAAATTAGCTTTAACTGTTGCTTTTGCTGGCGTAGGTTAAGTTGGTTTGCCAGGTGGGTGGAAGCCAAGATTGGCACCATTCAAGAGACATTCTTTTTTTTTTTTTTTTTTTTTTTTGAGACAGAGTCTCGCTCTGTCACCCAGGCTGGAGTGCAGTGCCCCGATCTCGGCTCACTGCAACCTCCGCCTCCCGGGTTCAAGCGATTCTCCCTCCTCAGCCTCCCGAGTAGCTGGGGATTACAGGCGACCGCCATCAAGCCCAGCTAATTTTTGTATTTTTAGTAGAGACAGGGTTTCACCATGTTGGCCAGGCTGGTCTCGAACCCCTGAACTCAGGTGATCTGCCCGCCTTGGCCTCCTAAAATGCTGGGATTACAGGCATGAGCCACCGCTCCCGGCCTGAACATTCCTTTTCAACTCCTCCTACAGATCTTCCACCTCCTTTCCCTAAGGATCATTTACCAGTACTTTTTATTTTTTAAGAGTGTAAATATGCTTTAGTCTCACTTACATATAGTCCACCAACCATCTCCAAAATGACCAGTTATTCTCAAAGTGTGGTCCCAGGACAATCATCTTCAGTATCACCTGGAAACTTGAGATAAACGCAAACTATTGAGTGCCACCTTAGACCTATGGAATCAGAAACCCCGAGGGTGGCCCCAACAATCTGTTACTTAACAAGCTCTCTAGGGAGTTTGGAATGTTCAAGTTTGGGAACCACTGCATTAGGGCAGCCTCCTTCCCTATTAACCGAGGGTGTATCATATTCTTGGATAGGAGACTCAACATCATAAAGACAGCACCTCTCCTTTACTTGGTGTCTGAATTTAACATGATTTTCATAAAACTGTCCAAAGAATTTTTTCTTTTTTATTCAAACTAGACAATATGATTATAAAGTTCAAAAGGAAAATACCAAGGAGAAATATCCAAGGAATTCTTTCTTTTTTTTTTTAGAGACAGTATCTCGCTCTGTCACCCAAGATGGAGGGCAGTATCATGATCTTGGCTCACTGCAACCTCCACCTCCCTCAGGCTCAGCTGATCCTCCTACCTTAGCCTCCCAAGTAGCTGGGTCTACAGGCGCTTGCCATCATGCTTGGCTGATTTTTTAACTTTTTGTAGAGATGAGGGCTCACTGTATTGCCTAGGGTGGTCCCAAACTCCTGGACTCAAGCGATATGCCCACCTCAGCCTCCCAAAGTGTTGGGATTACAGGCCTGAGCCACTGTGCCCAAACTAATGGTAAATTTTCCTAAAGTTTATGTTGGAGAGGGTTTTTTTTTTTTTTTTTTTTTTTTTTTGAGACAGAGTCTCGCATTTTCGCCCAGGCTGGAGTGTAGTGGCAGATCTCGGCTCACTGCAAGCTCCGCCTCCAGGGTTCACGCCATTTTCCTTCCTCAGCCTCCCGAGTAGCTGGGACTACAGGCGCCCGCCACCACGCCCTGCTAATTTTTGTATTGTCAGTAGAGACGGGGTTTCAGTGTGTTAGTCAGGATAGTCTCGATCTTCTGACCTTGTGATCCGCTCGCCTTGGCCTCCCAAAGTGCTGGGATTACAGGCTTCAGCCACCGCGCCCGGCGGGAAGGTTAATATACCTTGTGAATGGAGGATAAGTTGGTACAAGTTCTACAGGGTGCCTTATGACAATATCTATAAAAGTAAAAAAACTTTTTTTCTTGGAGACTGAATCTCTGTCGCCCAGGCTGGAGTGCAGTGGCACAATCTTGGCTCCCTACAACCTTCGCCTCCCAGATTCAAGTGATTCTCCCACCTCAGTCTCTCCAGTAGTTGGGACCACATGTGCGCACCACCACCCCCGACTAATTTTTTTGTATTTTTAGTAGAGATGGGGTTTTACCATATTGGCCAGGCTGTTCTCAAACTCGTGATCCACCCACTTTGGCCTCCCAAAGTCCTGGGATTATAGGTGTGAGCCATCACGCCTGACCAAAAAAAATTTTAAAAAATTTTTCTTTTAAACTTTGTGTCATGGCCGGGCGCGGTGGCTCACGCCTGTAATCCCAGCACTTTGTGAGGCCGAGGCAGGCGGATCACTGAGGTCAGGAGTTCGAGACCAGCCTGACCAACATGGAGAAACCCTGTCTCTACTAAAAATACAAAATTAGCCAGGCGTGGTGGCACATGCCTGTAATCCTAGCTACTAGGGAAGCTCAGGCAGGAGAATAGCTTGAACCTGGGAGGCGGAGGTTGCGGTGAGCTGAGATTGCACCATTGCACTCCAGCCTGGGCAATAAGAGCGAAACTCCGTCTCAAAAAAAAAGAAAAAGAAAAAAATGTTGGTTATATTTTCCAGCTTCTCTCATCAAGAGAGTCTATTTCTCCTCTGTTTGAATCTGGGATTGGCTATGTGACTTGCTTTGGGCAAATGTTGGTGCCTTCACAAAATAATAACTTATTGTTATTCTAAGTCAATAAGCTTGGGATGGTTTATTATGCAGCAAAAGTATATCAAAAGGGTGATGGTAGTTGCAGGAAATAAATATATACCTTTAACTGTATATGCATAAACATCTTTGGAATGATACCTCCAAAATATACATTCCTATATTGAAAGAGCACACTGTGTACCCAGCATGGTGGATGAAAATAGATCATGAAGTTTCAGAATAGTAGGAACAGGTAGAAGATTCTATAAGCTTTTGGGAGGGGAGCTGGGAGAACAGTTTAAGGCAAATAACAAAGAATCAGAACGGCATCCATCTTCTCTACGGTGTTGAGGCGCTCCAGTCTATAACCATCAGGAACAAACCTATAGTCAAATCTGAGTATATTGGCTCATTGCAACAGAGGAGACAGCAAACACTATGGGGAAATTGTGGGACAATTCTTCCCCTGGGAATCTCGATATTTTTATCTAGAAAGTGGGAGGAATGGTTGCAGAACTAAACACATAATTGGTAAAGAATCAACAGTCAATACAAAAGTTAGCCGAGCATGGTTGGGCATGCCTGTAATCCCAGCTACTTAAGAGGCTGAGGGAGGAGAATCGCTTGAACCCAGGAGGCAGAGGTTGCAGTGAGCTGAGATGACGTCCCTGCACTCCAGCCTGGGTGACAGAGACTGTCTCAAAAAAATAAAATAAAATAAAAAATAAGGCCAGGTGCAGTGGCTCACGCCTGTAATCCCAACACTTTGAGAGGCCAAGGCGGGCAGATCACAAGGTCAGGAGTTCGAGACCAGCCTGGCCAATATGGTGAAACCCCGTCTCTACTAAAAATACAAAAATTAGCTGAGTGTGGTGGTGGGCGCCTGTAGTCCCAGCTACTCCGGAGGTTGAGACAGGAGAATCGCTTGAACCCGGGAGGCAGAGGTTGCAGTGAGCCGAGATCACGCCACTGCACTCCAGCCTGGCGACAGAGCAAGACTCCGTCTCAAAAAAATAAAAAATAAAAGAATTAACAGTCACTATTAGTAGCTGGGAAAGGGGAATGTTTGATCATATTATGGTTTGAACAGTGTTCTGTTTGTGCTCAAATATGATTGTGAAATAGTCTTTCTTTCATCTTGGTGAGAGGGTAGCTTTGTCTGATATTGGTGTTGTGAAATTTTTAGTTTGAACCGGAGAACATCATGGCCTAGGTGTTTATCAGACCAGCTCTAGCTGAGAGCAGAAAAGGGTTACTTTTTCTTTCTCAGAAACGACTATGGAAAACAGTAGGCCGGGCGCAGTGGCTCACTCCTGTAATCCCTGCACTTTCGGAGCCCGAGGCGGGCGGATCACGAGGTCAGGAGTTCGAGACCAGCCTGGCCAATATGGTGAAACCCCGTCTCTACTAAAAATACAAAAATTAGCTGGCCATAGTGGTGTATGCCTGTAGTCCCAGCTACTTGGGAGGCTAAGGCAGAAGAATCGCTTGAACCTAGGAGGCAGAGGTTGCAGTGAACCGAGATTGTGCCACTGCACTCCAGCCTGGGCAACAGAGCGAGACTCCGTCTCAAAAAAAAAAAAAAAAAAAAAAAAAGACTATAGGGAAACAGTAAACAACAAGGGCCGGGCGCGGTGGTTCACGCCTGTAATCCCAGCACTTTGCAAAGCCGAGGGAGGCGGATCACTTGAGGTCAGGAGTTTGAAACTGTAGCAGGAGAGGTCGTAGACAAAATCCCTCAGACACCGGATTGTGGAAGGTAAGAGCTTTATTCAGTTGGGAGCGTCGGCCGACTCACGTCCTAGAAACGGAGCTCCCCGAATAAGTAATTCCTGTCCCTTTTAAAGGCTCACAACTCTAAAGGGGCTGTGGGTGGAGGGAGAGGTCATGATCGATTGAGCAAGCGAGGGGTACGTGACTGGGGGCTGCATGCACCGGTAATCAGAACGAAACAGAACAGAAAAGGGAGTTTCATAATGCGTTTTTATACAATGTCTGGAATTTATAGACAGCGCAAGTGGTGAGGTCAGGGGTTGAATTTTAACAACAAGGCCCGAAATGTGGCGCCCGGTTGTCTGACCACGATTTTCACTTCTGCCCATTCTTTCAACCTCCACTTTTTCAGCAAACAAGAAATTAAGTATAAGACAATATGAGGAGTGCTCTCCTCTCAAAACCAGCTTGGCTAACATGGCGAAACCCCATCTCTACTAAAAATTAAAAAATTAGCCGGGCGTGGTGGCGGGTGCCTGTAATCCCAGCTACTGGGGAGGCTGAGGCAGGAGAATCGCTTGAACCCGGCAGGTGGAGGTTGCAGTGAGCCGAGATCCCGCCGCCGCACTCCAGCCTGGGCGACGGAGCGAGGCGAGACTCTGTTTCAAAAAAAAAAAAAAAAAAAAAGCAGTGCTTTTAAAAATTTGAGAGAAATTATTTCAACCTATCTCTATGTATCTCTATCTAGTAAAATATCAATTAAGTGTATGGGTATAATAGACATTTTCAGACATGCAGTGTCTCAAAAAGTTTATTTCTAAGGTAACCACTTTATAGGAGGTTTTGGAGGATATGCATCATCAAAAGGAAGAAGTGAGTGAAGAATGAACCCCCTTGAGATCCATGAAGCAGGGGATCTAACAAAAGAGAGAGGCGATGGAAATCCCAAGATGGTGCAGTAAAGAGAGATATTATGATAACAGCTGTGGGATAAGCCTGAAGAGCAAGTCATCCAGAACGGAACAGATAGAAATGTGCCAGGAAAAATTTTTCTTTCTTTCTTTTTTTTTTTTTTTTTTGAGAAGGAGTCTCGCTCTTTTGCCCAGGCTGGAATGCAGTGGTGCAATCTTGGCTCACTGCAACCTCCGCCTGCCCAGTTCAAGTGATTCTCCTGCCCTCAGCTTCCCGAGTAGCTGGGATTACAGGCGCCCCCCACCATGCCCGACTAATTTTTGTATTTTTAGTAAAGACGGGGTTTCACCACGCTGGCCAGGCTGTTCTTGAACTCCTGACCTCAGGTGATCCACCTGCCTGGGCCTCCCAAAGTGCTGGGATTACAGACATGAGCCACCACGCTGGGCCAGGAAAAATTTCTTGAACAAACATACAAGCAGGCAAACCAATCAAAATGATTTTGTGTTTCTATGTGTTGAGGGGAGATTTACAGAGCTGGGGAGAAATTGGCTAGTATTAAGTAATAAATACATGAAAAACTAACCAAATGGAAAAATAAGATTATTATTGCCAGGGTAAATACTGTACAAAAAAAAAAAAAAAATCACTATCTAGAAGCTAGGAAGAGGACTCACACCAAGAACCAAACCTGCTGGCACCTTGATCTTGGACATCTCAGCCTCCAGAACTGTGAGAAATAAATGTTTAAGCCACCCAGTAGATGGTATTTTGTTACAGCAGCCTGAGATAACTAAGACATCCAAACCTCTGAAAGAATCAAAATCAGACTTTACTTAACTAACTCTAGGTATATCTATTTGAGAATCCATCCTCTATTTCTATTTTCTTAGCTTTAAAGAAAATTTGGGGGGTGCTATGGCAATAGGTGTAGGTACCACTGCAACAGAATCTTGCAGTGCAGGAGAGAGATTGGACTCAACTCCTATTTCTGTTTCTTATGACGTTTTCTTTAGCTACTTGCCTATCCAGCTCACCAGACAGTGTTTCATAGCAAGTACCATGTACCAGCATAGACCAAACAATTCCACAAGAGCAGTAGAATAGCCAGTATTATTAAGTTCCAACAATAAAAGCCCAAGAATGCAATCTCTCCTCTTGTTGCCACAATAAGAAAAAGATCCATTATATAAAGTCTTAATTAGATGAAAATTTAAAATCTCCCCTTTTCAATTTTTATTTGGCTAAGGACCAACTCTGTGCCAAATTAAAGGTCCCGCCCTGGAGGGTTAGGTCTGAGTTCTTCTTCAGCAGCTGAAGCCTGGGCTCTCTGTCACAGGAACAGTGGGAACACCCATTGTCAGCACTTTTACAGTCAGGTGAATCCAACCTCAAGTCTCTCTTGTGAACCACTTTCCCAGAATTCTCAGGGGTCAGGAGAACAAAGGAGAACAGGGTAGCACCAGCTCCTTACCTGTAAGATTCAGTGCTATGTGTGAGACCTGCAAGCAATAATATTCCCCAAACAAAAGTGAAGAGTTTGTGCTGCTATTAAATGTCAGATAGTGTGGCCAAGGAAGGAGCATTCTCTTAGGATGTGGGAATATGACTAGGCCCAACTTCTTTAGAGGTCAATTAAGCATCAATTAGAAAAACTGGAAAGGCACAAATACTTTGACCAGGGAAGTCTATTTCTAGAAGTGTGTTTTAAGAAATCCTTGCACAGCTCACACCTGTAATCCCAGGCCTTTGGGAGGCCAAGGCAGGCAGATCATGAGATCAGGAGATCGAGACCATCCTGGCTAACACAGTGAAACCCAGTCTCTACTAAAAATACAAAAATTAGCTGGGCCTGGTGGCGGGCGCCTGTAGTCCCAGCTACTCTGGAGGCTGAGGCAGGAGAATGGCGTGAACCTGGGAGGCGGAGCTTGCAGTGAGCCGAGATCGTACCACTGCACTCCAGCCTGGGCAGCAGACCAAGACACCGTCTCAAAAAAAAAAAAAAAAAAAAAAAAAAAAAAAAAAAAAAAAAAAGAAATCCCTGCACAAATGATGAAAGATAGTTGTATAAGGATGTTCTCTGAATAATTTTTTATAAGAATAAGCATTAGACACAATTTTGTGTCCATTAGCTGAGGGCCATTTAAATATATACTGGTTCATCCATACCATAAAAAGATAAGCAGTTGTTTAAAAGCCTGAGGTAAAATATGAAAGTGGTGATGATGATGCCACTGAAAATAATTATAGCAGCTAACGTTTAATGAACATTTATTAGGTGCTCAAATGCTTTATGTGTATTTCTCATCAAATGTGTAACCAAAAATAAAATTCTAAGGCCCCCCAGCCATGTGAATGGACCCCTGCTCTAGGTCAAGGTCATTCCACAGTTAACCTGAAAAACTAGTTCAGGCCATGATGGGAAGAAGTTGGACATGCCTCATTATACCCTCCTTCCTTTTGGAACTCAGGAAAAGCCAACCAGCATTAACATCAACACAGACCTTAAGTCTGATAAGAAACATTTACAATCTATTTTCTCTGAAGCCTGCTACCTGGAGGCTTCATCTGCATGGTAAAACCTTGGTCTCCACAACCCCCTATCTAACCCAGAAATTCCCTTCTGGAATAAGAACTCTTTCAACCAATAGCTAATCAGAAAAATTTTAAATCTATGACCTGGAAGCCCCCCACCCTTTGAGTTGTCCCGCCCTTCCAGATTGAAGCAGTGTAAATCTTACATGTATTGATCGATGTATTCTGTCTCCCTAAAATGAATAAAAGCAAGCTGTACCCGACCACCTTGGGCACATGTTGCCAGGACCTCCTGAAACTGTGTCATGGGTGCCACCTTAACCTTGCAAGGTAAACTTTCTAAATTTATTGAGACCTGTCTCACATACTTTTGGATTCACAAATGTTAGATTAATCCATGAGAGAAGCATTGTTTATTTATTTATTATTATTATTATTTTTTGAGATGGAGTCGGCTCTGTTACCAGGCTGGAGTGCAGTGGCGCAATCTTGGCTCACTGCAACCTCTGCCTCCTGGGTTCAAACTATTCTCCTGCCTCAGCCTCTCAAGTAGCTGGGATTACAGGCACCTGCCACCACGCCCAGCTCATTTTTGTATTTTTAGTAGAGATGGGGTTTCACCAAGTTGACCAGGCAGGTCTCGAACTCCTAACCTTAGGTGATCTGCCCGCCTCATCCTCCCAAACTGCTGCAATTACAGGCATGAGCCACCACACCCAGGAAAGGGAAGCACTTTTTTTTTTCTGTTTTTATAGATGAAGAAATAGAGATACAGAAAATTCAGTAACGTTTTAAAAGTCACATCATGAACCAACCAAGATTTCAACCTGGAAATTGAGGCTTCACCACAAGTGAAGACTGGGATTTTCTTGTTTTCAATTATTGGGAGTTTTGGATTTCCAGGAATGTGCAGTTGTAAAAACCCAGCTTCAGGAAGTGATGAAATAAGTGCAGTGGCTCTGGAGTAAGCTCTGAAGCCCCAGGCTCAGGCTCTATTGAAAAATTACTTTTGCTGAAATATTCTTGTTTTTAGGAACTTCCATGGAACTTGAGCCTTCGCACAGCGTATTTTGGCATCGAATTTAAAGCTAGTAGAGGTCCGGAAGATTCCCAGGATTAAAGTCTTTAAACAGAAAGCGTGAATCTTGCCTAAGTAAAAGGTACCATCTCTGGGTGGGCTTGAACCACCAGCCTTTCGGTTCAAACAGCCGAAGGCACTAACCGATGGCGCCACAGAGACTCTAATGGTTTAGATTTGCTGATACCAGAAATGGCATTTTAACCTCTGGCCGTAGATAATCTCATATGTTTGTAGCCTGTCCAATCCCGCGCACTCCAGAAACCCAGAACACGGGAGACATTGAAGCCAAGAGTCGAGTCTTTGGGCACTTTGGACGTTCTACCCGGGCAGAGTCAGCTGGGGGACTCCAACGGCCAAACGGCCGCCTGCTCCTCACCGTCTGCTCTTCACTGGTTCCCCCGCCTGCTCTTCACCGTCTCAAAAGTCGCCGGCCCCTCTACAGGCGACAACTGCAGCTTCTCCGGCGGAAGTCACTCGCTTTCCCATTCTTAGCCCCGCTTCACACCTTGAGCTCACAGTCATTTCCGCCGGGCCTGGGCTAGCGGACGCGCGCGTGGGAAGGACCAGAACCCGTGGTGTCCTCACCGCGTCACCCTCGGGCCCTCAGAGGTGGGATCCACCGGACAGGGACCTGGAGTTTGCACAGGCTGCAGCCCTTCGCCCAGAGCCAGCCTAGCACCTAGTAGGTGCCCAATAAATGCTTGGTGAAGGAAGGCATTCCACCGCAGGGTTTTAGGAGAACCATGAATTCCCGTGTGAACGTTAAGCGTTTAGTCCTACTAGGAAGTCTGGAATATAGAGACCTGAACTGTTTCTCAAAGGCAGCTGTTCTTGTATCCCCAGAGCCGGTTTAGAATCCAGCAAAGGCCCCTGCCCGGTGGATCCCACCTCTGGAGACCCGAGGATAGTGCGGTGGGGGGCACCGCGGGTTCTTGTCCTTCCCACGCTCACGTCCACCGGCCCAGGCCCAAAGGAACTGGCTGTGGGTACAAGATGTGAAGATAGTTACAAATACCAGCTAGTGCCAGTGCCAGTTGCAGAAATCAGGACTTGTAATAGTTATGAGTATTTCTTCATTATTTTGAGATGAATACATTTGGGTGTATATTAACCAAAACTTTTCTTGAGAATTCTCCTCTTCCATCACCCTAGCTAGCACATTCATTAATAATTAACTTTTAGAAATCTCAATATTTAGGTTACAGGAAAGCAAATATGGAATGTGATCTATCTAGCTAAAAAAGGAGTGAACATCATTCAAAGACAAAGACTTTATCCTGTTGGGGAAAGGGTTGGCATATTTTCACTGAATGAGAAAAAGTATGATTTTCATATTGTCTTTATTTGAACCTTAAGTATGATTTTACAAGGAGGAAAAAGGAGGAGGAAGAAGCAAAAGAAGAGGAAGAGGAGGAAAAAAAGAAGAGGAGGAAGATGTACATTGATGCCACTTTGAGAAGAAGTGGACTGTGGTGGATTTGTAATGTATCAGTTTTGCCAAGCTGAATGCACATTTCCCAGATTTGCCATCTTTAGATAGCTCTAGGTTAGCCTGGGCAACAGGAGACACTTGGAAGATAGAATTCGAGTGGCTGTTACACTCTTTTGTATACTGGGAAGGGCGTTGTTACAGCTCAGGCATGATCTTCAGCTTCCCTGACCCTTGGACTGGTGGGTGTTTTGCTTCTTGATCTAACATTAAGGTTAGAAGTTGCAGGATTCCAGCAGGGTTTTGTCACATCCAATCTGGTTTAAGTTCTCATATTATTAGGAAAGCTTTAGGGTGCTTCAGGAAAACGCTTTTTAAAAAATCAAATTTGGAAAATATCAAATGGAATTATAGGCAATAAGCATAACCCAGTGGAACCATGAATCAAACCCTCTAGAGCAGGGTTGTCTAAATTTTGGCTTCCTTGGGCCACACTGGAAAAAAAAAAAAGACACTTGTCTTGGGCCAAACATAATATACACTAATCGCAATTGAACTGTACCTGTAAAGCTTGTAAACAAAATGTGTCTGTAAAGTCTGTAAACAGGCCAGGTGCGGTGGCTCAGGCCTGTAATCCCAACATTTTGGGAGGCCGCGAGGCAGGCGGAAAACTTGAGGTCAGGAGTTCAAGACCAGGGTGGCCAACATGGTGAAACCCTGTCACTCTTTTTTTTTTTTTTTTTTTTTGAGACGGAGTCTCACTCTGTCGCCCAGGCTGGAGTGCAGTGGTGCGATCTCAGCTCACTGCAACCTCTGCCTCCCGGGTTCAAGCGATTCTCTTGCCTCAGCCTCCTGAGTAGCTGGGACTACAGGCACGTGCCACCACACCCGGCTAATTTTTTTTTTTTGTATTTTTATTAGAGATGGGGTTTCACTGTGTTAGCCAGGATGGTCTTGACCTCCTGACCTCATGATCCACCCGCTTCCGCCTCCCAAAGTGCTGGGATTACAGGCGCGAGCCAGTGCGCCCGGCCCGGTGAAACCATGTCTCTACTAAAAATTCAAAAAATTAGCCGGACCTAATTTTTTGGTTGCCTGAGCCTGTAATGCCAGTTACTCGGGAGGCTGAGTATTCTCTGGTTGAGGAAGGAGAATAGCTTGAACGCAGGAGGCAAAGGTTGCAGTAAGGCGAGATCGCGCCATACACTCCAGCGGACTGTTTGCTGTTAATCCCATAGGGAAAAGAAAAGCTTAGTTTTATTTCTATAGAACAACAACAAAAAAAGATAAGAGATTAGTAGAGACGGGTTCACTATATTTGCCCACACACGCCTGAGGTCGAGCGATATTAACATAAACATAACCTATCGACGTACCTCATAGATTGCTGGGATTACAAACGTGAGAACCACGATGTCCCAAATTTTTAGTTTCAGTGAAGTTACAGATGGGAACAAAGACCTGATTCTCAGCTTACGCTGACGCCCAGTATGCGTTTCTGCAGCAAACAAAACCTATTTTTAAAACGACAAAAATACAGGGGAAAGCGCGAATGCAGTCTACCACTGCCACAAATTATACAGTCAAGTTTCCCACATTTGGGGAAACTGCAGGGGTCAGCAGATCCGGAGTGCAATGGATAAGACTCGCTCTGGAAAAACCACCTTCGTGACCAGGGTATCTCTCCTGCCAGGTAAGTATGAGTTATTGCACCTCCGCCCCGCCGGCAGCCTCACACGCTTCACCCTTTACACGCACGGTCACTTGCCCCGCGCACACCCCCCTCCCCCCCAGCCCTCCTAGCCCTGACACACAGCTGGGACTCTCAGGTCCGACCAGCGGTCCTGAACCCGCTCCCACGGCACGGGAACTCCTTCGTGGCGAAGCAGCATGTGGCGAAGCAGCAGCCCCTGCGCTGGCTCATCTACATAGAAGTCGCCCTATCCGTGATGTCACCGACAGCGCCTTTCCCAGTCCCCGTCTGCCTTTCTGCCGCTCAGCCGACCAACCCGCTGCCGGAGCCGGCAAGGGGAAGTGACGTCTGCCTCTCCCTTTTTTCTCTCCTGCTTCCCTCATCTGTTCTCTTCCAAAGAAGCTGGTCCTTAGCCTGTATTGCGGAGCAAGCTTTCGGCGACCAGCTGGACCCTGGGCACCCTTCTTCGAACAATGGCTTTTAATTCTCAGACTAGAACGTTTAGGATTACAAAAGAAACTGGTTCTTTTCACATTCTTATTCTTGTGATGTAGCATTCCGCATATATATATATATATATATATATATATATATATATATGTATCCAACTATCCTAAAAGACACTACCCTTCATCATTCCATGCCATTAGACATGTATAGGACCATGCATGGTGATCTCCTCCAGACAAAAGTAAATGCTGGTGCAGAACAGGTAAGTGTACTATAATTTGAGTACATCAGCTTTTGGGCATTTTAAACCATGGGTCAGACAAGTTAGAGCAAGAGGGCAGGTTGATAGCAAGAGGGAGTGTTTTTCTTTTAATTTTCTTTTTTTTTGTTTTGAGACGGAGTCTCGCGCTCTTCGCTCAGGCTGGAGTGCAGTGGGGCTATCTCGGCTCACTGCAAGCTCCGCCTCCCGGGTTCACGCCATTCTCCTGCCTCAGCCTCCCCAGTAGCTGGGATTACAGGCACCTGCCACCACGTCCGGCTAATTTTTTGTATTTTTAGTAGAGATGGGGTTTCACTCTGTTAGCCAGGATGGTCTCGATCTCCTGACCTTGTGATCCGCCCACCTCGGCCTCCCAAAGTGCTGGGATTACAGGCGTGAGCCACCGCGCCCGGCTTCTTTTAATTTTCAAATAGCAAAGTGATGTTTGCCACTGTCATTTCAGAATGAGGTGACAATTTGTTGTTGTTTGGTTTTGTGGGGTTTTTTGTTTGTTTGTTTGTTTCTGAGACAAGGTCTCACTGTCGCCCAGGTTGGAGTACAGTGGCATGATCAGGGTTTACTTCTGCCTTGACCTCACGAATTCAAGCAAACCTCCTTACTAATCCTCCCAAGTAGCTGGGACTACAGGTGCATGACACCACACCCTGGGGTGTGAACTGGGATTTGATGTTTTCAGTTGGCTCCCTGATGGAATAGGTTCCCTTACTATTCTGGAATACAGATTGTCTTCATGATTATGATTCATAATCATAATGATTATGACAGCAGTCCCTGCTGTCAGGCAGGGACGTTTAAGTCTGCAGAAGCTGTCTGCTGCCTTTTATTCAGATATGCCCTGCCCCCAGAGGTGGAATCTAGAGGCAGTAGGCCTTGCTGAGCTGCAGTGGGCTCTACCCAGTTCGAGCTTCCCTACCACTTTATTTACACTGTGACCATAGAACCACATACTCAAGCCTCAGCAGTGGCAGAACCCCCTCCCCCTGCCATGCTCCAGTGTCACAGGTTGATCTCAGACTGCTGTGCTAGCAGCAGGCAAGGCTCCATGGGCATGGGACCTGCCGAGCCAGGCACAAGAGGGAATCTCCTGGTCTGTCGGTTGCAAAGACAGTGGAAAAAAGCACAGTATTTGGGCAGGGGTGTACTGCTTCTCGAGGTACAGTCACTCACAGCTTCCCTTGGCTAGGAAAAAGAAATCCCCCAACCCCTTGCACTTCCCGGGTGAGGCGACACCCCACCCTGCTTTGGCTCATCCTCCGTGGGCTGCATCCACTGTCCAACGAGTCCCAGTGAGATGAACCAGGTACCTCAGTTGGAAATGCAGAAATCACCTGTCTTCTGCGTCTATCTCACTTGAAGCTGTAGACCGGAGCTGTTCCTATTCAGCCATCTTGGAAGCAACCCTCTTTTTCTTTTTGTATTTTGGTAGAGACAGGGTTTCACCATATTGCCCAGGCTGGTTTCAAACTCCTGAGGTCAAGCCATTCTATAAAACAAACTTACATTTGTTTTATCTGAGTTCCTTCCTCAGGAAAGGACTCTCAGGCCTCTCAAAAAGCATCAGAGACCCGAAACTCAGCCAATCACAGCATCCAGACAATGAGATGCCAGTCCCCTCACTCATCACGAGTGCTTCCTCACCCCTCTCTAGTTCCTCTTTTCCCACACACAGTTAACTTTTCTTCTGCGCTATATAAACCCCTAACTTTAGTCAATCAGGGAGACAGATTTGAGACTCATCTCCTGTCTACTCAGCTGCAGCACCTGATTAAAGCCTTCTTCCTCAGCAATACTCAATGTCTCAATGATTGTCTTTCTGTGTGCTGAGAACACTGAAGCCCTGGGGTTTTGGTAAAAATACATGTACACTTTTAAAAACCGCAATTAATGGGTTGTGGTATATTGAGAAATTGGAGTGGCATCAACTTGGCCAATTCTGAGGAAACACACTGTGCTTAAGTGTGAGGGCCCTGCCTCCTGACCTCGACAGTTTATGGTTGATTTTGAGGCACAGCAGGGGAGTATGGCCTGGTTTGAGTGTTTTATAGAAATGTAAAACATGGCTGATTACTTTTTATTTTAAATCCAACAAATCTCCATTTCTGGTGAGAAAATCTTGCCAAAACCAACCAAACAAATGCGTAGAAGTATATGAAGAAGAAAATGAAAGATTCCCTGCCTCCCAATCCCACTTGCTTGGTGTCAGCCATTATTTATCACATGGAGGAAGGGGGCAAGACACACAGGAAGTCCCAAGTCCTGTTCTCACAATCATCTGGCCTCCCTGGGCAAAGGGAAAAGAGGGAAGGCAAAAAGAATATAACACTACTGTTTGCGGAAATTTCCCCTTGGTACAGGAAACTCTGGTAAACTGAGAGAGTATGTTTTCCAGAGGGAGGCCTCAAGGGCTCTTCTCTGGCCCTAAGCCCAAACTGGATTTTGCCTCATTTTCTGAGGTGCAAATGAAATGATAAAAGTTGATCAAAGGAGAGGGCAGAGAGAAAGAAAGAAAGAGGATGACTCCTCTCTCGCAGGTCCACCTTCCTTGGTGTTGCTTGAGGGATCAGAAGAAATGCCTTAACATAGGTGTGTGGGAACTATGGCTGCTAAGTATGAACTCAGTTACCTCCAGTTATAAGCTAGTGTGAGGTTCCATGGTGTAATGGTGAGCACTTTGGACTCTGAATACAGTGATCAGAGTTCAAGTCTCACTGGGACCTTTCTGTATAATTCCAGTGAGGTTCCTCTCTATTGCTCCATAAGCAGAATGGGGGAAATTGCCCAATCGTGGTCACAGACCCTCCATGCCACTGGCTGTGTGCAATTGGAGTCCCGGACCCAGCGACCAGCAAGACCCCTCCCCTCTCAGGGTGACCCTGGGCCTCCAGGTCACAGGTCTCCACTAAAAAGGCTGCCTCCCCTCAATCCTAGACCCCGAGTTTTCTTTTGTTCATGTCATTGGGCCATTGCCCTATGTCTCTTTGGAAGAAATGACCTATATGAAAAACTTTACTTCCAGGATTCCCTAATTCTTTCATCCCTTAGGACAGTGCAGTTTTTCATCTCCTGATCTTGGGTCCAGTACTAATGGCGCGTTTCATCTTGTTTTCATGGGATCCCCTCCAACCGGCTACCAGTGGATTCCTGTCCTTGGGGTCTCTGTGGATGACAACTAGATGCTGCTCTTGTCCCAAATCCTGACACCTCCCTCCAGGGAATTGCCTCCCTTCGCCTCCTAAATCAGCCAATATTTAGATTTGAGCCTGGAATCCCAGCATCTGTGGAGAACGGAGGTTCCTGATCCCTGGCCAGCCTCCCGCAGTGAAGGGGAGAGGAGCAGAGCAGCTGGGAGGGGCAAGTCCAGGGTCCTGGGCAACCCCCTTCTTCCTGCCCAGACTCTGCTCCAAGGAGAAGTTGCCTTAGGACCAGATCAGATGGAAACTCTTGTTCTCTTCTCATCAGCAGAAAAATTTAGGCAAGAGCTCTGGAGGACCTTCCTAGCTCATAAAAATGCTGTGGTCAAGTCTCTCCAGTTTTGGAAGTGTCCAAGGTTACCAAGTGTTTTGAGGGCTCACTTTGGAGCCTCTGAAAAGGAGGGGTCAGGGCCCATGGAAGGTACCTGAGGGATTCAGGAGAGAGAGGGGAAAGAGCAGACAGGAGGGAGGAGAGAAGGAGGGAGGGGGAGAAAGGGTGTGTGAGGGCCAGGAGCCAGGATTCACCCTGACAGTTCAGTGACTGCTCCCTGGCCCCAAAGTTCCCACTGTGGCACCTTCCAGCAGGTGGTTTCCATCTCTTATTGATGTCCTGAGAACTTGGCTCTACAGAACGGTCCCACTCTATTTGTCTGGCATGAGTCCTGCAAAGTTTCTTTTCATCGTTTGGGGGATGAGATGGGGGTATATAGGTTTGCAAGTGACTAGGAGCTAAGTCAGGACCTTGTGGAGCTGCTCAGAGTTAACTGTCAAGTAGCCTCCTTTCCCCCTTCCCTAGCAGGACGATTGCCTGCAAGACAGGGCCTGGAGGAGGCCAGGGAACCCAAGGCCACAGAAATGCCCAGGGATGAGTCCCAGCTGGAGATGCCTTGGCTAAGCTGACTGTGCACTTCCAGGGCTCACAGGGGTCTGGCCAGGAGACTGAGCAAGGGGACCAGGGAGGTTATGCAGAGGCTTCTGCACAGCAAGGCAGACATTCTTCTTGGAGCCCCCAACCCAAATCAGGTCTTCCACCTCCTCTTCCTAAAGACCCTTTACTGCTGTCGTTCTTTTACTGAACTACAAGTTTAGAGGACATGGATTTCAGTGCCCTCATCTGGCCAACCATCTTCAGCTGCCAATGGGCAAGGTAACCTCCCTCCCTGCCAAGACCTGACTCAGGACCTTTCCTTAAGGAGATGTCCTGTTCTTTCTTTCCCACCAGAACTGCCCTGGCCCAGACCCCATTTCTGTCTGGTGACCAGGACAGTCCCCTCACCAGTCTCCCAGGTTGGGGAGGGCAGATCCTCCTCAGCTCCCTGCCCCTGAGAGACCCCAACCGTCTTGTGTGGCTCCGGCCCACAGAGTGATATCCATGGCCCATATCTCTCAAAACTCTCCCCTCCCACTCTGAATCCACCCTCTACTGCATGCTCCCCTCACAGAACAGACTAATTTTTGTGTGTGTGTCCTTGTTTTGCCTACCTGTACCCCAGACAGACTTTTCTGTCTTAGAACTACCTGTCCCTCTTTGGACAGTGTCTTCCTGGTACTACACATGAAGATGTCCCGCTCTCCCCTGCTCAAGGAGAGAGTGCCTGACCTGAGCTGGGCCCATCAGATCCAGTACTTACCTGGAATACGAAAAAGATGGAGAGAGTGACCAAAGATTACAAAAATCTCTGAAGCTTATCTACTTGAGAGAGAGTCCCTGAAGATACTGGCCTCTCATTCCTGCTATGTATATCCAATGTGACTGAACTCTGAATAAAATATACAAGTTATAACAATGTAGCAATTGACCCAGCAAACGAGGACACAAACGTGTTGGAGGGTAAGGTGGTGAGAGGCGTGTTTGGGGGTGGTGGTGATGAGCAAGTATGTGAAGGAGAGGTAGTGCCTAAACTTGAAAATCAAAAAGTAATAATATCTATTTAGACATAAGGAGATAAATAACGAAATAATTGCTTCTATGTGATGAAACTCTGGGAGTACACAAGGGGACTGCTATTTTACTAAACAAATTTTCAAATATATATAACTTTGATAAAGTATCCAAATAAAATAATTCCTTTCCCATATAAGTATGTGTATATATGTATTCATTGTATTTTGAAGATAAATTTTTACACAGTCATGTTAATCGCTTTCATTTAAGGATTTGAGTTTGATGTCTTGCATACAATGTGATCCCACTGTATGACTACACAAATGTTGGCAAAAGTGAGTTCAGAGGAAATGGTAGGCAAGTACTTCCCAGTTTTGGCCAGAAGATGGAGAAAAAAGAATTCTCAAAAAATGTTAAAGGTATGACCTGTTATATCTTCTTTTCACAGTAATTTAGACAGAAATTAGCAAAATCAAACATGTATAAATACTTTGGTCTGACAATTCCATCTCCAGGTGTCTACAGAGAAATAGACAAGTGATGCACGACAGATACATGTGTCAGTCTGGTCCCTGCAGTTGTATTTGTAATAATACACATTGGAGCAATTTCATGGCCATCGGTTAGAGAATGTTTGAGGAATGATCCATTCATATCAAGAAGGACATTTCAAAGATCAAAACCTGATGGAAATGCTGGAGACCATGGCGCTGATAGGAGCTCATGCGTGTGGACCAATTACTACGTGACAGGCATTGGCTCCATGCTTTTCCTGCACTGCTCATTTAAACACTGGACAACCTAAGTGTTCTGATTTATCCCATTGGACAGATAGAAATGGAGGCACAGAAGATTAATGTGTTTAACTTCAAACCCTGGCAGATTAGGTTTTTCATCCAGAGCCTGTGGCTTCACCATAGCTGTGATTCACGTTCTGTCATTCTCCACTTTAGGAATTTCCAGTATTCCAAATATGAGAAGCTGAGAAAACAAACAACAAACTCAAAACCCTAAAAACCGGATACGTAAGGGTAGATGTTTGTTGGGTGTGGATTAAAAATGGACTTTTTTTGCCCCAAGCAACAAAGAGGCACCTTAGAAAATAGACAAGAGACAAGAAGAAGAGAAGCTTTAAGAGATATTTGGTCCAAGGAAGAGACTCTTCAGATGGAAGGTCACGTCAGCTAGAAACATTAATATGACTGGATGGGCTCAAACCACTGACTTTTCAGTCAACATCTGACAGCACTAACCCAGTGTTCCAGAGACACTGCTTGTTAAACAGTGAATGCTGTTGCTCAATTGTGTCATCCGTAATTGTCAAATATTGGCATTTAGTAGCACAAGGAAGTATTCTCCGTTGCCAAGCTAGAGCACCCATAACTCTTCTGTTTTGTTGAACATTGTTCCCCACCACAAACCCTCTTTAGAAGACTGGGGGCTCCTAAAGCATTGAGGCCGAGAGTCCCGTCCTTGTGCATGTTTGGGCATTGACCCAGGGCCAAGTCAGTGGGAGACTCCTCCACGCCTACGCCAGGTCCCCAGGTGACAACTGCAGTCTCTGGATCTGAAGTCATCCACTTTCCCATTCCTAGCTCACCTCACCCATCGTGAAGCCTGGTTAGTATTGCCAGAGACCCGAGTGGGCAGATGCCCACACCAAAGACAGAACCTGCTGCGTGCCCACCTTGCTGATCCCTCCCTCCTTCTAGACAAAGGCTTCATAAGCCAGGGACCTTGGGTTTGCTCACAAGGCAGCCCCTCACCTAGTAGGCATTAGTTCATTATGTATATGTATATGTAGTCCTCAGGTTGTATTCCTTAAATATATATAGTTTAAGGATATGTATTATATATATATAAATATATATGTAATTCCTTAAATATATAATTTTAATACAATTTTTTTTTTTGAGATGGAGTCTCACTCTGTCTCCCAGGCTGGAGTGCAGTGGCACCATCTTGGCTCACTGCAAGCTCCACCTCCCAGGTTCACGCCATTCTCCTGCCTCAGCCTCCCAAGTACCTGGGACTACAGGCGCCCGCCACCACGCCAGGCTAATTTTTTTTTTTTTTTGTATTTTTAGTAGAGATGGGGTTTCACCATGTTAGCCAGGATGGTCTCGATCTTCTGACCTCATGATCCACCCACCTCGGCCTCCCAAAGTGCTAGGATTACAGGCGTGGACCACCGCGCCTGGCCAAAACAAAGTTTTTAAAAGATTCCTTTAATAAACATTTACAATAACATCAAGAAATATAAACGACATAGCAAATATGTGAAAGCCAGCCAGACTCTCAATGGCATCCAGAAACATAAACTACATAGAAAAGACATGAAAGCCAGCCAGGCTTGGCTTCGAATCCCAGCACTTTGGAAGGCTGTGGCAGGAGGGTTGCTTGATCTCAGAAGCTTGAAATTAGCCTAGGCAACATAGTGAGCCCTCATCTCTACTGAAAATCAGAAAAATTACCCGGGTTTGGTGGTGTGAGCCTGTAGTCCCAGGAATCAGTGGATGAGGCCCTAGGATGTCATAGGCCTGAGAATTCCATGCTGCAGTGAGCTGTGATTGTGCCACTGTACTCCAGCCTGGGTGAAAGAGTGAGATCCTGTGCAGAAACAAAAGAAGAAAAAAAGAGATATGAAAGCCTATATATTGAAGACTACCAAGTACTGCTTAGAGCAGTTAAAGACCTTTGGAATAGAAAATGTTTCTTCTTGCATTTCAAGATTGCTTTTGTTTTGGGGGGACACACTATTTTTTAGGAATATGAAGTTCTTCTTAGGCATTCCTGTAAAAAAGGCCACTTCTTGATAGGATTGTATTGAATCTGTGGGTTGCTTTGAGTTGTATTTTTATCTTAACCATGTTACAACTTCCAACCCATGGACACAAGATGTCTGTCCATTGATTTAGGTCTTCCTGAATCTCCTCGAGCAATGTTCTGTAGTTGTCTGTGTACAAGTACGGCACCTTCTTGAACAAATTTATTCCCAGGCATATTATTCTTACAAGTGCTATTATAAATGAAATCATTGTGTCAATTTTCTTCTCAGATTGTTCATTGCTAACACAACTGATTGTTTACTGAAAGTTTGCTGAATTCACTTATTAACTCTAGTAGTGTGTGTATGTGAGTGTGTGTGTGTGTGTGTGTGTCTGGCCTCTGTGTGCATGTATGTGTGTTTGCATCTGTAGGTATTATTTGGGATTTTCTATGCATAGGATCACACCATCTGCAAATTGAGATCATTTTGTTTTCTGTTCAAAAATACTTTTTCTCATGTTTATTTTTAAAAGATAATTTGGCCAGGTGTAGAATTGTAGGTGACAGTTTTTCTTTTTTTAAGTTCTTTATTGCAAACTTCTTGTTTGTATGTGAAATCTTATGCCATCCTTATATTTAGTGCTCTGTATGTAACATGTTCTTTCCCTTTTTATTCCTTTTAGGATTTCCTTTTTATCACTGGTTTTGATGGATTTGATTAAGGCGTTCCTTGGTGAAGTTTTCTTCATGTTTCTTGTTCTTAGAATAATCATATTTCTGTAATATTTGAAGTTTATGGTTTCCATGGAGCTTCTAAATCTTTCATCCAGTATGTTTTAAATATCTTTGTCTCTCTTCTCCACTACACGCCCTTCAGGGATTCCATTTAGCCCTATACTGGGGCGTTTAAAGTTTTGATGCCGATGGTGTTTTTATGTTTTCAAGTCATTTGTTACTGTGTGTTTCATTTATGTTAGTTTCAACTTCTATTCCTTCTAGTTCAATAATCTTCTCTTCTGCAATGTTTAATCCACTGCCTTCTTCCATTTCAGACTGTAAATCATACTTTTTATCTACAGAATTTGATATTTAAAAAATCTTCAACCTCCCCATTTAATTAAAATACAATTATACTAACTGCTGTAATGTCCTTTTCTTCTATTTCCAACATGTCTGTCAATTTCAACTAGATTATTAGATTCTTCATTATGTGTCATGTTTTCCTGCTTCTTTGGCTGCTTGATATTCTTTTATTTTTATTTATTTTTTTTGCGGGGGGATAGAGTTTTGCTCTCGTTGCCCAGGCTGGAGTGCAATGGTGTGATCTCAGCTCACTGCAACCTCCACCTCCCAGGTACACAAGCGATTCTCCTGTCTCAGCCTCCCAAGTAGCTCAGATTACAGGCATGCACCATCATGCCTGGCTAATTTTTTTGTATTTAGTAGAGATGGGGTTTCACCATGTTAGTCAGGCTGGTCGTGAACTCCTGACCTCAGGTGATCCATCTGGCTGCTTGATATTCTAAGATTTGATGCTGGAACTTTGGTGTCAATGCTCAAAATGCCCAAAGACACCACTCAACCTCAGTGTCTATGCACACCCAAGCTTTTGCAGCAGGACAGGTAGAGCAGAGATGAATGTGCTACAACATGCTGGTAGAGGGTACCACCAATTGTGCTTGGGGATTTCCTATTCCTCATGGAAAAATGTGTCTTCCTTAATTTTTCCCATAAGAACCACCCTACTTCATGCCCTGTCTCTCTGTCCAAACACCAGGACAGTCCTCTCACCAGTCTCAACCACCCAATGGATTGACAAAGGTGCAAATATGATTCAGTGGAGAAGGCATTCTCTTGTCAACAAATTGTTTAGAAACAACTTTTTTTTACACAATTTGTTTTTTTTTATCCCCAAAGGAAAAAAATTCACCTGAACCTCAATACTAACTCAAAAACTAACTCAAAATGGATTATGCAACTAAATATAAACTATAAAACTAGAAAAAGTATAGCAGAAAATATAAGACAAAATCTTCATGACACAGAGTTAGGCAAAGTGTTCTTTATTATCAATAAACACAAACCATTAAAGAAAACATTGATAAATTCGACTTTATAAAAATTAAAAGTTTTTGCTCAACAGTATTAAGAGAACAAATATAAGCTGCAGTTTGGGAGAAAAACAGTGGAAATCACCAATATGACAAAGGGCATGTGTGATAGTTACTTGTACTTGTCACTGTGACCGAGCACCAGGGTGCCAGGACATTTGGCCAAACATGATTCTGGTTGTGTTCCAGAGAGTCTTTCAGATACGATTAACATTGGGATGGGCAGACTAAGTGAAGCAGATTGCCCTCCTTAATAGGGGTGGGCCTCATGCAATCAATCAAGGGCCAGGAGAGAATTAAGAGGCCTAATGGGAAACAAATGCTTTCCTGGGTATCCAGCTTTCCTTCCATCTTGGGAATTTCAGCCTCCATAATCTCAGAAGCAAATTCATGTATATATATATACACACATATACATTTCATAGGTATGTGGCTAAGATTGTATTTTTACAAGTTCAGCCATGAGATTGGTGAAGCCAGCCAATGAATAAGGGTGTGTTCTATTATACGATTCAGTCTTCTTTTGTAAACGATTGAAGTTCTGCATTTGAAGTAGGAGGATAGGAGGGAGCAAGTCCACCTAGGATGATAACAGCTGAATTTCTCAACATACACTTCAGAGCTGTAGGGGTCAACTTAGAGACTCAAAAATCTCACCCATAATCCTGCCCTAAACACCAGGGCTAGGGAACACTGTGGCCCTCAGGTGATTTTCTTTAGCCAGGTCTGGGAGCCACACGACGGCAGAGGGAGCAGGAAACACTATGCAAATAGAGGCCAGGACAGCAGGGAGGGCCTGTTCATGATAGAACCCAGGCAAAACTCTCCTCAGAAAGCGAGTGTGGAGAAACATAGATCATGCCTGAGACCTGGTGGATTAGAGCACTGGCTACTGGGGAATTGAAAGGAAGGGGCTTCACCGTGCAGAGGACCAGAGGTGCCAATCTTGGAAATGCAGAATTGCTGGGAGATGGGGAGGCACGGACCATGGAAGTATCCTCTGGAGACTCATGGTGAAGAGAACAAATGAATGAAGTAACTGGCAGAAATTAGAGGTCCTGGTAGAACAAAATAGAATCCCACAATGAGAACATACACCATGTATGTCCCCCAAGGAAGACAATATCTCCTAAAAACTCCAGAAAAATCATTTTGGGCAAGCACCTTATATCTAGTAATGCGATCCATGTATCGAGACCGTGAGAAAAGATTATTAAACATGCTAAACTCAGCGAGACCTGATTCCCTCATGAGGACTCTGTTAAGGATGAGTACCACTCAGCAAGTGACGACTGTGACATTCACTTTTGAATAGCTCATGAGCGTTAATATATTTCAATGTGGATCTAAACCAAAAACCAAGGTAGGGGCAAGATGATAATCACAGAATGTCACCGGTATATGTTTAGGTTCAAATACTATTATGAGAAGTGGCAGGTAAAGGAGGTAGGAAAAAGAAAACACATCATGTAATTGACTGTTGTATGGAAATATTTGATGCTGAAAGTTATAATTTAAAACTATAAACCAAATATTAGAAGTGTGTCTAGTCCAAAGGGAGGAAAACCATCAAAAACATTTTTAGTGCAATATTTAACATGAGCTATACAACCCTTCCTAAATGCCAAAGGCACACACAGACACACACACAGACACACACACACACACACTCACACTCACGAAGAATACAAATGACTAGAACCAAGAAATGTAAATACATTCTGCTACATATGGTAAACATAGCCTACAATGTGGAAGAGATTAGAAAATAAACATGGAAATGAAATGTTTTTATTAATTCGCATCAGTACCCACCAAAACCAATCACCATAATCAAATATTATAACACTGAATGTAAAAAACAATCCAAAAGTCCAGAGTGATAGGCAAAAGGTTTTAATTGTATAGATTAAAATTAACTTTGGACAAAAATTAAAACTCAGGCAGAGAATGTCTTCTTTTTGCAACAGCAGACACTAGTAAAAACAAAGGCACAGTAAAAATTGAGACCCCAAATTTGCAGTGTAGAGATATGAATATAATAATAGACACAGGCAGGGAGGATTAATAAATGATAAAATGTTTAGAGGATGATCATTAGAATACAGGATATTTATACTCTTGAAAACCACTTTCCCAAGTACTTCATTGTAAGTAAGGTGTCTCTAAAAGGGACAGATCTCCTAGACCCCTCCTTAACCAAGTAACCAGTCCTGATATCATAATGGTGATGGACAAACTAGACCTTCTCTGCCCGCAGATGGGCTGAGGTTGGAAACTCACAGCATTGTCTCTGCAGTGTTCCTGGCAAAACGTTTAGGCTGAATTTAATCATGAAGACATTTTCAGACAACTTCAGAATGTAGATCATTGAGCCAGACAGCTGACCTGTCTTCTATAAACAAGTCCATGTCACCACCATCCATGACAACAACAAAAAGATGAGGAAATATTTGGGGTTCAAAATAACTAAAGAAATGCAGCTACATTATCTTTTTACTTTTTTTGAACCCAAAATATTTCTTCTCCTTTTTGTTGTGTGATTTGTGGTGATATGGACTATGTGAAGGAGACAGGTCAGTTGTCCTGCTCAGTGTTCTACATTCTGCAGTTGTCTGGTGATTACCTCCTATGAAACTCAGGCTAAGCGTTTTCTGCAAGAACATGGCATTGTTCATATTCTGCACCGGCAGAGTCCTGGGTGACATGCTGTCTCCTGCCAGCGGCTCCTGACTCCTGTTCTCTACAGGATGGAATTGAGAGGAGCAGGGCTAAGGCCTCCCAATGCTGTTTGTCCATCTAGCTGTGGTCTTCCTAAGTACTGACACCAATTGGAGGCTGAAGGACTGTGGCTTCTCTAACCAAAGGAGTCTAGCGGGTTAACAATTGTCAAGAGCAGTTGGTGGTTCTGAAATACAATCCTCAGCCAAGGATCCCTCCTGTGTTACAGATGGATCAGCTAAAACAAGCCAACACTGAAGACACAAAGAATGAGGTTAGGTTCATTGAAACCAGGGTAACACCTTTGGATGAGCTAAACACAAAGATGACAATGACCTTGAGCAGGTATAGAAGCTCAGAGACATGCCTGCAAAATGAAATCCCTGAGGAATTTTGTAGCTACCCAGAGATACGTGGTTCAAATTAAAATGTCTGACTGATCACTCCCGGCATGTGCTGCACAGTTATGTGAACGTGTCACACCTAACGTGGGTCCATTGTCTTCAGACTGCGCACAGGTTGCCACTGGCATGGTTTGAGAATAGGAATAGAGCCATGCCCACTGACCCATCCTATGTCTGGGCTTCCAAATGGAACTGTACTTTCATTCAAATCTTCACTTGCCTATAGGTCCTGCCTGCAGGAATGACATCTCTCGGATTACTAAGGGCTGCTTATTGTGGGAATATGACTCCCATCTGGAACACCAGGTGGAGACTTGTCACCGTCAAAGTAAAAAACCTATTGTCCACGTAAAGGGCGAAGCTGATGTGCTGTTCCTCAAATGAGTAAAACACACTTCTGTAGTGCTGGAATGAGTCAGGTAGTTCAAAGTACATTGACGGAGTCGAATAACATCTATCCAGTGAGTCCTGTAAGACTTCACGCTCTTCCACTTCCATCAGCACGCCGTTGAGCCTGGAAAAGGAGACAAAACTAAAGAAGCAGCCAGGGAAAATCAGACACCACAGAGCCCCAGCTAGATTTCAGAAGCAACATAAGGAAGTGGTTAGAAAAGAAAAAGGATAGAACCATTAATGAGGTAAAAAAAAAATTTATTGCCTTTATGTTGGGATAGAACAGGGCCAGGTAGAAAACAATGAAAGAGAAAGACAGAGAGAGAGAGACAGAGACAGAGACAGAGACAGAGAGAAAGTGACCTAGTGAATTGGCCAGGTGACATACTGGTAAGGGAGTCAAAGGACACTCTGACTTAGTGCCCTCATGACACACAGCAAACAGTGATCATGAAAAGAGTGAGCTCAATAGTTTTCCATAAAATATGCTCAAAATTCGATGCAGTGGCCATGAGAGTACAGCTTTTGAAGTATGGTCAACCTATGGTACGTTAGGAAATGATAAGGGGAGGAAGAAATGGAAACCTAAACATCTACTGCAATGAAAACCAACAGCAATGACAGTAGGAGTAATTCAGCCTTCGTTGAAAACATGTCATCAAACACACTCTGGTTTCCCTGAATCTGTTGCCTCCAGGTGTTAACACAGAACTAAGGATCCACAATTGCTGAAAGTCACCTGGGGCATGGTGGGTTTTGATCTTCTTCCCCTTCTTTTCTTCCCCTTCTTCTTTCCTTCTTTGATCTTCTTCCCCTTCTTTTTTTCCCCTTCCCCTTCTTTTCAATTTCTGCAATAAATTCAGACATGGACAGACACATTAAGCTGATTCCCCTACACACATAAAAATCCACTGTCTAATCCTCACACAGGGACCTCAGGCTCCTCAGCATAAGAATAGGACACTGTGAGAGATATATTTCAGGAGGCCTGAAGGCTGGTCATGATAGAAATTCCTCGGTTTTTCTCCCAGAAACTGTGGGTAAAATGTCCCTATTCTAGTAGATCGTTATCCCAATATCATTTGTCCCAAGTTTGTGCAAACAGTTACGCCATATTTTTCCAATCAACGTAAAGCAAATACCCTCAATGATTTCTAGGAGAAAAACTGCAATATTTAGCCCTGTCTCATCAAATACTCAGATTGTTCATGGTAGTGAGGACTCCAGACACTGAAATTAGAGTGAAAAAGGAAATCTACAAACCCTTGAGTCAAAATCACAGTTCTCTGAATTTGTCACATCTGCCCAGGTCCAATGTCATGAGAATAGGATCAGGGCGCCACAGGTATGGCCTGAGACTAGGAAGAGAGTCTTGCTCACTGAACCATTTCATGTCTAGGCTTCCAGCTGAGACTACAGTTTCATTACAACCTATATGCGCCCATAGGTCCTGCCTGCGGCAATGACGTCTCTCGGGTCAGCAAGGGCCACTTGGAATAGGAATATCACCCCTATCTGGAAGACCAGGTGGAGGCTTATCACCTTCACAGTAAGGTACTCACTGTCCACGTCAAGAGCCAAGCCAAGGTACTGTTCCTCCAATGAGTAAACAGCACTGCTGTAGGGCTGGCCTAAGTCAGGCAGTTCAAGATAACCTGAAGGAGTCGAATAACATCTATCCAGTGAGTCCTGCAAGACTTCAGGCTCTTTCTCATCCAGCAGCTCCCTGCTGAGCCTGGAAAAGTAGGAAAAAGTAAAGAATAAGCCAGGGGGAATCAGAAACCACACAGCCCCAGCTAGATTTCATGGCTAACATAAGGAACTGTTTAAAAAGAAAAAGGACAGATCCGTTAATGAGGTAATGAATTATTGCCTTTATGTTGGGATAGACCAGGGCCAGGTAGAAAAGAATGAAAGAGAAAGACAGGGAGAGGGAGAGAGAGAGAGAGGAGAAAGTGAGATCAGCGAATTGGCCGGGTGACACACTGATGAAGGGGTCAAAGGACACTCTGAGTTAGTGCCCTCGGGACACACAGCGAACAGTGATCATGAAAAGAGTGGGCTCAATAATTTTCCATAAACTTGCTCAAGATTCCATGCAGTTGCCATACAGCCTTTGACGTATGGTCAACCTATAGTAAGTGAGTAAATGATAAGGGGAGGAAGAAATGGAAACCTAAACATCTACTGCAATGAAAACCAACAGCAATGTCAGTAGGAGTAATTCAACCTTCGCTGAAAACATGAAATTGAACACACTCTTGTTTTCCCTGGACCTGGCATCTCCAGGTGTCAACACAGAATTAAGCATCCATAATTGCTCAAAGTTACCTGGGGCATGATGGGTCTTGGTCTTCTTCCACTTCTTGGTACTTTTCAATTTCTGCAATAAGTTCAGACATGGACAGACATATTAAGCTGGTTCTCCTACACACATAACAATCCACTGTCTAATCCTCACACAGGGACTTCAGGCTCCTCAGCATGAGAATAGGACACTGTGAGAGATAGTCTTCAGGAGGCCTGAAGGCTGATCACCATAGAGATTCCTTGGTTTTTGTCCCAGAAACTGTGGGTAAAATTCCCTATTCTGGTAGATCGTTATCCCAATATCATTTGTCCCAAGTTTGTGCAAATGGTTATGCCATATTTTTCCAATCGATTTAAAGCAAATGCCCCCAAATGGCTGCTAGGAGAAAAACTGCACTATTCAGCCCTGTCTCATCAAATACTCAGATTGTTCATGGTAGCGAGGATTGTAGACGCTGAAATTAGAGTGAAGGATGAAATCTACAAGATCTACAAAATTGAGACAAAATCAGAGTTGTGTGAATTTGTCACATCTGCCCAGATCCAACATCTTGAGAGTAGGATTAGGGCGCCACAGGCATGGCCTGAGACTAGGAAGAGAGCCTTGCTCACTGACCCATCCCTTGTCTGGGCTTCCAAGTGGAACTAGAGTTTCATTCAACCTACATATGCCTATAGGTCCTCCCTGTGGCAATGACATCTCTCAGCTCAGTAAGGGCCACTTGCAGTAGGAATATGACCCTAACCAGAAGACTCAGTGGATCCTTATCACCTTCATAGAAAGGTACTCACCATCCATGTCAACAGCCAAGCCAACACGCTGTTGCTCCAATACATAAAAGGCACTTCTGTAGGGCTGGCATGAGTCACACAGTTCAAGACAACCTGAAGGAGTTGAATAACATCTATCCAGTGAGTCCTGCAAGACTTCAGGCCCTTTCTCATCCAGCAGCTCCCTGCTGAGCCTGGAAAAGTGGGAAAAAGTAAAGAATAAGCCAGGGGGAATCAGAAACCACACAGCCCCAGCTAGATTTCATGGCTAACGTAAGGAAGAGTTTGAAAAGAAAAAGGACAGATCCATTAATGAGGTAACAAATTATTGCCTTTATGATGGGACAGAACAGGGCCAGGTAGAAAACAATGAAAGAGAAAGACAGACAGAGACAGAGACAGAGACAGAGACAGAGAGAAAGTGACCTAGTGAATTGGCCAGGTGACATACTGGTAAGGGAGTCAAAGGACACTCTGAGTTAGTGCCCTCATGACACACAGCAAACTGTGATCATGAAAAGAGTGAGCTCAATAGTTTTACATAAAATATGCTCAAAATTCGATGCAGTGGCCATGAGAGTACAGCTTTTGAAGTATGGTCAACCTATGGTACGTTAGGAAATGATAAGGGGAGGAAGAAATGGAAACCTAAACATCTACTGCAATGAAAACCAACAGCAATGACAGTAGGAGTAATTCAGCCTTCGTTGAAAACATGTCATCAAACACACTCTGGTTTCCCTGAATCTGTTGCCTCCAGGTGTTAACACAGAATTAAGCATCCACAATTGCTGAAAGTCACCTGGGGCATGGTGGGTTTTGATCTTCTTCCCCTTCTTTTCTTCCCCTTCTTCTTTCCTTCTTTGATCTTCTTCCCCTTCTTTTCTTCCCCTTCCCCTTCTTTTCAATTTCTGCAATAAATTCAGACATGGACAGACACATTAAGCTGATTCCCCTACACACATAACAATCCACTGTCTAATCCTCACACAGGGACCTCAGGCTCCTCAGCATAAGAATAGGACACTGTGAGAGATATATTTCAGGAGGCCTGAAGGCTGGTCATGATAGAAATTCCTCGGTTTTTCTCCCAGAAACTGTGGGTAAAATGTCCCTATTCTAGTAGATCGTTATCCCAATATCATTTGTCCCAAGTTTGTGCAAACAGTTACGCCATATTTTTCCAATCAACTTAAAGCAAATACCCTCAAATGATTTCTAGGAGAAAAACTGCAATATTTAGCCCTGTCTCATCAAATACTCAGATTGTTCATGGTTGTGAGGACTTTAGACACTGAAATTAGAGTGAAAAAGGAAATCTACAAACCCTTGAGTCAAAATCATAGTTCTCTGAATTTGTCACATCTGCCCAGGTCCAATGTCATGAGAATAGGATCAGGGCGCCACAGGTATGGCCTGAGACTAGGAAGAGAGTCTTGCTCACTGACCCATCCCTTGTCTGGGCTTCCAGGTAGAACTAGAGTTTCATTCAACCTACATGTGCCTATAGGTCCTCCCTGTGGCAATGACATCTCTCAGCTCAGTAATGGCCACTTGGAGCAGGAATATGATCTTTATATGGAAGACTCAGTGGATCCTTATCACCTTCATAGAAAGGTACTCACCTCCCACGTCAAGAGAAAAGCCAACATGTTTTTCCTCCAATGCATAAAAGGAACTTCCATAGGGCTGGCAGGAGTCAGGCTGTTCAAGACAACTGGAAGGAGTTGAATAACATCTATCCAGTGAGTCCTGCAAGACTTCAGGCTCTACTACCTCCAGCAGCTCCCTGCTGAGCCTGGAAAAGGAGGAAAAAGTAAAGAATAAGCCAGGGGAAATCAGACACAACAGAGCCCCAACTAGGTTTCATGGGTAGCATAGGGAAGTGGTTAAAAAACTAAAAGGATAGATCCATTAATGAGGTAACAAATTATTGCCTTCATGTTGGGACAGAACAGGGCCAAATGGAAAAGAATGAAAGAGAAAGACAGATAGACACACACACACACACACACACACACACAAACACACACACACACACAGAGAGAGAGAGAGAGAACGAGCTCAGTGAATTGTCCAGGTGACACACTGATGAGGGAGTAACAGGACACTCTGAGTTAGTGCCCTCAGGACACACAGCATACAGGGATCATGAAAAGACTGTGCTCAATAATTTTCCATAAAATGTGCTCAAGTTTCCATGCAGTCGCCATGAGAATACAGTTTTTGAAGTCTGGTCCACCTACAGTAGGTTAGTAAATGATAAGGGGAGGAAGAAATGGAAACCTAAATATCTACTGCAATGAAAACCAACAGCAATGTTAGTAGGAATAATTCAGGCTTGGTTGAAAAGATGTAATCGATAATGTCAGCCCGCTCTGTTTTCCCTGAACCAGGAGTCTCCAGATGTCAACACAGAAGTAGCTGTTCACAATTGCTCAGTTACCTGGGGCATGGTGGGCCTTGGTCTTCTTCCTCTTCTTGGTCCTTTTTAATTCCTGCAATACATTCAGACAGGGACAGACAAAATAAGCCAATTCACCTACACCCATAACAGTCCACTGTCTAATCCCCACACAGGGATCTCAGGCTCCTCAGCATGAGAACAGGACAATGTGAGAGATATACTTCAGGAGGCCTGAAAGCTGGTCATGATATTCTTTGGTTTACATCTCAGAACCAAGGGTGAAATATCCCCATTCTGGTAGATCGTTATCCCAAAATCATTTATCCCAAGTTTGTGCAAACAGTTATGCTTTATTGTTCCCATCAGTTCAAAGAAAATGCCCCAGATGATTTCCAGGAGGAAAACTAAAGTATTCAGCCCTGTCTCATCAAATGCCCAGCTCGTTCATGGATGCAAGAATTTTAGACACTGAAATTAGAATGAAGGAGGAAATCTACAAACCCTTGAGTCCAAATCATACTTCTGTGAATTTTTTACATCTGCCTGGGTCCAATGTGCTGAGAGCGGGCTCAGGTTGCCACAGGCATGGCTGGAGACTAGGAATAGAGCCTTGCTCACTGACCCATTTCATGTCTAGGCTTCCAACTGAGACTACAGTTTCATTACAACCTATATGCGCCCATAGGTCCTGCCTGCGGCAATGACGTCTCTCGGGTCAGTAAGGGGCACTTGGAACAGGAATATCACCCCTATCTGGAAGACCAGGTGGAGGCTTATCACCTTCACAGTAAGGTACTCACTGTCCACGTCAAGAGCCAAGCCAAGGTACTGTTCCTCCAATGAGTAAACAGCACTGCTGTAGGGCTGGCCTAAGTCAGGCAGTTCAAGATAACCTGAAGGAGTCGAATAACATCTATCCAGTGAGTCCTGCAAGACTTCAGGCTCTTTCTCATCCAGCAGCTCCCTGCTGAGCCTGGAAAAGTAGGAAAAAGTAAAGAATAAGTCAGGGGGAATCAGAAACCACACAGCCCCAGCTAGATTTCATGGCTAACATAAGGAACTGTTTAAAAAGAAAAAGGACAGATCCATTAATGAGGTAATGAATTATTGCCTTTATGTTGGGATAGACCAGGGCCAGGTAGAAAAGAATGAAAGAGAAAGACAGGGAGAGGGAGAGAGAGAGAGGGAGGAGAAAGTGAGCTCAGCGAATTGGCCGGGTGACACACTGATGAAGGGGTCAAAGGACACTCTGAGTTAGTGCCCTCGGGACACACAGCGAACAGTGATCATGAAAAGAGTGGGCTCAATAATTTTCCATAAACTTGCTCAAGATTCCATGCAGTTGCCATACAGCCTTTGAGGTATGGTCAACCTATAGTAAGTGAGTAAATGATAAGGGGAGGAAGAAATGGAAACCTAAACATCTACTGCAATGAAAACCAACAGCAATGTCAGTAGGAGTAATTCAACCTTCGTTGAAAACATGAAATTGAACACACTCTTGTTTTCCCTGGACCTGGCATCTCCAGGTGTCAACACAGAATTAAGCATCCATAATTGCTCAAAGTTACCTGGGGCATGATGGGTCTTGGTCTTCTTCCACTTCTTGGTACTTTTCAATTTCTGCAATAAGTTCAGACATGGACAGACATATTAAGCTGGTTCTCCTACACACATAACAATCCACTGTCTAATCCTCACACAGGGACTTCAGGCTCCTCAGCATGAGAATAGGACACTGTGAGAGATAGTCTTCAGGAGGCCTGAAGGCTGATCACCATAGAGATTCCTTGGTTTTTGTCCCAGAAACTGTGGGTAAAATTCCCTATTCTGGTAGATCGTTATCCCAATATCATTTGTCCCAAGTTTGTGCAAATGGTTATGCCATATTTTTCCAATCGATTTAAAGCAAATGCCCCCAAATGGTTGCTAGGAGAAAAACTGCACTATTCAGCCCTGTCTCATCAAATACTCAGATTGTTCATGGTAGTGAGGATTTGAGACGCTGAAATTAGAGTGAAGGATGAAATCTCCAAGATCTACAAAATTGAGACAAAATCAGAGTTGTGTGAATTTGTCACATCTGCCCAGATCCAACATCTTGAGAGTAGGATTAGGGCGCCACGGGCATGGCCTGAGACTAGGAAGAGAGCCTTGCTCACTGACCCATCCCTTGTCTGGGCTTCCAAGTGGAACTAGAGTTTCACTCAACCTACATGTGCCTATAGTTCCTCCCTGTGGCAATGACATCTCTCAGCTCAGTAAGGGCCACTTGCAGTAGGAATATGACCCTAACCAGAAGACTCAGTGGATCCTTATCACCTTCATAGAAAGGTACTCACCATCCATGTCAACAGCCAAGCCAACATGCTGTTGCTCCAATACATAAAAGGCACTTCTGTAGGGCTGGCATGAGTCAGTCAGTTCAAGATAACCTGAAGGAGTTGAATAACATCTATCCAGTGAGTCCTGCAAGACTTCAGGCCCTTTCTCATCCAGCAGCTCCCTGCTGAGCCTGGAAAAGTGGGAAAAAGTAAAGAATAAGCCAGGGGGAATCAGAAACCACACAGCCCCAGCTAGATTTCATGGCTAACGTAAGGAAGAGTTTGAAAAGAAAAAGGACAGATCCATTAATGAGGTAACAAATTATTGCCTTTATGTTGGGACAGAACAGGGCCAGGTAGAAAACAATGAAAGAGAAAGACAGACAGAGACAGAGACAGAGACAGAGAGAAAGTGACCTAGTGAATTGGCCAGGTGACATACTGGTAAGGGAGTCAAAGGACACTCTGAGTTAGTGCCCTCATGACACACAGCAAACTGTGATCATGAAAAGAGTGAGCTCAATAGTTTTCCATAAAATACGCTCAAAATTCGATGCAGTGGCCATGAGAGTACAGCTTTTGAAGTATGGTCAACCTATGGTACGTTAGGAAATGATAAGGGGAGGAAGAAATGGAAACCTAAACATCTACTGCAATGAAAACCAACAGCAATGACAGTAGGAGTAATTCAGCCTTCGCTGAAAACATGTCATCAAACACACTCTGGTTTCCCTGAATCTGTTGTCTCCAGGTGTTAACACAGAATTAAGCATCCACAATTGCTGAAAGTCACCTGGGGCATGGTGGGTTTTGATCTTCTTCCCCTTCTTTTCTTCCCCTTCTTCTTTCCTTCTTTGATCTTCTTCCCCTTCTTTTCTTCCCCTTCCCCTTCTTTTCAATTTCTGCAATAAATTCAGACATGGACAGACACATTAAGCTGATTCCCCTACACACATAACAATCCACTGTCTAATCCTCACACAGGGACCTCAGGCTCCTCAGCATAAGAATAGGACACTGTGAGAGATATATTTCAGGAGGCCTGAAGGCTGGTCATGATAGAAATTCCTCGGTTTTTCTCCCAGAAACTGTGGGTAAAATGTCCCTATTCTAGTAGATCGTTATCCCAATATCATTTGTCCCAAGTTTGTGCAAACAGTTATGCCATATTTTTCCAATCAACTTAAAGCAAATACCCTCAAATGATTTCTAGGAGAAAAACTGCAATATTTAGCCCTGTCTCATCAAATACTCAGATTGTTCATGGTTGTGAGGACTTTAGACACTGAAATTAGAGTGAAAAAGGAAATCTACAAACCCTTGAGTCAAAATCATAGTTCTCTGAATTTGTCACATCTGCCCAGGCCCAATGTCATGAGAATAGGATCAGGGCGCCACAGGTATGGCCTGAGACTAGGAAGAGAGTCTTGCTCACTGACCCATCCCTTGTCTGGGCTTCCAGGTAGAACTAGAGTTTCATTCAACCTACATGTGCCTATAGGTCCTCCCTGTGGCAATGACATCTCTCAGCTCAGTAATGGCCACTTGGAGCAGGAATATGATCTTTATATGGAAGACTCAGTGGATCCTTATCACCTTCATAGAAAGGTACTCACCTCCCACGTCAAGAGAAAAGCCAACATGTTTTTCCTCCAATGCATAAAAGGAACTTCCATAGGGCTGGCAGGAGTCAGGCTGTTCAAGACAACTGGAAGGAGTTGAATAACATCTATCCAGTGAGTCCTGCAAGACTTCAGGCTCTACTACCTCCAGCAGCTCCCTGCTGAGCCTGGAAAAGGAGGAAAAAGTAAAGAATAAGCCAGGGGAAATCAGACACAACAGAGCCCCAACTAGGTTTCATGGGTAGCATAGGGAAGTGGTTAAAAAACTAAAAGGATAGATCCATTAATGAGGTAACAAATTATTGCCTTCATGTTGGGACAGAACAGGGCCAAATGGAAAAGAATGAAAGAGAAAGACAGATAGACACACACACACACACACACACACACACACACACACACACACACACACACACACACACACACACAGAGAGAGAGAGAGAACGAGCTCAGTGAATTGTCCAGGTGACACACTGATGAGGGAGTAACAGGACACTCTGAGTTAGTGCCCTCAGGACACACAGCATACAGGGATCATGAAAAGACTGTGCTCAATAATTTTCCATAAAATGTGCTCAAGTTTCCATGCAGTCGCCATGAGAATACAGTTTTTGAAGTCTGGTCCACCTACAGTAGGTTAGTAAATGATAAGGGGAGGAAGAAATGGAAACCTAAATATCTACTGCAATGAAAACCAACAGCAATGTTAGTAGGAATAATTCAGGCTTGGTTGAAAAGATGTAATCGATAATGTCAGCCCGCACTGTTTTCCCTGAACCAGGAGTCTCCAGATGTCAACACAGAAGTAGCTGTTCACAATTGCTCAGTTACCTGGGGCATGGTGGGTCTTGGTCTTCTTCCTCTTCTTCGTCCTTTTTAATTCCTGCAATACATTCAGACAGGGACAGACAAAATAAGCCAATTCACCTACACCCATAACAGTCCACTGTCTAATCCCCACACAGGGATCTCAGGCTCCTCAGCATGAGAACAGGACAATGTGAGAGATATACTTCAGGAGGCCTGAAAGCTGGTCATGATATTCTTTGGTTTGCATCTCAGAACCAAGGGTGAAATATCCCCATTCTGGTAGATCGTTATCCCAAAATCATTTATCCCAAGTTTGTGCAAACAGTTATGCTTTATTGTTCCCATCAGTTCAAAGAAAATGCCCCAGATGATTTCCAGGAGGAAAACTAAAGTATTCAGCCCTGTCTCATCAAATGCCCAGCTCGTTCATGGATGCAAGAATTTTAGACACTGAAATTAGAATGAAGGAGGAAATCTACAAACCCTTCAGTCCAAATCATACTTCTGTGAATTTTTTACATCTGCCTGGGTCCAATGTGCTGAGAGCGGGCTCAGGTTGCCACAGGCATGGCTGGAGACTAGGAATAGAGCCTTGCTCACTGACCCATTTCATGTCTAGGCTTCCAACTGAGACTACAGTTTCATTACAACCTATATGCGCCCATAGGTCCTGCCTGCGGCAATGACGTCTCTCGGGTCAGTAAGGGGCACTTGGAACAGGAATATCACCCCTATCTGGAAGACCAGGTGGAGGCTTATCACCTTCACAGTAAGGTACTCACTGTCCACGTCAAGAGCCAAGCCAAGGTACTGTTCCTCCAATGAGTAAACAGCACTGCTGTAGGGCTGGCCTAAGTCAGGCAGTTCAAGATAACCTGAAGGAGTCGAATAACATCTATCCAGTGAGTCCTGCAAGACTTCAGGCTCTTTCTCATCCAGCAGCTCCCTGCTGAGCCTGGAAAAGTAGGAAAAAGTAAAGAATAAGTCAGGGGGAATCAGAAACCACACAGCCCCAGCTAGATTTCATGGCTAACATAAGGAACTGTTTAAAAAGAAAAAGGACAGATCCATTAATGAGGTAATGAATTATTGCCTTTATGTTGGGATAGACCAGGGCCAGGTAGAAAAGAATGAAAGAGAAAGACAGGGAGAGGGAGAGAGAGAGAGAGGAGAAAGTGAGCTCAGCGAATTGGCCGGGTGACACACTGATGAAGGGGTCAAAGGACACTCTGAGTTAGTGCCCTCGGGACACACAGCGAACAGTGATCATGAAAAGAGTGGGCTCAATAATTTTCCATAACCTTGCTCAAGATTCCATGCAGTTGCCATACAGCCTTTGAGGTATGGTCAACCTATAGTAAGTGAGTAAATGATAAGGGGAGGAAGAAATGGAAACCTAAACATCTACTGCAATGAAAACCAACAGCAATGTCAGTAGGAGTAATTCAACCTTCGTTGAAAACATGAAATTGAACACACTCTTGTTTTCCCTGGACCTGGCATCTCCAGGTGTCAACACAGAATTAAGCATCCATAATTGCTCAAAGTTACCTGGGGCATGATGGGTCTTGGTCTTCTTCCACTTCTTGGTACTTTTCAATTTCTGCAATAAGTTCAGACATGGACAGACATATTAAGCTGGTTCTCCTACACACATAACAATCCACTGTCTAATCCTCACACAGGGACTTCAGGCTCCTCAGCATGAGAATAGGACACTGTGAGAGATAGTCTTCAGGAGGCCTGAAGGCTGATCACCATAGAGATTCCTTGGTTTTTGTCCCAGAAACTGTGGGTAAAATTCCCTATTCTGGTAGATCGTTATCCCAATATCATTTGTCCCAAGTTTGTGCAAATGGTTATGCCATATTTTTCCAATCGATTTAAAGCAAATGCCCCCAAATGGCTGCTAGGAGAAAAACTGCACTATTCAGCCCTGTCTCATCAAATACTCAGATTGTTCATGGTAGTGAGGATTTGAGACGCTGAAATTAGAGTGAAGGATGAAATCGACAAGATCTACAAAATTGAGACAAAATCAGAGTTGTGTGAATTTGTCACATCTGCCCAGATCCAACATCTTGAGAGTAGGATTAGGGCGCCACGGGCATGGCCTGAGACTAGGAAGAGAGCCTTGCTCACTGACCCATCCCTTGTCTGGGCTTCCAAGTGGAACTAGAGTTTCACTCAACCTACATGTGCCTATAGTTCCTCCCTGTGGCAATGACATCTCTCAGCTCAGTAAGGGCCACTTGCAGTAGGAATATGACCCTAACCAGAAGACTCAGTGGATCCTTATCACCTTCATAGAAAGGTACTCACCATCCATGTCAACAGCCAAGCCAACATGCTGTTGCTCCAATACATAAAAGGCACTTCTGTAGGGCTGGCATGAGTCAGTCAGTTCAAGACAACCTGAAGGAGTTGAATAACATCTATCCAGTGAGTCCTGCAAGACTTCAGGCCCTTTCTCATCCAGCAGCTCCCTGCTGAGCCTGGAAAAGTGGGAAAAAGTAAAGAATAAGCCAGGGGGAATCAGAAACCACACAGCCCCAGCTAGATTTCATGGCTAACGTAAGGAAGAGTTTGAAAAGAAAAAGGACAGATCCATTAATGAGGTAACAAATTATTGCCTTTATGTTGGGACAGAACAGGGCCAGGTAGAAAACAATGAAAGAGAAAGACAGACAGAGACAGAGACAGAGACAGAGAGAAAGTGACCTAGTGAATTGGCCAGGTGACATACTGGTAAGGGAGTCAAAGGACACTCTGAGTTAGTGCCCTCATGACACACAGCAAACTGTGATCATGAAAAGAGTGAGCTCAATAGTTTTACATAAAATATGCTCAAAATTCGATGCAGTGGCCATGAGAGTACAGCTTTTGAAGTATGGTCAACCTATGGTACGTTAGGAAATGATAAGGGGAGGAAGAAATGGAAACCTAAACATCTACTGCAATGAAAACCAACAGCAATGACAGTAGGAGTAATTCAGCCTTCGCTGAAAACATGTCATCAAACACACTCTGGTTTCCCTGAATCTGTTGCCTCCAGGTGTTAACACAGAATTAAGCATCCACAATTGCTGAAAGTCACCTGGGGCATGGTGGGTTTTGATCTTCTTCCCCTTCTTTTCTTCCCCTTCTTCTTTCCTTCTTTGATCTTCTTCCCCTTCTTTTCTTCCCCTTCCCCTTCTTTTCAATTTCTGCAATAAATTCAGACATGGACAGACACATTAAGCTGATTCCCCTACACACATAACAATCCACTGTCTAATCCTCACACAGGGACCTCAGGCTCCTCAGCATAAGAATAGGACACTGTGAGAGATATATTTCAGGAGGCCTGAAGGCTGGTCATGATAGAAATTCCTCGGTTTTTCTCCCAGAAACTGTGGGTAAAATGTCCCTATTCTAGTAGATCGTTATCCCAATATCATTTGTCCCAAGTTTGTGCAAACAGTTACGCCATATTTTTCCAATCAACTTAAAGCAAATACCCTCAAATGATTTCTAGGAGAAAAACTGCAATATTTAGCCCTGTCTCATCAAATACTCAGATTGTTCATGGTTGTGAGGACTTTAGACACTGAAATTAGAGTGAAAAAGGAAATCTACAAACCCTTGAGTCAAAATCATAGTTCTCTGAATTTGTCACATCTGCCCAGGTCCAATGTCATGAGAATAGGATCAGGGCGCCACAGGTATGGCCTGAGACTAGGAAGAGAGTCTTGCTCACTGACCCATCCCTTGTCTGGGCTTCCAGGTAGAACTAGAGTTTCATTCAACCTACATGTGCCTATAGGTCCTCCCTGTGGCAATGACATCTCTCAGCTCAGTAATGGCCACTTGGAGCAGGAATATGATCTTTATATGGAAGACTCAGTGGATCCTTATCACCTTCATAGAAAGGTACTCACCTCCCACGTCAAGAGAAAAGCCAACATGTTTTTCCTCCAATGCATAAAAGGAACTTCCATAGGGCTGGCAGGAGTCAGGCTGTTCAAGACAACTGGAAGGAGTTGAATAACATCTATCCAGTGAGTCCTGCAAGACTTCAGGCTCTACTACCTCCAGCAGCTCCCTGCTGAGCCTGGAAAAGGAGGAAAAAGTAAAGAATAAGCCAGGGGAAATCAGACACAACAGAGCCCCAACTAGGTTTCATGGGTAGCATAGGGAAGTGGTTAAAAAACTAAAAGGATAGATCCATTAATGAGGTAACAAATTATTGCCTTCATGTTGGGACAGAACAGGGCCAAATGGAAAAGAATGAAAGAGAAAGACAGATAGACACACACACACACACACACACACACACACACACACACACACACACACACACACACAGAGAGAGAGAGAGAGAACGAGCTCAGTGAATTGTCCAGGTGACACACTGATGAGGGAGTAACAGGACACTCTGAGTTAGTGCCCTCAGGACACACAGCATACAGGGATCATGAAAAGACTGTGCTCAATAATTTTCCATAAAATGTGCTCAAGTTTCCATGCAGTCGCCATGAGAATACAGTTTTTGAAGTCTGGTCCACCTACAGTAGGTTAGTAAATGATAAGGGGAGGAAGAAATGGAAACCTAAATATCTACTGCAATGAAAACCAACAGCAATGTTAGTAGGAATAATTCAGGCTTGGTTGAAAAGATGTAATCGATAATGTCAGCCCGCACTGTTTTCCCTGAACCAGGAGTCTCCAGATGTCAACACAGAAGTAGCTGTTCACAATTGCTCAGTTACCTGGGGCATGGTGGGCCTTGGTCTTCTTCCTCTTCTTGGTCCTTTTTAATTCCTGCAATACATTCAGACAGGGACAGACAAAATAAGCCAATTCACCTACACCCATAACAGTCCACTGTCTAATCCCCACACAGGGATCTCAGGCTCCTCAGCATGAGAACAGGACAATGTGAGAGATATACTTCAGGAGGCCTGAAAGCTGGTCATGATATTCTTTGGTTTACATCTCAGAACCAAGGGTGAAATATCCCCATTCTGGTACATCGTTATCCCAAAATCATTTATCCCAAGTTTGTGCAAACAGTTATGCTTTATTGTTCCCATCAGTTCAAAGAAAATGCCCCAGATGATTTCCAGGAGGAAAACTAAAGTATTCAGCCCTGTCTCATCAAATGCCCAGCTCGTTCATGGATGCAAGAATTTTAGACACTGAAATTAGAATGAAGGAGGAAATCTACAAACCCTTGAGTCCAAATCATACTTCTGTGAATTTTTTACATCTGCCTGGGTCCAATGTGCTGAGAGCGGGCTCAGGTTGCCACAGGCATGGCTGGAGACTAGGAATAGAGCCTTGCTCACTGACCCATTTCATGTCTAGGCTTCCAACTGAGACTACAGTTTCATTACAACCTATATGCGCCCATAGGTCCTGCCTGCGGCAATGACGTCTCTCGGGTCAGTAAGGGGCACTTGGAACAGGAATATCACCCCTATCTGGAAGACCAGGTGGAGGCTTATCACCTTCACAGTAAGGTACTCACTGTCCACGTCAAGAGCCAAGCCAAGGTACTGTTCCTCCAATGAGTAAACAGCACTGCTGTAGGGCTGGCCTAAGTCAGGCAGTTCAAGATAACCTGAAGGAGTCGAATAACATCTATCCAGTGAGTCCTGCAAGACTTCAGGCTCTTTCTCATCCAGCAGCTCCCTGCTGAGCCTGGAAAAGTAGGAAAAAGTAAAGAATAAGTCAGGGGGAATCAGAAACCACACAGCCCCAGCTAGATTTCATGGCTAACATAAGGAACTGTTTAAAAAGAAAAAGGACAGATCCATTAATGAGGTAATGAATTATTGCCTTTATGTTGGGATAGACCAGGGCCAGGTAGAAAAGAATGAAAGAGAAAGACAGGGAGAGGGAGAGAGAGAGAGAGGAGAAAGTGAGCTCAGCGAATTGGCCGGGTGACACACTGATGAAGGGGTCAAAGGACACTCTGAGTTAGTGCCCTCGGGACACACAGCGAACAGTGATCATGAAAAGAGTGGGCTCAATAATTTTCCATAAACTTGCTCAAGATTCCATGCAGTTGCCATACAGCCTTTGAGGTATGGTCAACCTATAGTAAGTGAGTAAATGATAAGGGGAGGAAGAAATGGAAACCTAAACATCTACTGCAATGAAAACCAACAGCAATGTCAGTAGGAGTAATTCAACCTTCGTTGAAAACATGAAATTGAACACACTCTTGTTTTCCCTGGACCTGGCATCTCCAGGTGTCAACACAGAATTAAGCATCCATAATTGCTCAAAGTTACCTGGGGCATGATGGGTCTTGGTCTTCTTCCACTTCTTGGTACTTTTCAATTTCTGCAATAAGTTCAGACATGGACAGACATATTAAGCTGGTTCTCCTACACACATAACAATCCACTGTCTAATCCTCACACAGGGACTTCAGGCTCCTCAGCATGAGAATAGGACACTGTGAGAGATAGTCTTCAGGAGGCCTGAAGGCTGATCACCATAGAGATTCCTTGGTTTTTGTCCCAGAAACTGTGGGTAAAATTCCCTATTCTGGTAGATCGTTTTCCCAATATCATTTGTCCCAAGTTTGTGCAAATGGTTATGCCATATTTTTCCAATCGATTTAAAGCAAATGCCCCCAAATGGCTGCTAGGAGAAAAACTGCACTATTCAGCCCTGTCTCATCAAATACTCAGATTGTTCATGGTAGTGAGGATTTTAGACGCTGAAATTAGAGTGAAGGATGAAATCGACAAGATCTACAAAATTGAGACAAAATCAGAGTTGTGTGAATTTGTCACATCTGCCCAGATCCAACATCTTGAGAGTAGGATTAGGGCGCCACGGGCATGGCCTGAGACTAGGAAGAGAGCCTTGCTCACTGACCCATCCCTTGTCTGGGCTTCCAAGTGGAACTAGAGTTTCACTCAACCTACATGTGCCTATAGTTCCTCCCTGTGGCAATGACATCTCTCAGCTCAGTAAGGGCCACTTGCAGTAGGAATATGACCCTAACCAGAAGACTCAGTGGATCCTTATCACCTTCATAGAAAGGTACTCACCATCCATGTCAACAGCCAAGCCAACATGCTGTTGCTCCAATACATAAAAGGCACTTCTGTAGGGCTGGCATGAGTCAGTCAGTTCAAGACAACCTGAAGGAGTTGAATAACATCTATCCAGTGAGTCCTGCAAGACTTCAGGCCCTTTCTCATCCAGCAGCTCCCTGCTGAGCCTGGAAAAGTGGGAAAAAGTAAAGAATAAGCCAGGGGGAATCAGAAACCACACAGCCCCAGCTAGATTTCATGGCTAACGTAAGGAAGAGTTTGAAAAGAAAAAGGACAGATCCATTAATGAGGTAACAAATTATTGCCTTTATGTTGGGACAGAACAGGGCCAGGTAGAAAACAATGAAAGAGAAAGACAGACAGAGACAGAGACAGAGACAGAGACAGAGAGAAAGTGACCTAGTGAATTGGCCAGGTGACATACTGGTAAGGGAGTCAAAGGACACTCTGAGTTAGTGCCCTCATGACACACAGCAAACTGTGATCATGAAAAGAGTGAGCTCAATAGTTTTCCATAAAATACGCTCAAAATTCGATGCAGTGGCCATGAGAGTACAGCTTTTGAAGTATGGTCAACCTATGGTACGTTAGGAAATGATAAGGGGAGGAAGAAATGGAAACCTAAACATCTACTGCAATGAAAACCAACAGCAATGACAGTAGGAGTAATTCAGCCTTCGCTGAAAACATGTCATCAAACACACTCTGGTTTCCCTGAATCTGTTGCCTCCAGGTGTTAACACAGAATTAAGCATCCACAATTGCTGAAAGTCACCTGGGGCATGGTGGGTTTTGATCTTCTTCCCCTTCTTTTCTTCCCCTTCTTCTTTCCTTCTTTGATCTTCTTCCCCTTCTTTTCTTCCCCTTCCCCTTCTTTTCAATTTCTGCAATAAATTCAGACATGGACAGACACATTAAGCTGATTCCCCTACACACATAACAATCCACTGTCTAATCCTCACACAGGGACCTCAGGCTCCTCAGCATAAGAATAGGACACTGTGAGAGATATATTTCAGGAGGCCTGAAGGCTGGTCATGATAGAAATTCCTCGGTTTTTCTCCCAGAAACTGTGGGTAAAATGTCCCTATTCTAGTAGATCGTTATCCCAATATCATTTGTCCCAAGTTTGTGCAAACAGTTACGCCATATTTTTCCAATCAACTTAAAGCAAATACCCTCAAATGATTTCTAGGAGAAAAACTGCAATATTTAGCCCTGTCTCATCAAATACTCAGATTGTTCATGGTTGTGAGGACTTTAGACACTGAAATTAGAGTGAAAAAGGAAATCTACAAACCCTTGAGTCAAAATCATAGTTCTCTGAATTTGTCACATCTGCCCAGGTCCAATGTCATGAGAATAGGATCAGGGCGCCACAGGTATGGCCTGAGACTAGGAAGAGAGTCTTGCTCACTGACCCATCCCTTGTCTGGGCTTCCAGGTAGAACTAGAGTTTCATTCAACCTACATGTGCCTATAGGTCCTCCCTGTGGCAATGACATCTCTCAGCTCAGTAATGGCCACTTGGAGCAGGAATATGATCTTTATATGGAAGACTCAGTGGATCCTTATCACCTTCATAGAAAGGTACTCACCTCCCACGTCAAGAGAAAAGCCAACATGTTTTTCCTCCAATGCATAAAAGGAACTTCCATAGGGCTGGCAGGAGTCAGGCTGTTCAAGACAACTGGAAGGAGTTGAATAACATCTATCCAGTGAGTCCTGCAAGACTTCAGGCTCTACTACCTCCAGCAGCTCCCTGCTGAGCCTGGAAAAGGAGGAAAAAGTAAAGAATAAGCCAGGGGAAATCAGACACAACAGAGCCCCAACTAGGTTTCATGGGTAGCATAGGGAAGTGGTTAAAAAACTAAAAGGATAGATCCATTAATGAGGTAACAAATTATTGCCTTCATGTTGGGACAGAACAGGGCCAAATGGAAAAGAATGAAAGAGAAAGACAGATAGACACACACACACACACACACACACACACACACACACACACACACACACACAGAGAGAGAGAGAGAGAACGAGCTCAGTGAATTGTCCAGGTGACACACTGATGAGGGAGTAACAGGACACTCTGAGTTAGTGCCCTCAGGACACACAGCATACAGGGATCATGAAAAGACTGTGCTCAATAATTTTCCATAAAACGTGCTCAAGTTTCCATGCAGTCGCCATGAGAATAGTTTTTGAAGTCTGGTCCACCTACAGTAGGATAGTAAATGATAAGGGGAGGAAGAAATGGAAACCTAAATATCTACTGCAATGAAAACCAACAGCAATGTTAGTAGGAATAATTCAGGCTTGGTTGAAAAGATGTAATCGATAATGTCAGCCCGCACTGTTTTCCCTGAACCAGGAGTCTCCAGATGTCAACACAGAAGTAGCTGTTCACAATTGCTCAGTTACCTGGGGCATGGTGGGCCTTGGTCTTCTTCCTCTTCTTGGTCCTTTTTAATTCCTGCAATACATTCAGACAGGGACAGACAAAATAAGCCAATTCACCTACACCCATAACAGTCCACTGTCTAATCCCCACACAGGGATCTCAGGCTCCTCAGCATGAGAACAGGACAATGTGAGAGATATACTTCAGGAGGCCTGAAAGCTGGTCATGATATTCTTTGGTTTACATCTCAGAACCAAGGGTGAAATATCCCCATTCTGGTACATCGTTATCCCAAAATCATTTATCCCAAGTTTGTGCAAACAGTTATGCTTTATTGTTCACATCAGTTCAAAGAAAATGCCCCAGATGATTTCCAGGAGGAAAACTAAAGTATTCAGCCCTGTCTCATCAAATGCCCAGCTCGTTCATGGATGCAAGAATTTTAGACACTGAAATTAGAATGAAGGAGGAAATCTACAAACCTTCAGTCCAAATCATACTTCTGTGAATTTTTTACATCTGCCTGGGTCCAATGTGCTGAGAGCGGGCTCAGGTTGCCACAGGCATGGCTGGAGACTAGGAATAGAGCCTTGCTCACTGACCCATTTCATGTCTAGGCTTCCAACTGAGACTACAGTTTCATTACAACCTATATGCGCCCATAGGTCCTGCCTGCGGCAATGACGTCTCTCGGGTCAGTAAGGGGCACTTGGAACAGGAATATCACCCCTATCTGGAAGACCAGGTGGAGGCTTATCACCTTCACAGTAAGGTACTCACTGTCCACGTCAAGAGCCAAGCCAAGGTACTGTTCCTCCAATGAGTAAACAGCACTGCTGTAGGGCTGGCCTAAGTCAGGCAGTTCAAGATAACCTGAAGGAGTCGAATAACATCTATCCAGTGAGTCCTGCAAGACTTCAGGCTCTTTCTCATCCAGCAGCTCCCTGCTGAGCCTGGAAAAGTAGGAAAAAGTAAAGAATAAGTCAGGGGGAATCAGAAACCACACAGCCCCAGCTAGATTTCATGGCTAACATAAGGAACTGTTTAAAAAGAAAAAGGACAGATCCATTAATGAGGTAATGAATTATTGCCTTTATGTTGGGATAGACCAGGGCCAGGTAGAAAAGAATGAAAGAGAAAGACAGGGAGAAGGAGAGAGAGAGAGAGGAGAAAGTGAGCTCAGCGAATTGGCCGGGTGACACACTGATGAAGGGGTCAAAGGACACTCTGAGTTAGTGCCCTCGGGACACACAGCGAACAGTGATCATGAAAAGAGTGGGCTCAATAATTTTCCATAAACTTGCTCAAGATTCCATGCAGTTGCCATACAGCCTTTGAGGTATGGTCAACCTATAGTAAGTGAGTAAATGATAAGGGGAGGAAGAAATGGAAACCTAAACATCTACTGCAATGAAAACCAACAGCAATGTCAGTAGGAGTAATTCAACCTTCGTTGAAAACATGAAATTGAACACACTCTTGTTTTCCCTGGACCTGGCATCTCCAGGTGTCAACACAGAATTAAGCATCCATAATTGCTCAAAGTTACCTGGGGCATGATGGGTCTTGGTCTTCTTCCACTTCTTGGTACTTTTCAATTTCTGCAATAAGTTCAGACATGGACAGACATATTAAGCTGGTTCTCCTACACACATAACAATCCACTGTCTAATCCTCACACAGGGACTTCAGGCTCCTCAGCATGAGAATAGGACACTGTGAGAGATAGTCTTCAGGAGGCCTGAAGGCTGATCACCATAGAGATTCCTTGGTTTTTGTCCCAGAAACTGTGGGTAAAATTCCCTATTCTGGTAGATCGTTATCCCAATATCATTTGTCCCAAGTTTGTGGAAATGGTTATGCCATATTTTTCCAATCGATTTAAAGCAAATGCCCCCAAATGGCTGCTAGGAGAAAAACTGCACTATTCAGCCCTGTCTCATCAAATACTCAGATTGTTCATGGTAGTGAGGATTTGAGACGCTGAAATTAGAGTGAAGGATGAAATCGACAAGATCTACAAAATTGAGACAAAATCAGAGTTGTGTGAATTTGTCACATCTGCCCAGATCCAACATCTTGAGAGTAGGATTAGGGCGCCACGGGCATGGCCTGAGACTAGGAAGAGAGCCTTGCTCACTGACCCATCCCTTGTCTGGGCTTCCAAGTGGAACTAGAGTTTCACTCAACCTACATGTGCCTATAGTTCCTCCCTGTGGCAATGACATCTCTCAGCTCAGTAAGGGCCACTTGCAGTAGGAATATGACCCTAACCAGAAGACTCAGTGGATCCTTATCACCTTCATAGAAAGGTACTCACCATCCATGTCAACAGCCAAGCCAACATGCTGTTGCTCCAATACATAAAAGGCACTTCTGTAGGGCTGGCATGAGTCAGTCAGTTCAAGACAACCTGAAGGAGTTGAATAACATCTATCCAGTGAGTCCTGCAAGACTTCAGGCCCTTTCTCATCCAGCAGCTCCCTGCTGAGCCTGGAAAAGTGGGAAAAAGTAAAGAATAAGCCAGGGGGAATCAGAAACCACACAGCCCCAGCTAGATTTCATGGCTAACGTAAGGAAGAGTTTGAAAAGAAAAAGGACAGATCCATTAATGAGGTAACAAATTATTGCCTTTATGTTGGGACAGAACAGGGCCAGGTAGAAAACAATGAAAGAGAAAGACAGACAGAGACAGAGACAGAGACAGAGAGAAAGTGACCTAGTGAATTGGCCAGGTGACATACTGGTAAGGGAGTCAAAGGACACTCTGAGTTAGTGCCCTCATGACACACAGCAAACTGTGATCATGAAAAGAGTGAGCTCAATAGTTTTCCATAAAATATGCTCAAAATTCGATGCAGTGGCCATGAGAGTACAGCTTTTGAAGTATGGTCAACCTATGGTACGTTAGGAAATGATAAGGGGAGGAAGAAATGGAAACCTAAACATCTACTGCAATGAAAACCAACAGCAATGACAGTAGGAGTAATTCAGCCTTCGCTGAAAACATGTCATCAAACACACTCTGGTTTCCCTGAATCTGTTGCCTCCAGGTGTTAACACAGAATTAAGCATCCACAATTGCTGAAAGTCACCTGGGGCATGGTGGGTTTTGATCTTCTTCCCCTTCTTTTCTTCCCCTTCTTCTTTCCTTCTTTGATCTTCTTCCCCTTCTTTTCTTCCCCTTCCCCTTCTTTTCAATTTCTGCAATAAATTCAGACATGGACAGACACATTAAGCTGATTCCCCTACACACATAACAATCCACTGTCTAATCCTCACACAGGGACCTCAGGCTCCTCAGCATAAGAATAGGACACTGTGAGAGATATATTTCAGGAGGCCTGAAGGCTGGTCATGATAGAAATTCCTCGGTTTTTCTCCCAGAAACTGTGGGTAAAATGTCCCTATTCTAGTAGATCGTTATCCCAATATCATTTGTCCCAAGTTTGTGCAAACAGTTACGCCATATTTTTCCAATCAACTTAAAGCAAATACCCTCAAATGATTTCTAGGAGAAAAACTGCAATATTTAGCCCTGTCTCATCAAATACTCAGATTGTTCATGGTTGTGAGGACTTTAGACACTGAAATTAGAGTGAAAAAGGAAATCTACAAACCCTTGAGTCAAAATCATAGTTCTCTGAATTTGTCACATCTGCCCAGGTCCAATGTCATGAGAATAGGATCAGGGCGCCACAGGTATGGCCTGAGACTAGGAAGAGAGTCTTGCTCACTGACCCATCCCTTGTCTGGGCTTCCAGGTAGAACTAGAGTTTCATTCAACCTACATGTGCCTATAGGTCCTCCCTGTGGCAATGACATCTCTCAGCTCAGTAATGGCCACTTGGAGCAGGAATATGATCTTTATATGGAAGACTCAGTGGATCCTTATCACCTTCATAGAAAGGTACTCACCTCCCACGTCAAGAGAAAAGCCAACATGTTTTTCCTCCAATGCATAAAAGGAACTTCCATAGGGCTGGCAGGAGTCAGGCTGTTCAAGACAACTGGAAGGAGTTGAATAACATCTATCCAGTGAGTCCTGCAAGACTTCAGGCTCTACTACCTCCAGCAGCTCCCTGCTGAGCCTGGAAAAGGAGGAAAAAGTAAAGAATAAGCCAGGGGAAATCAGACACAACAGAGCCCCAACTAGGTTTCATGGGTAGCATAGGGAAGTGGTTAAAAAACTAAAAGGATAGATCCATTAATGAGGTAACAAATTATTGCCTTCATGTTGGGACAGAACAGGGCCAAATGGAAAAGAATGAAAGAGAAAGACAGATAGACACACACACACACACACACACACACACACACACACACACACACAGAGAGAGAGAGAGAGAACGAGCTCAGTGAATTGTCCAGGTGACGCACTGATGAGGGAGTAACAGGACACTCTGAGTTAGTGCCCTCAGGACACACAGCATACAGGGATCATGAAAAGACTGTGCTCAATAATTTTCCATAAAATGTGCTCAAGTTTCCATGCAGTCGCCATGAGAATACAGTTTTTGAAGTCTGGTCCACCTACAGTAGGTTAGTAAATGATAAGGGGAGGAAGAAATGGAAACCTAAATATCTACTGCAATGAAAACCAACAGCAATGTTAGTAGGAATAATTCAGGCTTGGTTGAAAAGATGTAATCGATAATGTCAGCCCGCACTGTTTTCCCTGAACCAGGAGTCTCCAGATGTCAACACAGAAGTAGCTGTTCACAATTGCTCAGTTACCTGGGGCATGGTGGGTCTTGGTCTTCTTCCTCTTCTTGGTCCTTTTTAATTCCTGCAATACATTCAGACAGGGACAGACAAAATAAGCCAATTCACCTACACCCATAACAGTCCACTGTCTAATCCCCACACAGGGATCTCAGGCTCCTCAGCATGAGAACAGGACAATGTGAGAGATATACTTCAGGAGGCCTGAAAGCTGCTCATGATATTCTTTGGTTTACATCTCAGAACCAAGGGTGAAATATCCCCATTCTGGTACATCGTTATCCCAAAATCATTTATCCCAAGTTTGTGCAAACAGTTATGCTTTATTGTTCCCATCAGTTCAAAGAAAATGCCCCAGATGATTTCCAGGAGGAAAACTAAAGTATTCAGCCCTGTCTCATCAAATGCCCAGCTCGTTCATGGATGCAAGAATTTTAGACACTGAAATTAGAATGAAGGAGGAAATCTACAAACCCTTGAGTCCAAATCATACTTCTGTGAATTTTTTACATCTGCCTGGGTCCAATGTGCTGAGAGCGGGCTCAGGTTGCCACAGGCATGGCTGGAGACTAGGAATAGAGCCTTGCTCACTGACCCATTTCATGTCTAGGCTTCCAACTGAGACTACAGTTTCATTACAACCTATATGCGCCCATAGGTCCTGCCTGCGGCAATGACGTCTCTCGGGTCAGTAAGGGGCACTTGGAACAGGAATATCACCCCTATCTGGAAGACCAGGTGGAGGCTTATCACCTTCACAGTAAGGTACTCACTGTCCACGTCAAGAGCCAAGCCAAGGTACTGTTCCTCCAATGAGTAAACAGCACTGCTGTAGGGCTGGCCTAAGTCAGGCAGTTCAAGATAACCTGAAGGAGTCGAATAACATCTATCCAGTGAGTCCTGCAAGACTTCAGGCTCTTTCTCATCCAGCAGCTCCCTGCTGAGCCTGGAAAAGTAGGAAAAAGTAAAGAATAAGTCAGGGGGAATCAGAAACCACACAGCCCCAGCTAGATTTCATGGCTAACATAAGGAACTGTTTAAAAAGAAAAAGGACAGATCCATTAATGAGGTAATGAATTATTGCCTTTATGTTGGGATAGACCAGGGCCAGGTAGAAAAGAATGAAAGAGAAAGACAGGGAGAGGGAGAGAGAGAGAGAGGAGAAAGTGAGCTCAGCGAATTGGCCGGGTGACACACTGATGAAGGGGTCAAAGGACACTCTGAGTTAGTGCCCTCGGGACACACAGCGAACAGTGATCATGAAAAGAGTGGGCTCAATAATTTTCCATAACCTTGCTCAAGATTCCATGCAGTTGCCATACAGCCTTTGAGGTATGGTCAACCTATAGTAAGTGAGTAAATGATAAGGGGAGGAAGAAATGGAAACCTAAACATCTACTGCAATGAAAACCAACAGCAATGTCAGTAGGAGTAATTCAACCTTCGTTGAAAATATGAAATTGAACACACTCTTGTTTTCCCTGGACCTGGCATCTCCAGGTGTCAACACAGAATTAAGCATCCATAATTGCTCAAAGTTACCTGGGGCATGATGGGTCTTGGTCTTCTTCCACTTCTTGGTACTTTTCAATTTCTGCAATAAGTTCAGACATGGACAGACATATTAAGCTGGTTCTCCTACACACATAACAATCCACTGTCTAATCCTCACACAGGGACTTCAGGCTCCTCAGCATGAGAATAGGACACTGTGAGAGATAGTCTTCAGGAGGCCTGAAGGCTGATCACCATAGAGATTCCTTGGTTTTTGTCCCAGAAACTGTGGGTAAAATTCCCTATTCTGGTAGATCGTTATCCCAATATCATTTGTCCCAAGTTTGTGCAAATGGTTATGCCATATTTTTCCAATCGATTTAAAGCAAATGCCCCCAAATGGCTGCTAGGAGAAAAACTGCACTATTCAGCCCTGTCACATCAAATACTCAGATTGTTCATGGTAGTGAGGATTTTAGACGCTGAAATTAGAGTGAAGGATGAAATCTACAAGATCTACAAAATTGAGACAAAATCAGAGTTGTGTGAATTTGTCACATCTGCCCAGATCCAACATCTTGAGAGTAGGATTAGGGCGCCACGGGCATGGCCTGAGACTAGGAAGAGAGCCTTGCTCACTGACCCATCCCTTGTCTGGGCTTCCAAGTGGAACTAGAGTTTCACTCAACCTACATGTGCCTATAGTTCCTCCCTGTGGCAATGACATCTCTCAGCTCAGTAAGGGCCACTTGCAGTAGGAATATGACCCTAACCAGAAGACTCAGTGGATCCTTATCACCTTCATAGAAAGGTACTCACCATCCATGTCAACAGCCAAGCCAACATGCTGTTGCTCCAATACATAAAAGGCACTTCTGTAGGGCTGGCATGAGTCAGTCAGTTCAAGACAACCTGAAGGAGTTGAATAACATCTATCCAGTGAGTCCTGCAAGACTTCAGGCCCTTTCTCATCCAGCAGCTCCCTGCTGAGCCTGGAAAAGTGGGAAAAAGTAAAGAATAAGCCAGGGGGAATCAGAAACCACACAGCCCCAGCTAGATTTCATGGCTAACGTAAGGAAGAGTTTGAAAAGAAAAAGGACAGATCCATTAATGAGGTAACAAATTATTGCCTTTATGTTGGGACAGAACAGGGCCAGGTAGAAAACAATGAAAGAGAAAGACAGACAGAGACAGAGACAGAGACAGAGAGAAAGTGACCTAGTGAATTGGCCAGGTGACATACTGGTAAGGGAGTCAAAGGACACTCTGAGTTAGTGCCCTCATGACACACAGCAAACTGTGATCATGAAAAGAGTGAGCTCAATAGTTTTACATAAAATATGCTCAAAATTCGATGCAGTGGCCATGAGAGTACAGCTTTTGAAGTATGGTCAACCTATGGTACGTTAGGAAATGATAAGGGGAGGAAGAAATGGAAACCTAAACATCTACTGCAATGAAAACCAACAGCAATGACAGTAGGAGTAATTCAGCCTTCGCTGAAAACATGTCATCAAACACACTCTGGTTTCCCTGAATCTGTTGCCTCCAGGTGTTAACACAGAATTAAGCATCCACAATTGCTGAAAGTCACCTGGGGCATGGTGGGTTTTGATCTTCTTCCCCTTCTTTTCTTCCCCTTCTTCTTTCCTTCTTTGATCTTCTTCCCCTTCTTTTCTTCCCCTTCCCCTTCTTTTCAATTTCTGCAATAAATTCAGACATGGACAGACACATTAAGCTGATTCCCCTACACACATAACAATCCACTGTCTAATCCTCACACAGGGACCTCAGGCTCCTCAGCATAAGAATAGGACACTGTGAGAGATATATTTCAGGAGGCCTGAAGGCTGGTCATGATAGAAATTCCTCGGTTTTTCTCCCAGAAACTGTGGGTAAAATGTCCCTATTCTAGTAGATCGTTATCCCAATATCATTTGTCCCAAGTTTGTGCAAACAGTTACGCCATATTTTTCCAATCAACTTAAAGCAAATACCCTCAAATGATTTCTAGGAGAAAAACTGCAATATTTAGCCCTGTCTCATCAAATACTCAGATTGTTCATGGTTGTGAGGACTTTAGACACTGAAATTAGAGTGAAAAAGGAAATCTACAAACCCTTGAGTCAAAATCATAGTTCTCTGAATTTGTCACATCTGCCCAGGTCCAATGTCATGAGAATAGGATCAGGGCGCCACAGGTATGGCCTGAGACTAGGAAGAGAGTCTTGCTCACTGACCCATCCCTTGTCTGGGCTTCCAGGTAGAACTAGAGTTTCATTCAACCTACATGTGCCTATAGGTCCTCCCTGTGGCAATGACATCTCTCAGCTCAGTAATGGCCACTTGGAGCAGGAATATGATCTTTATATGGAAGACTCAGTGGATCCTTATCACCTTCATAGAAAGGTACTCACCTCCCACGTCAAGAGAAAAGCCAACATGTTTTTCCTCCAATGCATAAAAGGAACTTCCATAGGGCTGGCAGGAGTCAGGCTGTTCAAGACAACTGGAAGGAGTTGAATAACATCTATCCAGTGAGTCCTGCAAGACTTCAGGCTCTACTACCTCCAGCAGCTCCCTGCTGAGCCTGGAAAAGGAGGAAAAAGTAAAGAATAAGCCAGGGGAAATCAGACACAACAGAGCCCCAACTAGGTTTCATGGGTAGCATAGGGAAGTGGTTAAAAAACTAAAAGGATAGATCCATTAATGAGGTAACAAATTATTGCCTTCATGTTGGGACAGAACAGGGCCAAATGGAAAAGAATGAAAGAGAAAGACAGATAGACACACACACACACACACACACACACACACACACACACACACACAGAGAGAGAGAGAGAGAGAGAACGAGCTCAGTGAATTGTCCAGGTGACACACTGATGAGGGAGTAACAGGACACTCTGAGTTAGTGCCCTCAGGACACACAGCATACAGGGATCATGAAAAGACTGTGCTCAATAATTTTCCATAAAATGTGCTCAAGTTTCCATGCAGTCGCCATGAGAATACAGTTTTTGAAGTCTGGTCCACCTACAGTAGGTTAGTAAATGATAAGGGGAGGAAGAAATGGAAACCTAAATATCTACTGCAATGAAAACCAACAGCAATGTTAGTAGGAATAATTCAGGCTTGGTTGAAAAGATGTAATCGATAATGTCAGCCCGCACTGTTTTCCCTGAACCAGGAGTCTCCAGATGTCAACACAGAAGTAGCTGTTCACAATTGCTCAGTTACCTGGGGCATGGTGGGCCTTGGTCTTCTTCCTCTTCTTGGTCCTTTTTAATTCCTGCAATACATTCAGACAGGGACAGACAAAATAAGCCAATTCACCTACACCCATAACAGTCCACTGTCTAATCCCCACACAGGGATCTCAGGCTCCTCAGCATGAGAACAGGACAATGTGAGAGATATACTTCAGGAGGCCTGAAAGCTGGTCATGATATTCTTTGGTTTACATCTCAGAACCAAGGGTGAAATATCCCCATTCTGGTACATCGTTATCCCAAAATCATTTATCCCAAGTTTGTGCAAACAGTTATGCTTTATTGTTCCCATCAGTTCAAAGAAAATGCCCCAGATGATTTCCAGGAGGAAAACTAAAGTATTCAGCCCTGTCTCATCAAATGCCCAGCTCGTTCATGGATGCAAGAATTTTAGACACTGAAATTAGAATGAAGGAGGAAATCTACAAACCCTTCAGTCCAAATCATACTTCTGTGAATTTTTTACATCTGCCTGGGTCCAATGTGCTGAGAGCGGGCTCAGGTTGCCACAGGCATGGCTGGAGACTAGGAATAGAGCCTTGCTCACTGACCCATTTCATGTCTAGGCTTCCAACTGAGACTACAGTTTCATTACAACCTATATGCGCCCATAGGTCCTGCCTGCGGCAATGACGTCTCTCGGGTCAGTAAGGGGCACTTGGAACAGGAATATCACCCCTATCTGGAAGACCAGGTGGAGGCTTATCACCTTCACAGTAAGGTACTCACTGTCCACGTCAAGAGCCAAGCCAAGGTACTGTTCCTCCAATGAGTAAACAGCACTGCTGTAGGGCTGGCCTAAGTCAGGCAGTTCAAGATAACCTGAAGGAGTCGAATAACATCTATCCAGTGAGTCCTGCAAGACTTCAGGCTCTTTCTCATCCAGCAGCTCCCTGCTGAGCCTGGAAAAGTAGGAAAAAGTAAAGAATAAGTCAGGGGGAATCAGAAACCACACAGCCCCAGCTAGATTTCATGGCTAACATAAGGAACTGTTTAAAAAGAAAAAGGACAGATCCATTAATGAGGTAATGAATTATTGCCTTTATGTTGGGATAGACCAGGGCCAGGTAGAAAAGAATGAAAGAGAAAGACAGGGAGAGGGAGAGAGAGAGAGAGGAGAAAGTGAGCTCAGCGAATTGGCCGGGTGACACACTGATGAAGGGGTCAAAGGACACTCTGAGTTAGTGCCCTCGGGACACACAGCGAACAGTGATCATGAAAAGAGTGGGCTCAATAATTTTCCATAACCTTGCTCAAGATTCCATGCAGTTGCCATACAGCCTTTGAGGTATGGTCAACCTATAGTAAGTGAGTAAATGATAAGGGGAGGAAGAAATGGAAACCTAAACATCTACTGCAATGAAAACCAACAGCAATGTCAGTAGGAGTAATTCAACCTTCGTTGAAAACATGAAATTGAACACACTCTTGTTTTCCCTGGACCTGGCATCTCCAGGTGTCAACACAGAATTAAGCATCCATAATTGCTCAAAGTTACCTGGGGCATGATGGGTCTTGGTCTTCTTCCACTTCTTGGTACTTTTCAATTTCTGCAATAAGTTCAGACATGGACAGACATATTAAGCTGGTTCTCCTACACACATAACAATCCACTGTCTAATCCTCACACAGGGACTTCAGGCTCCTCAGCATGAGAATAGGACACTGTGAGAGATAGTCTTCAGGAGGCCTGAAGGCTGATCACCATAGAGATTCCTTGGTTTTTGTCCCAGAAACTGTGGGTAAAATTCCCTATTCTGGTAGATCGTTATCCCAATATCATTTGTCCCAAGTTTGTGCAAATGGTTATGCCATATTTTTCCAATCGATTTAAAGCAAATGCCCCCAAATGGCTGCTAGGAGAAAAACTGCACTATTCAGCCCTGTCTCATCAAATACTCAGATTGTTCATGGTAGTGAGGATTTGAGACGCTGAAATTAGAGTGAAGGATGAAATCGACAAGATCTACAAAATTGAGACAAAATCAGAGTTGTGTGAATTTGTCACATCTGCCCAGATCCAACATCTTGAGAGTAGGATTAGGGCGCCACGGGCATGGCCTGAGACTAGGAAGAGAGCCTTGCTCACTGACCCATCCCTTGTCTGGGCTTCCAAGTGGAACTAGAGTTTCACTCAACCTACATGTGCCTATAGTTCCTCCCTGTGGCAATGACATCTCTCAGCTCAGTAAGGGCCACTTGCAGTAGGAATATGACCCTAACCAGAAGACTCAGTGGATCCTTATCACCTTCATAGAAAGGTACTCACCATCCATGTCAACAGCCAAGCCAACATGCTGTTGCTCCAATACATAAAAGGCACTTCTGTAGGGCTGGCATGAGTCAGTCAGTTCAAGACAACCTGAAGGAGTTGAATAACATCTATCCAGTGAGTCCTGCAAGACTTCAGGCCCTTTCTCATCCAGCAGCTCCCTGCTGAGCCTGGAAAAGTGGGAAAAAGTAAAGAATAAGCCAGGGGGAATCAGAAACCACACAGCCCCAGCTAGATTTCATGGCTAACGTAAGGAAGAGTTTGAAAAGAAAAAGGACAGATCCATTAATGAGGTAACAAATTATTGCCTTTATGTTGGGACAGAACAGGGCCAGGTAGAAAACAATGAAAGAGAAAGACAGACAGAGACAGAGACAGAGACAGAGAGAAAGTGACCTAGTGAATTGGCCAGGTGACATACTGGTAAGGGAGTCAAAGGACACTCTGAGTTAGTGCCCTCATGACACACAGCAAACTGTGATCATGAAAAGAGTGAGCTCAATAGTTTTACATAAAATATGCTCAAAATTCGATGCAGTGGCCATGAGAGTACAGCTTTTGAAGTATGGTCAACCTATGGTACGTTAGGAAATGATAAGGGGAGGAAGAAATGGAAACCTAAACATCTACTGCAATGAAAACCAACAGCAATGACAGTAGGAGTAATTCAGCCTTCGCTGAAAACATGTCATCAAACACACTCTGGTTTCCCTGAATCTGTTGCCTCCAGGTGTTAACACAGAATTAAGCATCCACAATTGCTGAAAGTCACCTGGGGCATGGTGGGTTTTGATCTTCTTCCCCTTCTTTTCTTCCCCTTCTTCTTTCCTTCTTTGATCTTCTTCCCCTTCTTTTCTTCCCCTTCCCCTTCTTTTCAATTTCTGCAATAAATTCAGACATGGACAGACACATTAAGCTGATTCCCCTACACACATAACAATCCACTGTCTAATCCTCACACAGGGACCTCAGGCTCCTCAGCATAAGAATAGGACACTGTGAGAGATATATTTCAGGAGGCCTGAAGGCTGGTCATGATAGAAATTCCTCGGTTTTTCTCCCAGAAACTGTGGGTAAAATGTCCCTATTCTAGTAGATCGTTATCCCAATATCATTTGTCCCAAGTTTGTGCAAACAGTTACGCCATATTTTTCCAATCAACTTAAAGCAAATACCCTCAAATGATTTCTAGGAGAAAAACTGCAATATTTAGCCCTGTCTCATCAAATACTCAGATTGTTCATGGTTGTGAGGACTTTAGACACTGAAATTAGAGTGAAAAAGGAAATCTACAAACCCTTGAGTCAAAATCATAGTTCTCTGAATTTGTCACATCTGCCCAGGTCCAATGTCATGAGAATAGGATCAGGGCGCCACAGGTATGGCCTGAGACTAGGAAGAGAGTCTTGCTCACTGACCCATCCCTTGTCTGGGCTTCCAGGTAGAACTAGAGTTTCATTCAACCTACATGTGCCTATAGGTCCTCCCTGTGGCAATGACATCTCTCAGCTCAGTAATGGCCACTTGGAGCAGGAATATGATCTTTATATGGAAGACTCAGTGGATCCTTATCACCTTCATAGAAAGGTACTCACCTCCCACGTCAAGAGAAAAGCCAACATGTTTTTCCTCCAATGCATAAAAGGAACTTCCATAGGGCTGGCAGGAGTCAGGCTGTTCAAGACAACTGGAAGGAGTTGAATAACATCTATCCAGTGAGTCCTGCAAGACTTCAGGCTCTACTACCTCCAGCAGCTCCCTGCTGAGCCTGGAAAAGGAGGAAAAAGTAAAGAATAAGCCAGGGGAAATCAGACACAACAGAGCCCCAACTAGGTTTCATGGGTAGCATAGGGAAGTGGTTAAAAAACTAAAAGGATAGATCCATTAATGAGGTAACAAATTATTGCCTTCATGTTGGGACAGAACAGGGCCAAATGGAAAAGAATGAAAGAGAAAGACAGATAGACACACACACACACACACACACACACACACACACACACACACACAGAGAGAGAGAGAGAGAGAGAACGAGCTCAGTGAATTGTCCAGGTGACACACTGATGAGGGAGTAACAGGACACTCTGAGTTAGTGCCCTCAGGACACACAGCATACAGGGATCATGAAAAGACTGTGCTCAATAATTTTCCATAAAATGTGCTCAAGTTTCCATGCAGTCGCCATGAGAATACAGTTTTTGAAGTCTGGTCCACCTACAGTAGGTTAGTAAATGATAAGGGGAGGAAGAAATGGAAACCTAAATATCTACTGCAATGAAAACCAACAGCAATGTTAGTAGGAATAATTCAGGCTTGGTTGAAAAGATGTAATCGATAATGTCAGCCCGCACTGTTTTCCCTGAACCAGGAGTCTCCAGATGTCAACACAGAAGTAGCTGTTCACAATTGCTCAGTTACCTGGGGCATGGTGGGCCTTGGTCTTCTTCCTCTTCTTGGTCCTTTTTAATTCCTGCAATACATTCAGACAGGGACAGACAAAATAAGCCAATTCACCTACACCCATAACAGTCCACTGTCTAATCCCCACACAGGGATCTCAGGCTCCTCAGCATGAGAACAGGACAATGTGAGAGATATACTTCAGGAGGCCTGAAAGCTGGTCATGATATTCTTTGGTTTACATCTCAGAACCAAGGGTGAAATATCCCCATTCTGGTACATCGTTATCCCAAAATCATTTATCCCAAGTTTGTGCAAACAGTTATGCTTTATTGTTCCCATCAGTTCAAAGAAAATGCCCCAGATGATTTCCAGGAGGAAAACTAAAGTATTCAGCCCTGTCTCATCAAATGCCCAGCTCGTTCATGGATGCAAGAATTTTAGACACTGAAATTAGAATGAAGGAGGAAATCTACAAACCCTTCAGTCCAAATCATACTTCTGTGAATTTTTTACATCTGCCTGGGTCCAATGTGCTGAGAGCGGGCTCAGGTTGCCACAGGCATGGCTGGAGACTAGGAATAGAGCCTTGCTCACTGACCCATTTCATGTCTAGGCTTCCAACTGAGACTACAGTTTCATTACAACCTATATGCGCCCATAGGTCCTGCCTGCGGCAATGACGTCTCTCGGGTCAGTAAGGGGCACTTGGAACAGGAATATCACCCCTATCTGGAAGACCAGGTGGAGGCTTATCACCTTCACAGTAAGGTACTCACTGTCCACGTCAAGAGCCAAGCCAAGGTACTGTTCCTCCAATGAGTAAACAGCACTGCTGTAGGGCTGGCCTAAGTCAGGCAGTTCAAGATAACCTGAAGGAGTCGAATAACATCTATCCAGTGAGTCCTGCAAGACTTCAGGCTCTTTCTCATCCAGCAGCTCCCTGCTGAGCCTGGAAAAGTAGGAAAAAGTAAAGAATAAGTCAGGGGGAATCAGAAACCACACAGCCCCAGCTAGATTTCATGGCTAACATAAGGAACTGTTTAAAAAGAAAAAGGACAGATCCATTAATGAGGTAATGAATTATTGCCTTTATGTTGGGATAGACCAGGGCCAGGTAGAAAAGAATGAAAGAGAAAGACAGGGAGAGGGAGAGAGAGAGAGAGGAGAAAGTGAGCTCAGCGAATTGGCCGGGTGACACACTGATGAAGGGGTCAAAGGACACTCTGAGTTAGTGCCCTCGGGACACACAGCGAACAGTGATCATGAAAAGAGTGGGCTCAATAATTTTCCATAACCTTGCTCAAGATTCCATGCAGTTGCCATACAGCCTTTGAGGTATGGTCAACCTATAGTAAGTGAGTAAATGATAAGGGGAGGAAGAAATGGAAACCTAAACATCTACTGCAATGAAAACCAACAGCAATGTCAGTAGGAGTAATTCAACCTTCGTTGAAAACATGAAATTGAACACACTCTTGTTTTCCCTGGACCTGGCATCTCCAGGTGTCAACACAGAATTAAGCATCCATAATTGCTCAAAGTTACCTGGGGCATGATGGGTCTTGGTCTTCTTCCACTTCTTGGTACTTTTCAATTTCTGCAATAAGTTCAGACATGGACAGACATATTAAGCTGGTTCTCCTACACACATAACAATCCACTGTCTAATCCTCACACAGGGACTTCAGGCTCCTCAGCATGAGAATAGGACACTGTGAGAGATAGTCTTCAGGAGGCCTGAAGGCTGATCACCATAGAGATTCCTTGGTTTTTGTCCCAGAAACTGTGGGTAAAATTCCCTATTCTGGTAGATCGTTATCCCAATATCATTTGTCCCAAGTTTGTGCAAATGGTTATGCCATATTTTTCCAATCGATTTAAAGCAAATGCCCCCAAATGGCTGCTAGGAGAAAAACTGCACTATTCAGCCCTGTCTCATCAAATACTCAGATTGTTCATGGTAGTGAGGATTTTAGACGCTGAAATTAGAGTGAAGGATGAAATCGACAAGATCTACAAAATTGAGACAAAATCAGAGTTGTGTGAATTTGTCACATCTGCCCAGATCCAACATCTTGAGAGTAGGATTAGGGCGCCACGGGCATGGCCTGAGACTAGGAAGAGAGCCTTGCTCACTGACCCATCCCTTGTCTGGGCTTCCAAGTGGAACTAGAGTTTCACTCAACCTACATGTGCCTATAGTTCCTCCCTGTGGCAATGACATCTCTCAGCTCAGTAAGGGCCACTTGCAGTAGGAATATGACCCTAACCAGAAGACTCAGTGGATCCTTATCACCTTCATAGAAAGGTACTCACCATCCATGTCAACAGCCAAGCCAACATGCTGTTGCTCCAATACATAAAAGGCACTTCTGTAGGGCTGGCATGAGTCAGTCAGTTCAAGACAACCTGAAGGAGTTGAATAACATCTATCCAGTGAGTCCTGCAAGACTTCAGGCCCTTTCTCATCCAGCAGCTCCCTGCTGAGCCTGGAAAAGTGGGAAAAAGTAAAGAATAAGCCAGGGGGAATCAGAAACCACACAGCCCCAGCTAGATTTCATGGCTAACGTAAGGAAGAGTTTGAAAAGAAAAAGGACAGATCCATTAATGAGGTAACAAATTATTGCCTTTATGTTGGGACAGAACAGGGCCAGGTAGAAAACAATGAAAGAGAAAGACAGACAGAGACAGAGACAGAGACAGAGAGAAAGTGACCTAGTGAATTGGCCAGGTGACATACTGGTAAGGGAGTCAAAGGACACTCTGAGTTAGTGCCCTCATGACACACAGCAAACTGTGATCATGAAAAGAGTGAGCTCAATAGTTTTCCATAAAATATGCTCAAAATTCGATGCAGTGGCCATGAGAGTACAGCTTTTGAAGTATGGTCAACCTATGGTACGTTAGGAAATGATAAGGGGAGGAAGAAATGGAAACCTAAACATCTACTGCAATGAAAACCAACAGCAATGACAGTAGGAGTAATTCAGCCTTCGCTGAAAACATGTCATCAAACACACTCTGGTTTCCCTGAATCTGTTGCCTCCAGGTGTTAACACAGAATTAAGCATCCACAATTGCTGAAAGTCACCTGGGGCATGGTGGGTTTTGATCTTCTTCCCCTTCTTTTCTTCCCCTTCTTCTTTCCTTCTTTGATCTTCTTCCCCTTCTTTTCTTCCCCTTCCCCTTCTTTTCAATTTCTGCAATAAATTCAGACATGGACAGACACATTAAGCTGATTCCCCTACACACATAACAATCCACTGTCTAATCCTCACACAGGGACCTCAGGCTCCTCAGCATAAGAATAGGACACTGTGAGAGATATATTTCAGGAGGCCTGAAGGCTGGTCATGATAGAAATTCCTCGGTTTTTCTCCCAGAAACTGTGGGTAAAATGTCCCTATTCTAGTAGATCGTTATCCCAATATCATTTGTCCCAAGTTTGTGCAAACAGTTACGCCATATTTTTCCAATCAACTTAAAGCAAATACCCTCAAATGATTTCTAGGAGAAAAACTGCAATATTTAGCCCTGTCTCATCAAATACTCAGATTGTTCATGGTTGTGAGGACTTTAGACACTGAAATTAGAGTGAAAAAGGAAATCTACAAACCCTTGAGTCAAAATCATAGTTCTCTGAATTTGTCACATCTGCCCAGGTCCAATGTCATGAGAATAGGATCAGGGCGCCACAGGTATGGCCTGAGACTAGGAAGAGAGTCTTGCTCACTGACCCATCCCTTGTCTGGGCTTCCAGGTAGAACTAGAGTTTCATTCAACCTACATGTGCCTATAGGTCCTCCCTGTGGCAATGACATCTCTCAGCTCAGTAATGGCCACTTGGAGCAGGAATATGATCTTTATATGGAAGACTCAGTGGATCCTTATCACCTTCATAGAAAGGTACTCACCTCCCACGTCAAGAGAAAAGCCAACATGTTTTTCCTCCAATGCATAAAAGGAACTTCCATAGGGCTGGCAGGAGTCAGGCTGTTCAAGACAACTGGAAGGAGTTGAATAACATCTATCCAGTGAGTCCTGCAAGACTTCAGGCTCTACTACCTCCAGCAGCTCCCTGCTGAGCCTGGAAAAGGAGGAAAAAGTAAAGAATAAGCCAGGGGAAATCAGACACAACAGAGCCCCAACTAGGTTTCATGGGTAGCATAGGGAAGTGGTTAAAAAACTAAAAGGATAGATCCATTAATGAGGTAACAAATTATTGCCTTCATGTTGGGACAGAACAGGGCCAAATGGAAAAGAATGAAAGAGAAAGACAGATAGACACACACACACACACACACACACACACACACACACACACACACAGAGAGAGAGAGAGAGAACGAGCTCAGTGAATTGTCCAGGTGACACACTGATGAGGGAGTAACAGGACACTCTGAGTTAGTGCCCTCAGGACACACAGCATACAGGGATCATGAAAAGACTGTGCTCAATAATTTTCCATAAAATGTGCTCAAGTTTCCATGCAGTCGCCATGAGAATACAGTTTTTGAAGTCTGGTCCACCTACAGTAGGTTAGTAAATGATAAGGGGAGGAAGAAATGGAAACCTAAATATCTACTGCAATGAAAACCAACAGCAATGTTAGTAGGAATAATTCAGGCTTGGTTGAAAAGATGTAATCGATAATGTCAGCCCGCACTGTTTTCCCTGAACCAGGAGTCTCCAGATGTCAACACAGAAGTAGCTGTTCACAATTGCTCAGTTACCTGGGGCATGGTGGGCCTTGGTCTTCTTCCTCTTCTTGGTCCTTTTTAATTCCTGCAATACATTCAGACAGGGACAGACAAAATAAGCCAATTCACCTACACCCATAACAGTCCACTGTCTAATCCCCACACAGGGATCTCAGGCTCCTCAGCATGAGAACAGGACAATGTGAGAGATATACTTCAGGAGGCCTGAAAGCTGGTCATGATATTCTTTGGTTTACATCTCAGAACCAAGGGTGAAATATCCCCATTCTGGTACATCGTTATCCCAAAATCATTTATCCCAAGTTTGTGCAAACAGTTATGCTTTATTGTTCCCATCAGTTCAAAGAAAATGCCCCAGATGATTTCCAGGAGGAAAACTAAAGTATTCAGCCCTGTCTCATCAAATGCCCAGCTCGTTCATGGATGCAAGAATTTTAGACACTGAAATTAGAATGAAGGAGGAAATCTACAAACCCTTCAGTCCAAATCATACTTCTGTGAATTTTTTACATCTGCCTGGGTCCAATGTGCTGAGAGCGGGCTCAGGTTGCCACAGGCATGGCTGGAGACTAGGAATAGAGCCTTGCTCACTGACCCATTTCATGTCTAGGCTTCCAACTGAGACTACAGTTTCATTACAACCTATATGCGCCCATAGGTCCTGCCTGCGGCAATGACGTCTCTCGGGTCAGTAAGGGGCACTTGGAACAGGAATATCACCCCTATCTGGAAGACCAGGTGGAGGCTTATCACCTTCACAGTAAGGTACTCACTGTCCACGTCAAGAGCCAAGCCAAGGTACTGTTCCTCCAATGAGTAAACAGCACTGCTGTAGGGCTGGCCTAAGTCAGGCAGTTCAAGATAACCTGAAGGAGTCGAATAACATCTATCCAGTGAGTCCTGCAAGACTTCAGGCTCTTTCTCATCCAGCAGCTCCCTGCTGAGCCTGGAAAAGTAGGAAAAAGTAAAGAATAAGTCAGGGGGAATCAGAAACCACACAGCCCCAGCTAGATTTCATGGCTAACATAAGGAACTGTTTAAAAAGAAAAAGGACAGATCCATTAATGAGGTAATGAATTATTGCCTTTATGTTGGGATAGACCAGGGCCAGGTAGAAAAGAATGAAAGAGAAAGACAGGGAGAGGGAGAGAGAGAGAGAGGAGAAAGTGAGCTCAGCGAATTGGCCGGGTGACACACTGATGAAGGGGTCAAAGGACACTCTGAGTTAGTGCCCTCGGGACACACAGCGAACAGTGATCATGAAAAGAGTGGGCTCAATAATTTTCCATAACCTTGCTCAAGATTCCATGCAGTTGCCATACAGCCTTTGAGGTATGGTCAACCTATAGTAAGTGAGTAAATGATAAGGGGAGGAACAAATGGAAACCTAAACATCTACTGCAATGAAAACCAACAGCAATGTCAGTAGGAGTAATTCAACCTTCGTTGAAAACATGAAATTGAACACACTCTTGTTTTCCCTGGACCTGGCATCTCCAGGTGTCAACACAGAATTAAGCATCCATAATTGCTCAAAGTTACCTGGGGCATGATGGGTCTTGGTCTTCTTCCACTTCTTGGTACTTTTCAATTTCTGCAATAAGTTCAGACATGGACAGACATATTAAGCTGGTTCTCCTACACACATAACAATCCACTGTCTAATCCTCACACAGGGACTTCAGGCTCCTCAGCATGAGAATAGGACACTGTGAGAGATAGTCTTCAGGAGGCCTGAAGGCTGATCACCATAGAGATTCCTTGGTTTTTGTCCCAGAAACTGTGGGTAAAATTCCCTATTCTGGTAGATCGTTATCCCAATATCATTTGTCCCAAGTTTGTGCAAATGGTTATGCCATATTTTTCCAATCGATTTAAAGCAAATGCCCCCAAATGGCTGCTAGGAGAAAAACTGCACTATTCAGCCCTGTCTCATCAAATACTCAGATTGTTCATGGTAGTGAGGATTTGAGACGCTGAAATTAGAGTGAAGGATGAAATCGACAAGATCTACAAAATTGAGACAAAATCAGAGTTGTGTGAATTTGTCACATCTGCCCAGATCCAACATCTTGAGAGTAGGATTAGGGCGCCACGGGCATGGCCTGAGACTAGGAAGAGAGCCTTGCTCACTGACCCATCCCTTGTCTGGGCTTCCAAGTGGAACTAGAGTTTCACTCAACCTACATGTGCCTATAGTTCCTCCCTGTGGCAATGACATCTCTCAGCTCAGTAAGGGCCACTTGCAGTAGGAATATGACCCTAACCAGAAGACTCAGTGGATCCTTATCACCTTCATAGAAAGGTACTCACCATCCATGTCAACAGCCAAGCCAACATGCTGTTGCTCCAATACATAAAAGGCACTTCTGTAGGGCTGGCATGAGTCAGTCAGTTCAAGACAACCTGAAGGAGTTGAATAACATCTATCCAGTGAGTCCTGCAAGACTTCAGGCCCTTTCTCATCCAGCAGCTCCCTGCTGAGCCTGGAAAAGTGGGAAAAAGTAAAGAATAAGCCAGGGGGAATCAGAAACCACACAGCCCCAGCTAGATTTCATGGCTAACGTAAGGAAGAGTTTGAAAAGAAAAAGGACAGATCCATTAATGAGGTAACAAATTATTGCCTTTATGTTGGGACAGAACAGGGCCAGGTAGAAAACAATGAAAGAGAAAGACAGACAGAGACAGAGACAGAGACAGAGAGAAAGTGACCTAGTGAATTGGCCAGGTGACATACTGGTAAGGGAGTCAAAGGACACTCTGAGTTAGTGCCCTCATGACACACAGCAAACTGTGATCATGAAAAGAGTGAGCTCAATAGTTTTACATAAAATATGCTCAAAATTCGATGCAGTGGCCATGAGAGTACAGCTTTTGAAGTATGGTCAACCTATGGTACGTTAGGAAATGATAAGGGGAGGAAGAAATGGAAACCTAAACATCTACTGCAATGAAAACCAACAGCAATGACAGTAGGAGTAATTCAGCCTTCGCTGAAAACATGTCATCAAACACACTCTGGTTTCCCTGAATCTGTTGCCTCCAGGTGTTAACACAGAATTAAGCATCCACAATTGCTGAAAGTCACCTGGGGCATGGTGGGTTTTGATCTTCTTCCCCTTCTTTTCTTCCCCTTCTTCTTTCCTTCTTTGATCTTCTTCCCCTTCTTTTCTTCCCCTTCCCCTTCTTTTCAATTTCTGCAATAAATTCAGACATGGACAGACACATTAAGCTGATTCCCCTACACACATAACAATCCACTGTCTAATCCTCACACAGGGACCTCAGGCTCCTCAGCATAAGAATAGGACACTGTGAGAGATATATTTCAGGAGGCCTGAAGGCTGGTCATGATAGAAATTCCTCGGTTTTTCTCCCAGAAACTGTGGGTAAAATGTCCCTATTCTAGTAGATCGTTATCCCAATATCATTTGTCCCAAGTTTGTGCAAACAGTTACGCCATATTTTTCCAATCAACTTAAAGCAAATACCCTCAAATGATTTCTAGGAGAAAAACTGCAATATTTAGCCCTGTCTCATCAAATACTCAGATTGTTCATGGTTGTGAGGACTTTAGACACTGAAATTAGAGTGAAAAAGGAAATCTACAAACCCTTGAGTCAAAATCATAGTTCTCTGAATTTGTCACATCTGCCCAGGTCCAATGTCATGAGAATAGGATCAGGGCGCCACAGGTATGGCCTGAGACTAGGAAGAGAGTCTTGCTCACTGACCCATCCCTTGTCTGGGCTTCCAGGTAGAACTAGAGTTTCATTCAACCTACATGTGCCTATAGGTCCTCCCTGTGGCAATGACATCTCTCAGCTCAGTAATGGCCACTTGGAGCAGGAATATGATCTTTATATGGAAGACTCAGTGGATCCTTATCACCTTCATAGAAAGGTACTCACCTCCCACGTCAAGAGAAAAGCCAACATGTTTTTCCTCCAATGCATAAAAGGAACTTCCATAGGGCTGGCAGGAGTCAGGCTGTTCAAGACAACTGGAAGGAGTTGAATAACATCTATCCAGTGAGTCCTGCAAGACTTCAGGCTCTACTACCTCCAGCAGCTCCCTGCTGAGCCTGGAAAAGGAGGAAAAAGTAAAGAATAAGCCAGGGGAAATCAGACACAACAGAGCCCCAACTAGGTTTCATGGGTAGCATAGGGAAGTGGTTAAAAAACTAAAAGGATAGATCCATTAATGAGGTAACAAATTATTGCCTTCATGTTGGGACAGAACAGGGCCAAATGGAAAAGAATGAAAGAGAAAGACAGATAGACACACACACACACACACACACACACACACACACAGAGAGAGAGAGAGAGAACGAGCTCAGTGAATTGTCCAGGTGACGCACTGATGAGGGAGTAACAGGACACTCTGAGTTAGTGCCCTCAGGACACACAGCATACAGGGATCATGAAAAGACTGTGCTCAATAATTTTCCATAAAATGTGCTCAAGTTTCCATGCAGTCGCCATGAGAATACAGTTTTTGAAGTCTGGTCCACCTACAGTAGGTTAGTAAATGATAAGGGGAGGAAGAAATGGAAACCTAAATATCTACTGCAATGAAAACCAACAGCAATGTTAGTAGGAATAATTCAGGCTTGGTTGAAAAGATGTAATCGATAATGTCAGCCCGCTCTGTTTTCCCTGAACCAGGAGTCTCCAGATGTCAACACAGAAGTAGCTGTTCACAATTGCTCAGTTACCTGGGGCATGGTGGGTCTTGGTCTTCTTCCTCTTCTTCGTCCTTTTTAATTCCTGCAATACATTCAGACAGGGACAGACAAAATAAGCCAATTCACCTACACCCATAACAGTCCACTGTCTAATCCCCACACAGGGATCTCAGGCTCCTCAGCATGAGAACAGGACAATGTGAGAGATATACTTCAGGAGGCCTGAAAGCTGGTCATGATATTCTTTGGTTTGCATCTCAGAACCAAGGGTGAAATATCCCCATTCTGGTACATCGTTATCCCAAAATCATTTATCCCAAGTTTGTGCAAACAGTTATGCTTTATTGTTCCCATCAGTTCAAAGAAAATGCCCCAGATGATTTCCAGGAGGAAAACTAAAGTATTCAGCCCTGTCTCATCAAATGCCCAGCTCGTTCATGGATGCAAGAATTTTAGACACTGAAATTAGAATGAAGGAGGAAATCTACAAACCCTTCAGTCCAAATCATACTTCTGTGAATTTTTTACATCTGCCTGGGTCCAATGTGCTGAGAGCGGGCTCAGGTTGCCACAGGCATGGCTGGAGACTAGGAATAGAGCCTTGCTCACTGACCCATTTCATGTCTAGGCTTCCAACTGAGACTACAGTTTCATTACAACCTATATGCGCCCATAGGTCCTGCCTGCGGCAATGACGTCTCTCGGGTCAGTAAGGGGCACTTGGAACAGGAATATCACCCCTATCTGGAAGACCAGGTGGAGGCTTATCACCTTCACAGTAAGGTACTCACTGTCCACGTCAAGAGCCAAGCCAAGGTACTGTTCCTCCAATGAGTAAACAGCACTGCTGTAGGGCTGGCCTAAGTCAGGCAGTTCAAGATAACCTGAAGGAGTCGAATAACATCTATCCAGTGAGTCCTGCAAGACTTCAGGCTCTTTCTCATCCAGCAGCTCCCTGCTGAGCCTGGAAAAGTAGGAAAAAGTAAAGAATAAGCCAGGGGGAATCAGAAACCACACAGCCCCAGCTAGATTTCATGGCTAACATAAGGAACTGTTTAAAAAGAAAAAGGACAGATCCGTTAATGAGGTAATGAATTATTGCCTTTATGTTGGGATAGACCAGGGCCAGGTAGAAAAGAATGAAAGAGAAAGACAGGGAGAGGGAGAGAGAGAGAGAGGAGAAAGTGAGCTCAGCGAATTGGCCGGGTGACACACTGATGAAGGGGTCAAAGGACACTCTGAGTTAGTGCCCTCGGGACACACAGCGAACAGTGATCATGAAAAGAGTGGGCTCAATAATTTTCCATAACCTTGCTCAAGATTCCATGCAGTTGCCATACAGCCTTTGAGGTATGGTCAACCTATAGTAAGTGAGTAAATGATAAGGGGAGGAAGAAATGGAAACCTAAACATCTACTGCAATGAAAACCAACAGCAATGTCAGTAGGAGTAATTCAACCTTCGTTGAAAACATGAAATTGAACACACTCTTGTTTTCCCTGGACCTGGCATCTCCAGGTGTCAACACAGAATTAAGCATCCATAATTGCTCATAGTTACCTGGGGCATGATGGGTCTTGGTCTTCTTCCACTTCTTGGTACTTTTCAATTTCTGCAATAAGTTCAGACATGGACAGACATATTAAGCTGGTTCTCCTAAACACACATAACAATCCACTGTCTAATCCTCACACAGGGACTTCAGGCTCCTCAGCATGAGAATAGGACACTGTGAGAGATATTCTTCAGGAGGCATGAAGGCTGATCACCATAGAGATTCCTTGGTTTTTGTCCCAGAAACTGTGGGTAAAATTCCCTATTCTGGTAGATCGTTATCCCAATATCATTTGTCCCAAGTTTGTGCAAATGGTTATGCCATATTTTTCCAATCGATTTAAAGGAATTGCCCCCAAATGGTTGCTAGGAGAAAAACTGCACTATTCAGCCCTGTCTCATCAAATACTCAGATTGTTCATGGTAGCGAGGATTTCAGACGCTGAAATTAGAGTGAAGGATGAAATCTACAAGATCTACAAAATTGAGACAAAATCAGAGTTGTGTGAATTTGTCACATCTGCCCAGGTCCAATGTCATGAGAGTAGGATTAGGGCGCCACAGGCATGGCCTGAGACTAGGAAGAGAGCCTTGCTCACTGACCCATCCCTTGTCTGGGCTTCCAAGTGGAACTAGAGTTTCATTCAACCTACATGTGCCTATAGGTCCTCCCTGTGGCAATGACATCTCTCAGCTCAGTAAGGGCCACTTGCAGTAGGAATATGACCCTAACCAGAAGACTCAGTGGATCCTTATCACCTTCATAGAAAGGTACTCACCATCCATGTCAACAGCGAAGCCAACACGCTGTTGCTCCAATACATAAAAGGCACTTCTGTAGGGCTGGCATGAGTCAGTCAGTTCAAGACAACCTGAAGGAGTTGAATAACATCTATCCAGTGAGTCCTGCAAGACTTCAGGCCCTTTCTCTTCCAGCAGCTCCCTGCTGAGCCTGGAAAAGTGGGAAAAAGTAAAGAATAAGCCAGGGGGAATCAGAAACCACACAGCCCCAGCTAGATTTCATGGCTAACGTAAGGAAGAGTTTGAAAAGAAAAAGGACAGATCCATTAATGAGGTAACAAATTATTGCCTTTATGTTGGGACAGAACAGGGCCAGGTAGAAAACAATGAAAGAGAAAGACAGACAGAGACAGAGACAGAGACAGAGAGAAAGTGACCTAGTGAATTGGCCAGGTGACATACTGGTAAGGGAGTCAAAGGACACTCTGAGTTAGTGCCCTCATGACACACAGCAAACTGTGATCATGAAAAGAGTGAGCTCAATAGTTTTCCATAAAATATGCTCAAAATTCGATGCAGTGGCCATGAGAGTACAGCTTTTGAAGTATGGTCAACCTATGGTACGTTAGGAAATGATAAGGGGAGGAAGAAATGGAAACCTAAACATCTACTGCAATGAAAACCAACAGCAATGACAGTAGGAGTAATTCAGCCTTCGCTGAAAACATGTCATCAAACACACTCTGGTTTCCCTGAATCTGTTGCCTCCAGGTGTTAACACAGAATTAAGCATCCACAATTGCTGAAAGTCACCTGGGGCATGGTGGGTTTTGATCTTCTTCCCCTTCTTTTCTTCCCCTTCTTCTTTCCTTCTTTGATCTTCTTCCCCTTCTTTTCTTCCCCTTCCCCTTCTTTTCAATTTCTGCAATAAATTCAGACATGGACAGACACATTAAGCTGATTCCCCTACACACATAACAATCCACTGTCTAATCCTCACACAGGGACCTCAGGCTCCTCAGCATAAGAATAGGACACTGTGAGAGATATATTTCAGGAGGCCTGAAGGCTGGTCATGACAGAAATTCCTCGGTTTTTCTCCCAGAAACTGTGGGTAAAATGTCCCTATTCTAGTAGATCGTTATCTCAATATCATTTGTCCCAAGTTTGTGCAAACAGTTACGCCATATTTTTCCAATCAACTTAAAGCAAATACCCTCAAATGATTTCTAGGAGAAAAACTGCAATATTTAGCCCTGTCTCATCAAATACTCAGATTGTTCATGGTTGTGAGGACTTTAGACACTGAAATTAGAGTGAAAAAGGAAATCTACAAACCCTTGAGTCAAAATCATAGTTCTCTGAATTTGTCACATCTGCCCAGGTCCAATGTCATGAGAATAGGATCAGGGCGCCACAGGTATGGCCTGAGACTAGGAAGAGAGTCTTGCTCACTGACCCATCCCTTGTCTGGGCTTCCAGGTAGAACTAGAGTTTCATTCAACCTACATGTGCCTATAGGTCCTCCCTGTGGCAATGACATCTCTCAGCTCAGTAATGGCCACTTGGAGCAGGAATATGATCTTTATATGGAAGACTCAGTGGATCCTTATCACCTTCATAGAAAGGTACTCACCTCCCACGTCAAGAGAAAAGCCAACATGTTTTTCCTCCAATGCATAAAAGGAACTTCCATAGGGCTGGCAGGAGTCAGGCTGTTCAAGACAACTGGAAGGAGTTGAATAACATCTATCCAGTGAGTCCTGCAAGACTTCAGGCTCTACTACCTCCAGCAGCTCCCTGCTGAGCCTGGAAAAGGAGGAAAAAGTAAAGAATAAGCCAGGGGAAATCAGACACAACAGAGCCCCAACTAGGTTTCATGGGTAGCATAGGGAAGTGGTTAAAAAACTAAAAGGATAGATCCATTAATGAGGTAACAAATTATTGCCTTCATGTTGGGACAGAACAGGGCCAAATGGAAAAGAATGAAAGAGAAAGACAGATAGACACACACACACACACACACACACACACACACACACACACACAGAGAGAGAGAGAGAGAACGAGCTCAGTGAATTGTCCAGGTGACGCACTGATGAGGGAGTAACAGGACACTCTGAGTTAGTGCCCTCAGGACACACAGCATACAGGGATCATGAAAAGACTGTGCTCAATAATTTTCCATAAAATGTGCTCAAGTTTCCATGCAGTCACCATGAGAATACAGTTTTTGAAGTCTGGTCCACCTACAGTAGGTTAGTAAATGATAAGGGGAGGAAGAAATGGAAACCTAAATATCTACTGCAATGAAAACCAACAGCAATGTTAGTAGGAATAATTCAGGCTTGGTTGAAAAGATGTAATCGATAATGTCAGCCCGCTCTGTTTTCCCTGAACCAGGAGTCTCCAGATGTCAACACAGAAGTAGCTGTTCACAATTGCTCAGTTACCTGGGGCATGGTGGGTCTTGGTCTTCTTCCTCTTCTTCGTCCTTTTTAATTCCTGCAATACATTCAGACAGGGACAGACAAAATAAGCCAATTCACCTACACCCATAACAGTCCACTGTCTAATCCCCACACAGGGATCTCAGGCTCCTCAGCATGAGAACAGGACAATGTGAGAGATATACTTCAGGAGGCCTGAAAGCTGGTCATGATATTCTTTGGTTTGCATCTCAGAACCAAGGGTGAAATATCCCCATTCTGGTAGATCGTTATCCCAAAATCATTTATCCCAAGTTTGTGCAAACAGTTATGCTTTATTGTTCCCATCAGTTCAAAGAAAATGCCCCAGATGATTTCCAGGAGGAAAACTGCAGTATTCAGCCCTGTCTCATCAAATGCCCAGCTCGTTCATGGATGCAAGAATTTTAGACACTGAAATTAGAATGAAGGAGGAAATCTACAAACCCTTCAGTCCAAATCATACTTCTGTGAATTTTTTACATCTGCCTGGGTCCAACGTGCTGAGAGCGGGCTCAGGTTGCCACAGGCATGGCTGGAGACTAGGAATAGAGCCTTGCTCACTGACCCATTTCATGTCTAGGCTTCCAACTGAGACTACAGTTTCATTACAACCTATATGCGCCCATAGGTCCTGCCTGCGGCAATGACGTCTCTCGGGTCAGTAAGGGGCACTTGGAACAGGAATATCACCCCTATCTGGAAGAACAGGTGGAGGCTTATCACCTTCACAGTAAGGTACTCACTGTCCACGTCAAGAGCCAAGCCAAGGTACTGTTCCTCCAATGAGTAAACAGCACTGCTGTAGGGCTGGCCTAAGTCAGGCAGTTCAAGATAACCTGAAGGAGTCGAATAACATCTATCCAGTGAGTCCTGCAAGACTTCAGGCTCTTTCTCATCCAGCAGCTCCCTGCTGAGCCTGGAAAAGTAGGAAAAAGTAAAGAATAAGTCAGGGGGAATCAGAAACCACACAGCCCCAGCTAGATTTCATGGCTAACATAAGGAACTGTTTAAAAAGAAAAAGGACAGATCCGTTAATGAGGTAATGAATTATTGCCTTTATGTTGGGATAGACCAGGGCCAGGTAGAAAAGAATGAAAGAGAAAGACAGGGAGAGGGAGAGAGAGAGAGAGGAGAAAGTGAGCTCAGCGAATTGGCCGGGTGACACACTGATGAAGGGGTCAAAGGACACTCTGAGTTAGTGCCCTCGGGACACACAGCGAACAGTGATCATGAAAAGAGTGGGCTCAATAATTTTCCATAAACTTGCTCAAGATTCCATGCAGTTGCCATACAGCCTTTGAGGTATGGTCAACCTATAGTAAGTGAGTAAATGATAAGGGGAGGAAGAAATGGAAACCTAAACATCTACTGCAATGAAAACCAACAGCAATGTCAGTAGGAGTAATTCAACCTTCGTTGAAAACATGAAATTGAACACACTCTTGTTTTCCCTGGACCTGGCATCTCCAGGTGTCAACACAGAATTAAGCATCCATAATTGCTCATAGTTACCTGGGGCATGATGGGTCTTGGTCTTCTTCCACTTCTTGGTACTTTTCAATTTCTGCAATAAGTTCAGACATGGACAGACATATTAAGCTGGTTCTCCTAAACACACATAACAATCCACTGTCTAATCCTCACACAGGGACTTCAGGCTCCTCAGCATGAGAATAGGACACTGTGAGAGATATTCTTCAGGAGGCATGAAGGCTGATCACCATAGAGATTCCTTGGTTTTTGTCCCAGAAACTGTGGGTAAAATTCCCTATTCTGGTAGATCGTTATCCCAATATCATTTGTCCCAAGTTTGTGCAAATGGTTATGCCATATTTTTCCAATCGATTTAAAGGAATTGCCCCCAAATGGTTGCTAGGAGAAAAACTGCACTATTCAGCCCTGTCTCATCAAATACTCAGATTGTTCATGGTAGCGAGGATTTCAGACGCTGAAATTAGAGTGAAGGATGAAATCTACAAGATCTACAAAATTGAGACAAAATCAGAGTTGTGTGAATTTGTCACATCTGCCCAGGTCCAATGTCATGAGAGTAGGATTAGGGCGCCACAGGCATGGCCTGAGACTAGGAAGAGAGCCTTGCTCACTGACCCATCCCTTGTCTGGGCTTCCAAGTGGAACTAGAGTTTCATTCAACCTACATGTGCCTATAGGTCCTCCCTGTGGCAATGACATCTCTCAGCTCAGTAAGGGCCACTTGCAGTAGGAATATGACCCTAACCAGAAGACTCAGTGGATCCTTATCACCTTCATAGAAAGGTACTCACCATCCATGTCAACAGCGAAGCCAACACGCTGTTGCTCCAATACATAAAAGGCACTTCTGTAGGGCTGGCATGAGTCAGTCAGTTCAAGACAACCTGAAGGAGTTGAATAACATCTATCCAGTGAGTCCTGCAAGACTTCAGGCCCTTTCTCTTCCAGCAGCTCCCTGCTGAGCCTGGAAAAGTGGGAAAAAGTAAAGAATAAGCCAGGGGGAATCAGAAACCACACAGCCCCAGCTAGATTTCATGGCTAACGTAAGGAAGAGTTTGAAAAGAAAAAGGACAGATCCATTAATGAGGTAACAAATTATTGCCTTTATGTTGGGACAGAACAGGGCCAGGTAGAAAACAATGAAAGAGAAAGACAGACAGAGACAGAGACAGAGACAGAGAGAAAGTGACCTAGTGAATTGGCCAGGTGACATACTGGTAAGGGAGTCAAAGGACACTCTGAGTTAGTGCCCTCATGACACACAGCAAACTGTGATCATGAAAAGAGTGAGCTCAATAGTTTTCCATAAAATATGCTCAAAATTCGATGCAGTGGCCATGAGAGTACAGCTTTTGAAGTATGGTCAACCTATGGTACGTTAGGAAATGATAAGGGGAGGAAGAAATGGAAACCTAAACATCTACTGCAATGAAAACCAACAGCAATGACAGTAGGAGTAATTCAGCCTTCGCTGAAAACATGTCATCAAACACACTCTGGTTTCCCTGAATCTGTTGCCTCCAGGTGTTAACACAGAATTAAGCATCCACAATTGCTGAAAGTCACCTGGGGCATGGTGGGTTTTGATCTTCTTCCCCTTCTTTTCTTCCCCTTCTTCTTTCCTTCTTTGATCTTCTTCCCCTTCTTTTCTTCCCCTTCCCCTTCTTTTCAATTTCTGCAATAAATTCAGACATGGACAGACACATTAAGCTGATTCCCCTACACACATAACAATCCACTGTCTAATCCTCACACAGGGACCTCAGGCTCCTCAGCATAAGAATAGGACACTGTGAGAGATATATTTCAGGAGGCCTGAAGGCTGGTCATGACAGAAATTCCTCGGTTTTTCTCCCAGAAACTGTGGGTAAAATGTCCCTATTCTAGTAGATCGTTATCTCAATATCATTTGTCCCAAGTTTGTGCAAACAGTTACGCCATATTTTTCCAATCAACTTAAAGCAAATACCCTCAAATGATTTCTAGGAGAAAAACTGCAATATTTAGCCCTGTCTCATCAAATACTCAGATTGTTCATGGTTGTGAGGACTTTAGACACTGAAATTAGAGTGAAAAAGGAAATCTACAAACCCTTGAGTCAAAATCATAGTTCTCTGAATTTGTCACATCTGCCCAGGTCCAATGTCATGAGAATAGGATCAGGGCGCCACAGGTATGGCCTGAGACTAGGAAGAGAGTCTTGCTCACTGACCCATCCCTTGTCTGGGCTTCCAGGTAGAACTAGAGTTTCATTCAACCTACATGTGCCTATAGGTCCTCCCTGTGGCAATGACATCTCTCAGCTCAGTAATGGCCACTTGGAGCAGGAATATGATCTTTATATGGAAGACTCAGTGGATCCTTATCACCTTCATAGAAAGGTACTCACCTCCCACGTCAAGAGAAAAGCCAACATGGTTTTCCTCCAATGCATAAAAGGAACTTCCATAGGGCTGGCAGGAGTCAGGCTGTTCAAGACAACTGGAAGGAGTTGAATAACATCTATCCAGTGAGTCCTGCAAGACTTCAGGCTCTACTACCTCCAGCAGCTCCCTGCTGAGCCTGGAAAAGGAGGAAAAAGTAAAGAATAAGCCAGGGGAAATCAGACACAACAGAGCCCCAACTAGGTTTCATGGGTAGCATAGGGAAGTGGTTAAAAAACTAAAAGGATAGATCCATTAATGAGGTAACAAATTATTGCCTTCATGTTGGGACAGAACAGGGCCAAATGGAAAAGAATGAAAGAGAAAGACAGATAGACACACACACACACACACACACACACACACACACACACACACACACACACAGAGAGAGAGAGAGAGAACGAGCTCAGTGAATTGTCCAGGTGACGCACTGATGAGGGAGTAACAGGACACTCTGAGTTAGTGCCCTCAGGACACACAGCATACAGGGATCATGAAAAGACTGTGCTCAATAATTTTCCATAAAATGTGCTCAAGTTTCCATGCAGTCACCATGAGAATACAGTTTTTGAAGTCTGGTCCACCTACAGTAGGTTAGTAAATGATAAGGGGAGGAAGAAATGGAAACCTAAATATCTACTGCAATGAAAACCAACAGCAATGTTAGTAGGAATAATTCAGGCTTGGTTGAAAAGATGTAATCGATAATGTCAGCCCGCTCTGTTTTCCCTGAACCAGGAGTCTCCAGATGTCAACACAGAAGTAGCTGTTCACAATTGCTCAGTTACCTGGGGCATGGTGGGTCTTGGTCTTCTTCCTCTTCTTCGTCCTTTTTAATTCCTGCAATACATTCAGACAGGGACAGACAAAATAAGCCAATTCACCTACACCCATAACAGTCCACTGTCTAATCCCCACACAGGGATCTCAGGCTCCTCAGCATGAGAACAGGACAATGTGAGAGATATACTTCAGGAGGCCTGAAAGCTGGTCATGATATTCTTTGGTTTGCATCTCAGAACCAAGGGTGAAATATCCCCATTCTGGTACATCGTTATCCCAAAATAATTTATCCCAAGTTTGTGCAAACAGTTATGCTTTATTGTTCCCATCAGTTCAAAGAAAATGCCCCAGATGATTTCCAGGAGGAAAACTAAAGTATTCAGCCCTGTCTCATCAAATGCCCAGCTCGTTCATGGATGCAAGAATTTTAGACACTGAAATTAGAATGAAGGAGGAAATCTACAAACCCTTCAGTCCAAATCATACTTCTGTGAATTTTTTACATCTGCCTGGGTCCAACGTGCTGAGAGCGGGCTCAGGTTGCCACAGGCATGGCTGGAGACTAGGAATAGAGCCTTGCTCACTGACCCATTCCATGTCTAGGCTTCCAACTGAGACTACAGTTTCATTACAACCTATATGCGCCCATAGGTCCTGCCTGCGGCAATGACGTCTCTCGGGTCAGTAAGGGGCACTTGGAACAGGAATATCACCCCTATCTGGAAGACCAGGTGGAGGCTTATCACCTTCACAGTAAGGTACTCACTGTCCACGTCAAGAGCCAAGCCAAGGTACTGTTCCTCCAATGAGTAAACAGCACTGCTGTAGGGCTGGCCTAAGTCAGGCAGTTCAAGATAACCTGAAGGAGTCGAATAACATCTATCCAGTGAGTCCTGCAAGACTTCAGGCTCTTTCTCATCCAGCAGCTCCCTGCTGAGCCTGGAAAAGTAGGAAAAAGTAAAGAATAAGCCAGGGGGAATCAGAAACCACACAGCCCCAGCTAGATTTCATGGCTAACATAAGGAACTGTTTAAAAAGAAAAAGGACAGATCCATTAATGAGGTAATGAATTATTGCCTTTATGTTGGGATAGACCAGGGCCAGGTAGAAAAGAATGAAAGAGAAAGACAGGGAGAGGGAGAGAGAGAGAGAGGAGAAAGTGAGCTCAGCGAATTGGCCGGGTGACACACTGATGAAGGGGTCAAAGGACACTCTGAGTTAGTGCCCTCGGGACACACAGCGAACAGTGATCATGAAAAGAGTGGGCTCAATAATTTTCCATAACCTTGCTCAAGATTCCATGCAGTTGCCATACAGCCTTTGAGGTATGGTCAACCTATAGTAAGTGAGTAAATGATAAGGGGAGGAAGAAATGGAAACCTAAACATCTACTGCAATGAAAACCAACAGCAATGTCAGTAGGAGTAATTCAACCTTCGTTGAAAACATGAAATTGAACACACTCTTGTTTTCCCTGGACCTGGCATCTCCAGGTGTCAACACAGAATTAATCATCCATAATTGCTCAAAGTTACCTGGGGCATGATGGGTCTTGGTCTTCTTCCACTTCTTGGTACTTTTCAATTTCTGCAATAAGTTCAGACATGGACAGACATATTAAGCTGGTTCTCCTAAACACACATAACAATCCACTGTCTAATCCTCACACAGGGACTTCAGGCTCCTCAGCATGAGAATAGGACACTGTGAGAGATATTCTTCAGGAGGCATGAAGGCTGATCACCATAGAGATTCCTTGGTTTTTGTCCCAGAAACTGTGGGTAAAATTCCCTATTCTGGTAGATCGTTATCCCAATATCATTTGTCCCAAGTTTGTGCAAATGGTTATGCCATATTTTTCCAATCGATTTAAAGAAATTGCCCCCAAATGGTTGCTAGGAGAAAAACTGCACTATTCAGCCCTGTCTCATCAAATACTCAGATTGTTCATGGTAGCGAGGATTTCAGACGCTGAAATTAGAGTGAAGGATGAAATCGACAAGATCTACAAAATTGAGACAAAATCAGAGTTGTGTGAATTTGTCACATCTGCCCAGGTCCAATGTCATGAGAGTAGGATTAGGGCGCCACAGGCATGGCCTGAGACTAGGAAGAGAGCCTTGCTCACTGACCCATCCCTTGTCTGGGCTTCCAAGTGGAACTAGAGTTTCATTCAACCTACATGTGCCTATAGGTCCTCCCTGTGGCAATGACATCTCTCAGCTCAGTAAGGGCCACTTGCAGTAGGAATATGACCCTAACCAGAAGACTCAGTGGATCCTTATCACCTTCATAGAAAGGTACTCACCATCCATGTCAAAAGCGAAGCCAACACGCTGTTGCTCCAATACATAAAAGGCACTTCTGTAGGGCTGGCATGAGTCAGTCAGTTCAAGACAACCTGAAGGAGTTGAATAACATCTATCCAGTGAGTCCTGCAAGACTTCAGGCCCTTTCTCATCCAGCAGCTCCCTGCTGAGCCTGGAAAAGTGGGAAAAAGTAAAGAATAAGCCAGGGGGAATCAGAAACCACACAGCCCCAGCTAGATTTCATGGCTAACGTAAGGAAGAGTTTGAAAAGAAAAAGGACAGATCCATTAATGAGGTAACAAATTATTGCCTTTATGTTGGGATAGAACAGGGCCAGGTAGAAAACAATGAAAGAGAAAGACAGAGAGAGAGAGACAGAGACAGAGACAGAGACAGAGAGAAAGTGACCTAGTGAATTGGCCAGGTGACATACTGGTAAGGGAGTCAAAGGACACTCTGAGTTAGTGCCCTCATGACACACAGCAAACTGTGATCATGAAAAGAGTGAGCTCAATAGTTTTCCATAAAATATGCTCAAAATTCGATGCAGTGGCCATGAGAGTACAGCTTTTGAAGTATGGTCAACCTATGGTACGTTAGGAAATGATAAGGGGAGGAAGAAATGGAAACCTAAACATCTACTGCAATGAAAACCAACAGCAATGACAGTAGGAGTAATTCAGCCTTCGCTGAAAACATGTCATCAAACACACTCTGGTTTCCCTGAATCTGTTGCCTCCAGGTGTTAACACAGAATTAAGCATCCACAATTGCTGAAAGTCACCTGGGGCATGGTGGGTTTTGATCTTCTTCCCCTTCTTTTCTTCCCCTTCTTCTTTCCTTCTTTGATCTTCTTCCCCTTCTTTTCTTCCCCTTCCCCTTCTTTTCAATTTCTGCAATAAATTCAGACATGGACAGACACATTAAGCTGATTCCCCTACACACATAACAATCCACTGTCTAATCCTCACACAGGGACCTCAGGCTCCTCAGCATAAGAATAGGACACTGTGAGAGATATATTTCAGGAGGCCTGAAGGCTGGTCATGATAGAAATTCCTTGGTTTTTCTCCCAGAAACTGTGGGTAAAGTGTCCCTATTCTAGTAGATCGTTATCTCAATATCATTTGTCCCAAGTTTGTGCAAACAGTTACGCCATATTTTTCCAATCAACTTAAAGCAAATACCCTCAAATGATTTCTAGGAGAAAAACTGCAATATTTAGCCCTGTCTCATCAAATACTCAGATTGTTCATGGTTGTGAGGACTTTAGACACTGAAATTAGAGTGAAAAAGGAAATCTACAAACCCTTGAGTCAAAATCATAGTTCTCTGAATTTGTCACATCTGCCCAGGTCCAATGTCATGAGAATAGGATCAGGGCGCCACAGGTATGGCCTGAGACTAGGAAGAGAGTCTTGCTCACTGACCCATCCCTTGTCTGGGCTTCCAGGTAGAACTAGAGTTTCATTCAACCTACATGTGCCTATAGGTCCTCCCTGTGGCAATGACATCTCTCAGCTCAGTAATGGCCACTTGGAGCAGGAATATGATCTTTATATGGAAGACTCAGTGGATTCTTATCACCTTCATAGAAAGGTACTCACCTCCCACGTCAAGAGAAAAGCCAACATGTTTTTCCTCCAATGCATAAAAGGAACTTCCATAGGGCTGGCAGGAGTCAGGCTGTTCAAGACAACTGGAAGGAGTTGAATAACATCTATCCAGTGAGTCCTGCAAGACTTCAGGCTCTACTACCTCCAGCAGCTCCCTGCTGAGCCTGGAAAAGGAGGAAAAAGTAAAGAATAAGCCAGGGGAAATCAGACACAACAGAGCCCCAACTAGGTTTCATGGGTAGCATAGGGAAGTGGTTAAAAAACTAAAAGGATAGATCCATTAATGAGGTAACAAATTATTGCCTTCATGTTGGGACAGAACAGGGCCAAATGGAAAAGAATGAAAGAGAAAGACAGATAGACACACACACACACACACACACACACACACACACACACACACACACACACAGAGAGAGAGAGAACGAGCTCAGTGAATTGTCCAGGTGACGCACTGATGAGGGAGTAACAGGACACTCTGAGTTAGTGCCCTCAGGACACACAGCATACAGGGATCATGAAAAGACTGTGCTCAATAATTTTCCATAAAATGTGCTCAAGTTTCCATGCAGTCACCATGAGAATACAGTTTTTGAAGTCTGGTCCACCTACAGTAGGTTAGTAAATGATAAGGGGAGGAAGAAATGGAAACCTAAATATCTACTGCAATGAAAACCAACAGCAATGTTAGTAGGAATAATTCAGGCTTGGTTGAAGAGATGTAATCGATAATGTCAGCCCGCTCTGTTTTCCCTGAACCAGGAGTCTCCAGATGTCAACACAGAAGTAGCTGTTCACAATTGCTCAGTTACCTGGGGCATGGTGGGCCTTGGTCTTCTTCCTCTTCTTGGTCCTTTTTAATTCCTGCAATACATTCAGACAGGGACAGACAAAATAAGCCAATTCACCTACACCCATAACAGTCCACTGTCTAATCCCCACACAGGGATCTCAGGCTCCTCAGCATGAGAACAGGACAATGTGAGAGATATACTTCAGGAGGCCTGAAAGCTGGTCATGATATTCTTTGGTTTGCATCTCAGAACCAAGGGTGAAATATCCCCATTCTGGTACATCGTTATCCCAAAATCATTTATCCCAAGTTTGTGCAAACAGTTATGCTTTATTGTTCCCATCAGTTCAAAGAAAATGCCCCAGATGATTTCCAGGAGGAAAACTAAAGTATTCAGCCCTGTCTCATCAAATGCCCAGCTCGTTCATGGATGCAAGAATTTTAGACACTGAAATTAGAATGAAGGAGGAAATCTACAAACCCTTCAGTCCAAATCATACTTCTGTGAATTTTTTACATCTGCCTGGGTCCAATGTGCTGAGAGCGGGCTCAGGTTGCCACAGGCATGGCTGGAGACTAGGAATAGAGCCTTGCTCACTGACCCATTTCATGTCTAGGCTTCCAACTGAGACTACAGTTTCATTACAACCTATATGCGCCCATAGGTCCTGCCTGCGGCAATGACGTCTCTCGGGTCAGTAAGGGGCACTTGGAACAGGAATATCACCCCTATCTGGAAGACCAGGTGGAGGCTTATCACCTTCACAGTAAGGTACTCACTGTCCACGTCAAGAGCCAAGCCAAGGTACTGTTCCTCCAATGAGTAAACAGCACTGCTGTAGGGCTGGCCTAAGTCAGGCAGTTCAAGATAACCTGAAGGAGTCGAATAACATCTATCCAGTGAGTCCTGCAAGACTTCAGGCTCTTTCTCATCCAGCAGCTCCCTGCTGAGCCTGGAAAAGTAGGAAAAAGTAAAGAATAAGTCAGGGGGAATCAGAAACCACACAGCCCCAGCTAGATTTCATGGCTAACATAAGGAACTGTTTAAAAAGAAAAAGGACAGATCCATTAACGAGGTAATGAATTATTGCCTTTATGTTGGGATAGACCAGGGCCAGGTAGAAAAGAATGAAAGAGAAAGACAGGGAGAGGGAGAGAGAGAGAGAGAGAGAGAGGAGAAAGTGAGCTCAGCGAGTTGGCCGGGTGACACACTGATGAAGGGGTCAAAGGACACTCTGAGTTAGTGCCCTCGGGACACACAGCGAACAGTGATCATGAAAAGAGTGGGCTCAATAATTTTCCATAAACTTGCTCAAGATTCCATGCAGTTGCCATACAGCCTTTGAGGTATGGTCAACCTATAGTAAGTGAGTAAATGATAAGGGGAGGAAGAAATGGAAACCTAAACATCTACTGCAATGAAAACCAACAGCAATGTCAGTAGGAGTAATTCAACCTTCGTTGAAAACATGAAATTGAACACACTCTTGTTTTCCCTGGACCTGGCATCTCCAGGTGTCAACACAGAATTAAGCATCCATAATTGCTCAAAGTTACCTGGGGCATGATGGGTCTTGGTCTTCTTCCACTTCTTGGTACTTTTCAATTTCTGCAATAAGTTCAGACATGGACAGACATATTAAGCTCGTTCTCCTACACACATAACAATCCACTGTCTAATCCTCACACAGGGACTTCAGGCTCCTCAGCATGAGAATAGGACACTGTGAGAGATATTCTTCAGGAGGCCTGAAGGCTGATCACCACAGAGATTCCTTGGTTTTTGTCCCAGAAACTGTGGGTAAAATTCCCTATTCTGGTAGATCGTTATCCAAATATCATTTGTCCCAAGTTTGTGCAAATGGTTATGCCATATTTTTCCAATCGATTTAAAGCAAATGCCCCCAAATGGTTGCTAGGAGAAAAACTGCACTATTCAGCCCTGTCTCATCAAATACTCAGATTGTTCATGGTAGCGAGGATTTTAGACGCTGAAATTAGAGTAAAGGATGAAATCTACAAGATCTACAAAATTTAGACAAAATCAGAGTTGTGTGAATTTGTCATATCTGCCCAGATCCAACATCTTGAGAGTAGGATTATGGTGCCACAGGCATGGCCTGAGACTAGGAAGAGAGCCTTGCTCACTGACCCATCCCTTGTCTGGGCTTCCAAGTGGAACTAGAGTTTCATTCAACCTACATGTGCCTATAGGTCCTCCCTGTGGCAATGACATCTCTCAGCTCAGTAACGGCCACTTGCAGTAGGAATATGACCCTAACCAGAAGACTCAGTGGATCCTTATCACCTTCATAGAAAGGTACTCACCATCCATGTCAATAGCCAAGCCAACACGCTGTTGCTCCAATATGTAAAAGGCACTTCTGTAGGGCTGGCATGAGTCAGTCAGTTCAAGACAACCTGAAGGAGTTGAATAACATCTATCCTGTGAGTCCTGCAAGACTTCAGGCCCTTTCTCATCCAGCAGCTCCCTGCTGAGCGTGGAAAAGTAGGAAAAAGTAAAGAATAAGCCAGGGGGAATCAGAAACCACACAGCCCCAGCTAGATTTCATGGCTAACATAAGGAAGAGTTTGAAAAGAAAAAGGACAGATCCATTAATGAGGTAACAAATTATTGCCTTTATGTTGGGATTGACTAGGGCCAGGTAGAAAAGGATGAACGAGAAAGACACACACACACACACACACACACACACACACACACACAGAGCGAGCTCAGTCAATTGGTCAGGTGACACACTGATGAGGGAGTCAAAGGACACTCTGTATTTGTGCTCTCAGGACACACAGTGAACAGTGATCATGAAAAGCATGTCCTCAATAATTTTGCATAAAATGTGCTCAAGTTTCCCGGCAGTTACCATGAGAATACAGCTTTTGAGGTATGGTCAACTTTCACTAGGTTAGTAAATGATAAGGGTAGGAAGAAATGGAAACCTAAACATTTACTCTAATGAGAACCAAAAAGCAATGTAGTAGGCATAATTCAGACTTGTCTGACAAGACAAAATCATTATTTTCAGGATGTACTGTTTTCCCTGGACTTGGCATCTCCAGGTGTCAACATCAAATTAACTGTCCACAATTTCTCAGACTCACCTGGGACCTGTTGCCTCTTGGTCCTCCTTTTTCACTTGATCCCACCGATGTCCTGCAAATAAATTCAGATGTGCCCTCTTACATTAAGTTCTTCCTTGCACACAGAAACATTCCTCTGTCCAATCCTAACACAGGGACATCAGTCTTGTCAGTGTGAGAACAGGAGACTTTCAGAGAAATATTCCAGTAGGCCTGAGGTCAAGTCTTGAGAAAACTGGCTTGGGTTCTTTCATGAGCCTTGGGCAAAATTCCCCTGTGTTGGAATGTTATCTTCCCTATGTGCTCTGTCCTAGGTTTATGTACACAAATGAGCAATTTTTTCCCCAATAAATTGTAGGCAAATAGTTCTAACACCTCATAGGAGAGATACTTCAATATTAAGCTTTCTCTCATCAAATACCCAGAATTTGATAGTTTATGAGATTGTGGACACAGAGATTTGATGAAGGGGTGCAATGTACCAGCTCTTGAGTCAAAATGAAACTTGGTTCTACACAGAAGCATCAGCTATTATGGCTTTTGTGGGTGAAAAGTCAGCCATTTATCTAGAAAACATACCAGGAACATGACGGACAGATGAGCTAAAACAAGCGAACTTAGAAGACACAGAAAATGGGAATAAATTCAGTGAAACCTGGGTCACATCTTTCACTGAGAGGTAGACAAGGGTGACACTGGCCTTGGGCAGGTAAAGAACCACACAGACATGCTTTGGGAACAAAACTCATAAGGAATTTTGTAGCTGGCAAGAGACATTTAATTCAGATGAGCTGATCTGACAGACAACTCCTGGGCATGTGCTACATAGTTTGGTGTGAGTTTGCCACACCTGCCTTGAGTTTAATGTCGTGACAGTCAGTCCAGGTTGGCACGGGCATGGCCTGAGACTAGGAAGAGAGTAAAGCTCACTGACCCACCCCATGCCTGTGCTTCAGACTTGACTCCAGAGTGACTGAAGTCTACATTGATATATAGGTTCAGCCCACGGTGATGGCAAATCTCAGCCCAACAAGGGGCACAAGGCCCAAAGATTATGGGGTCTACCTGGGCCATGAACTGGAGCTTTATCACCTTCACAATGGAGTACTCACTGCCTATGTCAACAGCCATGCAGACTTGCTGTTCCTCTAATGAGTGAAATGTGCTGCTGTAAGACTGGTACGAGGCCAACATTTCAGGAGGAATTGAGAGAGTCGAATAACCTTCATCCCAGGACTCCTGGGGGACTTCCTCCTCTTCAGACTCCTGCAGATTCCTGATGAGCCAGGCAGGACAGGGATGATAGAAGATTTAACCAACAGACATTAGACAACAAAACCTCCCAGATGATCTGATGGGAGACAGAATGGAGTGGTCACAGAAACCAAAGGCATTTTTCCTTCAAGAGAAATAAAACTATCCTTCTAAATACAGGGTGGAGGGTGACTGCTCTGGGGACAGAGCAAAAATGGGCAGCATGTGCTCAGTACATTTGCCACAGATGAGCCAACTCAGGGCACCCGGACTCTCCCTGTAAACTACCATCATGACTTGCAGCACAGAGAACTGACACAGGGCTTCAACTACTTTGCATAAATTGGGTTGAATTTTACATGCAGCATTCAAGTGAAGAGAGTTCTTGACGCAGTGCAGACACAGATCTTGTGTATTAAGGGCCCCATTTTCCCAATATTTTGATATAATATATTTACTTTTTCAATTTCTTTTCTTGCAAAAATACTAGCCAACATACTACCAACAAATAGGAAGAAAGAATATATACACCTCTCCCTGGATTTAAACACATGGGAGAGAATAGGCAACACCAAGAAATCCCTGTTTGAGGGTCTGGAGTGGACTTCCAGCAAACTCCAACAGACCTGAAGCTGAGGGACCTGACTGTTAGAAGGAAAACTAACACACAGAAAGGAATAGCATCAACATCAACAAAAAAGACATCTACCCCAAAACCCCATCTGTAGGTCGCCATCATCAAAGACCAAGGGTAGATAAAACCACAAAGGTGGGGAGAAACCAGAGCACAAAAGCTGAAAATTCCAAAAACCTGACATCCCTTCTCCTCCAAAGGATCGCAGCTCCTCGCCAGCAATGGAACAAAGCAGGATGGAGAATGACTTTGATGAGCTGACAGAAGTAGGCTTCAGAAAGTCGGTAATAACAAACTTCTCTGAGCTAAAGGAGGATGTGCGAACTCATCGCAAGGAAGCTAAAAACCTTGAAAAAAGATTAGACAAATGGCTAACCAGAATGAACAGTGTAGAGAAGACCTTAAATGACCTGATGGAGCTGAAAACCATGGCACGAGAACTACGTGATGCATGCACAAGCTTCAGTAGCCAATTCGATCAAGTGCAAGAAATGGTATCAGTGATTCAAGATCAAATTAGTGAAATGAAGCAAGAAGAGAAGTTTAGAGAAAAAAGAGTAAAAAGAAATGAACAAGCCTCCAATAAATATGGGACTATGTGGAAAGACCAAATCTACGTTTGATTGGTGTACTGAAAGTGACGGGGAGAATGGAACCAAGCTGGGAAACATTCTTCAGGATATTATCCAGGAGGACTTCCCCAACCTAGCAAGGAAGGCCAACATTCAAATTCAGGAAACACAGAGAACACCATAAAGATACTCCTCGAGAAGAGCAACCCCAAAACACGTAATTGTCAGATTCACCAAGGTTGAAATGAAGGAAAAAATGCTAAGGGCAGCCAGAGAGAAAGGTCGGATTACCCACAAAGGGAAACCCATCAGACTAGCAGCAGATCTCTTGGCACAAACCCTACAAGCCAGAAGAGAGTGGGAGCAATATTCAACATTCTTTTTTTTTTCCATATGTATAGTTTTCCTTTATTATTTTTTGTGTGTATGTATATATATATATATATTTTTTAATACTTTAAGTCTTAGGGTACATGTGCACAACGTGCAGGTTAGTTACATATGTATACATGTCCACATTGGTGTGCTTCACCCATTAACTCATCATTTAACATTAGGTATATCTCCTAATGCTACCCCTCCTCCCTCCCCACACCCTACAACAGGCCCCAGTGTGTGATGTTCCCCTTTCTGTGTCCATGTGTTCTCATTGTTCAATTCCCACCTGTGAGTAAGAACATGCGGTATTTGGTTTTTTGTCCTTGCAATAGTTTGCTGAGAATGATGGTTTCCAGCTTCATCCATGCCCCTACAAAGGACATGAACTCATCATTTTTTATAGCTGCATAGTATTCCATGGTGTATATGTGCCACATTTTCTTAATCCAGTCTATCATTGCTGGATATTTGGCTTGGTTCCAAGTCTTTGCTATTGTGAATAGTGCCGCAATAAACATATGTGTGCATGTGTCTTTACAGCAGCATGATTTATAATCCTTTGGGTATACACCCAGTAATGGGATGGCTGGGTCAAATGGTATTTCTAGTTCTAGATCCCTGAGGAATTGCCACACTGCCTTCCACAATCGTTGAACTAGTTTACAGTCCCACCAACAGTGTAAAAGTGTTCCTATTTCTCCACATCCTCTCCAGCACCTTCAACATTCTTAAAGAAAAGAATTTTCAACCAAGAATTTCATATCCAGCCAAACAAAGCTTCATAAGTGAAGGAGAAATAAATCCTTTACAGAGAAGCAAATGCTGAGAGATTTTGTCACCACCAGGCCTGCCTTACAAGAGCTCCTAAAGGAAGCACTAAACATGGAAAGGAACAACCGGTACCAGCCACTGCAAAAACATGCCAAACTGTAAAGACCATTGACGCTAGGAAGAAACTGCATCAACTAACGGGCGAAATAACCAGCTAACATCATAACGACAGGATCAAATTCACACATAACAATATTAACCTTAAATGTAAATGGGCTAAATGCCCCAGTTAAAAAACACAGAATGGCAAATTGGATAAAGAGTCAAGACCCATCAGTGTGCTGTACTCAGGAAACCCATCTCACATGCAGAGACACACATAGGCTCAAAATAAAGGGATGGAGGAAGATCTACCAAGCAAATGGAAAACAAAAAAAGGCAGGTGTTGCAATCCTAGTCTCTGATAAAACAGACTTTAAACCAACAAAGATCAAAAGAGACAAAGAAGGCCACTACATAATGGTAAAGGGATCAATTCAACAAGAAGAGTTAACTATCCTAAATATATATGCACCCTATACAGGAGCACCCAGATTCATAAAGCAAGTCCTGAGAGACCTACAAAGAGATTTAGACTCCACACAATCATCATGGGAGACTTTAACACCCCACTGTCAATATTAGACAGATCAATGAGACAGAAGCTTAACAAGGATATCCAGGACTTGAACTCAGCTCTCCACCAAGCAGACCTAAAAGACATCTACAGAACTCTCCACCCCAAATCAACAGAATATACATTCTTCTCAGCACCACATCACACTTATTCCAAAATTGACCACATAGTTGGAGGTAAAGCACTCGTCAGCAAATGTAAAAGAATGGAAATCACAACAAACTGTCAGACCACAGTGCAATCAAATTAGAACTCAGGATTAAGAAACTCACTCAAAACCACACAACTACATGGAAACTGAACAACCTGCTCCTGAATGACTACTGGGAAAATAACAAAATGAAGGCAGAAATAAAGATGTTCTTTGAAACCAATGAGAACAAAGACACAACATACCAGAATCTCTGGGACACATTTAAAGCAATGTGTAGAGGGAAAATTATAGCACTAAATGCCCACAAGAGAAAGCAGAAAAGATCTAAAATTGACACCCTAACATCACAATTAAAATAACTAGAGAAGCAAAGCAAACAAATTCAAAAGCTAGCAGAAGACAAGAAGTAACTAAGATCAGAGCAGAACTAAAGGAGATAGAGACACAAAAAACCCTTCAAAAAATCAATGAATCCAGGGCTGGTTTTTTGAAAAGATCAACAAGAAAACCCTGTTTGGCTAGTTCACCTGGCTCATCTGATGGCAAGTTCCTATCTTGAGAGGACTATGAAATTAAAACCAATACAAGTGCCACAAATAACATACAACATTGTAAATCAGCACAATTTGTAGCTGGGTGAATGGAAGAAATAGTTCTATTCATCACTTCCTCATTTTCCCTAAATCTACAATCTCCAGATGTCACTACTGAATTAACAGCCAACAATTCCACAACATTACCTGGGAGACACTGGCCCTTTTTCTTCCTCTTCCTCATCATCACTTTCATTTTCTGTAAATAAATTCAGAGAAGCAGGTCACATTAAGCAATTCATACTTCACATATGAACAAATCACTGTCCAGTCATAGCACAAGGACATAACTATTCTCAGTGCAAGAATAAGGATTCTGACAGGAATATTCTAGGGTGTCCTAGATTAACTTTGGTGAGAATTAGATGACCCTGCTTTCCAGACCCACAGGCCAAAATCTCCCTCTACGTGTAGACCATAATGCCATATTCCCTGCCTGAGTCAAAGTTAAACAAAATTTTTTCCCCAAAAAAATCTCCAAAAATTGGTCAAACAATTTTCTAAGAGTGTTGCTGCGATACGGACTTATATCACCAGGTAACATGGACATTAAATGTTTAGAGGCATCTATACATGAAACACGACTGATAGATAAATTTGAACAACTCTTGCTTTAAAAAGAATCTGTGATTTGGGAGGCCAAGACAGGTGAATCATTTGAGGTCATGAGTTCAGGACTACCCTGGCCAATATGGGGAAACCCTGTCTCTACTAAAAATACAAAAATTAGCCAGATGTGATGTTGTGCACCTGTGGTCCCAGCAACTCAGGAGGCTGAGGCAGGAGAATCACTTGAATCTGGGAGGCAGAGGTTGCACCAAGCCAAGATGGTGCCACTGCACTCCAGCCTGGGTGACAGAGCAAGACTCCATTGCAAAAAAAAAAAAAAAAAAAATCCACGATGCTACAAAGAAACATTGGATCAGCCATTGCATTGACAGGGTGGAGAACCAGGGTCCAGCCTTGCTTTATGGAAATATATCAGCAAAGTAAAGAAGAAAAGTTTCCGTCCTGATTTCAGGGTGACTGTGCAGCTAAGCAAGCTGACTTAAAGGAGATCCAGATGAAAGCTGAGAGCAGTGAAGCCTGGGGAACAATATTTCCAAATACAAAGGCAAGGCTGCCAGCTTCCTTAAACAGGCATAGAAACTCCATGGACATTGTTCAGGGACAGATGACTTAATCACAGATGACAAGAGATACTGAATCGAAGATAGGAGGCCTGACAGATACTGCCTGTGCACCTCCTGCACTCAGGTGACTATGAGATTGTCACACTTGCCTGGGGTTGAGTAACTTGATACTGGGGACTGGCAGACAAAGTCATGACATTAGCTGAGAAGGACAAACAAACTCCCTGATATCTGTTTAGAAACCCATCACAGTTTTTTATTCAAATGAATTTGTGTTTATAGAGCCTGTCTTCAGAGTTTATCTTTCTCAGCCTAGAGAGAGGTATGAGACACAAGGAAAACAGAGGCTACCTGGAATAATGTGTACAGCATCCTCCCATTCAACATGAGAGGATGAGCCAATGAGAGTTGAGTCGACTTTGTCTTCCTCAAATGTGATTTTGGTTTTCCTATGTGGCTGGTTGGAGTCATAAGAGCCATGGCTATTTGAATAAGTGATGGCACATTCCTCCAGTGAGTCCTCAGGGACTTCCTTTTCTTCAGCCTTCTGCATCTCCCTGATGAGCCAGGTGGGACAGAGATGACAGAAGATTAAACACAGAGGGATTGGACCCCAGGGAGTCCTAGCTGGTTTTGACAGGCGGCATTAAGAGAGTGGTCCCAGAAAGCAAAATGGAGGTTCCCATTAAGAGGGAACATGCAATCCTGTTCTCTCTGCAACAGAGCATGGCTGCCATGGGAACCAGAGAGGAAGAGAGCAGCTGCTGTTCATTGCACTGGACAGATAGGAGCTGAGGAGGATGAAGACTCAGCTATCCCTGTACGGTGCAGACATGACACTCAGCACACATAGAGAAACATGACAGCTACCGCACCCTGTGTCTAAGCTGGATTATATTTCACATACTGTGGCCAAGCGAATGCGGGTTTTTGGCCCATCATAGATGCCAGAGAGGGTGTGCCTCCTAGATATTCCTCATATGTTACCATCCATTAATTGTTCCTGAGTATTCAGTGTTACCTGGGGGCAGATGATTTCTGCACTTTCTCAGCCACCTCAACTTGAACATCTTCATCGTCATCGTTGTCATTTTCTGCAAATACAGAAGTGTTCGTTCAGGTATTTCCCACTTCACAGTCTGCAAGCACAGTCAGCCCAATGTGCAACAGAGACATGAACATCTAGGCATGGGTCACCGTTCAACTGAAAACTCTCATGTTTTATCTTTAACAGAATGCCCTGGCATGGTTTCCTGATCCATCAGGCAATGCATTTCTGATCTGGAGGGCCACCATCAAGATGTGGCCAAATATTGAAAAGACCTTTTGCTTCCCATATCACTGGAGGCTTGTGCAGCCTCTCTCTGGACGTTGGCAGCTGTCTCCCCCATCCTGCCAGATCTGATTCCCAGGCACAGGCTTGGTGTCCTGTCACGGTTTGCATTTCAAACCTCATTCTTTCTCTTAGAAGCAGACAAACTTGTCCCACAGTCCTCTATGCATCAGAAGATTTCAAGCCTCCAAGTGGCTTCTGCTGTGTTCTTCAGGGACATTCTATCCATGGGGAGTGCTCCAGTCTGAAGCACTTCCTACCACAAAACGCCCCCACATAAAGTGCCTTCTCCAACATCACACGGCAAGGGCCTTCATCTCATTTTGGAAAGCAGTTGTAAGTGTTCCCACATTTGAATGCTTCAGACCCTTGCAAGAGACAATTTGTCTGCCACGGAGAGAGAGAAACTCAGGAAGGACAAGTCATTCACTCTCTGACAGTTACTAAGAACATTGCCGAAAAGACAGCCTGGGAACCTTCATTCTTAGTCCTGAGCTCTTTTCACTCTAACAAGCCTGCTCCCATCGCAGCCTCCTTCCTGTCCTTTAAAACTAGACAGATGCTGCCTCTTGCTCCAAAGACCACCTTTCATCAAGGGAGGAGGGACACTTGCAATACTGTGACCTCCAACCCCATGGGTTTCCCATCTCCGTTCTTACCCAAGAAGTCCTGGTCATGTCATGGCCACATAAGCTTAGTGGAAAAAAACACCATTGATACAACTGTCATTGTGAAAGTATGGAGGTCTGGAGTCTCTCATAAGCCTGGGATTTTGGGTCATCAGGGCCTATGGCCACCTTACCTGGGCTGAGCTTTTGGACAAGGTGCTGTGCCAGTCTACACCCCTCAGCCAGCTGTTCTTGGAGGTCCTGCCCCTGGGACTTGTCCGGCTCATACGGAGTGAGGAGGGCCTGGAGATGCTCATTCAATGAGCGGGAGGCATCTCTCCCTTCCCGTAACTTCTCCTTTAACTGGGTCAGCTCTCGTTCCTGAGCGTGAACCAGGACTTTATATTGCCTAAGGTGAGACGGTAGAGAAAATTTAAGAGTGGAAAGGGTTGAGTGATCCGCTCAAATATTGCAACAGAGATTTCTGAGACAATGTCCTCAAGGAGACCTCGAAGCAGAAGGTCAGCACATGTGGAAAGGAATGTCTGTGGCCAAGAGAAAGAATAGAAAATGGTTTACAGGCTTCCTCTGTATCAGAGAGGGCTCTTGCAAGATCCTCGATGATGTTCCATTCATCTTTCTCTTCTGTAAACAAAAGTAGGTGTCTTCCTAATTCCGTTTCAAAAAGACATCCTTTCAGTTCCTCACTCTGGCCATGGACATTTCCATGTGAAAATACACATAGTGCATCTTGCGGCCACTAGATACAAAGCCATGTACAGAAATGAGGCCAGGTGCAGATGGGGCGAATTGAAAAGATGAAAGAAGAAAAGAAGGACAGGGTCGAGAAGGCAACATTGATTGAGTGAAAGAATGAGAAGCCGCAGTCAGTCAGGAGGTGATTCTCACTAAGGGTAAGTGGGGTGGTGATGGCACACCATTTTGAGTATACTGAATGCTGCTGTGTGGTTCACACTCCTTTGGTTAATTTTGTGTTATGTAAATTTCACATCAACAATTACTTGTTTGAAAAAGAGAAAACAAGGCTCTGAGAAACAACTGCAACCCATACATTTTTACTATCCTTCTTCTCTGATAAATATTTGTGTGTAGCGAGCCTGCCATGGCAATTCCTGCCCTTCCCCTGGCCCAGCTTAGCTCTTACGTCTCCCCACCGAGCTGCTGTACTTCAGAGATTTACACACCTGCGCCCCTGCCTGCCCCCATGGGGTCCCCTCACCTGAGCTCCTCAGCTTGCTTGAGCTGCTCTGCAAGCTTCTCCTCCTTGAACTGTCGCTCATTCCTCAGCATAAATTTTATGAGGTCTTTGCACTCTTCATATTCTGAGAAAAGACAGACACACCTGCCTCAGTGGAAGGCTGGACATGCTGCTGTGGTCATTGCCTACAGGACAGGAGCCAGGTCCATCCCAAGGACAAAACTCTCCCCAGTACCAGGGTCTAGACAGGGATTTCCACATCTTTACTCTTCAGTCTCCTGACTTTCTGGCATCTGATCCTCCAAAATTTAGAGATGAAGAAAGAGAACCTCAAGGGCACATCAAGGAAGTTGACAAGATGATTCAACCACAATGAAGTGGAGTCAGAATTCACAGTCCCTGAGGTCTGACTCTGAATGCGGGGCCACTTTCCCAAGCCTTGCAGCCTCTCCTCTAAAACACTGCACTGGGGCATGAAGTAGTGATTTCTTGTACAGTCGGGAAGGCCCCTAGGACTATGGGACTGATGGTTTCCCTTTTACTGGGAATTTCAAGGACAAGTATGCGAAAGATTTTTAAAATCTTTGATTTTTAAATCATATCTTCAGTTATGATTTTAAGAATCATATCTGAAGCATAAAGTGTGACACATAACACCATAAGGCCATGAAGGAAATATGCCCAAATGCTAATAAAGTTTGTGTTAATTTAGAAACAGCAGAATGAAGAACTAATAGATAGTGTTTACTGTGTGCCAATAAATGTTCTAGGAGATTGACAAGAAATAGCTCATGTAATTCACTGCAGCAATTTACAGAGGTAGGTATTATTGTAGTACCCTCTGAACAGGTGAGGAAACTGAGGGACAGACAAGACAAGCAACTTGGATGGAGCCCAGGAGACAGGCCCACGGTCCCTGCTCTGTACACTGCACTGCTATCTCCACACATTCTCGGGTGCGATCTTTCTTCCTCTTTAGCAACAAGACTCTGTGCCCCAGGAAGCAGGACTTCACTCTCACCAAGCTACTCTCTGCTTTTTATTCTTATTTTTATTTATCATTATTATTATTATTATTTTTAACAGTCTTGCCCTGTCGCCCAGGCTGGAGTGCAATGGCAAAATCTTGGCTCACTGCAACCTCAGCCTCCTGGGTTCAAAGGATTCTCCTGCCTCAGCCTCCTGAGCAGGGGTGATTACAGTCACCTGCCACCACGCCCATCTACTTTTTGTATTTTTAGTGGAGATGGGGTTTCTCCATGTTGCCCAGGCTGGTCTCAAACTCCTGACCTCATGATCTGCCCGCCTCAGCCTCCCAAAGTGCTGGGATTACAGGAGTGAGCCACCATGCACGGCCCCTACTCCCTGCTCTTGATGCTGTCACTTATAGACAGCACAGGTTCTATTAGGAGTAGACTCCTCTTGAAGCCCCTCAGAGCAGGTACTGGCTACTATCACCAAGTTCCCCTCAGAGTCACTAGAACAGAGCTTTGCCTGTTGGGCCTCAACAGAAACTTGAACTGAATAAAAGTTCACTAGTCTCAGACATTTAGAACAACAGACTAGATGTTATTTGTCTGCAGGATCTTATATGGTACAGAGAGGATTCTTGAAAACACGATTGAGCCTCTTGGAGAAAACAGGTCATTCTGTGCCTGTGTCAGAAATCAATAAATGGCAGTTTAACTCTAGTCCCACCCCCACCTGATTGCAAACATGGAAAGTTGCTAAATACTTTGGTACCTCTGTCTTCCAACTTTGACAAAATGTTAAAATACCCATTTCTGTTTTCCTAGAAGTACAGGAAGGATGAAATTATTTTTGATGGAGAGAGCATTTAGTGTCTCAGAGAGAAGACAGGATATCATTCATCACTTTCATGATGGTGAGCCTATAGATCTTACTGTATTTCTTCTGTTGGTTGGCCAGGAAGCCGGACAGTTGAGTTAGAAAACATTTCTCTTTGAGGTTTCTGAACTGCTGTTTCTTCTCTGCCAGCTGGGGGCGCAATTTCTCATTGATTTCTAGAATGTTCATCTCTGCCTTCTCGCTGGACAAAGGGCCGGCTGATACCACCATGCTGACGTTTGTGGCAGAAGAGGTGGGGCCAGGGACTGGGGAGAAGAAAGGCAAACACATGATGGGTTAAAAACTGGTGAAATCAAATAGGCTTAATCAGGACTGAGGGATGTCACTGGCAGCCTTGTTTACTTATTTGAAGATGATGTTTCCCTGGTTTCACTCTTGTCATCTCCAGTCTTGATCTCCTTTAAGTCAACTTGTCTTAGCTATGCAGTCACCTTGAAACCAGGACATAAACACTTCTACACTTTTCTTGCTTATACGTTTCTATAAAGCAAGGCTTGGCCCTGAGATTTTTACCCCATGAGTGGCCAATGTTTCTGTGTAGCACAAAAGATTTCATTTTGCTTTTTTAATTTTTTTCTTTTTTGGTTTTTTGTTTTTTGTTTGAGACGGAGTCTCACTCTGTCACGCAGGCTGCAGTGCAGAGGCACAATCTCAGCTCACTGCCACCTCTGCCGCCCGGGTTCAAGCGATTCTCATCCCTCAGCCTGCCAAGCATCTGGGATTACAAGCGCCAAGTAACATGCCAGCTAATTTTTGTATTTTTAGTAGAGACGGGGTTTCGCCATCTTGGACAGGCTGGTTTCGAACTCCTGAGCTCAGGTGTTCCGCCCACCTCAGCCTCCCAAAGTGCTGGGATTAAGATGTGAGCCAGCGCCCCTGGTCAGAGACTTACTTTTTTTTTTTTTTTTTTTTTTTTTGAGATGGAGTCTCGCTCTGTCTCCCAGGCTGGAGTGCAGTGGCACAATCTCGGCTCACTGCAAGCTCCGGTTCCTGGGTTCATGCCATTCTCCTGCCTCAGCCTCCTGAGTAGCTGGGACTACAGGCGCCCACCACCACGCCCAGCTATTTTTTTTTTTTTTTTTGTATTTTTAGTAAAGACGGGGTTTCACCGTGTTAGCCAGGATGGTCTCAATCTCCTGACCTCATGATCCACCCGCCTCGGCCTCCCAAAGTGCTCGGATTACAGGTGTGACCCACTGCGCCCAGCCGAGACTTATTAATAGCTAAGACAAGCCAATGAAAAGGAGAGAGAGTCTAGCCTGACAGAAGTGAATGAGAGTGGGAGGATCATCTCAGCCCATCCTCCCACCTAAGTCTCCTGAGCAGTTGGGACTATAGGCGTGCAGCACCATGCCTGCCTAATTTTTTGTATTCTTTGTAAAGATGGGTTTCACCATATTGTGTAGGCTGGTCTTCAACTCCTGAACTCAAGTCATCGTCCCACTTGGGCCTTCCAAAGTGCTGTGATTATATGTGTGAGTCACAGCACCTAGCTCCATCCTAGTTTCTGACTAAAACAATAACAATATGTGTATATACAGCCTGTCCTCAGAATTGATCTTCCATAGCCTAGACAGAGGTATGAGACACAAGGAAAATAGAGGCTACCTGGGAGAATGTTTAGAGCATCCTGACATTCATCATGAGAGGATTCTCTGTCTACAACCAGAGTTGAGTTGACTTCGTCTTCCTCAAATGTGATTTTGATGTTCTTGTGAGGCTGGTTGGAGTCACAAGGGCCGTGGCTATTTGAACAAGTGATGGCACATTCCTCCAGTGAGTCCTCAGGGACTTTGCTCTCTTCAGCCTTCTGCACCTCCCTGATGAGCCAGGTGGGACAGAGATGACAGAAGATTAAACACAGAGGGATTGGACCCCAGGGAGTCCTAGCTGGTTTTGACAGGCGGCATTAAGAGAGTGGTTCCAGAAAGCAAAACGGAGGTTCCCTTAAAGAGGGAACAGGCAATCCTCTTCTCTCTGCAACAGACCATGGCTGCCATGGGAGCCAGAGAGGAAGAGAGCAGCTGGTGTTCAGTGCACTGAACAGATAGGAGCTGAGGAGGATGAAGACTCAGCTATCCCTGCATGGTACAGACATGACACTTGGCACACATAGAGAAACACGACAGCTGCCGCACCCTGTGTCTAAGCTGGGTTCAATTTCACATACTGTGGCCAAGGGAATGCGGGCATTTGGCCCATCATAGATGCCAGAGAGGGTGTGCCTCCTAGACATTTTCATACGTTACCACCCATTACTTGCTCCTGAGTATTCAGTGTTACCTGGGGGCAGATGATTCCAGTACTTTCTCAGCCTCCTCAACTTGAACATCTTCATCCTCATCTTCGTCATTTTCTAGAAATACAAAATGTTCGTTCAGATATTTCCCACTTCACATTCTGCAAGCACAGCCAGCCCAACGTGCACAGAGACATGAACATCTATGTATGGTTCAGCATTGTACTGAAAACTCTCATGTTTTATCTTTCACAAAATGCCCTGGCATGGTTTCCTGCTCCATCGGGCAATGCATTTCTGATGTGGAGGGCCACCATCAAGATGTGGCCAAATACCGAAAAGACCTTTTGCTTCCCATATCACTGGAGGCTTGTGCAGCCTCTCTCTGGACTTTGGCAGCTGTCTCCCCCATCCTGCCACAGATCTGATTCCCAGGAACAGGCTTGGTGTCCTGTCACAGTTCGCATTTCAAACCTCATTCTTTCTCTTAGGAGAGGACAAACTTGTCCCACAGTCCTCTATGCGTCATGAGACTGCACAGGCCCTCCATGTGGCTTCTGCTGTGTTATTCAGGGACATTCTATCCATGGGGAGTGCTCCAGTCTGAAGCACTTCCTACCACCAAATGCCCCCACATCAAGTGCCTTCTCCAACACCACATGGAGAGGGGCTTCATCTCATTTTGAAAAGCATTCGTAAGTGTTCCCATATTTGGATGCTTCAGACCCTTGCAAGAGACAATTTGTCTGCCTTTGCAGATGGAGAGAGAGAAACTCTGAAAAGATAAATCACTCACTGACACTTACTAAGAACATTGCCAAAAATACAGCCTGGGAACCTTCATTCTTAGCCCAGAGCTCTTTTCACTCCAACAAGCACCCTTCCATCACAGCCTCCTTCCTGTCCTTTAAAACTAGATAGATGCTGCCTCTTGCTCCAAAGACCACCTTCCATCAAGGAAGGAGGGACACTTGCAATACTGTGACCTCCAAACCCATGGGTTTCCCATCTCTGTTCTTACCCAGGAAGTCCTGATCATGTCATGGCCACATAGGTGTAGTAGAAAAAAACCCCACTGATACAACTGTCATTGTGAAAGTATGGAGGTCTGGAGCCTCTCATAAGCCTGGGGTTTTGGGTCATCAGGGCCTATGGCCACCTTACCTGGGCTGAGCTTTTGGACAAGGTGCTGTGCCAGTCTACACCCCTCAGCCAGCTGTTCTTGGAGGTCCTGCCCCTGGGACTTGTCCGGCTCATCCGGAGTGAGGAGGGCCTGGAGATGCTCATACAATGAGCGGGAGGCATCTCTCCCTTCCCGTAACTTCTCCCTTAGCTGGGTCAGCTCTCGTTCCTGAGAGTGAACTAGGACTTTATATTGCCTAAGGTGAGACGGTAGAGAAAATTTAAGAGTAGAAAGGGTTGAGTGATCCGTTCAAATATTGCAACAGAGACTTCTGAGACAATGTCGTCAAGGAGACCTCCAAGCAGAAGGTCAGCACATGTTGAAAGGAATGACTGTGGCCAAGAGAAAGAATAGAAAATGGTCTACAGGCTTTCCCTCTATCAGAGAGGGCTCCTGCAAGATCCTCGATGATGTTCCATTCATCTTTCTCTTCTGTAAACAAAAGTAGGTGTCTTCCTAATTCCGTTTCAAAAAGACATCCTTTCAGTTCCTCACTCTGGCCATGGACATTTCCATGTGAAAATACACATAGTGCATCTTGCGGCCACTAGATACAAAGCCACGTACAGAAATGAGGCCAGGTGCAGATGGGGCGAATTGAAAAGATGAAAGAAGAAAAGAAGGACAGGGTCGAGGAGGCAACATTGATTGAGTGAAAGAATGAGAAGACGCAGTCAGTCAGGAGGTGATTCTCACTAAGGGTAAGTGGGGTGGCGATAGCACACCATTTTGATTATACTGAATGCTGCTGGGTGGTTCCCACTCCTTTGGTGAATTTTGTGTTATGTAAATTTCACATCAACAATTACTTGTTTGAAAAAGAGAAAACAAGGCTCTAAGAAACAACTGCAACACAGAACTTATTATTATCCTTGCTCTCTGATAAATATTTGTGTGTCATGAGCCTGCCATGGCAATTTCTGCCCTTCCCCTGGCCCAGCTTCGTTCTTACTTCTCCCCGCCGAGCTGCTGTACTTCAGAGATCTACACACCTACCCGCCTGCCTCCCCCTATGGGGTCCCCTCACCTGAGCTCCTCAGCTTGCTTCAGCTGCTCTGCAAGCTTCTCCTCCTTGAACTGTCGCTCATTCCTCAGCATAAATTTTATGAGGTCTTTACACTCTTCATACTCTGAAAAAAGACAGACACGCCTGCCTCAGTGGAAGGCTGGACATGCTGCTGTGGTCACTGCCTACAGGGCAGGAGCCAGGTCCATCCCAAGGACAAAACTCTCCCCAGTACCAGGGTCTAGACAGGGATTTCCACATCTTTACTCTTCAGTCTCCTGACTTTCTGGCATCTGATCCTCCAAAATTTAAAGACGAAAAAAGAGAAACTCAAGGGCACATCAAGGAAGTTGACAAGATGATTCAACCACAACGAAGTGGAGTCAGAACTCACAGCCCCTGAGGTCTGACTCTGAATGCGGGGCCACTTTCCCAAGCCTTGCAGCCTCTCCTCTAAAACACTGCACTGGGGCATGAAGTAGTGATTTCTTGTACAGTCGGGAAGGCCCCTAGGACTATGGGACTGATGGCTTCCCTTTTACTGGGTATTTCAAGGACAAATATGTCAAGGACTTTAAAAATATTTCACTTTTAAATCAATATTCAGATATGGTTTTAAGAATCATATCTGAAGCATAAAGTGTGAGACATAAGACAATAAGGCCATGAAGGAAATATGCCCAAATACTTTATTAGTATGAGAGGCAGCATTAAGATTTAGATTAGTTGTGTTAATTTAGAAACAGCATAAGATTAGTTTGTGTTAATTTAGAAACATCAGAATGAAGAACTAATAGATAGTGTTTACACTGTGCCAATTAATGTTCAAGGAGATTGACAGGAAATACCTCAGGTAATTCATTGCAGCAATTTACAGAGGTAGGTATTATTGTAGTACCCTCTGAACAGATGAGGAAACTGAGGGACAGACAAGACAAGCAACTTGGATGGAGCCCAGGAGACAGGCTGAGGGTCCCTGCTTTGCACACTGCACTGCTGCTTCCACACATTCTCCGGTGTGATCTTTCCTCTTTAGGAACAAGAGCCTGTGCACCAGGAAGCAGGACTTCACTCTCACCAAGGTACTCTCTGCTTTTTATTTTTATTTTTGATTTATTTATCGTTTTGTTTGTTTGTTTTTTGACGAGTCTTGCCCCGTCACCCATGCTGGAGTGCAATAGTGCAATCTTGGCTCACTGCAACATCTGCCTGCTGGGTTCAAAGGATTCTTCTGCCTCAGCCTCCCGATTAGTGGTGATTACAGTTGCCCGCCACGATGCCCATCTACTTTTTGTATTTTTAGTGGAGATGGGGTTTCTCCACGTTGCCCAGGCTAGTCTCAAACTGCTGACCTCGTGCTCTGCCCGCCTCAGCCTCCCAAAGTGCTGAGATTATAGGAGTGAGCCACGTTGCACGGCCCCTACTCCCTGCTCTTGATGCTGTCACTTATAGATAGCACAGGTTCTATTAGGAGCAGACTCCCCTTGAAGCCCCTCAGAGCAGGTACTGGCTACTATCACCAAGTTCCCCTCAGAGTCACTAGAACAGAGCTTTGCCTGTTGGGCCTCAACAGAAACTTGAACTGAATAAAAGTTCACTAGTCCTAGACATTTAGAACAACAGACTAGATGTTATTTGTCTGCAGGATCTTATATGGTACAGAGAGGATTCTTAAAAACATGATTGAGCCCCTTGGAGAAAACAGGTCATTCTGTGCCTGTGTTAGAAATCAATAACTGTGAGTTTAACTCTAGTTCCACCCCCATCTGATTGCAAACATGGAAAGTTGCTAAATACTTTGGCACCTCTGTCTTCCAACTTTAACAAAATGTTAAAATACCCATTTCTGTTTTCCTAGAAGTACAGGAAGGATGAAATTATTTTTGATGGAGAGAGCATTTAGTGTCTCAGAGAGAAGACAGGATATCATTCATCACTTTCATGATGGTGAGCCTATAGATCTTACTGTATTTCTTCTGTCGGTTGGCCAGGAAGCCGGCCAGTTGAGTTAGAAAACATTTCTCTTTGAGGCTTCTGAACTGCTGTTTCTTCTCTGCCAGCTGGGGGCGCAATGTCTCGTTGATTTCTAGAATGTTCATCTCTGCCTTCTCACTGGACCAAGGGCCGGCTGATACCACCATGCTGACGTTTGTGGCAGAAGAGGTGGAGTCAGGGACTGGGGAGAAGAAACCCAAACATATGATGGGTTAAAAACTGGTGAAATCAAATCGGTTTAATGAGGACTGAGGGATGTCAGTAACTGAAATTCTTAACTTACTGTTGTGAAAAATGTGATCACTCCCCACAGCACTTTAGGATCCTTCACCACAAAAACAAGGTTCGAGGTGCCTCAACTCAGAGCTGAAAGCACTGCCAGTAGCTCAGACTCTGATAAGAGTGAGGCAGAATGTGGCCAGCGTGCCAGGTAACCGTCTGCAGTTGCAATAACAGAATTAGAAGGTGGGGGTGTCATGGAATCTTAGGAGCTCTGCATTCCAATTGCCCAGGCTTTGCTGAAACACAGGCACCCTACTCTCACCTGAGGGTCACCACCAATGGGGATCATTCCTTCAGCATTCACTCTCAGTATTCGTGTACCCTTGTGACAATGCCACAGACCCGTGTCTTTCCCAATACATCTAAGCATATTCCTCACTGTTTATCTCTTGTCTGTACAACATCATCAAGGCAGAAACAGTTTCCCAACAGGTTATATTTTCTTAATGGTAGTCATGAAGTCACCCCACCTGCTCTCAGTTAAAACAGAGCTTAAGGCTTTTCCACAGGTGTAAGATATCAAACTTTTAGCCTGCCCTGATATCCTCCGGGTCTTCTGCAGTTTTTTCTGTATCCACTAGAAAGTGAATGAATAATTCATTTTTTTAAAATATTTTCTTTCCTGTCTCAGTATTCTTGCTGCTGCATCCCATTGTTAGATTGATTTCTTCTTTCTTACTGGGGCACCTTCTTGGGTTTTCATTACATTCTAGACCAGTTTGACATCCCTACGTCCAAAGCTCTTCCTCTATGTGGGTTGATTTGTTTTTTAATGTCACTGAGCACTACATTTTATACTTGTCACTTATAGATGTCATTCTAGTGCCCCAAGACCTCTTTTCAAGGTATCAAGTGATCAAAGTCATTTATATAGAGGTCTCCTGAAAACATGTGTGACCATCTATCTTGGGAAGTTTTGTAAACCTGATGCTATTTTGTTGTTTCCATTTTGTTTTCCCATATACTGAAAAGAACAGGGCCACGAGCAGTTCTTATGGAATATGGTTTGATATATATTTTGTTGAGATGACCTAACACCATTGATTTTGGGTTGCATTCCACTAACAGAACATGGCAAGATCAAGGTTATGGTCAGGGTTGGTTGGCGATCCTCAGTGTTGCTGTGCAGTAGAAGGTGAGTTTGAGGTGAGAGGAACAAGTAGGAAAGAGTGATCCCCTGAACCACCTCTTCGCTTTCTCAGCTTTCATCCCCACCTAGGTTTTGTGAGCCTGGAACTTGAGAGACTGTTCTGTAGCCCAGGTCTCCTAAGATTGGCTGCTGGACTTGCCTGAGTTGAGGGTGCAGTGGGTTGACCCTGGGCTGCCCAGCATTCATGTGGAAGTGAAGGAAGGAGGACTGGTTAATCCCATTTGAAAGCATCCCTCTCTGCAGCCCGCACCATCTTCCAGTGACACTGTAAGGATACTGCTTTGAGATGTATCAAAGGCTTTAAGTCAATGTATTTTCTAGGGTCTGGGAGACCTGACATTCTGTGTCAGAATGAAAATCTGTCAAGTTTCTAAATGAAAAAACTGCAGGTTCACAAAGTGTCATGGGTTACTTGAGGTCACAAAGGGATGAGTTTTCAGCACTGCCAATAAAAGCAATCACAATAATTATTCAGTAATTATTCATAGGATCCATACAATCCAGTAAATATTCACATATTTAGTAATTATTCATTGACCAATTCGTACAAGGCATTTTGCTCAAAACTGTGTTTATATTTGGACATTGTATCTTCATCATAATCCTTAAGGTAATGCTATTATCTATAAGTAACAGATAAGAAACCTGAAGATGAGGGACAGCTAATCACGTATTTGGCCATATTTCCATTTTTTGGTTTTTGTGATGCTGGAAGAATGACCAGAATGGGTCACGGGAAGAGTATTCATTCTTGTATTATTTTCCAGGACAGAGGTGTGCCCTTCTAGAGTACTGGGACCAAAATTCAGAAGTGTCTGAAACCTTGCTTTAACAGTATGGGAAATAACCTCTATCACCTGGAATTTCCCTGGAACTTTGGAATATACAAGAGAAGTATGAGACGTGGGTCTTCCCTTGGCTGTGTTTAATTCACTCTTCTATGGAATACCAATGATTCTCACTAAGACTTTTGCCTTTTTATAACCACAATGTATGTCTTATGGAGAAGATTGTACACTTTGCTCTATTTAGAAAGAATAAATATGAGCAATAGTTTTAGGTTTTATGCCCTGGACTTCATATTTTTCTGATTTCTGTTTTGAGATTAAATTCTCATGTAAATAGAAAAATACTTATTATTTCTCATCAGGCCAAGTTTGTTATCAGCTTGAGTTTTTGAAGATGAAGCACAAACTTTTGATTTTATCTTTGTCCTCATCAGCGCCACTCATTGTCTCTCAGTATGGCCTGGACTTGCCCCTGCATTTACCCTCATCCTGCTGAGCCATCTCCATGCACTGCGCAATTCCATCAGTGATTCGGGGTCCTCCCAAGGCTCCCTGAAATGTGCACAGGGATCAGGACGTCAGACACATTCCAGACACAAAGGCAACCCACACTGTAGAGTGAGCAGCTGTGTTCCCACTTCCCTAATGTTCCAGTGATGTCCTCAAACTGAAGGGAACACTTTCCCTTTTTAAGGGTCTGTTCTTCATGTCTCAATGCCTCTGATCTAGTGAACACAACTGTCCTGAAACTGAAAGAACCTGCTAAATTTCGAGTTTCTGGTTAGGTGGCTAGAATAGGTTTATAAGACTTCCTTACTTACCTATGACTGCTGAAGTTTGAATTCTTAGCAGTATGATTCCTTTTCTTGTAAGCTGAGCAGCTTAGGAAAGATTGGCCATGTTGCTGTGCAAAAAGAGGTAAACTTAATTTATACTCAAAGCATGCTTGAATTTGAAACTAGGGCTTCCACTCTTCCAAAGTTGGATTGTCACTACCTCAGGCATGTGTCCCGAAGGGCTCATGTCTCTGTTGTACTCAAAGTTCAAATGGAGCCCAGCAAGCCAGATCTCCTTTACTTCTAAGTTCCCTCAACAGTTTCTCCTCTGCTTTAGAGACTGCCTTGAAAATATTCTTGTCCTGCTGTTGTGTTTTGGCTTTGGAATGATGTGATGCAGCTCAATGGGTCCTACCCCCAAGTTGATCAGAGTAAGAAACAGCTGGGAAAGTCAGTGCAAATTCAAGTTCATCATCCTCCTTACAGGGATTCTGATTCAGAGGGCTCAGGTGGGGCCTGGAATGTGTTTGTTAACATGACTCAGATGTGCAGTCAGTTTGGGGACCCGCTGATACCATCGACCTTATAGTTTATGGGATGATTCTGTTTTGCTGATAAAGAAACTGAGGCATAGACAGTCTGTAACTTGCCCAAGTTCCCCTTGCTGTAAGTCCTGGAGCCAGATCTCAGGTGGAGCAGCCTCTTCCCCATCCCCTTCCCACATTTTCCAATTCAGCTGGGTCAATTCTTTCAAAGTACGTGTTTCTCTCCCCTATACCTCATTTCTGAAAAAAGGAGAACTGGAATTTAACTTCTTTCATCTAATACATTTCCTCACAACATGCTGCCAGCATCATATTCTGGCCTCTTACTATTAAAGTGAGATGCCTTTTTTTTTTTTTTTTTTTTTTTTTTGAGACAGGGTCTTGTTCTGTCACCCAGGCTGGAGTGCAGTGGTGATTATAGATCACTGCAACCTTGAACTCCTAGGCTCAAGCGATCCTCTTGCCTCAGCTTTCCAAGTAGTTGGAACTCTAGGCACACATCACCATTTCTGGCTAATTTTTTATTTTTCATGGAGACAAGGTCTTGCTATGTTGCTCAGGCTGGTTTTGAACTTCTGGCCTCAAGTGATCCTCCCACCTAGGCCTCCAAAAGTGCTGGGATTACAAGAGTAAACCACTGAGCCTGGCCCTGAAATGCTTTTTTTTTTTTTTTTTTTAATGAAAATACAAGGCATGGAGATGTGGAAAGACACCTTGCTTTATTACTGTTATTATTAGTTCTATAGTATAATTCATATATCACAAAAATCACCATTTTTAAGCATATATTTCAGTGTCTTTTACCATATTCCAAAAGTTCTGCAACCATCACCACTACCTAATTCCAGAATATTTTCATAATGCCAAAAAGCATGCCTGTACCTATGGGCAGTCACTCTCCAATTCCCCACTTCTTACAGTCTCTGACAACCACTAATCTACTTTCTCTATATATAGATGTACTTGTTCTGGGCACTTAATTCAACAAATGGTCCTGGGACAACTAAATATCCACATGTAAAAGAATCAAGTTAGACTCCCTCCTCGCACATAAAAATTAACTCAAAATGGATCAGAGACCTAAAGGTAGGTGGTAAAATTATAAATCACTTAGAAATAGTAAATCTTTGTAATGTGGGATAAGCAAAGTTTTCACAAATATGACTGAAAGCACAAGCAACAAAAGAAAAAATAAATTGTATTCCATCAAGTTAAAAACATTTGGGCTGAAAAGTATATCATCAAGAATGTGAAAAGACAGTACATAGAATGACAGAAAATATCTGCAAATCATATTATCTGATAAGAGACTTGTATTTAGGATATATTTTTTAAAAACTATTACAGTTCAATATTAAAAAGATAAACCAATTATAAAGTAGGTAAAGGATCTGAACAGACATTCTCCAAAGAAGATACATAATGACTAATAAGTATATGAAAAGATGTTGAAAATCATCAACCATCAGGGAAATGTAAATCAAAACCACAATGAGATAAACACTTCACATTACAGATGAATATAATAAAAAAGACAGACAATAACAACTGTTGATGAGGATGTGGAGAAACTGGAATTCTCATACACTGCTGGTTGGAATGTAAAATAATGTACCCACTTCAGAACAGTCTGACAGTTCCTGAAAAGGTTAAACAGCATTACCATCTGACGCAGCAATTCTGCTCCTAGGTATATATCCAAGAAATATGAAGATAAATGTCTACCAAAAAATTATACAAGAATGTTCATAACAGAATTATTGATAATACTCAAAAAGTAGAAGCAACTCAAATGTCAATCAACTGATGATGGATAAATAAAATGATAAAATGTGGTAAATCCATATGATAAAATATTATTCAGCCATAAAAAGGCACAGAGTACTGACAAATGCTACCACATCAATGAACTTTGAAAACCTCATGCTAAGTGAAAGAAGCTGTCATAAATTACTACATGCTGCATGTTTCCATTTGTATGAAATGTCCAGAAGAGGCATTTCTGGAACAGAAACTTTACCCAATTGCAGTCCATATGTTTTCTGGGATCCCGGAGTTCCCTTTCAACAATGTAAAATACAAACTTAGGTCAAAAGTTCCCATGTCTGAGAAAACTCAAGCCAAATCAGTTCTCCTCCAAAGTTGACAGGATTTATGCTTTAAAAATACAGATACAGAATTCTCTTTGGAAAGATCTACCAAATTCCTGTAAGAAACAGTCTACCCAAAGTAGGGGAAAGGCTATATGAAAAGTTACAAGGCACTTCTTAAAAATATATCTTAGGTTTTTAGGGAAAGGTAAACAGACAAGTTTCCAGACCCGTGGGTGGAATGGATGTAGCAGATTCACTGAGAGGCTCACAGCACCGTACTAAAGGGAGTCTACTGCTTAAAGCCAATTCACATCCTTAAAAGGTCAAATGGAGAGAAATTAAACTTGGGAGAAGCATTTTAAGACTGTGCTGTTATAAAACCTCGGGCCACTTAACTGATTAATCATGGCAATGAGGGCAGGGACCAGAAAAGAGTCTTTAGAACCTGTCATCCCCACACAGAAGAGCAACTTTCAGGGAAACACCCTTATCTTTCCATTTTCAGACCCCGGGAGGTGTGAGGGTGGAAAGGCTAGGTAGAGAAGAGAGCAGAAAGGAGATGAGATGACACAACCAGGATTCTCCGAAGCTGGGCTTGAAGTCCTCAAGAAAAACTCCCATGAACAAGGAAGGAAGAGTGAAGAAAAAAACAGGGATACCTGGAACTGGACAAAAGTAAAAAGATAGAAGGATACTTTTTTTCCCCCAGAAGAAGTCTGTCACAAAAGCAAACCTGCAAATATACGATCAGTATAACACCCAAGAAAATGACACATGCGGCCAGGCATGGTGGCTCATGCCTGGAATCCCAGCACTTTGAGAAGCCGAGGCAGGTGGATCACCTGAGATCAGGAGTTCGAGGCCAACCTGACCAACATGGTGAAACCCCATCTCTACTAAAAATACAAAAATTAGCTGAGCATGGTGGCAGGCACCTGTAGTCCCAGCTACTTGGAAGGCTGAGACATGAGAATAGCTTGAACCCGGGAGGTGGAGGTTGCAGTGAGCCGAGATAGCACCATTGCACTCCAGCCTGGGAGAAAGAGCGATGCTCCGTCTCAAAAAAAAAAAAAAAAAAAAAGAAAAGAAAAGAAAATGACACATGCCCCCAAGTGTGAGAATGCAAGAGGGAATCCCTGACCTATCCCTATCCAACCAGTTTTCTTGGCACACACCTTCCATTCTCTGAATGAGCCCAGATTAACTCACTGACCCCTGTGCCACGTATCTCCCACTCCATCACCCGCCCAGGCTCACTGCTTCCACCTGCGTCCCTTCATATCTCCCTACTGACCTCCACTTTTTTCTAACTTTGTCATCAAAGAAGTCACAGAAATAAATAGGAGGATTCAAAAAGAATAATTTCAGTACATTTAAAAAATTGTAGAATATAGGATTCTCATCTATGTTTATCACGTTCATTCATTTTTCAAATTTTCATTGTGGCACCATTTTATGACAGGCACTATGCTGGGGATGCTGGCGACTAGGGTAGGGAGTTAAAATGAGAGTGTCTACTTGGAAAGATGAACAGATAAATAATCACCGTGATAAGTGCTGTGCTAGAGATATGCAGATGTCAAAAGACCTTAGAAGGTCTACAATCCACTTGGAGGGTAGGGAATATAGAAGGCATTTCAGTGAAATAGGGTGCCTTTGACAAATCATTAAGAATGAGTTCTACATTAAAAAGGGGAAGAGAGGGTGATAGCTGAGGAGGCAGCATAGGCAAGAACATCCAGCATGAAAGAACAGTGAAGGACATCAGGAACATCTTTCAGGAACATCAGGTAAAACAGACTTAGGGCCCAAGTCAAAGGAGCTAAAATAATACACCCTGGAAAGTGGTATGATCATTTCTGCATCTGCTCCAGAGAAACCTGCCAAAATATGATTAGCATAATACCCAAGAGAACATCACATTCCCCATGTGTGAAAATGCAAGAGGGAGTTATTTCTAATAGTTCATAAGCTCAGCAACAACAGAGTAGACACAAAAGCCATAGAATGTGCTTAGGCTTTACTTTAATGATATAGGGATATCACATATCATCAGCCTGTGGAGTACAGAGGTAGTTTACAAAGGATAAACCTTCATTGTTTGGAAAGGAAAGATCAGAGAGCTCTTTATGAAGTTTAAACAAAATCAGAGAAATAAAGAGATGTGGGAAAGAAAGAAAAAAAAGAAAGTACATTGAGGACAGTCCAATCTAACTGTGAACTCATAAGGGACAGCCAGTAAATTCAAAACAGCCTACTGTTTTTTGATTACTTGTGCTACTCTATTAAAATAGCCACAAACACAAAACTAGTCTACCTCTTTCTCTCCCCATTATTGGCCCTAACCCAAAAATAGTGGGAGTAAATGATTTAATAATTTATTTTCATGCTCCATTTTGTTCTTAAGTTAAAATTACTGTGGTTGGTGCCCCTCCTTTAGCTTCTGCTAAAGACTTTACATAATGAAAGCTCATGAAGTGTCTGGATTACTAACAGTTACTTATCCAAAAAGATGAGACATGGTTCATTGATTTGATTCTATTAGTTCTCTCTTGAAGATATTTTTCTCCTCCCTCTGTGAAGAAACATTTCTTTCTGTGTCATACAAGAGGAGTCATTTTTGTAGTTTTAATTCCCTCTTGAGTCCTACAATAATACTAAAATACTCACAGTGACTACAGTATCCTTTGCAGGGAAAAAATTGTAAATTAACCATTTAAATATAGTCACTAAGTTATGTGGCATTCACTGACTCAGAGTTGAAAAAGACTCCAAAATTCTTATCCAGTATTAGAGTATACAAGGACAAAAGGAGAGGCCAAACTAAGTCTAGGACGCACAATACAAAGAAGAAAATGAGAAGACCAAAGTTACAGTCTCAATACTATGACATGATACTAAACCATACAGTCAGTCAGCCAATATATATTTGTGGGCCTAGTATATACTGGGCACTGTTTGTAGGTGTTTGGGTTACATCAGTAAACAAAAACAAAGATACTAGTTTTCATTCTGGAGAGGGTAAGAGGCAGTAGAATTTGGAAAAGACAGACAATGAACAATAGACATAATGAAGTAAATTATATAGTATAAATTATATAGTAAGAAGATAAGAGTTACAGAAAAAGAAAACAAAAAGTAGACCAGGGTTAGTAATTAAGGGGGTGGGGGACAGTTACAATTTTAAATAGGGTGGTTAGAGTAACCCTCAATTAGAAGTGCCAAGACGTGAAATGCAGTGGAAGCAACCATTTGAAAGTTGCAGAATACTTTAACAAGCTACTTTGCCTCCTGCTGACTTTGTTTCCCCATTTTTAGAACTGAAATAATAATTCTCATCAAATAAGGGTGCTATTTACATTGAGATAGTGACTATTACTATAAGTAACATTTTAGTCTCTTGACAAGCATGGGAAGCAATGGAATGAAGGGCAATGGAAGGAAGGGCACTGCATTATGAAAAGGACTTTTTAAAAGAAAACCATCTCCAGGCACTATTCCCCTTTGTGGAAATGAAGAGAATATTTTCTGAACTCCACCTGGGACATATGAACAATGAGCATGAAATCTTACAAACTGTATAAATAACATTTATTCACAGTGTCACTGCATCATCTATTGTTTTGAATTCTCTTTAAATTTCCTTCTATATATTTATCCAAAGCTGAAGTCATCTGGTTTAGATTATGGGACCCTGAAAAGCAAGAACTAGTCTATGTAACTACTTTTAAACATCTGCACAACGCCATACACACACACACACACACACACACACACACACACACACACACACACACACACATATTGATATGTAACAAGTACTATTTGATTATAATTAGGAGTGTCTTGGTTTTCTTATAACATGAACATATATTTTTAACCCAAACAGCTTAAAGCATTTAACGAAAAGTTTTACACACCTACAAAGTGCTTTCAGGAAGCAGATGTGCAGTGCAATGTGGCGCAGTAAGATGCACAAAGCAAAGGCTTTGAAAATAAACTGCCTCGGTTTCAGGACCCAGCCTAACCACATATTAGCTGTACAACTTTGGGTGAATCACTTAACATCTCCAAACTTCAGTTACTTCATGTGGGAAGACTTGAAAAATAATACCTGGTCCCAAGATTTTTGTGTAATTGAGCTAATAAGCATGGAAGTACCTGGCACAGTTCCTGAGTCACCAAAAAAATGTTAGTTTTCTCTTCATCGAATCTCCCCATTCCCACCCCTCATGCTAATCTCCCCTCCCACACACACACACACCATCAGTGAGTAAATAAGTGTCTTGCGTTAAACTACAACCAGAGAATAAGAGACAGCCAAGATTTCCTTACTCTATTTCACTAGCCCTGGCAGCCTCTCAGCTGCGGAATCCTTGGTTATTTCCTTTCTCAAGGAGGAGATACTATTCTAGTTTGACAGATCCTTTCCTGGACACACTCTCAGAATTCCCTAAGGTTCTTATCGTGGCTAATGGATAACAATGCAGAGGCTATGGGAGTGAATAATCACTCTCTCTCAGCTAAAAACTTCCTTTATTGACTTCTCTAACTTCCCGTCAACATCTTGCTGCCAAATCAACCTCTTGTTCTAGGCAATTATTAAAAGCAATTTTCTTGAAACTGAAAAACACATTTAGCCTTCAACAATAAATCACACTAACATCAATTACTAGCCAATTAGATTACTAGAATATCAGACCCAGAGATATTTGCAGTGTTGAAATATTTTCAAAATAAAGTTGTTTACATTTCTATTTCTGTCTTTAATCCTTAAAATGCAAACAAATACAGGAGTGAAGACAGATGTATTTTAGTTATTTCTTCTACAAGATAAAGTGGATAGTAATATTATGTTAAGAAAATACTTATTTAGTATCTAGAATGATAGCATTATCTATTCTTTATTAAAAGAGAAACTAAAAGTAATATAATTAAATAGCTTGTTCTTGTGACTTAAATAATATAAAATTTTCATTTCAATTATGTGACAATGCTTTGTATAGCTGTATTCCAAATACATAGCATGGTGCCTAGAACATAGCAGGCAGTCAATACATTTTTACCAAATGAAATGAATAAATTACCAGTTGATTTTATACTGAGGACCAAACTATGACCTTTAATCCCTCCAAAATAAAACACACAATCCCATTATATGTGAACCATATCCACAATACCAGAATCTAAGATTCCCACTCTGAAAGAGTAACTAGAACAACTTCTTTTTGAGGCAATTCTGCTTACTTAGCACATTACTCCCCCCTACAGTTTTCCTTCTTTTGTTTTTGTACTAAGGATATTTGTATAAAAACAGGATCTTTGTTGCTTAGTAATTCATCTGATTCAGCTGCTTGTATTCTGTTCCCAATCAAAATTCTTGGTTTTCAGCCTCCTCATCATTTTTATAAGGAGTTGAATGAATTGGTCAAGCTTGTTCCTTTCTCCCTCTCCATGGAACACCAGGCCCCAAGCTCCCCGACACTGCTCCTCTTTTTATTTCTATCTTTGGGTTGTGTGTACACTCTAGAACACTTGTATCAGTGAAGAGTGTAACAAAGTATTGTGCCACGCATAGTCTCTCATATATCATCTATCAGCTCATCAAAAAGTGCTCACTGATTAACAGAGGATCCCCTCCTCAGTTTCAGAATTCTCTAGCTTTAAGTTAGGGGAGGGTTACCCCAAAGTCAGAGAGGGTACATGGGAGAGGGTTGTGAAGGCCAGTAGCCCAGAGAAAATCAAGGGCAGCTGGGTGCATTTAGGTGGATAAGAAAACAATGAATTACTCCATCAAAAGCAAAAGCACAAGCACATAGTAAAGTTGATCACCCACTGTTAATGTCAATTCAGTTTAAAGCACTTTATTAACCACACATACATATTTTCCAGTGTCTAATTCTCATCGTGTTCTTTTCCATTCCAGACTTCCCTGTCTCTTTCCCAGAGCTCTGTTCCTCTTCTCACTGTTTCTACAAAAGGGACAATAAACAATTTTCTAGCCACTCATCATCATAAACCCTGACATGCTAAATTATCCCCTGCTCAGTTTATGGACCACAGTGGGCCCATAAAACTCCTCCCTCACTAGCAACCCACCCCACACAAAATTCTCACTTCCCTTTTTCCTTGCGCTTCCTAAAAAAAGCAATTGAGCCACACCCACTACCTCCTGTGCTAGGGGTTTGTCCCCTAATCCTGGGACACTAGGGAGCTCCTTACCTGGAAGGCAGTTGCACTCAAAAGTGAAGTCACCAGTCTGCCGACAGGTGCCTCCATTGACACAAGGCGAGGGTGCACAGGGCACATACAGGCTGTCACAGTACTGGCCTGTGAAGCCCTGAAGGCACTGGCACTGGTAGGAACCAGGCAGGTTGAGGCAGGTGCCACCATGCTGGCAGTGTCCTGGAATGTCACACTCATTGACATCAGTCTCACACTTCTGCCCTGTGAAGCCTGTGAGGCATTTGCAGGAGAACTGGTTGGCCACAGTGGTACAGGTACTTCCATTTGCACAGGGATGAGACAGGCAGGCATCGGTCCATTGGCACTCCTTACCTAAAGGAAGGATAACAAAACTCAGTACTGGCCACAGAAATAGGAGATGGCCCCATCCTCAATACCTCATTGACATCAGCGAGCTCTTGCGTGGAGAAGACCTCAACTCTTTGCATTTTACAAAAGGCTAAATCAGAGCCTCCTCAAGGTCATCTGACACAGAGCCCTCTCCAGTAACTCTCCAAGGACCTCAGCAGAGACACAAGGACTCAGTGGGTGGAGCACCTGGAGGCAATTGTAGGTTAGTCACATTGAAGCCCAATCCTGCAGGACGCTATCAGCAATAGGAGTCTGGATCCATCTACTCTCTCAGAGCTCACTGTCTTTGCATATGCTGCTCCTGTTTGAATATCAACTTCCGGGCCAGGAGCAGTGGCTCACACCTGTAATTCCAGCACTTTGGAAGGCCGAGGCAGGCAGATCATGAGGTAAGGAGTTCAAGACCAGCCCGGCCAATATGGTGAAACCCTGTCTCTACTAAAAATACAAAAATTAGCTGGGCATGGTGGCGCGCACCTGTAATCCCAGCTACTTGGAAGGCTGAGGCAGAAGAATCACTTGAACCCAGGAGGCGGAGGTTGCAGTGAGCCGAGATTGTACCACTGCACTCCAGCCTGGGCGACACAGCAAGACTCCATTTCAAAAAAAAAAAAAAATCAACTTCCCTTCTGTTTTCCTAGTGAACTCTCCCTATCTTGGCAACTCTACTCAAAAGTTCCAACCTCTGTAAAGTCATCCTTAGTGCCCCTCACATACATACATGTGCGCAAAGACAGATACACCAAGTTTGCTATTTTCTTCTATTATACCACCTGCCACACTGGCAGGGTTGGGTCTCCGTGGTATGCTCTCAAATCATGTCTGTTGAATGGATAAAATATATCGATATTTTCCACAAAATATAGTTACTAAATAGACCTCTGGTGATAGAAACAAGTCAATACTACTTCTGTTTCCTCTAAATGTAACACACACATATATTCTGGGAAACATTTTATTAATTGTGGCCTTGCTATAAATATCTGTTGATGTGTTTGAAAATGATGAAGGACCTCTGGGTCCCTATATAACAAATGAAATAGAAGCCATCAGGAGGACAGAGGTCTCGAAGGTATTCCGTGGACTTTCTCAAGTAGGAAAGTACCAGCACTAGCAGGAAGACTCTGACGGGTTGAAAACTAAATCATGATGCCAGGGGAAGCAAAGCAGATTCTTTGAGGCAGAAAGAGAAAGAGAAAAAAATATCCTCACAGAACTAGTAAATTTGGTATTCACATGGCTGGCTTTTTGTTGTCATTAGTCTAAGTCGCTTATTATTTAAACTACAGAGATAAGAACTCCTTGAATTTTTATTATTATTATTATTATACTTTAAGTTCTAGGGTACACGTGCACAACATGCAGGTTTGTTACATATGTATATATGTGCCATGTTGGTGTGCTGCACCCATTAACTCGTCATTTACATTAGGTACATCTCCTAATGCTATCCCTCCCCCGTCCCACCACCCCACGACAGGCCCCGGTTTGTGATGTTCCCCTTCCTGTGTCCAAGTGTTCTCATTGTTCAATTCCCACCTATGAGTGAGAACATGCGGTGTTTAGTTTTTTGTCCTTGCAATAGTTTGCTGAGAATGATGGTTTCCAGCTTCATCCATGTCCCTACAAAGGACATGAACTCATCCTTTTTTATGGCTGAATAGTATTCCATGGTGTATATGTGCCACATTTTCTTAATCCAGTCTATCATTGATGGACATTTGGGTTGGTTCCAAGTCTTTGCTATTGTGAATAGTGCCGCAATAAACATACGTGTGCATGTGTCTTTATAGCAGCACGATTTATAATTCTTTGGGTATATACCCAGTAATGGGATGGCGAGAACTCCTTGAATTTGTTAATACTCCAGTTGATTGTCTAGGAAAGTATCTAAATCTCTGACCTCATAGAAAGGTAAATGGGAGACACAAGAGTTTTTCTATAAGGGAAAAAGATGCGAGATGTGACATATGAGCACAGAAAAGTGCTCTCTGCCTATCAAGGAATGTCAAATCAAAGGAGAAAACTATAACACAAATTTAGGCACAGCATATACATCTCAGGGAGCTAAGACAGAAAATGAAGGAACTGCAATTCTTCTTGTCTTTCCACTCATGTCACTAAGAGGCACTTATTTACAGTGGAGAAGAGATATAAATGCTCACTTCTAGCAAGTGTGATTTTCAGAGTGATGCCCACAACTGAAACAGAAAGATCCCCGGGCCGGAAGTGGTGGCTGATGCCTGTAATCCCAGCACTTTGGGAGGCTGAGGTGGGCAGATCACTTGTGGTTAGGAGTTTGAGACCAGCCTGGCCAACACGGTGAAACGCCATCTTTTCTAAAAATACAAAAATTAGCCGGGCTTCATAGCGCATGCCTGTAATCCCAGCTACCTGGGAGGCTGAGGCACAAGAATCACTCGAACCCAAGAGGTGGAGGTTGCAGTGAGCCGAGACTGCGCCACTGTACTAAGCAACAGAGTGAGAAGAAAGAAAGACAGAAAGAGAGAGGGAAAGAGAGAGGAAGAGAGAAAGAGAGAGAAAGAAAGAAAGAAAGAAAGAAAGAAAGAAAGAAAGAAAGAAAGAAAGAAAGAGAAAGAAAGAAAGAAAGGAAGGGAGAAAGAAAGAAAGAATCAACCCTGAATTTGGTTTCCATATATATTATGTATAGGCACTAACTTGCTGCCTATGCTTCTTCATCTCTGAGTGGAGATGAGCTAGTAAGCTGACTGAGGTATAGCGCTATCACAAAAACCAAAAGGATGACCTTGATCTGTGATGATTCCTAAAGTGATAGACAAAAATAGCATATGTATAAAAGATGATCAGAATCGGCCGGGTGTGGTGGCTCACACCTGTAATCCCAGCACTTTGGGAGGCCGAGGCGGGTGGATCATGAGGTCAGGCGATCCAGACCATTCTGGCTAACAAGGTGAAAGCCCATCTCTACTAAAAATACAAAAATTAGCCGGGCATGGCGGTAGGTGCCTGTAGTCCCAGCTACTCAGGAGGCTGAGGCAGAAGAATGGCGTGAACCCGGGAGGTGGAGCTTGCAGTGAACCGAGATTGCACCCTGCACTCCAGCCTGGATGACAAAGCAATACTCCATCTCAAAAAAAAAAAAAAAAAAAAAAAAAAAAAGGTGATCAGAATCTTGCAGAACACACCAAGAAGAGATCCTTCTTAACAACAAAGGAAGAAGTTTTAATTTGGGACCATTTCAGAGTGACATTTTAATTATGAAGAAGGCATTACTGTCATTTCCACTAGCCAGAATTAAAATATTTTAAGTGGGTATATGCCCCCCTACTTTGCCTCCTAATAGCAAAACAACTCAAAACTGACAATCAGGAAGAAATTATTCTTATAACACCAAATATTTTCAGTGACTTACATCATCAATACCATCATCATCATGATGGAGATCATGGATCATCCTAACTACCCTCTACCCCACCAACACCTTTTGATGAATGATATGGTTTGGTAGTGTCCCCACCCAAATCTCAACTTGAATTGTATCTCCCAGAATTCCCATGTGTTGTGGGAGGGACCCAGTGGGGTAACTGTATCATGGGGGCCAGTCTTTCCTGTGCTATTCTCATGAGAGTGAATAAGTCTCATGAGATCTGATGGGTTTCTCAGGGGTTCTGCTTTTGCTTCTTCCTAATTTTCTCTTGCCACCACCATGAAAGAAGTGCCTTTTGCCTCCCACCATAATTCTGAGGCCTCCCCAGCCATATGGAACTGTAAGTCCAATTAAACCTCTTTTCTTCCCGGTCTCGGGGATATCTTTATCAGCAGCGTGAAAATGGACTAATACAGTAAATTGGTACCAAGAGTGGGGTTTTTGCGAGAGTGCCAGCTATCCCGAGGGAAACTTTGGAGGGAACCAGCTACTAGATGGTTCAATTAGTCTTTCGCCCCTACACCCAGGTTGGATGACCGATTTGCACATCAGGACTGCTACGGACCTCCACCAGAGTTTCCTCTGGCTTTGCCCTGCCCAGGCAGAGTTCACCACCTTTCAGGTCCTAACATTTGTGCTCATGCCCCACCTTCCCAGTGCAGAAAACAAGATGGGCCGGTGGAAAGCTGACCTGGCTACTGCCACCGCAGAGTGCCCAATTTGCCAGCAGCAGAAACCAACACTGCGCCTTTGATATGGCACTATTCCTCAGGGTGATCAGCCAGCTACTTGGTGGCAGGTTGATTATGTTGGACTTCTTCCATTGTGAAAAGGGCAGATGTTTGTCCTTACTGGAATAAACACTTACTCTGGATATGGGTTTGCCTATCCTGCATGCAATGGTTCTGCCAAGACTACCATCCGCGGACTCATGGAATGCCTTATCCACTGTCATGGTATTCCACACAGCATTGCCTCTGACCAAGGCATTCACTTTATGGCTAAAGAAGTGCAGCAGTGGGCTCATGCTCATGGAATTCACTGGTCTTACCATGTTCCCCAACATCCTGAAGCAGAACGGTGGAATGGCCTTTTGCAGTCACAATTACAATGCCAACTAGGTGAGAATACTTTGCAGGGTTGGGGCAAAGTTCTCAAGAAGGCTGTGTATGCTCTGAATCAGCGTCCAATATGTGGTACTGTTTCTCCCATAGCCAGGATTCACAGGTCCAGGAATCAAGGGGTGGAAATGGAAGTGGTACCACTCACCATCACCCCTAGTGATCCACTAGCAAAATGTTTGCTTCCTGTTCCCGTAACATTAAGTTCTGCTGGCCTAGAGGTCTTAGTTCCAGAGGGAGGAACGCTGCCATCAGAAGACACAACAACAATTCCATTAAACTGGTAGTTAAGATTGCCACCAGGACACTTTGGGTTCCTACCTTTAAGTAAACAGGCTAAGAAAGGCGTTACAGTGTTGGCTGGGACATCAAGGCTATCAAGACCCAGGCTATCAAGATGAAATCAGTCTACTACTCCAGAACGGAGGTAAGAAAGAGTATTCATGGAATACAGGAGATCCATTAGGGCGTCTCTTAGTATTACCATGCCCTGTGATTAAGGTCAATGGGCAACTACAACAGCCCAATCCAGGCGGGACTACAAATGGTTTGGGCCTCTCCATCAGGAAAAAAAAAAACACAACCTGCTGAGGTGTTTGCTGAAGGCAAAAGGAATACAAAATGGGTAGAAGAAGGTAGTCATCAATACCAGCTACTACCATGTGACCAGCTGCAGAAATGAGGACTGTAATTGTCCTCAGTATTTCCTCCTTCTTTTATTAAAAACATGTCTGTGCTTGCACACACTTGTACTAAGAAAATATCTTCATTTTATTTCCTTTCTCCTTTATCATGTGACATAAGATTTATTGACTTCACATCAGCATTTAAGTATCGTTAACTTTATGTAAGAGTGTTTCAGTTGGGGACTAGTGTGTTTCCGGATGTATGAAGAATAGTTGTACTACATCAGGTGTAATTATGACCTAATTATTGTCTTTATTTGAAGATTATGTGTGATCTCAGGAGATGTGTACGGGTTCAAGTTGACAAGGGGTAGATTTGTGGTGGTTAAAACTGAGTGTGTCAACTTGATTGAATTGAAGGATACAAAATATTGATCTTGGGTGTGTCTGTGAAGGTGTTGCCAAAGGAGATTAACATTTGAGTCAGTGGGCTGGGGAAGGCAGATCCACCCTTAATCTGGATGGACACCATTTGATCATCTGTCAGCAAATATAAAGCAGGCAGAAAAACATGAAAAAGCGAGACTGGCCTAGCCTCCCAGCCTACATCTTTTTCCCGTGCTGGATGTTTCCTGCCCTCAAATATCGAACCCCAAGTTCTTCGGTTTTGGAACTCAGACTGGCTCTCCTTGCTCCTCAGCCTGCAGACAGCCTATTGTGGGACCTTGTGATCATGTGAATTAATACTTAACAAACTCTCCTTTATATATATATAAAGATTGCCAATATATATATATTAAGATTGCCACCAAGACACTTTGGGTTGGAATATATATACATACATATATATTCCATTAGTTCCATCCCTCTAGAGAACCCTAATACAATGAAAAATTAATATAACAGTATTCTACACTAACTGATCCAGTATAGTCTTCTGAGTACATTTTTCACTTTTTTGCTTATTGCATTTATAGAACTCTTGGTTTAGTGCTTAAAGCAGGAGAAAAAATGAAGAATGTTCCTCCTTTTCTCATCTAATTTAATAAACACTTTTGAATAAAGCTCAGACCCACCTAGAAAAACCCACAATCTATTCAGGTGAGATATGTGTAAAAAAAATTACAATAAAATGTGATACATAAAACTAATAAAACTTAGAGACCATTTGCCTAAAGGAATCATGAAAGGGTCACTGAGACACAGTTTTAAATAACATTGGACAATCACCAGTTGTAGAAAAGGGCATTCCAGGCAAAAGGGTGTGTAACTGTATGGAAGCAATAATAAGTACAACATTTTCAGGAAATAAGGAGAATTTGGTGTGACTAGGCCTAGATGCTTGTGGGGAGGCCAGGCTATAAAAAGATGTAAAGTCTAGGCTGTAGAGAGCTATGGAAGTCATGTAAAAGAGTTTGCAGTTTATTCTGCGGATGATGAAAAAATATTAGACATTGTAAGCAGGTGAGATTGTTAGAATATTTGCATTTATAATCAAAGATGTAGTAATATCATGGGTGAATGAGATGGGGAGAGAATAAAGGCAAGAAAACGTATTCAGAAACTACTTCAGAAGCCCAGGTGAGAGATAACATGGCCTTCAACTACAGGGTAGCAGAGGAAATGGGAGGAATAGACAGGTGAAAGGCAACTCAGAGGTTGGCTTGGGTGACTGAGTTGAAATGAGGTCAGAACAAGGGACAGGGAGTTTCTAGCGTGGGTATTTGGGATGTACATGGTTGCTACGTATTTCTGTCAACAAGGTGAGCTGAAAGTACCTGTAGAATATCTCCAAGGAGAACATACAAAGGATAACTAGAAACATGAGCCTGAATGTCAGGGTTGGGTGGAGCTAAGGGAATGATGGTGAGATTCATCAGCAAGCTAATGAAGACAGTGGCAGTGGAGGCGAATACAGACAGTGAAATTCCCTAGGGAGAGCTGTGATGTGGCTCAAAAGAGGGCGCAAAACAGTGCTCCAGGGAGCACAAACATTTAATGGATAAGAACAAGGTAATGAAGAAGCAAAAGGAACAGGGTTCAGAAAACCAGAAAAGCCAGTGCCCTGAATGTCTAGGGAGGGAGATTTCTAAAAGCAAATAGTCAATAACATCAGCAACTTTTCCTCTGGTGACAGTGTACTTATTTCTTTTAGTGAAGTAAACTCTGATTCCCCATCCTGGTGTACATATTTTTTTTTTTGAGACAGGGTCTCACTCTGTCACCCAGGCTAGAGTGCAGTGGTGCGATCATAGCTCACTGCAGCCTCAAACTCCTGGGCTCAAGCAATTCTTCCACTTCAGCCTCCCAAGTAGTTAGGACTACAGGTGCACACCACCACACATGACTAATTTTGTTTTATTTTTATTCTTGTTTTTTTGTAGAGATGGGGTCTTGCTATGTTTCCCAGGCTGGTCTCAAACCTCTAGCCTCAAGTGATCCTCCTGCCTTGGCCTGCCAAAATGCTGGGATTGCAAGCGTGCGCCACCGCACCTGGCCCTGACATATATACTTTAAGCAGTCAAAGTATTTGGTCCTTTTTCTTTCTCTTTCTCTGCCCCCTGAAACTCTTAAAAGGAAGTTAGGGATAGTTGTCTGGAACATCCCAGTTCCTTATCATAATGTTAAATGTGCACCAGAGCTGGGGGACATTTAAGAGCCAGACACCATGATCTAAAAGATGCTAAATAAAGGTATCTGCTGAAGGTAGGAAAGCACTGGCTTTGGTCTCATTAGTTACCTGTAAACCCGACTTGACAGGTGCACTCATAGGTATCCCGGCTGAGCATATGGCATGTGCCGCCATTCAGGCAAGGTCGAGACACAAAGCATGGATGAGATGTCGAGTACTGGCAGTCCTCTCCTGTAAACCCTGAGGCACATCGGCACGTGGCTTTCCCCAGCATGGCCTGGGCCACACAAGTCCCACCATTCTGGCAGCGGTTCTTCTCACAGGGGTCTCGATGTTGACAATATTCCCCCAAGAAGCCTTCTGGACATCTGTATGGAAAAGAGAAGAGTCCATGAAAACACCTGACTTCTTGTAAGTCCAAAAAATTACAGTAAAACAATACAGTCCAATCAAGAAAGCACGAGATTGTGAATCAACAGACCTACAAGGACCACCTATAAAACTGCTTCCCTTTAGAAGAAAGAGTCCTTAGAGAACTTAACCACATACTCCCATGTCCTTTTGAGTCCTGGCAGGTGACAGAGTATCAGGTGTATGGTCTAGCAGGGTCTGCCATGGCCAGTCAACATGACCCTTATTCAAACGCAAAATGCACCCCAGCTTTTTTTCATGTGTGTACAGGTTGGGATGGTGTAACAGCACCTTTTTTAGAGCACTGTTCGTACTTGTCTGCTTAAATTCATTAACTTTCTCATTTTGACTAAGCCATTTGATAGGATTAAGATGTCCACAATATAATGCATGAACTTGACCCTATTATCCCCTCCAATTTAAAATATGTAAGATATCATGTGCTTTTCCTCAATTAAGCATTGAGAAATAGTAAGTGCTTCTTTCTCTTATTTCCACTGAAACATCAATTGGATGATACCTAGTTTTCTGGGTTATGTTCAGGTGGCTGACATTACAACGGAAAAAGGGAAAGGAGGTACAGGAATGGGGAAGAGTTCAAAGGGATATTTAAAAATCTGTTAATATTTAAGTAGGCATTTTTAACCAAATAAAAAGACACAAAATATAATTAAAATAACATAAAATATCTAAGATACCATATAAACACCAAAGTCAAGGAAGGAATCAATTGAAGAATAACATTCTATGATATTTTCCACATTGAGGCACTGAGGAACCTTTTTACATGCCACCCCTTGATTCATAAGATGTACAACCATTTCAAACTGTGTGTATTATTTATGACAATTTTCTCTGAACAATATCAAAAAGGCATGGTAAGTCTCCATTTTCATAATGAAGTTGTTTAAATGGAATCTCTGAGAAGCATTTAAATTAAGAAACACAAACACTTTGATTCTAACTATAAATGCTGCTATATATTTGGCTGGTGCCCCAAATATGTGATTCAACTTATTCCTCGTTTTAGTTTTCAGGGACTAGAAAACTGAATCTAGTAGGCTGTTCCACCATTACCTCAAAGATTACACATTTAAACCAAACTCTAAATCCCCCTCTCAAAAACCAGCTTTTCTGTGCCCAAGCCTTGTTGTCCTGATTTTCCTAATCATTGTGACCTGAAACATTGGGGTCATGAGTGCTTTTGTCTTTGACAGTCATATCCAAGACCTTTCATTAACCATTGGTTGGCAAGGCTAGCTAGCAGGGGTCACAGTTACTGAGAAAAGAGGGAAGGCCAGATACTAGGGAACTAAGACAGAAAATGCCCAGAAGAATTGTGTAGTAGCTAAAATGGCTAAAGGAGAAAACAGGGTGGTGAATAGCTATAGTGGTAGTGAGGTAACTGGCCACAGCCTCTTCACCCCTCCCAGAGCTGCATAAGATAAGCATGGCAGAGCAAGGAGCGGCTAAGGCTCTGGGCATCTTCATGAGTAGGTGTAGCTACAGACCAACAGGCAGTGAAGAAAGTTCATAGCACTGAAACCAAAGATGGCATGCAGGTGACTGTGAGGAGTCTGTATCAAGAAGGTCAGAAGGTCTGGTTTGGAGTTCTGGTGCTGTGACCTTGGACAAGTTACTTATCTTCATTGACTATCCATTTTCTCACATTGTAAATAGTTAATAAGGTCACCTACATCATGAGATTATTCTAAGAACTGAACAAAATCAAGTATGTAAAAAACCTTATAAATGTTAAAAAGTTTTGCAAGTGGGCTGGGCACAGTGGCTCACACCTGTAATTCCAGCACTTTGGGAGGCTGAGGTGTGAGGACCATCTGAGGTCAGGAGTTTGAGAATAGCCCGGCCAACAAGGTGAAACCCTGGCTCTACTAAAAATACAAAAATTAGCCAGGGTGGTGGTGCACGCTTGTAATCCCAGCTACTCGGGAGGCTGAGGCATGAGAATTGCTTGAACCCGGGAGGCGGAGGTTGCAGTGAGCCGACGAGATTGTGCCACTACACTCCAGCCTGGGCAACAGAGTGAGATTCCATCTCAAAAAAAAAAGTTTTGCCAAGTGAAAACATCTTTTCTCTCTTCTTTGTGCTTATTGAGGAAAATACAATGCCCCATCCAAATCACAGCTTGATTTGAGAATAGTTTCTTGTGTTGGTTTTTTGAAGTGGAGGAGCAAAAAGTGCCAATGTAGCATAGCTAAAATTAACTCTGAGATATATTATTAAAAGCATTTGCAGCTTATTCAAGAAATGTGTTATGAATGTTAAAAACTGCAACACAATTCTCACTCACAGTGCAGCCCTCTGGGCATTATTAGATGACTCTTCATTCTCCCATATGGGAATTATGCACCTTCTAAATAATGGCAAATTTTTAAACGTGGGTGGGCTTTGCTCAGCTTTGCTCCTGAACTATTACACCACCCTAACACTATCATGTGGCATATGCTAAGAGAATGCAAAGTCATTTAAATGGTAGCATCATAAACATATAATGGAAATATAAGGTTCCCAGGAAAACAAAAATGAAGCAAAATGGAAGTTTCTAAAGCTAAACAGATGTATTTCTGAATTATTTGTTTCTACAGTTTAATTCACATTGTTGCTCCCTATCAAGTATGGAAAAATAAGTTTTAACCTAAGATATATTTAAGAAATCAGTAAAACCAGAGATTGACAAAGTACAGTTTGCAAGTCTAATTTGGACCACTGCCTGTTTTTGTTTGGCCTGTGAATAGTTTTTTACATTTTTAAATGATTAGAAAAAAAGAACAAAAGAAGGATATTTTCTGACATTTCAAAATTATATACAATTCAAATTTCAGTGTCCATAAATAGTCTTACTGGAACACAGCCATGCTCATTCATTTATAGATTGTCTATGGCTGATTTTCCACTACAACAACAGAGTCAAGTAGCTGTAATGAGACCACAAAGCCTGCAAAAATAATTACTCTCTGGCACTTTACAGAAAAAGTTTGCCAACTTCTGAGTAGAGAACATATGAAGGCTAATTCTATAAATACCATCCAATATGCTTATTAATAATGATCGGTTTCTGATAGGAAATCAACCTTATTAGTTTCCACAAAGAATATTAAACTTATAATCGTTCATTCACACAACAATTAGTAAATGCCTATTATGTGCCAGGCATTTTTCCAGTGCTAGAAAAATTCTTACACTCTTGGAGTTTACATTCTAATAGCGGAAGACGAAAACAAAATTACTAAGTAAAAGATGCACAATAGATGGAGTTAAGTGCTGTGAAAAAAAATTAAACAGGAAGGAATGGAGCTGGGGATGAGGGTGTGGGGTGAGCAAAGAGAAGTATCTCAGTTTAGAATAGGAAAATCAGAGAAGACCTTCACTGACAATACTTGAGTTGAGACCTAAATAAGGTGAGAGTAATCATGCAGGTATCTTAGGAAAACACATTCATGAGAAAGGGAACAGCAAATGCAAAGGCCATAACACAGAGAGCAGCCCTAGCGTGTTTGAGAAACAGCAAGAATATCTGGAGCAGCAGAAAATAGATGAGAGCTGTAACTGGGATGTGGATCAATTGGGGCCTTTAAGCCACTGTAAAGAAAGACTTAGGGTTTTCCTCTAAATGGGATAATACTTACATATGAGGTACAACAGACTTACTCTCCTAAAGCCCGTGTACAGAACCATATATTTGCTTTACGTGAAACTAGACCTACTGTATTAATAAAGTTTGATTTCTATTTAAAATGTTTTAGAGGGCTGGACATCAGCTTAGTTCTTTACTTTTACCTTAGAAGATATACAAGTCTCTTTTAACCCACACTTTCATGAGGTCCCATTTCCCTTTCCAAATTATTGTTTCACAGCTAACCTTCTATGACTGTAGCCTAATTTCAGATATTCCTCTTTCTTTTCCATCTACTTCTTACTTATCCCTCTGCAACAAAACTTTAATTCTAATTATTGTTTAGAAACTGTTTTCTAAAAACAATGACTTTCCTCTAGTCAAGTTCAGTGGTCTCATCTGAAACTTCATAAGGAAATTCTCTCTCCTATAGGGAGAATTGCTAACCACTCCATGTACCGTTTTAATCATTTTACCTTGGCTTCTATGCCTCCCTCTGTCTAACTCAAAACCCAGTGAAGTCTTAGTCTGGATTGCTGATTTCTCCTTCTTCCCCATCTATTATGGCCACCCTAATGTTTAAGTCTGGACTGCACTGCTCTTTCTCTCAAATGCATTTGTTACTGTTGTTGTTCACTTGGTTTTAAACAACTTCCTTCCTGTAACTGACTCCAAAATACACTGTTCCAGTCCCATATGTTCAGTTTTCTAGAAGTCATCTCTCTATCCTAATATGTGCTGCCACTATTTGAAACTAAACATTTGTAAAAGGAGATCATCTTCCCAAGAAACTTTAATTATTCAATTTTTCTAAGGCTTCCACACACAATTTAAAGTAACTTCATCTCTTTAAGTTGTATATAATTTATTACCACATTCTGACAAGACTTGTTAACTGAATTCCTATAATACTTATCATTCGTGTTCACAGTTTCCTTTTTGATACAAATTCTGATCATCTTAAAAGCCTCAGGCCAGACATCATCTTGTTGCTGGCTTTTCCCCCATTTCCAGCCATCCTTGGAATAACAGAACCTTCAGATTCAAGAAATTTAATTTCTATCCAATTAAGTAATCATTTCTAAAATATTTCTAAAAGATGATCACCAGCCTCTGCTTGAATACAAGCATGTAGCATGGTGCCGGATAAATCTTGAGAATTTAATAAATGCTTGGAGTTATTATTGTTCTGCTCTTAAGAGTACAGACTCTGGAACCAGACCACCTGGATTTCAATCCCAACTCCACCATTTACTCAATGTGTAGTCTTGGGCAAGGTACTAAACTTCCCTGTCGTAAAAGAGATGTAATAACAGTGCCTACTTCATAGGATTTTTAAATAAGGGTAAAGCACTTAGAACACTATCCAGCACATAGTAAACACTATGCATTTGTTAAGTGAAATTACTGGCTGACTACTTCAACAAAAGAACAGTCTTCAATGTGGGTGGATTCCACTGTGAGAAAGCTCTTTCTTAATTCTTCAAATTCTGCCTCCCTTCCTAGGTATATACCCGAGATAACTGAAAACATATGCCCAGATAATAAAAATGTTCATAGCAGCATTATTCATAATAGCTAAAAAGTAGAAACAACCCAAATGCCTATAAGCGGATGAACAGATAAATAAAATGTGGTATATCCATAAATGAAATATGTGGCCATGAAAAGGAATGACATTCTGATACATGCTACAACATGGATGAACCTTGAAAACATGCTAAGTGAAAGAAGCCACACACAAAAGGCCACATATTATATAATTCCATTTATATGAAATGTCCAGAATATGCAAATCCGTAGAGATAGAAAGTAGATTAGTGTTGCCAGGAGCTGTAAAGAAAGGGAAATAGACAGTGACTACTAAGCAGTAGAGAATTTCTTTCAGGGTGATAAAAATGTTTCGAAATTAGATAATGGTGGTGGTCTCATAACTCTGGAAATACTGAAGTCTACTAAATTAAACACTTTAAAAGGGTAAATTTTATGATACATAAATTATGTCTTAACTTTGAAAAGAACAAACTTTGTCTCTCTACAATTTCCAGGTTATCTCTACCCTCTAGAACAAAAAAGAACAAGCCTTCTGCTTCTCTTACACGTAGCCCTTCAAGAATCTGAAGATAGTTATGTGGGCCTTTTGTTTTCTTTTTTCCAGGATTCAATGGTTTGGCATATTCCTCAGTATAGGGTTATTTCCAGGCTTCTTCACCTTTTTAGTGGTGCTTCTATGCTTAACAGTAGTAATAATAATCAGAATGACCAAAATTTTCTGCCTCCCTTCCCAGGTATATACCCGAAGTAACTGAAAACATATTTTCTAAGTACTTAACTATGTATTGTATATTTGCTAAGCATTTGATAGCTATTGTCTCTTGTATTACTCGCTCCAGTGCTATATTATAATCTCCATTTTATATATGAGGAACTCGAAGCTTAGAAAGATTAAGATTTTACAGCTAGGCCAGGCGCGGTGGCTCACACCAGTAATCTCAGCACTTTGGGAGGCCGAGGCAGGCAGATCACCAGGTCAGGAGATCGAGACCATCCTGGCTAACACAGTGAAACCCTGTCTCTACTAAAAATATAAAAAATTAGCCAGGCGTGGTGGCGGGCGCCTGTAGTCCCAGCTACTCAGGAGGCTGAGGCAGGAGAATGGCATGAACCCAGAAGTTGGAGGTTGCAGTGAGCCAAGATCGCGCCACTGCACTCCAGCCTGGGCAACAGAGCGAGACTCCCTCTCAAAAAAAAAAAAAATTCACAGCTAGTAGATGGAAGAGGCAGGATTCAAACCCAAGTAGACTCTAGAGTGCGTGTGCTTCAACACTAGGCTATCCTGCCTCCCCATCACTGGATGACTCCAGTTCATCAAAAACCTCTTTAAAAAGTGAGGCTCAAAATGGAAAAAGGCTTAACACATGTTCTTACCAGTGCAGCACAGAGCTGAACCATGACCTCCTGATCTGGACACTATGCTTTTACTATTTCAGAGTAAGTTCTTAAACTGAGGAGGCATCGTGAGAGCGCAGTTCAAGAAAGAATAACGCTCCGACTCATACCCAATGGATATGTGTACTTTTTTAGAAGCCACAAAATACTACTATGTGCTATGGAATACACACTCAGCTAAAATATTCAGAGCCTTATTTCACATGAACTACTAGTGTACCCTATTTTTCTCATCTTATACTTGTAGCACATGTTTTTTGAACCCAATAATTGGAACTATCATTCATTCCTTTTAAATCCATCATATTGAGTCTTTACTCCAAGTTTCCTTGATTGAGACAACTTTTACATTATACTCATACAATCACAGAATTTCAGCAGTGATCTCAGAAACCAAATGGTCTGAACCCCTATAGCACTGAGAAGGACACCAAAGCTAACTGATCTACCCAAAGTTGGTTATCTGTGAATCTAGCAATTTCCCCAGTTTTACAAATATATCCCTATCTTCACCTAGACCTTGCAATGAAACAGTACTTAACTGAAAGTGTATGACTAAGTCTTGCCCCAAGACTAGCACTTATTCAATCAGCTCTAACATCCTAAATGGACCAGCATCCTATCCATACCTCTCCTCTCCCTAAGGACAGTCTGGAAATTCCTTGCTGAACCTAAGCATATGACTAAAAGAATAATCTTTCCTAAGCATAATTTTCATGTCATTCTTCTGCTCAGAAACTAGCAACAGTATTAATACCAAGCCTTTCAAATCCAAGTTCTTTACAATCTCTGATCTGCTTGTCTGTCCCATTCCAATCATCTAACCATCTTACTCTTTAGTAATCCATAACTCGAACACTCCATATTATTTCCACAATCTTGTTTACTGTCCCCTATATTGAAATCTTTTTAATTTCCAGTGAGAAACATCATGCTTCCCTTCTGGTATATCTCCAACTTAGGTTCCTTTCTTCCACCCTTTTTTCAAAAATCTGCTGTAAACCTGTCCTATAGTAAGCCTTCTACAAATCATCCCACCTGTCTCTGATCCTTCCAACAGCAGATGTAGTGCCATGTCATGCACTACATTGTCTCCGCTGGTATGGTTCTTCTTTATTTAAGCCACTGTTATGTCTTTGCTGTACCTTTCTCAAACTCCCATCTAGATAGTTTTTGTGGGGAAGACCCTGTCTTGAACCCTTGGTGTAGGTTCCCTGAATACCTGAGTACATAAACCCCACTAAGCAGCTGGTTCCAAAGCAGGCTAAATTTCATGTGATGGATAAAGTCAGTCTCTCAATCCAAATGTTCCACAAAATCCATCTCTACTCTGTGATCTGTCTGGTAGAATAACAGGCCAAATCAACCTAATAGTCATCCTGAGGTATAGAATTATCCTTCACACCCCAGGAAGCTAAGCAGCATTATGGACATGGGAAGAAAGGGGAGTAATAGCTAAGACAGTCAGAAATAACAGACCCTTGTTTCCTAAGGCAGGAGATCTTTCAACTTGCAAATCCCTGTTCAACTGTGGTATAAGGAGAAAATATACTCTGTTAGTCTTGGTGGAAAGTAAGGTTCTCTGCTTGAAAACAAGGGCTTAAATAGCTGTCTTCTTGAGATGGCTAAAGTTGAATTTGGTTAGAGAGTGAAAACATGGCTAAACACCCAACATCCCTTACGTATCTATAATTCCATTAAGCTACCCAGCACACATTTTGGAAAATAGTCTACCACTTGAACTAAAGGTGTATATTCTAAAAAATAACCACAAAAATCTAACAGATGCCTTTCATCCGCAAAACTATATGAATGTTTCCCTCCTGTAGGGAGTTTATTAATTATTTTCATAACTGTCTCTTCAATGTCTCTCAGTGACTTCTACTTACTCTCTCTTCTCTAGCATTGGAACTCTGAAAGAACATACTTCGCAGATGAGGTTGTGAATACAGAGAAAGGTTTGGGGAGCATTTTTCCATTTTAAACTCTATAAACTAATCTGAATACTTACCAGGTCCATAAAGATATATTTATGACTTTTTCTTTAAAAGTCTCAGCTGGGCACAGTGGCTCACACCTGTAATCCCAGCACTGTGGGAGGCCAAGGCGAGCAGATTGCTAGAGCAGAAGTTCGAGACCTGCCTAGGCAATACGGGCAACATGGTGAGAACCCCATCTCAAAAAAAAAAAAGTGTCATTTCTGACATTGAGAGGTCCACATTTCCATTGTTACTGTTCAAACATACGCATGGGGTTGGATGTAGAAAAGCAAAGGAAGGAAGAAAACAGAGAAAAACAAGGGATTCCTCCTAATGGAACTAGAAAACATTCCATTTGAAGGATACCCCTACAGTTTCCTCTCACTTAAGCAGATGAAAACCAGACCCCAACCCTCACATCTCACTAGCAGCCTGGATTAGTTTACATGTAGCCACTTTACAGATTTCAACGAAGCTGGGATCTGAATAGCAATTCCAATCTATCTGGCAATGGCTGCAGTTCAGGATCAGTCTCTCTAGTAATACAGGACAGAAAAATTTGTTCTTTCACGTTTCCTAAGTGAATAGCCACTCGTCTACAGAAAAGCTTAAAACAGTGTAGCAGCTTGTGTCAGCTCCAAGATGACTGAAGTCTGAGCAGGAAATAAGCCCCTTTTCCAAATAAAAGCCAGTGTTCTCTCCCCTTGTTTTCTCCACCGAATGTTCTGTATCAGCAGGGTGAGGCCAAATTGCATCCAGGGCTTTGCTGCAGCTCTGTCTTTAGCTTTTTTTTTTTTTTTTTTTTTTTTAAAACGAGGATTTGGCCATTCAAGAAACAACAACAACAACAACAAAGCAAAATCCCACCACATACAAGAAGAAAAAGAGAGGCATGCTTTACAAAACAGCTATTTCAAAGTCATGATTTTTAAAAAAACTATACAGAATGTGGAACGAAGGGGAAAAAAAAGTCTCATGTGGGTTGCGTCGGCACTGCAGCTGCTCCTCATTAAAGCTCCTCTTTACTCCCTCTGGGCTAGTTTCCAGCAGAAAATTCTTTAAACAGAACTCTGCTTTCAACCCACTTTCTTCTTGCACTGGGCCTCTTGGCCCCCCAATCCACAGTGGCAGCCTGCCCTAGCTGAGCTCTAGAGGGGGGAGCTGTCGTTAAGGTAAATGAGGTAAGGGCAGGGGAAAAAACTAACAAAACCCAGAAACCAAATTAAGCATCGGTCAGTAACAAAGGTCTGCAGTTTGAAAGGCTCCAAATCAGTCTGTTCTTTCCTGTGACCATAATGCCAGCTTAGTTTCCTGCCCCCCTACTCTGTCCCCCCTGTTAAAGTAGATAAAAATAATTGCTAACAGCCAAGGCTAGCTGGAACCAGTGAAAGTTCCTATGTAACATTCAATTCCCAAGGCTGCGACTACAAACTTGTAGGTACCCTAGAGCCTATAGAATCAAGTCTAAACTTCTAGGCTGGCATTCAGGAGGCCTAACCCACCTATTGGTCTAGACTCACTGGTCTCCCTCCTTTCAGTACCTCCTGGCTGAGGTCTGATGGGCTTGTCAACTTTTTAATTCTGTCACTCTGTGTAAAGGTAACTAACTAGGTTATGCTAATTACCAACTTTGTTTTAAAAACATGCATGAAGACTTCTAGTTAACTTCCTGGTAAAGAGGGGAAAAAAAGAGAAGAAGCTCTGTCATACTACTTCTTGCCATTCCCACTCTACTCTCAACCCCCCCTTCTCTCAAATAAAAAGAAAGAAAAAAAAGGAAATACTATAGCTTACTCAGCAAGAAGGAAAAACAAAAAGAACTTTAAAAAAAAGTATTTGTGTATAGATTGGTGTCCAGAACTGGGACGCTTGTGGTAAAACACACTTTCTAGTGTAGTTTTTCTAGGGCCTTACTAGTTGTATGTGAAGGAAACAAAGACAAGTATACAATCTCTCACTCTCACACACGTACACACACACATACACACTTTTATCACAACCAATACACAAAGACTACCAAATACTGCAGGGCAGCTCATTTTTCTACTATGTAAATTCAGCTTCCTGGACAGACCATTTCTGCTTTTCTTGTAGAAGTATTTCAGAAAATGTTAATCTTGGTTCCCACATTAGGTTGCATGCTTCCAAATTAAAAGTTTCCCACAGGAAAAGAACTTCATGAGGAATTGTGAGGCTGGGAATTATCTCTGAAACCCCACCTCACTTAGTTTACATGTGTTAGGTTTTTCACCCCCTCATCTGAATAAAGCATTAAATACACACTGATTTTAAGAAACCTAAACCAAAAAGAAGCTGAAGTGGTACGGACTTTAAAGCTGTTGATTCACAGCATCATTCATCTTCACTCAGACTATGAAATCAGTAACCACTGCAATGAGAAACCATGCTTTATTTATACAAGAACTTTACAAACATCCTTATCTTCCAGTTTACAGTCTGGGCTCATTTATCAGAACTCAAAGGCTGAGCTGAGCACCTAGTCTCTTCAATCATCACTTGAAAGATTGGGAAGGGGCACACAGTGTTAAAAGACTTGTGTTGTTGCTATAACAGAAGGTGGTCTTTCCTCTGTGTTCCAGAACACAATCAGGATCTTACCATACTTCACTGCACTGGACTCTGAGAAAATATCTACTTGTGATTAAAACATGGCAAACACATTCTAGACATATGAGTTTACAAAAAACACCCTTCGATGTAATGGACAAAACTGAATGAGTTAGCTCAGTTGTTCCCAAGGTATGGGCTGTGGAGTTATTGCAAGGGATTGCAATCCTCATAAATCACTTTCTAAACTACTAAACAGTATCTTGTCCATATTTAAATATATGTATATGCTTTTATGACTAGTAAAACATAAAGATATATTAAATGATTCTTGAATTCTTAGATTTTGACAGTATACATTGTATTCAAACAACACACTGAGAAATTGTTTCATCTCAAGCTCTCTCCTTTATGCGCTATACTCTTGCTAAATGCCTTTCAGCTCCTAGAAAATGCTATAGTACACTACTTCTCACTTCCAGACCTCTGTACACGCTGTTCAGTCAGCCCAAAATGCTTTTCCCCACCTTCTCATGGCTAAGCCCTAAAATTTCATTGTATGAACTTAAATGTTATTTCCTGTGAAAAACAGCCTTGACACCCCCTCTGTTCTTATAACCCTGAGCCTGTGTTACTCATTAGCCCTTATTATGATTATCTGTCAACAGACTAAAATTATTAATTCTCATACTCCCAGTGCCTAACACAATGACTGGCATATAGAAGGCATTCGACTATTCAGTGCAGAAGCAAAAGGTCAAAATGAAGGGCTCTGTGGAATCTTTACCCCTTAAAAAGACCCTATAAATACACTTGAAGTTTGGGAACAACTGGGTTGAGCTATTTACCTAAAGGATTTTCAAAACTAATTAAGATTCCTGATATATAGACTACTTCTTAACCCCCACTCACCCCTATATCAGTCAAATTGGGCCAACTCCATGCAAAGTAGATTATTTTTTAATCACCTTCCCTCCCACCTACCAAATATGAAGTTAACCAACACACACAGAGAGGCATGTGTGCATGTGCAGACATACACACACACAGTCCTCATTCCCTCTTGCACTTTTATTGGTCTTTCATCGGTTGTTGATAAGACTGACTACATAAACCACCAGGGACCTGGAGCCCTGACTAAAAAAAAAAAAAAATCCTACAAAGTGGCCTCAATAGCATGAACTGCTAGATTCTGTAGTGACTGCCATTGAAAATTAAAGAAGATCTCTAGAAAGAAAAGTGTTGGAGCCTTCTTTCCATTCCCCAATGTTGGTGGATGACCACCTTCAAAGTTCTGAAGTCCAAAAAATATCTAAAAGCAGAGTAATTTAAAAAGCTTACTGTTTAGTCTAAAAGGATTTTCCTAGATCAAAAACAACTGTACCTATTTGGATACCAAAAATGAAAAAGAAATAGTGCAGAATCTTTAGATTGCCTAATGGGATCTGGAGAAACAGCTCTTAGTCCCAGTCTACATCCTAATGAGTTATGTAATAAAGGCTAATTCGCTTAGCTGTATTACACCTCAGCCTCCTCACTTATAAAACAAAATGAGTGACAAAGGTGCTTTCCAAAGTCCCTTTGACCTCCTAAGTGTGATGACTCTATAATCTTGGCCTTTGAAGTCCCTTGGCAATACCACCCAAGGATGTAATGATGCTTGTTGATGTTAATGTTTGGGTGTTTGTGGTTGTATATGTCTTGACCACTGTCCCACTCCAAGCAGGGGATCCTAGGGTAAGAACTGTACTGTGTCTCTTTTTTAATATCCCTCACAGTGCCCATCACCCTCTAGGTGCACAGATAATTCAATATACACTTATGTAAATGAATTGTTCCACAACTCACACTTTCAGCTAGCCCCTCACAGATGCATAAGAAAGCAAAGAACAACCAAAGAGAAGGAACAATATATTTAAACAAGATAAGGGGAATGAAAAAGAATCTTGTGTTTAAAAAGGATAGAAAGGTCTAACCATCTTCTATCCCAAACAACTGGCCAACATGAGAGCCTGTTTTCTTGAGCATAGAATGGTGGTAGGTATTTCAGCCTCGATGGAATCTGACCTGCTGATTAGTTATACAAGGCTAAAACTGACTGAAGTGTGTATGTAAGACAACGGTCTGGGAAGAGAAGCACTAAATTTAAGCTCACAGGGAATCAACCACTTAAAAAGGTAAATTCAGATAGAACTTTATCCAGATTTCATTTTTATGCATCCTCTCTACAAGCATAAACGCTTATCTTACTCACTTCCCATCTCATGATGCTATCATCAATTCTTATAAAATTTAGAAAAGAATAGGTGATGTCTCCTAATTAGAGAGTCTGCTTCTGTCACAAACTGTGACAGTCAGTGTCAGCCTTTGCCTGGAAGAAAATGAGTCACTTTTTCATTAGTAATCAAGTTATGTCTATTTTTTAAGAGTGACCCAGAAATTCAAGGCCATGAGTTTCAGCAATACGAGACAGAGAATCAGACACCACAAACATTGTATACAAATAGAATTAAGACAGAAAAATTAAAGTCAAGGAGGTACAGAGTTACTTTTCAGGATGACTGAGGTTTCAGAAAGGGCAAGTTGCCCCGTAAAATATTCTCAAGATGTGTCTGGCTTACACAACAAGAACCAGTATTTCAAAATCTTAAAGTGACAGGCAGTTAAACGACTAAGGCACTACCATCGTCTAGGCAAGAGAATCTTAACCACCATCAAATGTTTTCCACACAGAATAGGCAGACCTAGTTTATTCTGGAAAATTGAGGGTTTGGATATGTACTATATAATCAGAGGAAACAAGCAGTAAAGGACCTGAGCTAATTTGGGGTAACCAAAGACTTGGCTAACAGATGCTTCCTTACTCTGGATCCCTCATATGAATCAGATCTGGCCAGCGATATGCTGGACAGAAGATATCTGAGGTTGAGATACCTGATTTCTCAACTAAGGGAATGAACTATGCAGTACATGAAAACCAACCCTCTTCTTAGTGCCTCTGTTTTCCTATCACTTCCCCTATCCCAATCCATTCTTGCTCTTGCCTTAGAGATTCTTAGATTCTGATTTTCCTCGCAAAACATGGCCACAAGCCTACCGCCTCTCTGTCTGGTAGAAGTACAAGAATCAAGAGTCAAGGCCAAAAAGGTCTGAGGGAAGGAGCATAATTGCTCCCAGCTGCCCTCTCTTCCTGTCCCCAGGTCCTCTCCTTCACCCTCACTCTAGGCATTCTACCTCCAAACGTTCAAGTTAACATGTGCTAAAGGAATGATTTTCTAAATCACTTACCTGTCACTGTGAAACTAGATTAATCCACATACTGGTTTAGTAAAACCTCACACAAACCAGCATATACACAGAAGACAGCAATCAAGATGAAGAAAACGTTTGAAACCGTGTCATTAAGAAAACGTGATGAAGAAATTGGTAATGATTATTCCAGGAAATAACAGTCCCTTCTAGTCTCCTCAGCTCCCTTCCTCTCACCCTTCTCCTACCTATCCATCTTCTAAGGCACCACTAATATTCAAAGATTTAGGATCTAAGCAGTGCACCAAAAGTCCTCTGATTTTACTCTTTTGTCCCACAGTACTTGTTCCTTTGTCTGAGTGTCCATAGTTATTATCTGTGCCCCTACACTGGGATATTACAAACTGTTTTATTTTACACATCTCTGTATGCTTCATCTCCCCAGCAAGACTTCAGAAGACTGCCACCATGTCTTATGCAGGAGAAACTGCATTCACTGTCAGACAGTCTCTGGGTACGTATACTTGTGAATAAAGAAGTCAGGTAACACAGGCCTCTTGGGCTTTTCTGTCTATTCACAATACCCAGTACAGTGATCAGTTATAGTAGCCTGCTCAATAAATACTAGTGTGATAAAAATTAAACTTTTGTTTGAAAAGTGAGGATTCTATAGCGCTTCAGAGTCCATCTAACTTTCAGTGTTCAGCACACAGGATTATAGACAGTGACTGCAGGAAAATGACCTGAATCTATACAGATTTAATACCCTAAATGCTACCATTCTACATAAATCCTAATCAGATTATTTTCTTATTAACACCTACCTTTCTCCTCATATTTACGTGAAGGCAAAAAACTGGATAGAATGCTATAGTTGAATGTGTTCACTGAATAATATCACCCATCACTTAAATAATGTCTTTCTTAGTCTTTATTTTCACTTTTCTTTCATAAAACTCTTTTCATAAAGATCAAGTAGAAGACTGTTTAGGAGAAGAGCATTTTGAGCAGAAATTAACTGCATTACTTTTTCATAGGAGAAGGCTGATGGAGTCTAAGAATTGGCAATACATTTTTGGACTCAGAGGACTAAGTGCTAGTGAAGGTCACTGACAGTGAATAAATAGGATCTAGAAAATGTGCGGAAATCCAATAGAAATTTTAATTTACCTTACGTTGGGTTGTAAGGTAAAACCCAACTAAAAGAAATATGAAAACAAAATGCATAACACAGTCGCATGTGCACACGTGTGCATACACACATATGACAGGAGGACGGAGAGACACTAAACTTCATTCCTAACTACTGTATGTTGAGAGGAGGCCTAATGAAAACCTCTATCACACCCACATATTTATGCTAGCTTAATAAATTTTAAAGTGCTTGGAAATTTTTAGATGATTACTTTTTCTCATATTCTGATATCCCCCATTCCTTTGCTATCATTCATAAGGGCAGATGTAGACAAAATTAAAGAATTTAATTAAGCCTCTCCATATCCTGAAAGAGAAATATTTCTCATTTTGCTTAGTCACAAAAAAAGGGAGAAAAAAAGAATTCCTGTGTGAAATTAATGGTGCTAACGAGACATGCCTGAATAAGAAACTTCACATAAGATTACGATTGACCTGGAGACTGTGTTGAAAGAAACCTAGCTAAATTCACATCTATTAATGCCAGACTGCAGGCCAAAATTTGTTGATTTAATTTCTTGGCAGTTACCCAAGACAGGTAAAAGGATATAGGCAGAGCCTAAGAACCAGATTCTCCTACTTCTTCACTGAACACTGAAATATATAAAGGTCCCAACTGAAAGAATAAAAATTAGTTGAAAATAGTATGGAAATTATGTTGCTATGTGTTAAGAAGCTACTAACTGGCCAGGCACAGTGGTTCAGGCCTGTAATTCCAGCCCTTTGGGAGGCAGAAGTGGGAGGATCACTTGAGCCCAGGAATTCGAGACCAGCCTGAGCAACATGTGAGACCGTGTCTCTATAAAAAGTTTTAAAAATGGGAGACTGAGGCAGGAGGATGGATGGCTTGAGCCTAGGAGGTGGAGGCTGCAGTGATCCATGATTGCTCTACTGCACTCAAGCCTGGGCCACAGATGGAGATGCTAGTAACCAAGACTTCCTTTACAAAAGACCCCTTAGGGAAACATCATATTTGATAAAGGATTTTAATAGGACATAAGTATTAATAAGAATCACTTAGGAATGGTACTGTTAAAGGGTCCAGATCTCAAGTCCTAATACAAGGAAAAGCCTCACAGGACATACTCCTATGCATCTGTAACTCACTATGCAAATGTAAGGTGCCATATTCAACAACTTGTGACTTTTGTGCTGGCAACAACATTTATCAAAAATCACTGAATTTAACCTGTCTCAATTTCACAACTGCATAAATCTGTCTGGACTTGCTCCTGTTCCATTAGTAAAAAGAAAGGAGAAGTTTCAAATTAGTTCTCTCTACTGAAGCACACTTTAATAGACAATATCCTCTATCCCCACCTTCACTGCCCTCTTCTTCTATTTCATCCACAGTTATTACATTGAGCTTTCATGTTAAAGGCCATTTCTCAGAAATGCAGTATTCACCAAACCTGGCCCATGTACACTCATGTAACTATATGCAGATTTAGTGTTCTAGAATGATATGAGGTACTCAGGCCTACCTAATGCTACTGTCTTTAAATTTAGAAATTACATAAAGCAGTGTTTTAATCATATTCCTGATCTGAAAAGTCCCCTTTTTGTATACTTTCAAATGTTCCACACTTCCTTTTCAGAAGGTTCCATTTGAACTACCAACTTAAAACAGGTAATTCTGTCCCATTTTATTGACAGGCAAACTGAGACTCAACGTGACAGTACATTTTCCACGAGTATATCTCAGGTTAGCTACAGAGTGATGGGATCTTGAGTGAATTATTTAACTTCTCTTAGCTTCCATATAGTCTCTCTCTCACATGAGGACTAAAGTAAATACATGTAAACTACTTGAGAACAGACCCTAATACGCAATAATGTTAGCTAGCATTATAGACTTTAACTTGCCAAAGATCCAATTGTTAATAGGAATCAGGACTCAAACTTAAGTCTATCTGGCATAAAAAAACCTATGTCCTCAGCTGGGCGTGGTGGCTTACGCCTGTAATCCCAGCACTTTGGGAGGCCGAGGCGGGCAGATCATGAGGTCAGGAGATAGAGACCATCCTGGCTAACACAGTGAAACCCCGTCTCTACTAAAAATACAAAAAATTAGCCGGGTGTGGTGGCGGGCGCTTGTAGTCCCGGCTACTTGAGAGGCTGAGGCAGGAGAATGGCATGAACCCGGGAGGCGGAGCTTGCAGTGAGCCAAGAAAGCGCCACTGCACTCCAGCCTGGGCCACAGAGCGAGACTCTGTCTCAAAAAAAAACAACAACAAAAAACTATGTCCTCTTCATGTCACCAGTCAAGGATCTTCCAGGACCCTTACTCCACTCACCAGTGCAGGCTGAACCATACTAGGTCATAAGGCAAAAGAAAAAATCAGTACTACTGATCTCCTTATTTAAAATTTTGATAATTTTCAACTTATTTTGCATTAATTTTGATTTTTTGAACAACTACATACAAACATTATTTTGATTAGTGAGTTTTTTGGCACTCTCTTAAATTTCACAAGAGAGGCCTGTGCCTTACTTGCCTCACCATGGTCCCAGCCCTGCCATTCACTGGTGGCCCCTGTACAGAAGGCCACATTATAGTCAGTTTTTTTCATACTTGGCTTTACTCTGAACCTCTCTAAGAAGCCCAAGTTAATGAACTGGTAATTATTTTATGACTTCCCAAAGAAGTGTGAAATAATATGATAACAATATTGATTAACTGCAACTACTACCACAGACTTGAGTTATCTATTATATGTGGTACGCATAAATAGCATGCAATAAATAACTCTTGAATTAATAAAACCTGAACATATTACATTTTAAGAAAAGATTACTCTATGAGAGGTATTTAATGAGCCAAAAAAACAGCATTCTTTGTTTTATGTTAAAAAGATAAATGAACTATGGAAAACTGGCCAAGCTTCTGCTATCATTTTCCAGAAAAACTATACACACAATGTTCAGCTAAATAGGCACCGTACTTGAAGGAACTAGGCTGGCAGAACCAGTTTCAGCTGAGAAGAAAGAGAAAGTAATTTAACAGTTGATATTTTTCCCTGTCTATTTCTTTGATCTGACAATGCCCCTGTGCCTCCCTGAATGCACTCACAAGAAGGTGAAGGAAAGGGGGAAATGCTGAGTCAGCCATGACTTCTGAAAACGCCTTTTTGGGGGAGAAGCACCACAACAGAAACATTGCGAATGCATCCTCCATAAAAAGCTAAGTTCTAAGGGATTATGAGTGTCTCTACTCTCTACTTACTATACAGACATTTACCAAGAAGACAAAGAAGGCAATGGCTCTAGTTTTTCTTGGATGGATTCAGGAAATCTGGACCACCAACATGACTGCCTAATCCTGGCAAGGAGAATTGTTAGCTGTTAATGTTTAATGTTTATTACAGCTAGCAGACAAGTTTTAGACAAAATGTGACACAAAGTTATATTTTATAACACTTTATATTTATAATAATTTACCTTAAAGTGTAGTTTTTAGATCAGCACTTTAGCAAAAAGTGGACATTCTCAAATGCAAGCACCCATCTACAGGAACGTATACAACTCACGGTGACTTTCTGCTGTTTTACAAACACTATGTTAGATATTTACCAAGTGGTATGTATGAAATTCTGAAAGGCCCCTTTATATTTCCAATTTTCATCATTAAAAATAATTGCAGAGTAACTTATATCAGACTAGCCCTCTTGCTCTGGACAAAATATCAAAGGCACTGGAGAATCACTGAAAGCAGGCATAAACTAGAAGGGATATAAGCCTCAGAAAAAGCGAAGCAAACTATATGAAACCCACATTTACAGTTTTGTTTTTGTTTTTTTTTTATCGTGAAGGTACACCCCAGTTCATGCAGCAGAAGAGGAAGAGTGTGCAAGCAGAAAACGGAAGTCCTGCGATACTGAGGAGTCAGAGGTATCTGGAGCTGTCACAGCAGCTAGAATATGAGGAGAAAAATTCCTGGAAAAGACAGAACCACAGAGTGGGTAGCTTCAAAGTATGCATACAACTCTGCTCAAATCCTTAAATAATTCCTGACTATGCATGAGCAAGATAAGATTCAGAAACCCAAGAGAAAGTAAGAGCTGGACGGCTGAAAAGACTGAGCAGAAGGCTCCTGGGGCTGGGAGGACAAGTTCTGCCTTAGAGGGGCTTAATGAACACCTCAGGGCTTGGTAGGCCCCTCACACTTTCCACTGAACCCCTAGAAGGGTCACATCTTGGGAATAAGAGCCCTATCCCATGACTAAGATTTGTGTCATCGGACTAAGGGCAGAACAGAAGTAGGCCCACCCTAACGTGTCCTAAAACCTAGCATCCATAGGATCAAGATGATCTGCCAATCTTGACAAAATTCAACATTCTTTAGTGGGAGATAAACTTTAAAATCTATCACCCACAATGTCCAGTAAGTAATGTAAAACTACCATACATGTGTAAAGTAAAGGGAAGTCATACCCATGGTCCAAAGAAGGAGCAGGTGATAGAAACAGAAACACATCCATAGACAACCCAGATGTTAAGAACCAGCAGACAAAGATTTTAAATAACTACAATAAATGTCCTTAAAATACATATTTTGTCAATTATACAAATCATAACCTAACCTACCCCCAGAATCCTAGTGAACTTGAGTTGTCCATGATCTTTAATCAAATTGGGATTTAGAATGGTTTATATTTGAAAATCTGAAGCAAACAACTTGAAAGTGATTAATGACATCAAATTTAATTACATATTTACACCTCCCAGTAGGACAAGGGAAAGAATAAAATATCTTATCTCCCTGTAGTGAGAGGGCTTTATTAAGATTTGACAGTAGTTATTTAACAGCAATAATTGAGTTTTATGCAAGATTATACAAGTTCTCCTAATCTGGCATCAAAATCTAATCACAGACTGATAGGGTACTTAGGCTCCTAACACTGAGAAAAAACAGTTGAGCTGAGTACAAAACTAATCTTCAAAAGTAGTTATCTTCATCTGTCAATGTGATCTTATCAAGGATTTTTATAATTTCTATAAACAATCATTATATTTTAGCTGAATCAGTAGCATTATGCTGTCTAAACAGATAGTCAGATTCCTTCTATTTTAAAACACTTTCTACCAGTTCCCATCCCACCACTCACCACTCACCCCCACGCTGGCCCTGTAAAAGGAATTTGGCTTCAACTTTCTTTTCTTAATCCACTAAGCAATCGCATGAATAAAAAGATAATCACATGCCCTGCATGCCTGATAGAATTTTTATAAATCTTCTGTTTTAATATTTATTTTCTATTTTGTGAAAATAATATTTACTGAACAAGCTAGATCATCTTCTTTCTCCACAGAAAAAAAGGTAAGGTTGGTGAAAATACACTGAAAGCTCTGCTAGGTACACATTATTTTTGCATAAAATTTTGCTTAAAATTCTGTGGAGGCTGGCAAAGCACTGTAGAATGATTGACGTGGCTGCCTTGATATTGTTCTTGCTTTTTCTTTGTCCACTTATGTTGACCCTGCCACTCCTAAATATGCTAATATTACTTTTGCTGAGGTAGGGAATCACTCTCTTTATACAAGTTTTGTTGTTCATCTTGGTCTCCCAAAAGGATGGCCTCACCAAATTTTTTCTTTCTCTCAAGGAGTTTGTTTCCCTCAAAACAGGAAAGACATCTGAGGGACATACCCAGAACTGTATCCATAAGCATTCCATCCTATCAACAATTAACAAGTAGCCAGGGACAGAATTTAGGCAGCTCCATTTTCTTTTTTTTTTTTTTTGGAGACACAGTCTCGCTCTGTCGCTCAGGCTGGAGTGCAGTGGTGCAATCTTGGCTCACTGCAAGCTCCGCCTCCTGGGTTCAGGCCATTCTCCTGCCTCAGCCTCCCGAGTAACTGGGATTACAGGTGCGTGCCACCACGCCCAGCTAATTTTTTGCATTTTTAGTAGAGATGGGATTTCACCGTGTTAGCCAGGATGGTCTCCAACCTTGGTTGGAGAGTATGAGACTAGCAGCCCAACAGTCCAACAAAGAACTATTGGACTTCTTCCCAACAGTGACCCTTAGGTGTCCTCTCCTGGTAAGTGCTCAGAGATTAGTCTCCCCTAGAAACCTTCTCTCCCCATGTCAGACCAAAAATATATAGGCGAACACTTAGAACATATTTGAAATTCTCCATATATAAGTCACCAAGTTGAATGATCTTCAAATAGAACCAATTTGCCTCTCTGTATGGTATTACCACCCTGAATGCTATGTGAAATAAATAAATTTTTTTTTAATTTTGCTTTTAAGTTTTGGGATACATGTGCAGAATGTGCAGGTTTGTTTCATAGGCATACATGTGCCATGGTGGTTTGCTGCACCTATCAACCCGTCATCCAGGTTTTAAGCCCCACGTGCATTAGGTATTCATCCTAATGCTCTCCCTCCCCTTTCCCCCCACCCCCTGACAGGCTCCAGTGTGTGATGTTCCCCTCCCTGTGTCCATGTGTTCTCATTGTTCAACTCCCACTTATGAGTGAGAACATGCCGTGTTTGGTTTTCTGTTCCTGTGTTAGTTTGCTGAGAATGATGGCTTCCAGCTTCATCCATGTCCCTGCAAAGGACATTAACTCATTCTTTTTTATGGCTGCATACTATTCCATCGTGTATACATGCCACATTTTCTTTATCCAGTCTATCACCGTTGGGCATTTGGGTTGGTTCCAAGTCTTTCCTACTGTAAATAGTGCTGAAGTAAACACACATGTGCATGTGTCCTTATAGTAGAATGATTTATAATCCTTTGGGTATATACTCAGTAATAGGATTGCTGGGCCAAATGGTATTTCTGGTTCTAGATCCTTGAGGAATCGCCACACTGAAATTTTTAAAGGAGAGAACCAGTGTCTTCTTATTTAACATAAATAGATAAGAAACATGTGCATGACGGTATCTACTTAGCACCTTTTAGTTTAAGAAACACATTGCTGAACAATAACTACACCAGGCACTGTACTAGGCATTAACTATGCAAAAAATGCATAAGACTAAGACCTCACATTCTAGCAAAAGAAACACATCAACAAATGACCATAATGCAATGGGGTTAACTACCACAAGAGTTGCATAACAGAATAAAGCAAGCAACTAACGCACCAAATGCCACAAAAAGACTAAACAAGATTTCAGTGGCCTACTCTAAGGTATTAAGTTCCCTCCCTTATTATCTCCAGTTGTATCTCCATTCTTAGAGGAGAATGCACCACATTTTTTTTTCCCCCAGCTAGAAAAACTAAATGAGCAGCCCATAATAAGCTACATAAAACCTTTATTTCCAATGTTATCTTTATTCCAATCCAAACAACCTATTGTTAAGCTTTACTGTCATCACAGCTTAATTTTCACTTTAGTGAAGAAAATTATTTCTGACTTGAAAAAAAAATCTTGTTTATAACATTAAAAAACTAAATCCTGGTGTCAGAACAGATCTCACTGGAAAAAAGTTGTAATTACATTCCTGGTAAGAAATAAAAATGTGTTGGATAAACTCACTTAAAATGCTTACTAAGCAAGTACCTCCACCAAAGCAAAGAAGAACTACTCCTCACAAAAATGAAGGAAAAGAAGAGAAATTTCATATTACCAAATTTTATTTCTCCAGCATCTTCCCTGAAATAAACAGAATGGATACATATTCCTCTTAAAAATTTTCAATTGAGGCAGAAGAAAAAAAATTATTTGCAGGAAACATAGAAAAGCTATTATGAAATTATCTCACAGCCTTCCTCAAACAAACAAAACGTCTTGGCTAGAGTAGATGGTTGGAGAAAAAGGAAAAAAAAATGCTCTTAAGCCAAGAACTAGCCTACATTTTCCTTCATCCTTACTCTTTTATCCCCATATAATAATACACACCCAAAGCCCCTGCTCCCCCTCAATCTACACATATGCACACATCTTCCTCTCTCACTGTCTCACTTTCAGAATTAGATTTTTTACACTAGAAAAAAATATGAATATAATATTCACATATACTGGGCCGAATATTAAAGTTGATATCTATTTGGTTTTACTTAAAAACAAGATAATAGATAACATGTTAAGGGGAGACTCTAAGAGTATTCCTTAATCTGAAAAACACAAGGGAATCTAATATACATTTTTTTATTTTTTTTTATTTCTTTTTGAGACGGAGTCTTGCTCTGTCACCCAGGCTAGAGTGCAATGATGTGGTCTCAGCTCACTGCAACCTCCGCCTCCTGGGTTCAAGTCATTCTCCTGCCTCAGCCTCCCGAGTAGCTGGGACTCCAGGCATGCGCCACCACACCCGGCTAATTTTTGTATTTTTAGTAGAGATAGGGTTTCACTATGTTGGCCAGGCTGGTCTTGAACTCCTGACCTCGTGATTCGCCCAACTCAGCCTCCTGAAGTGCTGGGATTACCAGCATGAGCCACCATGCCTGGTCTACCCCATATACATTAACTAGCCACTCACTGAAAAGTCTTTTTCATAGTGAGAAAGATAACAGTAAGATAGTAAGAAGTTCTTATTAGCCAATTATCTGGCATCCACATCCTTCCATCCTCACCCCCAACCAAAATCTGTACCAGGAAAGCTCAAGAACCAGTAACATTCCACAGAAGCATTAAAAATAGAGGAGTAGAATCAAATCTTGTCCAGTGTTCTATCGCAAAAAGAAAATATATGAAGAGAAAAACTTACTTGCAGTATCCTGTGCCATTGTGGTAGGTAACACACATTCCTTCATTTACACAGGGTTCATAGCCATCTCGACACTGCAATGCTAAAAATAAAAACAAATGCACATTAGAAGTAAGTCACTAATCATAACCCTCAGACACCAAAGAAGTGTAATCCAATCCAGATCAGCATTCATTCCCACCTAATCTGGGTTTCTTTTTAGAGTTTTAATCAGTTTTTTATGTTTTGGCTTCTAGCACAGAAGCCCATCCCAAAACTATCTTCCAACAATAACCACGTTTGTGGTCTTGAATCATGCTCTTATTTCTCTGTGTTTCAGTATCTCCAGCTGTTACATCTCCATCTCCCAATTAAAAATTAAAGCCATACCATCTATGACATGACACATCATCTTGGGATTTAGATACTTCAGATGAGTATTATAAGGATTCATCAATGAGTGTTTAGGAAAATGCTAGATAAATAATAGATCACCATTATACTGATGAATTACTTAGCCTTCAGGTGAAGTTTTAAAACAGACCGCTTCAAGAAGTAATCAGAAACAGCAATAACAGTAATTCGACAAACTAAAATTGAGAGCCTAGTATGCACCAGGCACAAAATTAGGATCCAGAAAAAAGGAGAAATGGAATACATAAATAAACGAATAAACATAATCTCTAGCTTTAAGGGGCCCATAAAAAGATGGGGAGTAGATCATGAATAGAGACTGCAGAGAGAGTATCAAAAGAAATAAAAGGAGAAGGCAATTTTATACATACAGATAAAACAAAAATTCTCAAACTGTTGATTCCCCCATTCCCTTTAAGAGACAATAAAAAGGCACTTTACCATCTCAGGCCCTCCCAAAAACAGACTTTTCAGAGAAAAGAACAAAAACAACAGCAATAGTAGACATTTTCATTGATTTCAGCCAAGAATGGAAGAAGTCTACTCGAAATCTGCTAATCACTTGCTGGATAATTACAATATCTTGATTGTTTAGCTTTTAGAGTTGAAATTTTCATCACCAAAATACATATCAAGAACCCTAACAACTGGAAAGGTAAGACAGAAAGAAACCTAGTCAAACAATAAATATCAAATTGAAGCTCATGAACTCTTTCTTGGAAGTTATTAAGATGTCCATCTCTTATGATAGTTAATGTATAAATACCTGAAAGCAAAACTGAGAAGTTCCCCCCTCCAAGTTTCCTCTAACCACACCACTCTATGCATAAATTGTGCAAGATCAGAGACGCTAGGCCTGGCCATCCCTGGCCACGAAACCAGTAGCCCAGGTGCAAGCTGGATGTCAGAACAACTCCTCCAACAACAATTACTGCATAAAAGCCCAGTATTGTATCCAGTAGTAGAATCATTTGAGAACATGTTTACAGAAAATGCATCCCATCCTTGAAATAGTATTTTTAAATGGTAATAGTAATAATAATAGGCTAACACATAGAACTTACTAAATACCAGGCACTATCCTAAGTACTTTACATAAATTAGCTAACTAATTCAATCTTCACAACAACCCTTAGAAGTAAATTTCATTATACCCATTCTCAGGTGAGAAAACAGGGAGGATAAGTGGCCTGCCTACTGCCATGCCAGTGAGTTAGAAAGCTAGAATTTGAATCCAGAGACTCTGCCCTTAACCACCAAGATACACTGCTTCCCACTACCTGAAATTTCTCAGGATTGGCAGGGTGGATATTATTATACCCATTTACCAATAGTAGAGGCCAGAGAGAATAAGTGGCCTCTTTACGGGGCATCGCGCCACTAGCTGGTGGCAGTGCTGGGCCTAGGACCCAGGTCTCAGTAAAAGTCCAACCCATCTCTATGACAGCTGTTGGGATCACACAAAGAGTCACCAGGCTGCAGGCCCAAACAGGCAAATTCAGGAAGAGGGTCATCTTGTTGTCCATATCCCACTTCCCTGTAAGGCTCAAATGCTCCCTCTTCCCACACTGATAAGCCCAATGCAACAACTATAATTAAAACAGTTAATGTCAGGTTATTTCCTCCATACCAAAGTTCTCAAACTGATTTTTTCATTCTCTTTAGACACTTTTATTAGTTTCAGTGAGAACTTCCGGGGTTTTTTCTATTTACTTTTTTTCTTTAAATAAAATAATAAATAAATAAAACCCTCACAGTAGGAAAGGAATGTCCTGTAGGCACAGAAAAAGCTGTAGCTCTGTCCCCCTGCAGGAATCCTGGTGCAGTGGAGGGACTCAGGAGACCTGAAATCCTGTCTGTACCCCTAACTGCAAGCAAAGCACAACTTCATGGGGGCTCAATTTCCCTACCTGTACCAAGCTGAGAGCGAACTAAATGTCCCTAAAGGTTCCCTGTGATCCACCAGCGACAGCTCCCTCCTTATAAGTACATGAATGGCATGCCCAGTGCCTGAAGAAACCTGGAGTACATAATGACCCAGCCACCCATGACTCAGAATGCCATGGGTGCAAAAATCACGGCCTGTTCCTATTAAGTGTCCTGACAAATCATTACAGTGACAGGTTCAGAGAAATACAAACAACCCAAAGTCAATATGTAGCAATCAATCTAGCAAATAACTTTACAGCCTAGCCCTAGTGAACCAATCAAACTCAGTGACTGAAAAGAAGGTGGGCTTACCAGGCTAATAATTAATGCCACTTGGCTGATGTGTGGGATCATGCTACCTTGAACCTTTAGCATTTACTGAGCCACGGTTCTCAAACTTTAGTAAGCATTGGAATCACTTGGAGGGCTTTTTAAAAAAGAGTGTTAGACTCGACCCCCACAATTTCTGACTAAGTCTGCAGGGAGCCTGGGAATCTGCATTCCTAACAAATTCCCAGGTGATGTTGATACCACAGGTCTGAGGAACCACACACTGACTATGACTATATGAACGCTTGAGTGTCCACTTTTAAAAATACTCAAAAGCTATATAATATAGAGGTCTTAGATGATTTAGATGATAACATATCGTCTGAATAAACAGGATGTGGAGAAATGGAACCCTTCTACTCTGTTAATGGGAATGTAAATTAGTACAACCATTGTGAAAAACAGTGCAGACGTTCCTCAAAAAACTGAAAATAGAATCACCACATGATCTGGTAATCCCACTGCTGCGTATTTACCCCAGATATTTTAAATCAGTTTATTGAAAAGATGTCTGTACACCCATACCAAGTTATGGAAGTGTCCATCAACAGATGAATGGATAAATAAAAGGTGGTAGATAGGCCGGGCACAGTGGCTCACGCCTATAATCCCAGCACTTTGGGCGGCTGAGGCGGGTGGATCACGAGGTCAGGAGTTCAAGACCAGCCTGGCCAAGATGATGAAACCCCATCTCTACTAAAAGTACAAAAATTACAGCACGCCAGTAATCGCAGCTACTCAGGAGGCTGAGGCAGGAGAATCACTTGAACCTGGGGGGCGGAGGTTGCAGTGAGCCGAGATTGCTCCACTGCACTCCAGCCTGAGTGACAGAGAGAGACTCCATCTCAAAAAAAAAAAAAAAAAAAAAAAAAAAAAAAAAAAGCTGTGGTAGATACATAAAATGGAATACTATTCCACCTTTAGATATAAATTCTGTCATTTGACACAACATGGATAGAATTGGAGAACATTATGCTAAGTGAAATAAGGCACAGGAAGACAAATACAGCATGTTCTCACTTATATGTAGAATTGAAAACCATCAAAATCATAGAAGCAGAGAGGAAAATGGTGGTTACGGAAGCTGTGGGCCTGATGATCAATGGGTACAAAAAGCTACAGTTACACAAGAAGAATTTTTTTGTATATGTTTGAGATATATTGCATAGTGTGGTGAATATAGTTAATAATAGGGTATTATACATTTCAAAATTGCTAAGAGAGTAAATTTCAAAAAATGTTAAATATTTGAGATGAAGGATATACTACCTACCTTTTAATTGTTCTACATTGTATTAGCAAATTATAACATCACTTTGTACCCTATAAATGTATACAACTATAAACTGACAATTCTAATTTTTAAAAAAGAAAAATAATCTTGAGACTCGTGGCTTTACTCAGGAGCAAAAATGAATACTATAATTATCTTCCATACAAAGAGAAATTAAAACTTTGATAACCTGAAGCCATGAAAGTGAGACCGGGACAGACCTCATTTCAAAATTCAATTTACTTTTTTCCAATGTAAAACACTTAAATTTAACAATAAAATTGAAGGCAGCTTCATGCTTATAAAGTAAAAAAAGAAACATTAATCATACCATAGAGAATTGATGTTTAAACTGATGCTTTAATAGACTCCAAGAAACTAGTCACTCACAAAGAGTCACATTTAACCCCAATTTTCATGTCAATAAATACTTGCTGGCTGAAATAAATCTTATTTACTGTGTGTGTATCTGCTGTTTGTGCAGGCCCTCCTCTACTCCACCAAAAAAAAAAAGGCAAAAAGAAGTAGTAGATTTCAATCTCATCACTCCATCATTTGGCAATATAATACAAAAATCTAGAAGCCAATTTCCAATTTTCATACACTTTCAGTGCAGTGCATTTGGGAACTAGCTATCTAATATTCAGAACATATTTAGAAAGCATCTACTATCGGCAGGCACAAGCCCTGATGTCAGGGATACCGTAGTATACAGAATAAACTCCCTGTCCTCAGGAACCTTATTTCTATAAGAGAAAGGTGGCTAAAAAATTAATAAATAAAATAATTTAGGACAGTAATAAGCGATAAGTTCCATTGGAAACAAAACCCAGTAATGTATAAAAAGCAATCATGAAGGCTGGGGGTGCAGGAGTGTACCTCAGATAGTGTCTAGGAAAGGCCTCCCTGAGGAGGTATGCTTTGAGCTACAATGTAAATGAACAAGTGTCATGAAGATATGAGGGAATAGCACCCCAGGCAGAGGAAACAACAAGTGTAAAAGCCTTGAAGTGGGAATTAGACTGGTATTCCAGGTTCATATGGCTAGAGGTTATTAAGCAAGGACAGAGGCCAGGGAGGCAGGCTGGGGTTAGATCACAAGAGCCCATGATAAGGATCACAGCTCTAAGTAGGAGAGTAAACTGCTCAGCTGTTTTAAATAAGAAAAATGACACAGATTTATGTTTGAAAAAAGTCAAGATTATGAAATGGTCCAGTGAGTAAAAAGGTTTTTCTTTTCTTTCTTATATAAGCTTATTCAAGTCATCCCTTTTTAGACTAGACTGAAGACATCCATTTTCCCAGCTCCCCAAAATGGCAATGATTTTATTCTAACCGCATCTAACCTTCCAGAAGCACTACTTGTAACATGTTGCCCCACTACTTTCTAACCTACAATGGCTGTCAGTTCTTACTTAGTTCTCAGAACTTAGCCTCAGTTTGGCTCTCCTAAGAACCAGTTGGGAGGTCTGTGCAGTACCTTCACACAGTACCAAGTTTGACACTTTTTCTTCCAAGGACAAGCCATTTCTTACTTTAACCAGTCTAGGCTCCCATGCTGGCCTTCCAGATCAGAGCTTACCTTACGTGCCCAGTATTACTCCCCACCACTTCCACTGCATTCTCTGCCCAGTTTATGCCCTCTTTCCTGAATAGATCGTCATTGAACTCAGTTCCATTCCTCCATGCATGTCTGTGCTTCCACTGATTTCTGCCTTCCTCATTACTATCTAAATTCTACCCATTCCTTCAAGGCCCAGTTCACCTCTTGCCTCACCCAGAAAGCTTCCCCTGGAGGGTTCTGGTCCTCACAGGGCCACCCCCCCCCATCCTTGTAACACTCATGACTCTCAATTCAGCACTACAGGGTCTTCTAGCTCTCTGCTTTTTCACTTTTAAGTTCCTGGGATATGGAAAACATTTCGTCTTTTCTGAGTATTTGAAGCAATGCAGTTAAGCAGTTGAAAGCACGGATGCAGAAATCAGACAAATCTGGGTTTGAATACTAGCTCCACCATTGACTATCTCTGTATCTTCTTTGTGCTTGATACAGTTTGGCTATTTTGTCCCTTCCAAATCTCACGTTGAAACATAATCCCCAATGTTGAAGGTGGGGCCTACTGGGAGGTGTTCAGGTTATGGGGGCAGATCTCTCATGAATAGCTTGGTGCCCACCCACAGTAATGAGTGAGTTCTCGCTACCATGTGAGCTGGTTGTTTGAAAGAGACTGACATCTCTCTTGCTCCCTCCTCTCTTGCCATGTTACATACCTGCTCCCTCTTCACCTTCAGCCACGAAAGTTTTTTGGGCCCTCACCAGAAGCAGATGTTGGCTCTAAACTTCTTGTACAATCTGCAAAGCTATTAGCCAAATAAACCTTTTTTCTTTATAAATTATTCAGCCTCAGGTATTCCTTTAGAGCAATGCAAAACAGACTAACATACTTCTTTTAAAAAACTATAGCACTGAAGGCATAAGGAGAAGTGATCCACTAAAGGTAAAATAAACAATATATGTGAGCAAAAACTCAATTTTAATACAGTTCCACTAATATTTGTCGAGAAACTACTGTCAGCATTGTCCCCTACTAGGCACTGCATGAAAACTAAGCACAAATAAAACAAACAATCTCTGTCCTCATGGTCCTTACAATCTAATGAGAAGTTGGGAGTAGGGGCAGAGAGAATGTGACCTACCCAAATGACTCTAAGATAAATACAAACAAAATAAAAATTGCCAATATATACCCTTGGCATACCCTCTTAATACCAATCTTGGAATCACTCCAAAAAGAACTTTTAAGAAATACAATAGGAACCCTTGATGTTTAGCACTAACTGTAACTCAATCCAGACAAGGCTCTTTTATTTATTCAGGTTTATCAGCCCCAATTATACATCAAAACTGCCAACAACAGAACAAGCTGCCATTGATTTTAACCAGCTCCAGCGCCTCAGAAATTTATTCATTTAAGGATAAGGCTAAGGTATCCAGACTTGATGGACTCTTCCTTAAAATTTCCTCTAGGCATTTACCTAGGTTTTCCAATGCTTTTCAATATCATACCAGCTACATATCACTGGCTTAAAAGCCTCCCTTTGTTTTAGGAATCTCTAACATGAGTAATTAAGTCTGTACTTCAGCCAGTGTAATCTGAGCAGCCTTCAATGTGTTTTACTTGTTGCATTAACATGTAATCGTTTTAAACTGGCATTACTTGTTGCTTTGTAGCTTCTTCAAATAAGCCTCTGTCGTCTATCTCACATGATTTTTTTCATATCCTTCTCCCTATCTGCAGTGTGGTATCTGTGCTTAGACCCACTGCTCAATCGGAAGGTATTTTAATGTCTTGACTGTCTGAGGCTCCTAAAATACATGAAGAGGAGTTATACAGGCTCTTTTAACTTTTTCTTCAATGTTTATGCAAATTTCAAGTAGCAATATTTGAGAGATGAAGTCTGAGTTTACGCCCTAGGATCTTGGCTGTGGTTGGCTGCTGTTGATTCTGGCACATGGCCTCTGGAAGAGGCTCAGTAAAATGAACAAAGCAAAGTTTTCTAAAATGACTGCCTGCATTATTACCAAAAATAGGAGAATTGAGGGCAGACAAAGAGACATCAGGGATTTGCAATAATTCTCATAGCGCCCTGCAATTTCAAACAAAACTTTCTCTAAATTTTGTATTCCATTTTTTGGGATCAAGCCATGAAAAAAAAATCCAAACAAACAGAAGAAGTGCGGAAGCTTCAAATCCCAAGTGGTACATTTAAATAAAAACGAAGCGGAGAAACATGTCTTCCTCCTTGAAATTTGTCTTGATTAAAAGGAAAAAAAAAAACCAAAAAAAAGCAATAAGAGATAAATCGATTTTGTTTTCCTAATAGTGTTCCAAGGATTTATGTGCTCTTTACAGATATTATCATATAGAAAGTGTGTTTTCTACCTAAGAGATGCTAGTATCAGATCCAGATATTAAGAACTGGGCTATAGGGTCATAGCAAATTATTACTGCTTTTCAAAAACTGAAAATATACCTTAAGAAAATATAATCAACGATAACAACTTATAAATGAATATTTTTTGTATTACTAACAGACTTTTCATACTATAAAAAAATCATTCCAGTTAGCTGATAAATCTAGAATAATTTTTGGTTTTAAAAACTCCAATTTTGTTCTATTTTATAATATTGAACTCATTGCAAAAAAAATTCATCAGTGTTTGCTGTGCTATATTGAAATCTACTATACACTGTGTAGTTTTTCCTTTTATTTTTCTCTTATTAAAGACTTCAGAAAAAAATTCAATTTATGCATGGGTTAAATTTCAATACCTGGATCTTGGAGATGAGACTAATGCATTCAGCTCTTCTACATGAAATATAAGGTTTGAAAAATCCACAAATACTTACAAATTAGGATGTAGCCAATTTGCTAATAATGATCACCTCTATACCCATGTACATTCTTTTACCTGAAAAATATTTTACCTCCTTTTCCTTTTTCTCTATCTTGCTAAATTCCTACTATATTTCAAATCACAGATAAAGCATTATTTTCCTGAAGAAGCTCTCAGAGACCCACTGATACAGATGTTCCTCTTCTGTGCTCCCATTTTATCCTAGGTAGATGTATTATAAGTGCTGGCTCACTCATCTCTCTCTCTCCCACTTCTAGGCAAATTCCATAGAGGCAGTAACCACAATTGGCTCCTCTTTGTACACCTGGGACCTAAGAAGATGCCTGGACCACAGCAGGTACTCAATACTCAATAAGATATTCAATAAACTAAATATCTATAATTAAGACAAAACCTATGAATAAACCCAACCTTCAGCTTGCATGTTTATGTGTGGAATTTCACTTTGTGTAACAAATTAGAAAAGTAAAATAAGAAAGAAAAAAATGCTGCAAATTTCCAGGCCTTTAACAAGGATGAAAAGTTGAGAAAGTAGAATTGTACTTTTCTAATCTTTGCAAAACTAAAACAGTTTTGAAAGTTCCTTTCTTACCATTTGTTTGAATGAAGATACACTCTCCACTCTTAGCCTCCTATAAATCTTAAGCCATGTGTATTATGGTAAAAACTAGCTGAAATAGGTTGAATGGAAGCCAAAATAATTTACATCTAAATGAAAAACATAGAAAACAGAGTAATAAAAAAATTCCAACTGAATGGGAAAATTCATTGTATAGTATTATCTTCCCCATGAGTAGGTTCACTAATACACATCGGCAGAACAATAAGCACCAACGAGATCCAAATGACACTGACCAACATGATCACAGTTTACATGTCCAAAAGGTTCAGGATCTCAGTGTAATAAAACCCAACAGAGAGGAAGAAGCTGTATCATATCTAGAAATTTAATTATTCTCTACAAAAAGTGCTATATATTTGTGTGCTGCTTAGTGGTCAAAGAAAGTGAATATGAAGTGTTATTCCATGTCTTGTCTTATATCTTGTATTATCTGTTCTGTTCCACTATCTGTATTTGTACTATTATCAAGACAAATTTTGCCTGTCACCAATTTCCTGTGCTTTTAGTAAACTCCCTTTTTAAAGCTTTTTTTTTTTTTTTTTTGAGATGGAGTCTCGCTCTGTCACCCAGGCTGGAGTGCAGTGGCGCAATCTCAGCTCACTGCAAGCTCCTCCTCCTGGGTTCACGCCATTCTCCTGCCTCAGCCTCCCAAGTAGCTGGGACTATAGGTGCCCGCCACCACATCCGGCTAATTTTTTTTGTATTTTTAGTAGAGACAGGGTTTCACCGTGTTAGCCAGGATGGTCTGGATCTCCTGACCTCGTGATGCTGGGATTACAGGCGTGAGCCACCGCGCCCGGCCTTAAAGCTTTCTAAAGATTATTTTGTTAAGTACAGCTTAGTTTTTTTAAGTCCTTAATTTTAAGTACATGCTTTTAAGTACACTTGCTGGAAAAAAATTTATAAATATATATAATCTTCTTGCTATACACACAAAAGAAACAACATATTCTTTTAGCTTAAATTGCTCAGGACACTTTTTAAATGGAGTACACAATTTCTCATGTTTGTTAATTTAGAGGTAGACACCCAAACAGAATGAATAACAAAATTATGTTAAAAATGAAAATGGAAAAACCTAAGATTGCTACATATTATTATATAAAATCATGGATACTTCCTAAAACAAAACAGGGAAAATCCAAAGAACAACCTCAGATTTCCCTACATGCATCCTTCCTCATAGCCTTTTTAAAACATCCTTGGGTGGTAGCAATGAAGGCTACTCACAAGGATGGGGACAGAGGTCATCAGGGATACCATAATCAATGTACTGTGCAAAAATAGTGCAGAGGAGATTGGTTAGTCCTACATAAAGTCCAACTACATGTATGGCTAACTATTCTCAAGTCAGGGTTCGCAGAAGCTAAGGTCCTAACATTTGGATTATTTTTATATTATTATCTGGATCAAATAATATGCCTTCAGCCAAAATCAAACTCTGTTCACCTGTGAATAGTATTCCTGTACCCAAATTCCTGTACACATCACTGAGAATTGTCTAAACCCAAGTGCCTCAAAAGGTCCTAAACCCTTGACTCATAGCCAGGATATTTCTTTTTTTTATTATTATACTTTAAGTTTTAGGGTACATGTGCACAACGTGCAGGTTTGTTACATATGTATACATGTGCCATGTTGGTGTGCTGCACCCATTAACTCGTCATTTAACATTAGGTTCTAATAAGCTCAGAAACTAGCACTGTGAGGGAAATATCTAAATATGGAGATTATAAATGCCTATCATTGCCATTTCCAGAGAACACACCTGAGGCCAAAAACCTTGGAACAGAGGAAAGCAGATAATAGAAAAATATCAAATCTTTATTAAATACCAAAGGGAGAAGAAAACATAAAATATAGCCCTAAACGGCCAGGCGCGGTGGCTCATGTCTTTAATCCCAGCACTTTGGGAGGCCGAGGTGGGCGGATCACGAGGTCAGGAGATCGAGACCATCCTGGCTAACACGGTGAAACCCCATCTCTACTAAAAGTACAAAAAAAAAATTAGCTGGGCATGGTGGCGGGTGCCTGTAGTCCCAGCTACTAGGGAGTCTGAGGCAGGAGAATGGCATGAACCCGGGAGGCGGAGCTTGCAATGAGCCGAGATTGTGCCACTGCACTCCAGCCTGGGTGACACAGCAAGACTCTGCCTGAGAAAAAAAAAAAAAAATATATATATATATATATATTCCTGAACTTCAATTTTTATTTATTTTATTCTCCCTTGCTTTGTTTCTTCAGACATACAACTATGTCCCACATCAACACAACTTGGGTCTCCTGGTCAACAGAAAAAAATAATAATGTGTACTTAATGATATTTGATGAGGAGCTGATAATCTCAATGTCCAAATCAGTTCCTCTTAAAAACGCCAGTCCTCCAACTCCATCAGCGTTTTGATTACTCATATTCTTTCTTTATTGTAAATGCAAGCAAGAATTTATCTTTAAGACTACTCAGATTTCTGCAGAGTTGTAGCAGTCATTTTAATAAAAAAGCAGCTCAACACACTAACAGTCACAATTTGGTTTGCAAGTGCTCACAATCATTCTATTTGCTCATCCAGTTGTTGCTGGAATGACAAAGACAGCAAAGACAGAAAATTTTGTATATATTAAGTGACCATATTGGAACTTAAAACTTTCCATGTTTGTGTCTTTAAGCACAGAAGAGAACTCTAGGTTTCTCCATTTGCAGCAACACCTAATTTGGCAAACTCAAAAAGTTACATTGTCTTTGATAAAGGCTTTCTTTGTTCTAGAGAGGTCAAAAGATTTCTCTCCAGCTTCAGCCTGAAGATCTCGGATCAAAAGAAACAATATAAATTCCAATATATTAAATTTTAAAATGGGGGGTAAGCCCTAGAAGGGGTATTGGCTTTCTTGAGCCCAGTGCTTCCCTGATTCTCACAAATGAGTAATAAACTGCTAAAGAAAGAGAGAGAGAGAAAAGAAAGAAAAGAAAAGAAAAAAAAGAAAGAAAAAAAGAAAAGAGAGAGAGGAAGGGAAAGGGAAAGAGAGAGGAAGGAAGCAAAAGAAAGAAAGGAGAGAGAGAAAGGAAAGGAAAGGAAAGAAAAGGGAAAGAGAGAAAGAGCAAGCGAGCGAGCGAACGAGCAGATGCCCTGGCCTACCTTCCATTTCATCTGCTTTGTTGCCACTCCTGTCTGGAAGCCTAAGGGAATTCCACCAGAAGACAGATTCTGGAGCTAGGCAACACCTAAGTGAGGTCTGCTCCACCTAGCTTCAGCCCAGCTATAATACCATGGTAAGTGCTTGAAAAATGTCAGCCAAGCTAAACTGTTAATGAGCAGGCCCAGTAGTTTTCTATCTTCCTCCGAGAGAGGATAACCAAGTCTTTAATTTCCCATAAGACAAAAAGAAAATCTGCAAAATTACAGTTTATTCTAGTCTTTAATGGTAACAATGACCTGGCACAGGAGATATTTCCATCTCTTTTGTTTATCACTCTTAAAATTCTCTCTTCAATAAAACTCCGTTCTACTTTAGGGACATGGGAGTGACACTCATGTTGAACAAGAGGGACTTACAAAGGGAGTTTTACCAGTTTCACCACTTCGGGCCCAGTGGGAATGTCCTTCCCATCATCACCTCATCACATTAACAAGATTAAGTCCTTTGGAAAACCAGTATAAAAGCAAGGAACCCTCAGTTCAAGCAAAGGGACAAAGGATTTAGTAAATGTGGTTATTAGTGTAGTGCTGGTGATTAAATAATATTTCTCCTCCTCCCCACTAAAGCACACATTACCTCACTGAAAATATTAAAACCAATGCATTGTAATCACTTTGGCTATGAGCCTAAATATATGTTACCACATAAAGTTTCAAATACAAAGTTTTATATTAAAAAACACTAAATCTAGTATCCTCCCCTCCCCCAATCCAATGTAATCTGGCTTTAAAATTGTTAAGAAGAACAAGTTTATAAATTTGAGCACAGTGAGTTTTTGTGTGTGCCCACCCACCTCCACGGAAAATACCCCAAAAGCAGCAACCTTCAGAAAATACAAGACTTTACTCTCAAGGAGTAACTCTAATGTGAGTTCCAGAAGATAGCCAGCCATATCCTAAATCAGTTGGCTGGTCAGTTTCTTCAAGTAAAATGAGAGTAACAGGCACCTATGCTACCTGAAGATGAAGCTAATAGGGCATCATGAAGAAAAGCAAGGCATCTGATAGTACTCCATAGAATATATTTAGGATTAACATCTCAGCTTCTAATAGGCAGGGATTTTCAGCTGATTTCCATCTACATTCCTCCACCCAAGCCTACAAAGCATTCTATGGCTTGTGTGAACACCTCAGCCAAACAAATCAGAAAGTCAGCTCACAACCCTCTATTTCTCACTCCTGAGAAGGCTGCTCATAAACAGTGATCTCATTTGATCCCCACAACAACACTATGAGGCATGTAAATTGGTATTAGCACCATTTTACACAAGAAACTGCAACTCAAAGAAATAAGGGGCTTGCCCAAAGTCACACAAATCAAGATGTCTGAACCAGGACCAGAGCACAAGTCTTTTACCTACTGACCCAACATTCCTTTCACTCACTACATCTGTAAATACGCAGTTAGAAAAACCTGATATCCACCATAATCTGCAAACTTCCATAATATACATTTGTGACTACAACATTCTCAGGTAGGTAACCACCCACATACCAGCTATGCACATCAAAAACATTTACACGAAAGATCAGCTAATGACCTGCTTATTAAAACAAAACCAGGACTTGCTTATCAAAAACAAAACCAGGGACAAGAGGGGCTGCCAATGCTGTATCTCAGAACTACCACTCATACACATGCCCTAATGACTAACACCCATTGACTAGCATCACCCCTACCTACACAACAAAAGAACTCCACTTTTGAAAACCTGCCAACTCTAGGATTCAACATACTACACTATGCATTATTTCTCCAGGAAAAAAAAAAAACTACCCTATGACTGAAATTGTTTAGAATTTTTTCTTTGTAAAATTGACACTGACAAGATACCATCTCTTCTCAATAATAGAGTAGCAACACAGGAGCAAAAGGAAATTATGGAGTTAGAGATGGAACCAGATCATAAGTATGATATACCCTATCTTGACAAGATTTTACTCTTAAAAATGACGGCCCTATTAAAAGTAGGTAACCCATCATCATTTTATCCAAGTACCCATAATTCAATTGATTAGAAATAAATCCCTCCAAGAACACATCTGCAGTTAAGTTAGTGAAAACTGAACTACTGAACAGAGAAGCATGGCCTGCTGCTCAGAGAAGACGGGTCATCACTAATGTGGTAAACCAAAAATGCCATAAGAGATAAAGTATTTTCTTCATCTGGTCTGCTTCTCTCCAACTAAAGAAATCAACTCAGAGGGGGAAAAAAGACAAAAACTCACCTTCCCAAACCAACAAATAAACTATCCAGACACATACCCTTCATGATGTTGAATCCCAATTTAGGAAACCTCAGACAGCTCAGAGCACTGTCTTATCCACAAGGCTGAGAATACAAGACTTTTGTCCTCCAAAATTAAAAGTATAAATTTTATCACTAAGTTTGGTATACTGTCCCACAAAATGCCACCTTATTCCATGTCCATACCACTAAAGAACTATAGAAAATAATGACATATTAAAAAAGATCACTCCTCTGTTTTCCTTATGGCATTTTTATTATCTGACACATATAGCAAACGTGGATCTTGAAATGGGAGATAAATTAAAATAAAGTTTTAAACTATAATAAGTCTATAATAAATAATATACTCTATAAATAAATTATCAAAATTCAGGGTATTTGGTGATAGAAATCTAAGGAGGAAATGAATTTTTGAAATGTCTCAGGCCAAAAGAAAACTAAAAGGCTATAATCAAGAAAGAAAGGAGATGGGCAACTTCTTTTTAGAGCCCCACTTCCGAAAGAACAGCTGTCTTTGCTCAGCTGTAGGAAAACCACAGGACTTGGAATAACTCACTTCATGTACTGTCCTTCTTATGTTAAAATGACACTGTTGACTCACCCTCAGTAGGATATGTGCTTGGTTAAACTTGTTTTTCCAGTAACAGTAATGAACTGAGTTACTCTACTATTGAAATGATTTGCACCCCCACAACTGAAAAAAATATTTGGAAACACCTACATATCTAGTATGCATGTCCTTGAGTAGTAGGTCTGGTTTGACTATGCAGCCAGAGCTTTATCCTTCTTCAGAGTCTCTCCACAAATGATGATCAGTGTAACAAAAGAATCTTTCACTGCATTTGCTCAGTGAATCATTGTCTTAGCTAATAGCTAATCCCCACAGTCCTGGGCTTCCAAAGTCTGAAATGAAATAAACTGTCTAATTTATTTTTCTTACTTTTAGTTACATGTACTGCTCAAATTTGGGTGATACTGCAGAAGGCCCACACCAAATCCACAACCCTTGCATGCAGCAGTAGCATTCAACAAGGTCCTGTAGGACACTCTGGTAGATTCCCCCTTCTACTGCTCTGTCATTTCTAGCTTACTTGCTAGTTAAGGTGGAAAGACTTTAAAAAAAAAAAAAAAAAAAAAGGAGCCTTTACCAAGCCCTAACTCTAGCTTATGAACCAAACTAATCATCATATGGGTGGGAAGGCTTAATAACTTCAAACAAGGATTTTTACTTATACCAACCCAGACAATGAAAGGGAGGGTTGTTAGTTCTCCTTAGATAAAAAACAGTATTCCCTCTTAAGGAGAGATACAACCTAATTCACATATATCTTCTATCTTTATCTTTTCTACCTCAAGGATACAGTTTTTTAATTGAAAATTTTAACTCAAAAATTATTTTGCAAACGGATATTTGAAATGTGGGGAGTAAAAGATAAGCTACAAACAAAAGAACAAATATCTTAGACATTAAACTCTTCAATTTACATTCTGGACCAGTGGTCTGCAAAATTAGGTGTGTGTATCCCAGAAGCACGGGAGGTGTAAGATCATCCACTGGGGCACTGGAAGAAATTTTAAAACATCTCCATATTTATGGGCTAAAAAACATATAATAAGCTTTACTTAGAGTTAACATATGCATACATGGTTTAATAGCCAGACATTTATATAATGTATAAATATGTATTTACTTGAGGAAGCGTTCATGCTTTAAAAATGTTTTTCTTGGGGTATACATTTTTTAAGGGTTTGAAGGGTCCTGCTTTACCCCCAGATTTCACAAAGTAGGATACATATGCGCTCAAGAGTATACAGTATGCCAGAAAAATGCAAAGAAACTGGATAAACCTGGTATATCTTCCTGGCATCTCTATTTCACTCACTCTAGGGTAAGTGACATTCATTCTTCCCTATAATCAGGTGCTTTGGAAGACACCTCTGGCTAACATGTCATTAGGATAAAAGAGGCCACAAAATGATGGCCTGGATTCTGGGTTCTATGCCTGGCTCTCTATCTTCTAGCCATCTGACCAAGGGCCAATCACTTCGCACTTCCAGGCCTTTCCAGCTCCTTCCTACTCAAATTTTGCGATTCACAAGTTAAGTTTTTCATCCCATCTTTAGTTGCTTCATGGCCCTGCACATGTCATTCTTCTAATTAGAATGTAACAGCCACTCCTCTCCACCAATCTCAGCCTCCTTTCCGCTCTCCAATGAGGCCTTGACTTTGCATTCCCTCAGCTTCCCATGATCTGTTTATATGATGTGAAAGGGCACTTTCTGGAAGGCTCTGTAAGTGTTCTCAGGTTATTACCAGTGTCCCCCAGTACTTCTGGACAGACTGTAGAGCTCCTTTGGCTAAAGTGCTAGAGGCAGCATTCTGCATGGGGGACCAACATGTATTATCACCTCACCATGCTGAAAATCTACAGCCTGGCCCCTGATCCAAATCAGCAATATACTAATATTAAGGAAAAAGTAACAGAAACCAAAATCACCCACCTAATGAAGATATATGATCTAGCAAAAGAAAATGAGGCTGAGAACATCCACAGGTAAGCCAGGCTATGAGGAACATAGCTCTGAACTCAGCAGGAACAAAATGAGGAACCGGGGAGAGTACAGAGAAGTGTTAACTCACACTGGTAGGATGCCCCTTCTCACTCAAAACAGCTGAGTTCATATCCCAGGCATGGCCGCTGTATCAAAATAATTAGTAATTAAACAAGTTAATATATGCAACATGCTTACAGCTTGGCACTGTTAAGATTATTACCCTCTTTCCTTCAAGCACAGCAGAACACGAGAAATGTCACATCTTTATCTGCAGACTTTGGGGGATCCAAGGCAGAATTTTCACCTACTCAGAGCAGGCTGAGATTCAACTTCCCTTTTCAGGTTTCACCGACATCCCTGAAGGTTCCATAGCATATCTGCCATCATGTGGAAAGATAAAATTCAATTCCCAGGCATTCCCAGGTGCACTTCTAAGGAAGTGGTATGGTGTGAAGAATAAAGCAATGGACCAAGGGCTAAAAAGTCAGACATCTGGCCTGGCACAGTGGCTAACACCTGTAATCCCAGCACTCTGGGAGGCTGAGGCAGGTGGATCATTTGAGGTCAGCAGTTCAAAACCAGCCTGGCCAACATGGTGAAACCACGTCTCTACTAAAAATACAAAAAAATTAGCCGGGTGGTAGTGGCACACCCCAGTAATCCCGGCTACTCGGGAGGCTAAGGCAGGAGAATCGCTTGAGCCTGGGAGGTGGAGGTTGTGGTAAGCCAACATCGCACCACTGCCCTCCAGTCTGGGTGACAGAGTGAGGCCCTGTCTCAAAAAAAAAAAAAAAAGTCAGTCATCTTGTCTTTGTACTGCCACTGACTATTTTTGTGCTCTTGAAAAATTACTTTACCTTGGTGTTTTTTTTTTTTTTTTTGAGATGCAGTCTCTCTCTATTGCCCAGGTTGGAGTGCAATGGCGTGATCTCAGCTCATGGCAGCCTCCTCCTCCCAGGTTCAAGCGATTCTCCTGCCTCAGCCTCCTGAGTAGCTGGGATTACAGGTGCACGCCACCATGTCCAGCTAATTTTTGCATTTTTTTCAGTAGAGACGGGGTTTTGCCACATTGGCCAGGATGGTCTTGAACTCCTGATCTCGTGATCCGCCTGCCTTGGCCTCCCAAAGTTCTGGGATTACAGGCATGAGCCACCATGCCCAGCTGAAAAATTACTTACCTTTCTAAGGCCTACAGTTTGTAATCTGTTTTTAAAAAGTGATTAGATGACATATAGTCCCATAGCCAAGAAAATAGTAGCTTACCAACATGTTTTACTGTGACCTACAGTGAGAAATATATCTTGTACCAGACCTCAATATTCACATATATACGTGCATAGCAAAAACAAAAATTTCAAGAAACAATGCTTGTCCATACTATGTGATACTCTCTATTCTACCCCTTTTTCCCCCAAAGTGCTGTTGGAGACCTACCAAATTGGTTTCATGACCCATTCGTGGTCATGATCTGCAGTTTAAAAAACAATGGACTAAAGCATGCAGTAAAGAATGTGGCTTTGCAATTAGACAGGCCCAATACCACTTTCTTTTTTTTTTTTTTTTTTTTTTTGGAGACAGGATCTTGCTCTGTCACCCAGACAGATGTGCAGTGGCATAATCATGGCTCACTGCAGCCTCAACCTCTGGGGCTCAAGCAATCCTCCTGCCTCAGCCTCCCAAGTAGCTGGGACCACAGGTGTGCACCCCCACTCCTGGCTAATTTTTTTATTTTTTGTAAAGATGGGGTCTTGCTATGTTTCCCAGGTTAGTCTCAAACTCCTGGTGTCAAGCGATCCTCCTGCCTCAGACTCCCAAAGCACTGCGATTACAGGTGTGAGCCACCAAGCCCAGCCCCAGCACCACTTTTAACTAGCTGCATAATCTTGGCTAAACTACTAACCTTTCCAAAGTACATCTTTTAAATTAAGACTAATACACCAGGGTTTTTTCTAAGGATTAGATGAGATAATGTATGTAAAGCACTTAGCCACACTGTGTCTGACATAAAATACATACTCAATAAAAAGTTATAGTGATGACTAATAACATCAATATTATTATTATTAAATTCAAGAATTCCAAAAGAAAATAAATTAAGTGGAAGAAAGCTAGAAAGAGAAATAGGCTCACCTATAAGCATCAATAAACAGTAGGACTGTTGTCAGGTTAACCCAGGACTATGCTCACTGAAATTCTACAAACAAAGGGGTTTTGCTTACTTTCTTCACAATATCCCCTCGCAACTTAAGCAGTGCCCAGCACACAATAGGTACATATATTTGTTGAATGAATGAAAACATCTGGAGGCTCACCTCTATGCAGTGGAGGTGCTGTGAAGAGATCCCAGCAACGCCTGCACAGCACCCCTGCCCAAAAATCCAAACACCTTGAGATTGCTGTAAGCCAGTGACTCTCAAAGTGTACTTTCCCAAACAGCAGCAGTATTACCTGGACGCTTTTTAGAAATGCAATCTACCAGGTCCCGCTCCAGACCTACCAGATCAGAAACTCTGGGGGTGAGCCCAGCAATCTGTATTCTAACAAGTCCTCCAAAACTTGATGTGCACTCAAGTTTGAAAACCAGCATTACAAACTGATGATTTAGGGACCAATAGCAATTCCAGGGAGCTACATGTACAATCAAACGGACTCCTGCAAAGTTTATTGATTCTAGGAATTAGTTACTTACCTAGTTCAACCCAGACTTTTCAGAGTTAGCTGCAACTTCCAAGGAAGTTACCAAGAATTGCTTCTCCTCTCTGCTTCTCCTTAGTGCACCAATAAAGCCTAATTGCTGCAAACTCTCTGAAACAACCACTCTAATATTCAGCACAAAGCCTGATTGCTAAAAAAATGCAAAACCTATTTGTTAAATGATCTTTTATCTAAGCACATTCCCTGGGCTCACACTATCCATACCAGAACTTCTGGAATGCAGGCTTACGGTGTTTTTTCAAACTCTACATTAGTTCTCAAAAAATGAACAAGGTCCCACAGCCAATCTGCATGCAGCAACTTTGCACCAAAGTTATAACAGTACTGATCTACCAATACCTTGCATTTCACTATTTGCCAAAACAACAAGACCTTATTTAGCATCAATTTTGTGTACATACACTTCAGAAAGAAGATAACCAGATATTAAAGATAACCAGATATTAAAACTCCAAAGTTAAGGTTTGTAATGTGTTGATAAATCAAACAACACATATTTGTATCACTAGATTGAGCCCAGTAATTTCTATAGAACCTTAATTTCCCAAAAGGTACCTTAATCAGACTCTAGTCAAACACAACAAGATTTAGAAAAAACACACTGTTTTTTATCAAAAGGCAGGAAAATATAACTGTCTTCTTTCTAGTCTGGTAAAGGATTTCTAAATATACCTTCCAAGGGCAAAAGGGTGCCTTTGAAAAATAAGAAGATTCCTTATTTCTGTCAATAGAATAATGATCCAGTTATATACCAAAGAGCAGATAGAAGACCTGGCTTTGGAGTCATGTGACTCTGCATTAGATCTCATGGGGTCTCTGTCTCAGTCTCCACAAATAAAAACATGGCCTTGTCTCTATAAAAGATACAATGTACATAGAAGTGTTTTGCAAACTATTATATATTATCTTCTCAACATGCAAATTTATCCCTGTGAACTGATTCTTTCCCTCCCACTCACAGTGGCCAAAATAATTTATATTAGAATGTGTCCATAGGTGGCTTAATAGCAGTTGTGACAAAAGTGTAAACTAGAAAAGATACTGAATATTTACACACACATAAAGCAGCATGAAGCCACAGAAGGCTTCAAATGACAAAGAAATGAATTAGAAAAATCACCCACAGTACACTGGCCCTTCCTGGTTTTGGCAAGGATTTCAGCCAGAAAGACATGGTATTTAAGAAGAAAAATTAATAAAAAGAAAACATAAAATGAATTCTTTCAGAACTTCACAAAAGGTTATGTTTAAAAAGAAGTTTGGGAACAAGGGGATGCAGAGGGCTATGTTTTTTTCAGGTCTGACTTATCCTTTGCTATGGGTACACTGTCTTTTCATGTGGCCTCAAAGAAATAGTTGAGCCATTATTGTTGTTGATAATGACGAGCAGATGCTGATGGGATGATTGCACATCAACAGTTCTCAGACTCAGGTCTTGTGTAATTGGGTGTGTCAATCTATGTCACTCCACAGATGGTTATTAAACTAGTTACAACTTCCCTAAATCTTTTCACTAGATCTATGCAGCATTCTGGACAGCTATTCCTTGCCAACTGAGATTAGGCACTATTATAAAAAAAGTTTTGAAAAAACAATTCCAAGGTCTATTCCTCCTCCCAACACACACACACACACACACACGCACACACACACAGAGTTAAATCAGAGATACTTAATTCAGATATTCAAATTTTTTAATTTGAAATTTAAAATATTACCAAAGCCATAAATATTCCTTTAATGCAGTGAATGTAAGAAATCTATTAATTTCAACCTGTCTTGAATAAAAATTATAATACATATATAATTTTCTATGAAAAAATTGTATGTATTTTAGATAATCTATGTACCTCACGAGTAGCCCTTCTATCAAAGCTCTTCTCAGGATGGTGGAGAATGGTGAATCTCAGCTCTCACAACATAAAAGTGTCAAATTCTTCTTAGTGAAAGAGGTGTATAGCCTTGATGTGCTAGATAAAAGTGGCCTTCAGAGAAGAAGCTCTCCACTGACCACGGGGCATGGTCAAATGTCCAGTTGGATTGCTGTGAGAGTCAAAATGATCCACTTGGCATTTTGTTGATATTGAGGTGTCAAACCTTTAACTAGTTGGCCACTCCTTCCAGTAAGCTTCTGTACACTGGACAACTGAAAGAAAGTTTGTTAAGAAGGCTCCCTTAAACAAAAGGTACAACTTATAAAATACACTGTTGTGGAAAGACAAGTATAGCTTCATTATCATATAGATGTAAACAAGGCAGAGACTAGGCTAAAATAAAGTGTAAAATGTGAGTTTGTTAATTTTTCTTTCCCCGTGAACATTTGGCAGAGTTAAAATTTTAGCCATCATACATTTTATTCCCTGAAATGTATCAGTCACAGTTCCCACAGACTCTAGATACACATTTCCTTGTGGGTGTATGTGTAAAACTACCATAACAAAACATTTTCTATTTCCTCATTTTGATTAAAAGGAAAGAAGAAATGCTAAACTGCACTTACATAAGTGACAGTGCAATAGTGACACACCATCTGTGTACACAATTTGTATTCTGTTTAAATTTAAAGTTATAATGATAAGGTGAGAAATGCTAAGAGCTAGGAAATAAAAATACACTTAGAAGCAGCCTATGTTGTACGCTCTTGAAAAACCTTAAGGAAGCTTTAAAGAGCAGCAAAATCACTTCAGGCCACTCAGGAAGAACTATGGCTTGAGACATTAAAAATGGCTGAGGAAAAATACTAAGAAATAGACATCAGAAAATTAAAAACGCCTGTAAACGAGGGTGACGTTATAGACCCACTAGCAGGACATATGAAAGTTGTGATGAGTTAAGCTGAGTCAGACACATATTCCTGCCTATTTCACATGTATCAACATCCTGTCTAGGAACCAGGGACAACTGATTAACAATGTAAGCACAGAATAGCTTTAAGAAAAGCTAACTGACCCATCTGGGGAAAGAATACTCAAATTCTGCTCCATTTCTGTCATGCTCTGATGCAGCTAACCAAACAGAAATAAAGAGAATCCTTTCACATCATGAGAAATGAAATTCGGATTTAGGGACATTATAAAATTATGCGGTATCATGAAATAAGAACTGCTCTGGAAATCAGAACCTGGGTTCTAGCTCTGGCTTTTCCATATACTAACCATATGGTCTAAAGGAATTCCCTTAAGCTATTTGAGACTGATTATTTTCATCTGTAAAACTAAAATAATGTAACCAGCCCTCCATTCTTACCAGAGTTCATTTGTGGCCCAAATAAATCATGTCTATTAAGGTGATTACAACCTAGATAGCATTATTTAATGTAAAATATTATTTTATAATAGCACAATTCCCAGTCTAAAAATCTGTGAAACAGAAAATCCTTACCATCTAACCCAGAAATGATAAATGATTACATGATTCAAATTAGATCACAAACACCTATATTATTATTAGATCCATTCCTCCAGCCCAAATGGGGGTGGTAAGTATACGTTGTTAGACCAGTGTAACTAACTTCAACAACTTTTTGTTTTGTTCTGTTTTGCAAATCCACCCAAGAATGCATTAACTTCAACAATTTTTTAAAAACAATTTCCACAATCCTCTCCTTGTGTCTCAACCATGCTCAGGAATTACAAGTACAATAATCTCCTCAACCTCCCCTAGCCTTTCCTAGCTCAGAAATCCGACATAGGCCACTTCGCATGCCTGATCAGATAAGCTTTCCCAATGCTGAAAACCAACTGCTTCTAACCTTTTAAACCTGATTTCCATGAAAACTCAGGGGTGAAAGAAACAAATAATCCAACCAAATCAGTTCCTTCTTATTGAAAGAGTTCTTCATCTTTAATCTGAAATCCTAAATAATTTTTTCTATGAATCAATTGCTTCTGAGATGAGAGGTACAAGACACTACAAACTATGACCACACAAAAGATTTTTAAAAGCTTTTGATTCACAGTGAGTTAACCTACAAACTTGAAGTTACTAGACAATAGTACTTTTAGTCTACTCTTTAGGTGATCCATAATCTTGCATTGGCCATGAAGCAGAGCCTAAAGGGAGTCATTAAAAGAAACTGAAACAAGGTCTAGAGACAAATGTTCCCAGGCTATATATTCCAAAGGAGGAATTACCATGAAAGTAATGAACTTTAAAGTTCAGGGGCCCCTACACTCGGGTGCCTATTCTGTGCCCAGAACCACGCAAGCACAATTAAATATGTTGCTTTCAATCTTTACAAACAATCCTGCAAGTTAGATATTACTATTATTCCCATTATATAAATACGGGTACTGAGACTTAAAGAAGTTAAGTGGCTTGTCTAATATTCTTAGCTAGTACAAATCAGAGCCCAGTCTCTCTGATTCCAAAACTCACCAGCTATGCTAAAGCAAAAATCAAAAGGTAGTAGGGAAGGGTATCTAAAAGTCATTCTGAGAGATAATTAAAAATAAATAATGTTTGCTGTCACTTATCTCTTTTACCTTCTTTAATATCCCTTGGCATCCTCTCCTTCAACATTCAACTATTGACTAACACAACTAAAACCTAAGGAGGAAGTCCAGTATGTTTGAAAGAACCCACATGTCTGAGCATGCAGGCGAAGGACTGTGTTTTAAAATAGCAGGGATAATCTAAGATTAGGTATTGGTGTCAAACACACTTCTCTTATCTATTAGTACAGATGACCACCAGTTTTCAGTAACAAAAGATATGGTAATAAGAAAAAACAAATCCACAGAAAAGGAAAAAAACAAGCTTGTCTTTATGCTTGTTCTGTAATGATATGTGTAGAAATGCTACCCACAGTTAATTTCATAGTTCCTAAGCCAAGACAGGTTAGTACTGGGTAATTTTAATAATTGGCTATGTGCATTGTTCAGATGCTGAGGCATTCCAATCATTTTACATGGTCTCTTACATCACTTTCAGAATGGTACCATAAGAACACAACTGTACAGTCAAGAAAAAGCTATTTGTAACTAAAACGGCTGGCATCAAACATTTCTGAACATAAATCTGGCTCTGAATTGCTAGTTGCAATCTCTCTCAATTTTTTATTTAAAAAAATCCACACATTCATTCCTGGTCTTAATCTACTAAAGAATTTCTTTTGGGATCAAAAAGTAACAGGAAAGAATGCTAACCAACTTTCCTTGGATTACAACAAACATAATTCCATTCTTCTTCCCAGTTACAAAAAGATTTAAAAGAACTACAACTCTTCAAAATGGAAGTTTGCAATTTAGATCATTCTCCTATTATGCAAATGTTCATTCAGAATTAAAATATTGTTTTAAAAAGTAAAATGTAAGTCAGTTTAGTGCACAAAATGTTTACATTAAATACAAAATTACACTATCTAAGGGACTACAGGATTCCACCAGACAATGGCATTATTTATTATGGTTAAGTATGTTGGCTTTGGATCAGGAAAGAGGGGTTCCAGTGACTGTTCTTTACCACTGACTGGCTAGGTGATCTGGATGAACATTCCTTAACTTTTCTGTAAACAAGAATCCTAACATCTATTTTAAGGACTAAAGGAAACAAGTAAAGTATTTTGTCCCCAAGCATCTGTCACATAATAAACCCTCAGAATATGGAAGCTACTGATAGTCACATAAACTTCATGAAAACAGAAACATTCATCTGTTTTGTTCACTCTATTAACAAGGAGGCATGACTTGATCAGTATTCATGCAAATACTTCCAGTTCCTCCAAAGTGACATTCATATTTATCTATATTAACTACATCCAAATTCTGCTATCCTTCGTGTATACTTCTCTTTTATTATAAGCAGCTTCAGCTACTTTTATGGAAAGATTTAAATTATTGGAAAATATTTTAAGGGTATTTAAGTTAACATATGGACCATTTACATATTCTATAAACTGTGTGCTTACACATAATTATAAATATCTCAGACTGTAAAAGAAAACCTTCCATAATGTTCCCACAATGGAAAAATAAAGTCTTAGAAATAATTATAGAGGGAGCAGAAGGGAGTGGCAGGTAGAGGATAACTTACTAAATCGGCAAAATAAAATTTGGAATTTTTTCTTAAAACAAAACAAAATAAAAACCTGACAACCACTTGTTCAAGGCTGCCAAAACTTGAGAAGAAGCAAACTGTCAAGGGAAACAAATGTTAAAATATAAAGCCCTTTTCTGAGAAAGTAACTCCACCAGTCCAGGTTAATCCAATTCTGAATCACTAATGACACCAGACCTGCCGGGCTGTCTCAACTACTACAAAGAAGTCCAAAGGGACAGGCAGAGGTTCACAGGCAAATTATTTTCACTGCTGTCATTGAAATTTTAAATATAGCCACACCTCTCCCATCCCAACACCCTTTCTACTCCTCTACTGTTGTTGACTGGCACTAACCCTTTTCAGACCTCAAAAAACAAGGGCCGACATATTGATACATAATTTGAGTACTGAGCATAGTGGAAAAATCACTTGACTAAAAGTCAAGAGATTGGATTCTGGCCCCAACCCTGACCCAGCTCTAGGTACTTGGGCCAGTCACTTTGCTTCTTTGGTTTTCTCTCTTTAAAACAAGGATGGATTAGATGGGTGGTTCCCCACACAAGATCCCAAAATCTCCAGGAGCCCCTGAGGTTGTAATAAAAGACAATGGGATATTTTTATTATTTCAAAATGTCTAACAGAGATAGTTCATTAACTGCTTTAAGGCTAATTAAAACACCAAGTATTTTGGCTTCACATTAGTACTCTGCATGGTGACACTGGATGGCATGTGATTATGTTTGTCATATCATAGGAAATTTGGAAACAAGAGTGTTAGACCTGATACTGTTCTCAAAGCTGTACCTCAGAAAATCACAATATCTTTACTAAACATAACATCCAATCACAAATGTGTGGTTAATAAAAATTGGGAAAATGATTTAACACCTATCAATGCAACTTGCATAATACAAGCATACCTTTGTGATATTGTGGCTTCAGCTCCAGCTCACCTCAATAAAGCAAACAGTACAATGAAGCAAGTCAGAAATTTTTTGGTTCCCCAGTGCATACAAAAGTTATGTTTACAGTATACTCTAGTCCATTAAGCATGCAACAGCATTATGTCTAAAGCATAATGCATATACCTGAGTTTAAAAATACTTTATTGCTAAAAAATACTGACACAGGGACATATAGTGAGTATATGCTATTGGAAAAAATGGTGCTGATACATTTGCTCGACATAGGGTTGCCACAAACTTTCAATTTGTAAAAAATAAAACAAAATCTGTGAAGCACAATAAAAGGGAACACAAAATAAAATAAGGTATGCCTATAGATAAAATCTCCCCAAACTGAAAGTGTACCTCATTAAGGGAAAAGACTCAAATATGAAACCCTTAAATAATTATTAGATCACAGGAAACCAGTGAACAATCCACAGGCTGCAAAGATGATGTTCCTATTTCCTCATGAAGGTTCCCAATCACTCATCCACTTTTGATTAAAGAAAAGTGAATGCACCAAGAAGCCAGTCTGTACTGCAACATAAAATAACACCAATACCAACAATAACTACTATTTACTGCACTTTAACTATGTGCCTGGTACTGTCCAATGAATCTAACATTTATTAACTGATATTATCTTCATAACAACTCCAAAATATACTGCTACTATCTTTATTTTTAAAATAATAAAATTGAGGCACACCATGCTTCAGAAACTAGCCCAAAGACACGGGGCTAGTAAATTTAGAGCAAGGCTTGTATGTTTTCCAACCTTCTCCCCACCAAAGCTGGCATCTGCCTTTCAAAAAGATGTCTCCATAAATACAAACAGGAATGCCCCAAGCAGAGCCCAGAGGAGAAGGGCCATTGCTCCTGAGAGCAGTCCTCTGAAGAGTTCATCACTGTGGCCCTTTTCGGCTTAAAGATTCATCCTTAATGGAAACTCCCCTCTTTTCCCTCCAAATTATATTTGCTTGTCCTGGTAATGGAAATCAACTGATAGAAGGTTAAAAGCCATCAATGTATCGGTCAGCTAATGTCCATCCACTTCTTACTTATTCAGAAGATACAAAAGAGTTCTAACTGGCTGACCCTTCAAAGAAGGTAGTTTTTTAAATTAATTTTTACTTATACATATCATAAAAATAGGCATCTGCAGTATCCTGGAATGAGTGAGGGTTATGGAGACAGATCTAGCTCTGAATCTCGACTAAGCCACTTACTAATTGCATTATCCTGTGCAAGTTAGAAGCCCCAGTTTCCCTAAATACCTACCCCTGTCTCTTAGGGTTGTTGCAAAGTGTTAAGTGTATGAATGTACATAAAACACCATGATTTATTGCAGCGGCCCTAGAGCCAGACAGGGGTTTGAATCCTGGCTACACCCCTCACTAACCATAGGCCAACATCCAAAGCTGTGAACCTAAGTTCCAAATTCCTTACCTATAATGTAGAAAAATATTGTCTACTCCAAAGGATAGCCATATGAATTAAATAAAGCAATATTTGCAAAGCCCCTAGCAGAATGACAGACACATAATAATAAAAATCAAAAAAGAAAAAAAAATCTGATGTTTAAAAAATCAAGCTGCAAGGACCAGGCACGGTGGCTCACCTGTAATCCCAGCACTTTGGGAGGCTGAGGCGGGCGGATCACCTGAGGTCAGGAGTACGAGACCAGCCTGCCCAACATAGAGAAACCCCGTCTCTACTAAAACTACAAAAAATTAGCCAGGCGTTGTGGTGCATGCCTGTAATTCCAGCTACTCGGGAGGCTGAGGCAGGAGAATCACTTGAACCCGGGAGGTGGAGGTTGCGGTGAGCCGAGATTGCGCCATTGCACTCCAGCCTGGGCAACAAGAGCAAAACTCCAACTCAAAAAAAAAAAGAAAAATCAAGCCACAAGTTTAAGTACCAGCTCTGTCACTTATTATGTAGGGGTAAACAATGTATACAAGTCACCTAGCCCCTGTGAGGCTCCATTTCCACCAAGTTTGTGAGGATTAAAGGAGATCATTGTGTAAGAATACTCTATAAACTATAAATTTCCAACAGAAATGTTGGAGGTTGTTTGATTCTACAGAAGCAATTTTTATATTAATTGTATTTACTGGTCCTTCCAAACAATATCTTCATCTTTAAAATGGAAAAAACTGAGGCAGAGAAATGTTGAGCCATAGAGGGAAGGCTACTGGTTTGAAATGTAGGGTGGAGACAAGGGCTGGGCCAAAATAAATTTAGACCAGGACAAAGCAGAAAATTTCTGAAAGCTTCAAAGGAGAAAAATGAGAATACTCATCAACCTATGTTTTTAATCAACAGCTTCACCTGCTGGTTAAGCCTCTCAGTGCACAGTGTGGGCATAATAATTCTCTTACTTCCTCCCAGAAACAGTATTAGACTTCAGAGTGAGAAAGAACTTCACTATCAAATCTCTTTTCCTATTCATAAATTAATTTTGGGATGGGGCACAGAAACAAAGACCAGTGGACATAAATCTGAGTCTCAGTCTAACTGGCGTTTTCTGAACTACACCATTAAAAAAAAAAAAAGAAAATATTGTAATCCTTCAAATAGGTTTCCTTCCTTGGTTGATCAGAAATGTCCTCATTCCCCAGGTCTCTTCATGCTAAATATGGTAATAGCTGGCAGACAGCCAGCCCAGTAAATTCCAATGATACTTAAGAAAGCATTCATATGGCCTGAAATTACTCTGAACCAAACACTTGAGACCTGCAGGGCTTCAGCATAGAGCAGTTCAGCTGGAGCAACGAATGTCAAAACCAGCGGGGTGCCTTAAAAACACAAAAGCTTGGAAAAAAAGCAATCTACTCTTCTTTATTGCTACTTTCTTTAGCAACAACATTGATCTCCTACCCACTATGCACACAGCACTGCACTAGGGCAGTGAGAGGCTGGACGGAGGAATGGAAGAAACAGGTGGTGTCCATGGGTTGCCAAAACAACAGGTTGCTTCAGTCAGTTCTGTCCTACAACTAATCAATTTGGTGAGGAAAGGGGGAGAGAATCTTAGTCATCTTGTTCTCTGACCAAGCTAACTGGCTAGACCCACTGTACTGGCATTTATCCATTAGGTCAAAGTGTCAGAATTAGCAGTGCATGGTAGACATAGCATTAGTCCTGCCTTTCAGGGATGTTAAATGCTTCAAAAATCTTGGCTATCTAGAAAAGGAGGACAGTAGCCGATTACGTCACCCACCCAAAATCATGTATTTGACTCCAGAATACACTGCTTTTCTCCAACATATTTTTTTATTAAGTATTAAAGTAAATGTCAATTTCCTAGACATATACAGCTGAAAGCATGCTGATTTACGATACAGTCAGATAAGAACTTTCAAGTAGCTACAGAAAATAGCAGTTAACAAATGAATTAACCAATATCATTAGAAACCAAAGGATTAAAAAAAATTAACCTATGAAATGAACAATTTTTATATCAACATTGGTAGCAATTTGATGTTATGTTATATACTGCTAATTATTTCCATACATATTGTGACATATTTAAGACAAAAGACTAACACCCTTAATATTTAAAGAGCTTTTTCAAACCAGTAAGAAAATAATTAAATGAGTAAAAGACACAATTTACAAAAGAAGTAGGAAAAAAGGCAATACAAACGCCACTGATGATATGAAAAAACATTCAATATCACTGTAATGAGAGAGGCATATTAAGATTAAGTAATATTTACCACTTATCAAATGGTAAAGATTTTTAAAAATAAAACCTAGTGTTGACAATAGTATATTATGTGTGTGTGCATATATATATATGTAGATCTGTTCATAAACTAAAAAAAAAAAATATATATATATATATAAATAAATCAACAGCTTTTCTAAATCTAAGGGTAAAAAAACCAAAGACGTATACCAAAAAATTAATGGCAGCATGATTGTGGACATTTTATTTATGCTTTTCTAGATTCTTCAAACATCCTTAACTACTTTTTCAAACATAATTACTTTTTATATTACAAAAATAAAAAAATCTTGTAAAGGTGCCAGAGAAAATCAGCAAAGTATAAATATGAGTTAATTATCTGTAAACATAACGAATAATTCTGTTGCTACGTAAACCTACCTTAAACTGTTTCAATGTTTGCTTTTAGTTACAACTATTTTCCTTAACTCTCTTAGAAAGAATATGTCAGAGAAGCCACTACATATTACTTACTTTAAATAGTAACATAATGCCAAAGACTTGCATGAATCTCAGGATACGGTCTTTTACCTAAAATTCCTCATGAAGATTAGAATGCACTTTAAATGTTGTAATAAAGTAAATGCCCTTAATGTTTCTAACTAAAGAAGATCTAGCAAATAAATAAACCCATATTCACAGCAAATAAAAATATAATAAAATAATCGAAATACACATGTCCTCAAACTTCAATGTGTCTTGACAGCGTCTGAACCAAAGCATGTGTAAGGAGAGAATTAAACAAAAATGTCTTTGCTACTTACCACATTTACCATTTAGAGAAGTTAATATATCAGCACTATCTAGTTTTGTGATTATTCATACTTAGAAACTCAACAGAATAGATTAGTGAGTAAACAGTATTCAATTATTCTTATTTGAATGTTGGTTAGGTATACCAATAGAACAACCTCTCCCTGCTAGGTACCCGTTAAAATAGATTATTGAAAATATTTGAGGCTTAAAAACTTCCAGAATCTTCTCACACAAAAAAAGATGAAAATAAAAAGAGATGAAAAAGAAGCAAACAACAATTTTAAAACGTGCCTGCCTCAGAACAAGGCAGTTTATTTTAGAATGTAACCACAGCTTCTTGTACAACACCTTATTCATCAAGCACAACTGTATTTTAAAGGAATGCTATTTGTTAAAAAGACAACATATTTAGGATAAGGTATCTAACTCCAACCACAATATTATCATCATGTTTTCCTTACTTCACAAAATACACACATACATTCATCATATGAATAAACATATATAATAAAGGTGAGAGAGTTACTCTTAACCCAGAAACAGGTTCTGCAACACCCATAGATCCAACCTGTCGTTATGCAACAATGAGTCCATCTTGGCAAGATGTTTGGCTGATGTATTCAAATAACCCAGAGTTCTGCCAGCTGCCAGTATCCTGCAGAAGGAACTGACTCAGAGACCAGAAACTGCCCTAGGCAAGCCTCCAGGGAAAGGTGCTTCAGTCCAATGGGAAGAAAAACCCAGCCCCTCACTGCCTGGCCAGAGGACCCGGGGTACCATGGCTGGAGCGACGTAGCTGGCTGGAAATGCGAGAGGGGCAAGGGACACTAAGGTGAACCCCCAAGAGCTTGTTCAATCATACCTAGTAAAGGCCAAACTATTGGGGAGCTAGTAGAACAGGGTTTTGCCAAGACAAGTACAAAAGGGTGAGGGAGATATTAGTATGATTAATCAATGCCACCTGAGGCAGCAACTCTGGGTGTGTCCACACCACACTTCAGTCACTGCCTGGCTGTGACGAGAAGTTCCTTCAGCCACTGCCACTGAGAACTGCATCTTCCAAGGAAGATATTTCCACCATAACTTGTCCTAGTTCAGGCTTGGCATTCGGGACTAAGAACACAGCACTCTCTCTTGCCGCAAACCCACTAACAGACATAATAGACACCACAACATGTGCCAAATTTATATTTACACCCTCACCAGACAAAGGGGTTTTTGTCTTTTCCCCAAGCCAAGTTCTAATACTTCTAAATTACAACACAGAAAGAGGAAAATGGCAGACAGCTCACGACAGCAGACAAGCCCAGCAAGGGTGAGCTGGAGGTCGCCTTTCCCTGGTGGTATTAAGACCTGAAGTTTACTCCCAAGACCCTATAGCTCTGAGTCACCCTGACTGCAGGAAACTGCTTTCAGAGAGCATAGATAAATGATAAAATAACTGTATTTCATATTCCTAATTGTGTGCTTATCTGTCTTGTCTCCATGATGATGTCAGCTCCTTGGGAGCAGGACCATATTTTCTACTTGGTCAATGATTCCCACACATCTAGAAGAGTAGAATACCCTGTACTTGCTACCACATGATGCCAAGGGAAGCACACAAATTAAGTGTGACAACACACCACAATGCTCCCCCAATACACCACTAAGACAGCAGAGCTACAAAGATAGCAAATGTTAGTGCCAAGGGCTAGTGATCCTACCAGTGAATTACATGGAAACCTATGTATTTACATACACAAATTAATACAATAATTCCTTTGCTTTTCTTATTCCAAGCTATGGCTTTATCATCCCCCTTTCTTGGCTTTACTCTCCTTTTTAAGACCACAATGTATGTTCTGCCATACAGATAATATTCTCCTCAAAAAAGAGAGACAGGAGAAAAAACAGATCTACGGCAAACCTCCTACCACTACCAGTGATGCAGTTTGTCCCGTCTCAAGCCTATGAGCATATCCTTTCAGATCTGAAGCCACTTCCTTCTTCCTATCAAGGACAGTATTATCAAGTGTCTTTGTGAGAGGAGCAATCCTGTGCCCCTTCTTGCAGATTGTTTTGTTCTGCTCAAGAAGCCCTAGATTCCTCCTTTATTTTCCTTTCCTTATTTCATTTGCTGCAGCAGCCCAGAAACCCCAAAAGCAGGACCACCAGAAATGAGTGACCTTTATATCTCTCCACACTAACACATCTGAGGGAAACTGCCGACACCAAATATGTGTTCATGAGCTAATGAAGCAGAAATCCTCAAAGGAAGCACCATTTGCAACGGCTGAGGACAGAATTCTTTAGTGGACACCAAAAAGGCTGTGGAACTCCTATGCATTCTAACATCTCAGGTAACATTCTAATGGAGGAATAAGGAGGCTTACAACAAAGTCATACAACACAAACAGAAGTCCGAAAATGCTGGATTTCGCAAATTTCTTTTAAGACAAAACAAACAACTTTACTAACCTTATACCATAGCAGCTTTCTTCTCTGTACTAAGTGAGGCCAGCAAGTAGGAGGCATTTCCAAGGGGGAAAAATGACCACAGGATCTAGCCAAAGCAACCTGTCTCTAATACTCTCAAAAAACAAACAAACAAAAACAAACACTTTGATTTCCCAGATTCACTCTGCAGTGATTCTAAAACTTTCCTAATGTAAGAATCACCTGGCTATTTCTTGAACACACAAATTCCCAGATGACATTCCAGATGCACTGAATCAGAATCTCCATGAGAACACCTGAGCTATTCTTATCATAAGAGAGGTTAGGGAAACACTGCTTGATAAATGTTATTCTCCCACCAGTGCCCACCTGTGCAGGGAGGTATGAAACAAGTAGGGCTAAGATGCTTTACCTGAGCAATCACCCCAGACATGCTCCTCACTGGGTTTGACTCCTTTTATGGAGAGCTGGGTGTCAGCTCAGTAAAGTCTACAGACAAGCATCTCTTTGGGTCCCTATCACCTGCACAGGTCTCAGGACTCTGAGACAAATTTCTGAGTAGATGTCAATGAGGACAAGTCATGAGGAGATGGATTACAGCTGAATATAAGAAGATCTTTCTAAGAATTAGAGCTGGCCAAAGATGGAATAAACTGCTGTGGAGAGCTGTCTACCACAAGAGATGTTCAAGAAGAGAGAAAATATGGTACCTCTTGACTAGAATGTTGTAAACATCAGATCCAGCATGGGATGGACAGAAAGACTAGATGAATTTTAAAGTTCCCGCCAATGCATAAGTCAACAAAGAGGAAAATTTCAGCCACTCCTTAATTAATTAAAAGAGATAGCAAAAAAAGTCTGTGGGTGGGGTCAGCTTTCAACTGATCCTATCTCTTCAAAGGAAAAAAGAACATAGAAACACACTCCAACTCACCATCAGCCTCTCCTATAGAATGTTCTAAAGGTGGGAAAGCAGGAGTCACAGATGCTGTGACTAAGACCTGCCGCTCAGTTGACTCTGAATTTGGGGCACATGCCAGACAAGTTCTGTAGTACAGAGAAGAAATGTGTGTAGCACAGACCTGGCCCTCAAGGATCAAAATCATGTGGCAGAGACAACTCAACACCATGTGATTCTCTCAAATATTTATTCATCATATTTCACCTTTAGTTTTTGTCAGTAGGGTGTTCAGGGGACTCTCTTGGTTCAAAAAAAAAAAAGCAAATATACTTTACTAAATGTACATATTCTCTCAATCCAGTACAAGTTTGCAATATCCAACTCAATGAAAAAAATCTCAAAAAAAATTATCAAAATAAATATAAACTTAGTTAACTCTAATTTTAAAAATAGTATTCCAAAAATGACTAGTCCCCAAAATGATGAAATTACAATAAGGTGTGGCTATTCTGGACAAAATAACAGAAATTGCTGGCCTAGTAATACAGTAATACAGGAAGCAGTGGAAGCAAACTTGAATGAGAGGCAGGGGGTGGATGGCAGTGCCTTTGAAGTGAGATTCCAAAGTCAAAGTGACCTTTATAAATTGCAGAAGTGATCAGAAAAAGAAAGAAAGAAACCCCACACACAAAGAAATTCAAAATTACAAGTTTAAATGAAACATCTGGGGAAGGGAAAAATTTGGTTTTTCCCCAAATGTAAGGTAAGCATGACTCCTGCAAATACTATTTTTAAAATGTCTAGGAGTACCACAGTTGTCCAAAATAAGAAAGTGGCTAAAAATAATTGTTCGACTGAACAAGTATTTATTGTGTGCCTATTAGATACCAAGGCATCATGCCAGGTACAGGGGTAGGGTATGGGCATTAGAATAAACACATAAATGAAAATACACGATTCCTTCCTCATGTACGCATTAACAATAAGCACTTGAGGATGTTATAAGAGTTTTTGTGCACATAAGCGCATTTGTACACGAGATGGAAGCAATGTGGACAGTGAATGAGGCACTGGACACCAGAAGAAAGGAATTCTAGTCTCAACTCTAATTGGCTCTGTGACCATGAACAATGAACATCAGAAAATGGAGGACCAAAACAGTGGCTCTCCTACAAGGTCACCAAACCAATTAATAACAGACCTGGAGAAGAATTCTGGTCTTCTGGCTCCTAGTTCAGTGATCTGTCCAAAATACTACACATATGGTAGACTGACAAAGAAAGAAAAGAAGACCTTTTGGTTTCAAGTCATTTGCAGAGAAAGGGGGGGAAACAAAAACAGGAAAATCAGGAAAGGGTGGAAGGAAAATTAATAGTTCAAATTTAGGCATTCGAACTGAGACATCAAGAAAGGAAGCATGTAACTATGGACTGTGAACACAATATAAAGAAAATGATGTAAAATTTCTTATATCCTTATTCAAATCACGCCTTGCAGTTTTTTACTCTAAAATCATTGCAGACGTATATAGATAAAGGGTCAAAAAACAACATGTATGAATGACATTTAAGGAAAAAGAGATAACAGAAGAAAAGGGAAAAGGAGAGGTAGAGAATTTATTATATCATCTAAATATATGAAGCCCTTCTAAAGGGTCAATGCAGACATACTGCACCCAGATAAACAGAAGAAATGACATTATATTCTATATCTCTTACGTTAGCAATTTTAAAATTCTTGAGTCAGAAGTGTTAAACACTGGAATGACTAAGGTTACATTTGTTATGGAAATTTCTTAAATTTAGAAAGACCTCATACACACACCTGAAGGTAAAAAAAAAATGTACTTAATCAGTGGGTTGCAACCAAGTTACTTGTCAGAATCACCTGTAAACCTTGAAAAAATATGGATTCTCAAACTTACCTTATCAGAATCCCTGGGTGCTGAGTCCAAGATCCACCCCAACAGATTTTGATGTAGCCAGGACACAGAGTTTTTTTCTACCATAATGGGAGAGGTAGGGAGGAGGATCACTAGGAATGGCAACACAGAGTGGGAACTAGATCAATGCAAATTTTGTGGGCAAAATAGAATTTCTGTGGGTGTGATATTTTTAAAATGTATTGTAAGGCTGCTCTGAACCATCCAAGCATATCCCACTGAATTTAAACATTCTCTAAAGGTCCTGAAGTCAGCAACTACAATCCAGGTGAACCAAAAGTTGCTTCTCTATGTCATAGAAGCCTACAGGAGAGGCAGTAGGGTGGGAATGGAGCAGAGAGATCCCAAGAAGTTATGGGTAAATATTTTTTAAATCTAAACATTCAGAAAAATAAGAGAGACTAGGAATCACTCTCCTCCTCCTCTCCACCACACCAAAAAAAAAGGAATAATAAGAAAGTGAAAGGAAAAATAGTTTTAGGTTAAATTTCATCACCATCTGAAAGAAAATTACTCCGATTTTGTTTAAGCAAGAGAAGAATTCAGCTGAGAAATTATCTAGCAGGCAGCAAAATCAGGGAGTCACTTCCCATTGCAAAGCAAAAGAAAACAAGGAGCAAGAGTATGGTCCTGGATAGCTGTTTAGACAATCAGACATACTGCTAACATCTCCTTGCCTTAGAAACTCCGTGATGTTTAAATTAACAATTGGCCACAAGCCAAACACAGGAACACTCAAAAGTTTAGAAGGGTGTGCTGTAATTGGTACCTTAGCAAAACACAATAATAAATTAGGAGGATTCAAGAAGCCTTCACTGTAGACTCTAAGAAGATTTAAGATTTGTACCAAGAAACAGGCTTCTAAATCTCTTCTACTGCATTAGTTTAGCATCTAAAGAACACCTGTCTAAAAATCAAAATATCTAAATCCTATCCTTTGAGTCAACTTGACTAACACTCAACTTGACTACCTAAAAGCTAGCTAATAATCGCAGCACCTCAGCAGAGCAGAGGTGGAGGGCATAGTTTTACGCACTGAGATCCTATAATAAAAGAAGCCCTATGTGTCAGAGTAATCCCATTTCTGACATATTATTTAATACTTAATTTTTCAAATCACTTTACAATCATATTTATTATTCCCTACAATTCTCTAAAGCAGGTTATTCCTTTAGTCCTGCTTCATAGGTGAGGAGACTACATATCATGAAGATTAAGTTATTTACCAAAACAAGTTAATGATAGACCAAGGATTATTACCCTCAGACTGTCTCATTGATTATACTCCTCTCTATCCTAAAGCTACACTTAAAGCTTTCACTCAAAGAAAAAGGAAAAGCAAAAACACCATCATATATGCTCTTTATTAAATGCTTCAGAAACAACAGCTCTGCTTCATCACTACAAAGCCTCCTGGTCCACTTCTGAAATTCTTAGTGACCTAGACGTGTACGAAATTTGAACTTTCCAAGAAGTATCTAGTTGGTGCTGAACAACCCAGTACTATTTTCGGGTGATAAATAACCTTGTTCTCTTTTTAAACATCTGCGATTGACATGTCGACTGACTGTTAACAATGAACAAAGACCATATTTTTCTGAAGCTCATCATCTTCCTAACCTTTTCTTTGAAAACAGATGTAGTTCATGTACTAGTTTTTTGGTGAAGGTAAAAATCTTTATTCAGATTAGGCTCAGAAAAAGAAGGGGCTGCTTTCCGTTCAACAAATATGCACAAGACACCATCCCACTGGGAGCATCAATCTCAGAAGCAGTAAAACACAGCCTCGGCCCTCAAAGGACTTTCTGAACACCTTTGGAGTGTCATCCGTTTAATATACATTATTTTAATTAATCCTATTAGCTGGATAATTTCATTCCCATTTTATTGGTGAGTTCATATAGCAGAGCTGGATTTGAATCCAGGATTACAGAGCAGGGCTCCAAAGCCCAAGTTATTTCCACTAAAGGGTCTGAAGAAATGTAGAATCTAAAAGTGTGGGTGGGATGGGGAAGATATGATTTGATTCCCTTTCCTTGGTCCAACCGTGTTAGAAACATCCAACCACAAAGAAGCTTTCTAAGGAAGCCCTTTGAATTGACGTATCCACTTTTTCTCACCCGCCCGTGCCCCACCCCCAGCCATGCCAAAGGAGCAGCAAATGCTGCTGCCAGGTTGGAGGAATTGGTGATCGTCACACCACATTCCTGGGTCTGGACACAGCCTGAAACAGCAGCAGAGCTCCGCGCCTCAGAAAGAATAACAGCAGTTGAGATTTTTAAATCATGTGCCTCAGCATGCAGCCACACCAGTTGCCCTACTTCTCCTGCCTCCACCTTTCAAAGACGCGAGCAGCACACCCGGCTCCTCCGGACTTTCGGTGGGGTTGGAGTGTCAAAACTCAGGCGCGCCGCAAAACCCCGTCCCCATCCAAACCAAGCCCACACACCCGGCCCATGTGCCGCCCCCTGGCAAAGGCGAGGCTGGCTGCGAAGGTGCAGGCCGTTTGGCTTGGCGGCCCTGCCCCCGCTCTCCACGCCAGAATCTGGCATTCCTTCGCTCAGCCCCTCCGAGGCCCGCCGTCGGCTCTCGCTCGACCCCAGGAAACGCGGAACCTGAAGGGCAAAACTGCCCACCTCCCTGCACCCTGGCACTACGAAAAAGGAGTTTCTGAGACTTGCTGCCGGCCTCCCTCCTGCCGAGGAGGCGTGTGAGGGGTCCCGGGCCGCGGGGAGCAGAGGCGGCGGGGAACCCCGGCGGTTGGCGGGGAACCCCGGCGGTTGGCGGGGCACCACGGGAGGGGCCCCCGGCGATGTCCAAACTCTCGGGAACCCAGCGAGTGGCCTCGCTCCGCGCCGGCGGCCGAGCCTGGCCTTCCCACACAGAGAAGGACCGAGGGGGAGAAGGGTCGCCCCAGGTGGCAGCCCCGGGCGCCGCGGACAGCGCCCCTCAGCCCGATACTCACCATGCGCGGGGGTCGCGCAGCACAGCCAGAGCGCCAGCAGCGCCCACAGCAGAGCGGGGCGCAGGGCGGGTATCTTCTCGGTCGCCTCCTCCGCCGCCGCCGCCGCGGCCGCCTGGGCAGATCCACATGGGGAGGGGGTCCCGATAGAGGAGCCCCACTCTCTCCTCCCCTCCTCCTGCTTCAAAGGCTCAGGCCCTGGCGCTACGCTCCGAAGCCCAGCGCAAATGCCTCGACTCCCCGCGCCCCGAGTCCGCCGCTCCTCGGCCGCCGCCTCAGCCGCCGCCCGAAGTTTGGCTGAAACTTTCTCGGGTGTGCAGCGAAGCAGCCTCGTGTGTCCTTCCGCCTCAGCCGCCTCCTCCCACCGCAAGCCCCGCCCCACTGTCGCCGCGGCCTCGGCCCCGCCGCCTTGGGCACCCAGGGGTTTCCCGCAGGAAGAAGCGCCGGCCCGAGCTCCGCGCGGAGGGATCTACTACGAGTCACTGGCCCCGTCCGCATCCTTCTCCAGCGGCCCCGGGGGCCGCCGCGCCTTAACTCGATCAGGGCTGCAGCGGCTCGCTGGCTTGACCAGTGCAGAAGGGGCGTGGAGGTGAGCGGGGTGGGGTAGGACTCTGAACTTCAAGCACTGGAGTTTGCCGGGATCGTGAACTTGCAGGGAGAGGCGGTCCTCATCCAGTGAGGTCTGTATCGCCACCTACACCCACACATCCACACACTGCTTTGCTAGCTAGAGGAATGCTCTGGAGTAGGACCAGTGCTGTCAAAGAAGGAAAGTGGGCCAAGGCGCCAAAGTCCATTAAAAAGGAATAGAGCCATCACGGAGTGGTGCTGCCCCATTCATTCATTCATTTGTTCATCCGTGTAGCGAATATTTCTTAAGTGCCTTACTTTGCGTAGCTGTGTGCTTGGCAGTGGGATGATACCAAAGATGCACAAGCAACTTTGAGTACCAAGACTTTGCCGCTGTGGGCTGGGGGATTCAGGGAAGGCTTTCCCAGAGGAGCTGGGATGAAAGCAGGATCTTGAAAGGTCAGTAAAATTTGTATAAGACAAGGAGACCAGCTAAGCTAAGGATATTCGTTGTAACACTGTAATAGCAAAACCTTGAAAACAACATAAATGCCCACCCTTAGAGGAATGGATGAATAATGTATGGTATATTTATAAAATGAAATGCAACACAGTAATTGAAAAGACTATAGCTATTTATGTCAATAGGGATAAATCTTAAAAACTAAATGACAGTGAAAATAATCGCAGAGGGAGACAAAGTATACCATTTATGTATATTTTTTTCAAGACAATACTACACATTATCTGTGGATGCATATATATAGATATAGATATTAAGAGACTATAACCAGAATAGTAGTTACTTCCAGGGCAGGAGAGTAGGGGGTGTGATCAAACCTGGGTACAAGTGGGCTTCTAAGAAAAGAGCTAAAAGTAAGAACAACAACAATAGTTGTATGGACATATCATTCCGGGAAAGAGCCCTCGTGAAAGCAAAGGTACAGTCAGAAGAGTAAGTAAATGAGTTCTGTCTCTGTTAGCAGTGAGAGGAGTCAAGGACGGAAAGGGGGTTGGGACCAAATTATGCAGCCTTGAATGGCAAGCTGAAAGGGTGGGGAGGCAGCTACCTCTTAGGTCACATAAAACTATTGAAAGTTTTTGAACAGAGTTGAGATTGATGGAAAGGAAGATTGCTCTGATAATTCTGTAGAAAATTGATTGTTGGGAGCAAGAGGTGAACTGGAGCCCCAGGACCAGTCAAGAGTTGGTGAACAGTCCAGGCACAAATTTAAGAAGACCTGAACTAATAAGGTAGATTTCAGAAGGAATGAATCTGAGACAATGTTAAAGAAACAGAAAAAAAAAATGGAGGTGTGACTAATTGGATGTGGGAGTTTACAATCCTGTTGGGATGAGAAATCCTACCCATAGAACCTCTCCCTGACTCCTATAGGATAAAATTCAAACTTCTAAACATGGTACATACAAGGCCTTTTCGTCATTGGGCCCCATCTCCTGTCCTCCCTGCCCCTGTTGTGAACTTCACACAATAACAGTATTACTTGAGATTCCCCCAAACATATCTTGCTGTTTCTGTCCCTGTATCTTTTGTTCCTTTGGCTTGGAATGACTCCTGTAGTCCCCTTCCCTCCTCCTCTTAATGAACTTCTAATCATAATTCATCCTTCAGTCCAAAGAAGGCTTTGCCGACACCACAATAAATTCCTCCCTCTAACAGACAGTCCCTCCACTGTCTTCCACTGCCGCTTCTTTATCTTAACACCGATACTTATTTTTCACACAGGACTCTTTGTATTTCTGTGTTCTCAACTAAGTTTTGAGGTCCTCATGGGCAAAGACCACAGCCTATTAATCCCCAGTGTCTATCACATAATAGATGTTGAACTAGAATGTAAAACAACACTAAGCAAGTACAAGTCAGTATGGGCATAGACCTATGAAGTTCCAAAACTGCATGTTAACAAGCACTTTAGGTAAGCAAGTATCATTAGTGAAAGTAGTCACATTGAAATACTGGAAACCCTTTTCAAAAATAACGTAGTCAAAATATTTTTGGAATTTGTCTTGTGCAAGTATGTTCAGAGAAAGATAACATTATTTTTCAGTTGTTTACCCACAGTGTTACCAGTTCGATCTTCCTCTTTACTCACTAAAGATAATTCATAGTGACTTGGCTGCATACAAATTTTAAAAATCACCTGCAAAGATAAGTTTTGTCACTATTAAAATATATTCAGAAGAATATAAGATAGTTATCCCCAAAGAGCAACTCTAGAAGCGACTGTAGCTATGACAACATTATTAAAATAAATGTGCAGGCCAGGCGTGGCGGCTTATGTCATAATCCCAGCACTTTGGGAAGCTGAGGTGGGCAGATCACCTGAGGTCAGGAGTTCGAGACCAGCCTGGCCAACATGTTGAAAACCCGTCTCTACTAAAAATACCAAAAATTAGCCGGGCATGGTGGCGAGCACCTGTAATCCCAGCTACTCAGGAGACTGAGGCAGTAGAATCACTTGAACCCAGGAGGCAGAGATTGCAGTGAGCCAAGATCGTGCCACTGTACTCCAGCCTGGACAACAAGAGTGAAACTCCGTCTCAAAAAAAAAAAAAAAAAAATAGGTATGCAGTTTCTCAAAGTAACCGTTTTAAAGAAAGCAGCTATTATGTTCACATATAACTTTTGTTGAATGTGTTACAATATGAAAACTTACTGCATACATTCTGGTAAGGACAAGAGAAGTAAAGAGTAAATATGAATGGAAGTAAGGGAAAAATATGACTGAAGACATTTTTTAAAGATAAGTTTTAATGATAGAAAAATATGAGTAAGGGCTACCAATTGTTTTAGTTTTAATCAAAACTAAAAATATACATCTATGTCTTTACTGATTTAAACTCACATAAAACTGCCTTCCAAAATAAATGCAGAATTGGGCACTTATTTGTTCTCATGTCTGTCCTCTCAGAGCCGACAAGCTGTAAAAAACTCTCAAAATAAAACTCTGTTTTATTTTCTGTTTTGCCCCGGTTTCTATCACATAAGTGCTCAATAATATATGTTTTACATAAATGCTGAATGAGGAACATATATATCTATATAAACTGGGGAGCAGTGCAAGACTGGAAGAATGTCTTGGTGTGTTGGAGAAGTTGAAGAAGAGATTGTGGGATAGCTATGACACATAGATTGAGCTACACCACGAATCTCTCCATGTAACCCAGGAACCCAAGGATATGTGATGAGATGTTTGTGGAAGCAGGAATTAAAAGGAAGATTTCTTTTAATAATGCCTTGCAGTTGCACAGTGATTTAGACCTTCCAAAAACACTTTTAATTATATTATCTCATTTGATCCTCAAAACAATCGTGGGAAATAGGCACCCCAGTCATTATTATCCCCATTTTGCAGATGAAGAAACTGAGATAGAGCTTTAAGTATCTTGCCCAAGGTTAAATAAGTAATTAGTGAGCTGAGACAAACCCCCCACTATTTCTGTCCTCTTACTCAGTCTCACTCCACTGTACCTTTGTGCAACAATGTGAAGCACATCCAAGATGATATTTAGTGTGGGGACCTCTGCGTAGAGGGACACCAGTTTCTTGTCACTTCCATATTAGCACAGAACAAGCTGGCCCACTGTAACTAGGAAACATAAACAAGTGAATACATTCTTTTAATTTAAAATTTTTTTGAGAGCCTGTTCTCTATAAAGCACATACTAGGCTCTGCGGCAATGCAGAAATAAATAAAACCTAGTCCCTGTTCTTTGGAGATCACAGAGCAGTGAGGCAGGCCAACATACAAATAACATAACTACAACAGAGATAAAGCACAGGGATATGGGAAAGTAGAGAGCACTGGGATTAATTTTGAGTCCACTTTCCTCTCATCCAGTCCCCAGCCTGAAAGATATGAACTGTGGTGGCCCACACAGCTGGACTGTAAACCATGTGACAAGAGTCATTTCTTACCCCTTATTCATGTTTGTAAACTCCACAGTAGTTGGTTCTTTGCCTTGCATAGAGTATGTGCTCAATAAAGACCTACTTTCTGAAAGGTTCACAGAGTTCAGCCAAACACAGGACAAGTTCTAGAAGGCAAGACGTTAACCTCAAGATTCAAACTAGCTCTGAGAATTAAGAACCAGCCAGACCCTTCCACTGAGCCTAGACCCAATTAATTACCTCTGCTCTAATTAAGGGAATCAGTAATGTAAGTAATTGTAATATGGGCGATATAGTTTGCCTGTGTCCCCACCCAATATCTTATTTTGAATTGTAATCCCCATGTGTCAAGGGAGAGACCAGGTGGAGGTAATTGAATCATGGGGGCGGTTTCTCCCATGCTGTTCTCCTGATAATGAGCGAGTTCACGAGATCTGATGGTTTTATGTGTTTGGTAGTTCCTCCTGCATTAATTTTCCTTCATGCTGCCTTATGAAGAAGGTACCTTGCTTCCCCTTTGCCTTCTGCCATGATTGTTAAATTTCCTGAGGCCTTCCCAGCCATGCTAAACTGTGAGTCAGTTAACCTGTTTCCTTTATAAATTACCCAGTCTTGGGCAGTTCTTTACAGCACTGTGAAGACAGACTAATACAGTGGGCTTGTTGACATAGTTTTGCCCTTTTATGAATGTGATTATCTCAATTTTATTATGTTAAGGAAGGACACAGTGGCCCACACCTGTAATCCCAACACTTTGGGAGTCCAAGGCAGAAGGATGGCTTGAGCCCAGGAGTTCAAGACCAGGCTGGGCCACAAAGTGAGACCCTGTCTCTACAAAAAATTAAAAAACTAACTGGGCATGGTGATGCATGTCTCTAGTCCCAGCTACTCGGGAGGCTGAGGTGGGAGGACCACTTGATCCCAGGAGGTTGAGGCTGCAGTGAACCATGTTACCACTGCTGCATTTCAGCTCGGGTGACAGAGCAAGACCCTGTCAAAAAAAAAAAAAAAAACTTACCTAGAAATTTCACATCTTCTGCTATGCTTGAGATAAGCAGGAAAATTCATATAGGAATGCTCACTGTATCACTCCCTTAAAATCTTCTTTTAAGCATTTTATGCTAGGAGGTATTACACTTCAATTCCTAAGTAGGTGTGTACTTTTTGTATATAATGATGTATGAAAAGGTTGACCTGTATGCACCAAGATGTCTCCCCAATTTAACAGTATCATAAATTCACAACTGTGTAATTATCAAACCACAGTATTATTGGATGAGTCTCAGTGCTTTAGTCACTAAAATGGTTATGCAATTTTGAATATTTATTGACGTTGTTCTCAGGGACTGTTGAATTGTTTTTACTCACATTCTTATATTCTTCCTTCATAATTAGCCAAGACATTCTTGACAGCAAGATTCAGGCATACAGAAAGTTTCTACTTCAAAATATGGAAAATCTTCTTACCATCTAGGTGCAGATCATATCTAAGTCCCCCGAAGAAAAAGAAAATGGAAACTTTTCTTACTAAGTGGAATTCAAAATGGTTAACTAAGTATGAGAGAGGGGACATCAAAAGTAAGGAAGAGAAATCCCATTATAAAAAGTGTGCACAGGCCAGGCACAATGACTCACACCTGTAATCCTAGCACTTTGGGAGGCCAAGACGGGAGGATCACTTGAGGCTAGGAGTTCAAGACCAGCCTGGGCAACATGTTGAAACCCTAACTCTACAAAAAATACAAAAATTAGCTGGGCATGGTGGTGCACGCCTATGGTCCCAGCCACTCAGGAGTCTGAGGTGGAAGAATCACCTGTGCCTGAGAAGTCAAGACTGCAGTAAGCCGTGATCACACCACTCCACCACTCCAGTCTGGGTGACAAAGTGAGACCCTGTCTCCAAAAAAAAAAAAAAAAATGCATTAAAAATCTCCTTCTAAGTAAGTAATTCATTGGGAGATAATTAATGGCTGGAAACAGGTATTTATAATGGAAGCATACATGGCCTTAACGATAGGGTTTGCTTCTGAAAACACTCTAATTAAAAAGGGGAAGAGTAATTTTATAGGAAAGTACAAATCAGTGGTGTGTATGTCTACCAGTGTGTGCAAAGAGACAGAGGTGGTAATTGCTGGACTCAGACCAGGTATCAGCAACAACTAAACATAATGACCTTATAAATATGCAGATAGGATTTCTGACAAAGCTAAAAGTACATCATTATTATTATTCATCAATGTGGAATGGAATGTGAAATTGGAATCAGCAGGTAAGGGGTGGTTGTACCTGAATATCCTGGATACCAACTTGTTTTTGTTTTTAATCATTCTAATCTCTGTTAAGAATAATGTCACATGACTACTTTATCCTCTTTCTCAGACCACTGATCCAACCATTTTTCTTTCACACTTTTGCCTCCTTTCCTCTTATAACAGGTACTAACAGTCTAAGCAGAAAAAGAAGAACAGATGGTGGTAAGACCTAGAATGTTTACCCCATTAAGATCTATATCTGAATCCAGAAGGAACACCTCATTGCCGAGAAGAGCCCTGCAGACAGTTCACACCTCTGTTTCTTTTGCAAGATATAGCTACCTCAAAAAATCCTTTCTTGATCAAACTCTTATGGCCTGGAATCCTTGCGTTTCTGCTGATGACTGTCATTTTAGAGTACTTACTAAAGACAATGGTTGGGGAAATAGATATTTTAAAAATAAGGGAAAAAGTGGGTAGGGTAAACCCAGGCTTACTTATGTAAACTCTGAGTGCTGAAGTTAGAAGACAACTTTTAAGATTAAAAAAAAAAAAAAAAAAAAAGATTTCTGGTAGCCGCCAGAAGCTAAGAACAGATTCTCCCTCTGAGCCTCCAGAACCCAGATGACACCTTGATTTCAGACTTCTGGCCTCCAAAACTGTGAGAGAAGAAATGTGTTGTTTTAAGGCACCCAGCTGGTGACAGTTCATCACAGTAGCCACAGGAAACTAATACCCAGCCCCATGGCAGGCATAGGTCAAGCCTGGCACAGTCTGGATCTCAGTCCCTGACTCAGACCCTGGATGCTCGCTGCCTTGTACAGAAACAACCTGCTCAACCAAACAGGGTGACCCTGCTGAAGCCGCAAATGTCCAACAGTCCTGCCAACCGTGGATGCTTCTGTAGCTTCCCTTTAGCTCTCCCTCCTGGCATGAAACCAGACACAGACTACCCAGAAGATGAACTGAGCACTCTGCAATGGGCCCAGCACGCTGCTGCATCTGAGACCATCTTCTCGGCCCTAACAACCCTGGCAGGCTCTTCTCTCTGGTGGGGAAATTGGGCTTAGGGAAAGGACATCTTTAGGACAGTCATCCCACCAAGTAGAATGACTCTATGCAGCCTGAATACTGTTTCCCTGGGAGGAAAAAAATCCAAAGCATAAACTTTTATAAGCTGTTTTAATTAAAACACTCTTTGTAAAGTGATGTATTTGAAGCAAGGGAGGAGAAAGGTTTTCTGGCAAAAGTGTCTTTTGTGGTGTTTCTTTGGTGAGCAAAAGGAACTCAACTGATGAAAACACCAAAGCACAAACATTCTGTGGCCAGTAAAGTGGGTGGAGGGGGCAATGGAGACAACCTCAGGTGGGGCCCAGCTTGTAACGCTGGCAGGGCTCTGTTAATGTGCTCCATAAAGGGCTTTGGAGGGCAGGAGGAGCACCACCAACATTTTAAATGTGAGGCCAACCATAAAACGATTCATGATTAGTCCACTAAAATGTGTTTATTGGCAAATAGGAAAGAGATCCCTGAAAATAAGCAGGAACAGGTGATTTTCAAGGCTGACTTAGGTCTCCTATTCAGCTACTCAACAATTATATCCGAGCTACGTGCAGTGGCTCACCCTGTAATCCCAGCACTTTGGAGGCTGAGACAAGAGGCGAAAAGTTCGAGACCAGCCTGGGCAACCTAGCGAGACACCATCTCTATGAAAAATTTAAAAATTAGCCTAGCATGTGTCTTGTGCCTGTGGTCCCAGCTACTCAGGAGGCTGAGGTGAGAGGATCACTTGAGCCCCAGAGGTTGAGGTTACAGTGAGCTGTGATCACACCACTGCACTCCAGTCTGGGTGACAGAGTGAGACACTGTCTCAAGAAAAAACAAAAATTAAAACAAACAATAACAACAACAACAACAACAAAAAAAAACGGCAAAGTTAGAACACACAAAAGATAGTATAGTTCCTTACCCATCCACCACTTGGTTTTGAGGAGAAAAGGGAAGTAAGAAGAGTTGAAGAGAAGAAAAACAGAACAGAAGAGTGGGAAAGGAAGATGAAAGGGTGCTATGGAGTACTATGCACCTGTTTAGAAGTGGGGAAGTAGCACAAACACTAGCAAAAGAAGAACCACCATGGAGTTCCTCCTTGCACATCTCTCTCCCCTCCTGAAGGCCTAGGGTGAGCCCACAGCATTGTTCCAGCAGTGAGGGAGTCTTCACTGCCTCCTGAGACTCTCTCACGGCTCTTAAGATACCTCCCTGAAGTCCCTCCAAAGAATTCAATGTGCCCCTAGTCTAAATCAGTTTCCTCCATCATAAATACTCATAGATGACGCAACAATAAAGCGTTAATAACGATAATGGCAATTTTGTGTGTCAAACATTGTATTAAGCATTTTACCTGCTTTATTGTTTGTAATGCTTCAACAGCTTATGAGAAGGTATTATTATTTCTACTTCACAGTGCAGAAAATGAAACCTGAGTAAGTTGTCTTAGATCACACAGCTGCTAAGCAGTGGCACAGGGATTTAAGCCCAGGTCCATCTGATCAACTCCGATGGCACATAATTGACCTCTGCATTGTCCCGCCTGCCCACAGGTCACTGCCTCAGTGATCCAGTCCCATCCGTTGTTTAGATAACTGAATAAGTTATCCTCGAATCATTTATTGTAAGCCTAGTCTCTCAAGTTTACTGTGAGTCAAGGGCTAGGTCATATACCTCTTTTGTGCTCTTCTATATCGTGGCATCCAACCTCTTGCTTGTCAGCTTCCAACTCTGGCTCAACTTAAGGACTTCTTTTCCTGGCATCTGTCCCTTATATGGGAGGTGTTCATACAATTCTACTGATTGTTTTCACCTTACAACTTTTTATTTTGAAATACTCTCTTCTAAGTGTTCCTAGTAAATTTTTTAAAGCCAGCAAGGAAAAAAAATTCTATTTATTGCCAACTAATTATAAACATTAAAACATCAATTTAAAATTTAAAGGAAAAATGACCTATAATACCACCACTAATAGCATTTTCATGTGTTTTATTCATTTGTTCTTCATATGTATGTTCTTACAGAGTTGTAATCAAGACATACATATAGTTTTGTTTTGTTTTGTTTTTTTTAAGATGGAGTCTTGCTCTGTCGCCCAGGCTGGAGTGCAGTGGTGCGATCTCGGCTCACTGCAACCCCCACCTCCCAGGTTCAAGTGACTCTCCTGCCTCAGCCTCCCTAGTAGCTGGGATTACAGGCGCACGTGACTATGCCTGGCTAATTTTTGTATTTTTACTAGAGACAGGGTTTCACCATGTTGACCAGGCTGGTCTCGAACTCCTGACCTTAGGTGATCCACCTGCCTTGGCCTCCCAAAGTGCTGGGATTACAGGCGTGAGCCACCATACCTGGCCGACATACATATAGTTTTTATCCAGATTTCTTAGGCAATTCATATACCATAAATATTTTCCTTTGTTGTACATAGTTGCCATACATAGCATTGTTATTGTCTGCAAAATATTCCAGCCTTAATTAATATATAGAGCTAGAATACTTTCTATATTAGTATTGGGATCTGTATCCAGAAGTTGTCCATCTTATTTCAAAGACAGCCTTTGGGGACAATCCCTCCATACTTCTTTTATTGCCAATCACAATTGGATGAATAAGTGGACTCTTTCTTTGTCTTGAATCAGGGAGATGGATCAGCCCAAAAGAATCCCCTGCTGTTGTTCTCCAATCCCCTCCCTAGCATTTACAAGTCTTCACCTCTCTGCTGTAGCCTCTTTCCTTCTTTCTGTTCCCCATTTTCTTCCCAGCAAAAGGCTTCACTTCCTACTTCACTAAAGACATCTCCTAGTTCAAATATCACCTCCCCTGCAAAACCTTCCCTAGCCCTCACCATTTCTACACTGACAGGCCATCTAAGGACTCCCTACCATCTCCCATCTCAACCTCACAACTCATCACTTATGTACCCACCTTTACTTCCTTGTGTTGTATCTCAGAAAAAAAGAGTCTTTCCTTCTTTCAATGCTAATTCTTCAGCATTGGCCATTGATTTAATTCCCTTCTGCCTTCTCCAGGACCATTTTGCATTCAATACCCACTGATTCCCACTGTCTCATCATTCATCTTTCCCTCTCTACTGGCTTAATCCCTCAGCCAACAGTTTTCTTCCAGACACACACACACACACACACACACACACACACACACACACACACACACACATTTTCTATTGTATTTCTATTTCAAATTCATCTTTCACTTCCAAACCTCTTAAAACAGTGGTTTGTCCCTTTCTGTTTTTATTTCTGCAATTTATTACAGCTTCCTCTTCTTACATTTATTGAGCACTTAAGATGTAAAAACAATATGGAAATAGAGATCGATAAAGCAGTCCCTACTCCCGAAGAGCTTCTAGTTAGTAGGGAAGATAGTAAACCAAATCAACACAACAAATAATATACATTTTATGACATAAATATGTGCACAAGTATCCATGGGGGGCTGCCTGGAGGAAATTGGAGAGACTTCCTAGGGAGGTGACATTTGAGTTAGGCCTTGAACAATGAGTTCAATATTATCAGGCAGAGACTGTACATATATTGCACATGACTGACAGGAACAATTTATGCAGATAACTGAGAAACCATATTAATGATTACTTAGGAAATATCAAATAATTCAGGTGTCATCAGAGTAAGGAACGTCTGGGGAAGAGATGAAGAGTCATTTAGGCTAGTTGTTCTCAAACTTTAGCATTTATCAGAATCATCCAGAAGACTTGTAAAAATGCCAATTGCTAGGCTTCATTCCCAAAGTTTTGAAAGGGGTGTGGGTTGAGCCAGATAAATTACATTTATAACATTCTCAAGTGATGCCAGTGCTGCTGATCTAGGGACCACACTTTGAGAACTACTGGCTTAGTAATCCAGCTTCTGCTTCAGTCGTTATAGTGAAATTACTTTTAGATGTCACCAAAGATCTCCAACTGTCAAATGCAATGAACTCATTCTCAGTCTTCATTTTCCTTGATGAGTTTGCAGCATTTGACATCATTGGCAATTTCAGTGAGCTCTTAACTGTCTCCCAGCTTTTAGCCTCTCTTTTAGTCCATTCAGTACTCTGAAGCCCACAGGATTGTCCAAAATACAAGTATAAACCCATCACTTCATACTTAAAACTCACCAATGGCTCCCCATTCTCTACAGTTAAAGCCCAAACTGGACAGACTGGCATGGAAAATCGTTGGCATTCCGACCACATTTACCTCTCCCCCTGCTGCTGCCCAGGATTGCATAGCCTTTGTTCCAGGCACATCAAGCTACCAGCCAGTCCCCAGACATGCTGTGGGCTCATGTCCTCTTCACCTTCATATGTGCACTTCCCTTTGCCTATAATGCCCTTGCTGCCTCCCCTCCCCTATCCCATCCTCCCCTGGATCCATAGTGATATAGTTGACCCATAGTGATATATGGTTTGGATGTGTGTCCCCTCCAAATCTCATGTTGAAATGTGATCCCCAATGTTGGAGGTGGGGCCCAATGGGAGGTGTTGGATCTTGAGGGCAGATCCCTCATGGATGGCTTAGCGCCATCCCCTTGGTGATAAGCAAGTTCTCACTCTTTTAGTTCACAGTAGACCTGGTTGTTTACAAGGAGCCTGACACCCCCCCCCTCTTGCTCCCTCTCTTGCCATATGACACACTGGCTCCCCTTTGCCTTCCAGCATGAATGTAAGCTTCCCAAGGCCCTCACCAGAAGCAGATGCCAGCACTCTGCTTCACCTACAGCCTGCAGAACTGTGAGCCAAACATACCTCTTTTTTTCTTTTTTTCTTTTTTTTCGTGACAAATTCTTGCTCTGTTTCCCAGTCTGGAGTGCCCTGGTGCAAGCTCCGCTCACTGCAACCTCTGCCTCCCAGGTTCAAACAATTCTCATCCCTCAGCCTCCTGGGTAAGTGGGATTACAGGCTTGTGCCACCACACCCAGCTAATTTTTCTATGTTTAGTAGAGACAGGCTCTTGCCATGTTGGGGAGGCTGGTCTCAAACTCCTGACCTCAAGTGATCCACCCGCTTCAGCCTCCCAAAGTTCTGGGATAATAGATGTGAGCCACCAGTCCTGGCCAAAATAAACCCCTTTTCCCCTTAAATTACCCAGTCTCAGGTATTCCTTTATAGCAATGCAAAATGGACCAACACCTATGGAATTTTGGGTGAAGGCCTAGCTCCAATGTCATCTTCTCTCCAAAGCCTTCCTCAGCTTCCTGGCTCCTTTCCCTGAGGTCCTCCACGGTTGGTTTCTATGTATTATATATACCACTTAACAACTAGTTGAACATGTGATTACTATATGCGGACTTGCTTCAGTCTCTGAATCTTACTCTGAATCTATCTTGTTATTTTTGTTATTCTCATAAAAGGCTTTCAATATAGGTGTATTGAATGAATGTTGGGAACATAGTACACATTTGATAAATAATGATTTGAGTAGGCACTTGCTGCTTACCCAGTGGAACAGGCAAGCAGGCAAAGAGGAGGAGGAGGACACAAAGAGAAACTATGTTAATGAGCAAGAATCAAATGTGCCACCTCACAGCCTCCTGACTCCCTGCCTTAGAGGGTGAACCACAGGCTATTTCCCATGATTCCCTCTTCTTTGATGACACAGTGATTTGTCAGCTCTGTGGACTGGAGAGTTATGCAGCTGCCTTTCTCGCTTTCAACAAAGTACTTGCTGGAGGACTTATCCAAAGCTGAGAAGCAACACCTGTGGGGACTGGGCAGGAAACACTTTAGTAGTTTGTCTTGGTGCATGCACCACAAGCAGACAGCCATTTGCCTTCCATTTAGTTTCTGCAACTGAAGGAATACTGCGGGATTCTCTGCCGCTAGGAAGAAGAGAGCCGCCCCCCCCCCACCATCCATTCTTCCTCTCTCTCTCTTCCTTAGTCTTACCCCTGCACATTCTGATTGTTGTGGTGACCAGATCCTGCAGAAATAAAAGAGGCCTGAGTTCCTATGTGGCTGGGCTGTATCCTCCTCCTTCTCTAATAAAGCTATGGCATTAAGGAAGCCCTATCAACTGATGAGCTCAGAATGCCCATGCCTTTTGTCACCTAGCCTTTCCCCATCTCTGTGCAAATGGCTACTAGAACAGCCATTTATAAAGTGACAACTATGTGTTGGGTGTTTTGCATACATGATCTCATTAGATCCATACAACATTCCTGCAAGAAAGATATCTTTATCTCCATTTAACAAATAAAGATACTGATGCTCAAAGAAGTCAAATAACTTATCCAATGTTGACAAGCTAACAAGTGGTAGGGGTCAGATTTGAACCTATGTTGCAACCATTTTAGAGTCCTATATGTTTTCCATTATTTATATCATCTTGGAGAACTAAAAAAGGTGAAAGTTACAGAGTCAGCCAGTGTCATAGCAGGAATTAAATTCAAGGTGTTCTGATTTCCAGGGCAGCCTACAAATATCCACCATATTGAAAGAACTGTTTGAATGGATATGTTTAATGTTCCAAGAATTTATGAAACTTAAAAATATATGTTGATACTACAGTTTGAAAAGGACCCAGAATTGGAAAAGCTGCTTGTTCATGAGTGTCCCTTGTCTCTACTGTCCTGTAGTCAGTGCCCCCTCAAAGTTGGATGCATCTGAGTGGAGATGCTTTTCTGTCACCTAAAGTCACACATTTACCTTTGATCCAGACCCTCCCCAGAAGCAGTGCTTTTGAAATCTCTTCTCCTCTTCTTTTTGTTTGACAAAATATAAATGATAGTTTATTTCTAGAACGATGCCAAATTCAATAAAGCAATGATGGAGTTGTGTTTCGTTTTCTGGTCAAGTTGACACCATAAAGTGGGTTTTCCTGAATATTTCCCTGTTCCACTGGTGTTCTTGGCATTGTGAATAAACAGAGCTGGTGATAACATCCATCATAGAATTAAGCACATTGAGTGGGTGATAAAGTCAACAAGAAGCTGAAACAAGAATTACCACGGATAAGCTGCCAAGAGTTGGCTGTAGATTCTAAGTGGACACTGTGGCTCATTCATCTTCACCCTTCAGCTTTCCACCCCAACATCATCCCTGCCTCAGCACTCATGACAAGAGTAGGAAAGTAGGAGAGAAGGAAAGCACAGGGATCAAGTACAGGGGACAAATACATAGCATTGATCTGCCTGAGATAAAATCTAAAGACGCAGTAGTAAATTCTTAATGAGTACTGAGAGAGAACAAAGAAAAATGTTGTGGGTTTTGTTGTTGTTGTTGTTGTTGTTTTTTGAGACAGAGTCTCCCCCTGTCGCCCAGGTTGGAGTGCAGTGGAGCGATCTCGGCTCACTGCAAGCTCCGCCTCCCAGGTTCATGCCATTCTCCTGCCTCAGCCTCCCGAGTAGCTGGGACTACAGGCGCCCGTCAACACACCTGGCTAATTTTTTGTATTTTTAATAGAGGCGGGGTTTCACCATGTTAGCCAGGATGGTCTCGATCTCCTGACCTTGTGATCTGCCCACCTCGGCCTCCCAAAGTGCTGGTATTACAGGTGTGAGCCACTGCACCTGGCCGAAAAACACTTTTTAAGTCAAAATGAACCAACTAACAAACAAAAGTCATATTCCAGAAGTGCAAGTAGACACAAATGATCACTGGGCTTCTTTTAAGCAACATTCTGTTTTCTTGTCCTAACCTATCTCAAGCTAAGGAAATTCTAGGGTCTATTGTTCAAAGACTTGAAATGTTTTCCTTGGATTATTCCCACTCTTATATTTTTCTTGCCTCTTTCCAAAAGTGCGTTAAAAATGTCCAGGTTTTTTAACTCATTAAGATGCTCATCAAGCATCTTAATGAGTTAGTCACGATTACAACTGCATCTTTTAAATTACCCAAACTGTTGAAAGGCTGCCATGAAAGGAGCTTCTACAAACAAAATCTGGGCTGTATTTCTCATTATCTTATGTTGCAAAAAGTGAATGAGGAGTTACTTCCAAAACAGTAATTAGCATAAAGGCTGCTGAAGCAGAGGAGAGATAGGTGCGCTACTGTCTCAATGGAAAATGTCACTGTTTTTTCTGCAAGGAATATGTACATTACTACTAAAGGAGAAGCTCTTTGCTAACAAATGTGAAAGGGTTTCACACAGTTCATGGCACATAATAAGTGCTCATAATTTGTTTGCTTCATCGGAATTCTCTCTGTAGTCTACTTCTCAGTCAAATAACTGTGACTACCTCCATTTCCTCACAATCCAGTCTCCTTATGTTCCTTCTGTTACAGGAATTGCAGCCTCATCACCTATCACAATATTTCTCAACCCTTTTCTTTTCATTATTGCCTTCCTAAGGAGGCTTTTCCGATGTTTTTAAAAATTGCTCTCCTCTATCAAATTTTGGTACCATAGTGTGATGGTTAATTTTGTGTGTCAACTTTAGTGGGCTACGGATTGCTGAGATCACTGGTAAAACATTATTTGTGGGTGTGTCTGGGAGGGTGTTCTTGGAAAAGGTTAGCATTTGAATTGGTAGAGTGAATAAAAGATCACCCTTGGCAGTGTGAGTGGGCATCAAGCAATCCCTTGAAGGCCTGAATAAAACAGAGAGGTGGAGGAAGCACAAGTTCACTCTCTCTTCTGGAGCTGGGACATCCATCTCCTCCTGCCCTTGGATATCAGTAGTGTTTCTGGTTTTGGGGCCTTTGGACTTGGACTGGGACTTACAGGATTGGCTCTCCTGGTTCTCAGGCCTTCTGGCTTGGACTGGAGTTATAATACACCAGTAACTTTCCTGGGCTTCCAATTTGCAGACAGCTGATCATGGGACTTCACAGGTTCCATAATTGCATGAGCCAATCTCTCGTAATAAATCTATTTCTGTGTATCTATATATAATATATGCTATCAGTTCTGTTTCTCTGGAGAGCCCTAATACACGCAGATATATTGTGATATCGGTTTATGCATTGTATGTATATCTGCACTTTGTACATTTAAAAAATTAAGTTGTTTTTTATCCCCCAAGATCAATTCTCACTCCCATTGAGAATGTGCAACCTATCAGACCACAGCAGACTGATTCAGGACACAGCAGAAGCAGATCACAGAAATAGATGCTAGACAATTGATTTGGGCGAAAATCAGTGCAGATGTCCAGCATAGAAGTTTGTCTAGATCAGGCTTTGTAAAGGTAAAGACAGACAGTTGGCCATACAGGTTAGCCAAACAAGACACAGGTTGGAGAATACAGCTGACAGCAGTGTTGATGGAAGATAGGAGGGCAAGGTTCAAGGCAGGCAGAGATGTGAGAAATATTTGTCCACTGGGTCAGAGAATGCTTTATATAGAGAAATATCATCATCCAGAAAAGTTCCGTGAAAGAGAAATTATTCTCAGTTCTGAAGCCAGATTTAGACATTTTGCCTTTGTTCCTCAGGAGCCTGGACCACCCAGCCAACTGTGCCCTATTGATGAAAATCTCTGATTATTATAGGGGAATACATTATGTTGGCTTCTGTATTCCCTGAGAACCATCTACATCTCCTAGTACTTTGAAGTCGTGGTATCAGATGAAAGAACCAAGCCTTCCAAACTGACTTGGAGCTGTGCTGAGGTGTTCATGGCCTCAAGCATTCAAGCAAGTTGATTGGATATGAGGTGTGATATTCCTTTTCCTCAAGTCATTTATCCTCTGGAGATCCTAACCTAACCTAATCTCTCCTAACCTAAAAACAGGAGCAGACCCAGGGTCCTGACTGGGCATTCTCATTATGCTTCCTAAAACCATTAGGATCTCTTCGTGGTCACATCCAACAGCCTTTCTCTTTCTCAGGCCTGCAGCTCACTGCATGTGGTGCTGCCTCTCACATTCTCCTCTTTAATTAGAGGTCAGCCACTCTAACTCCAGCCTTCATCACACTCTGCCTCTAGGGTCTTCTGAATGCTGTCTTTGAGGGTCTTCTCAGTCTCTTCCTTCCTCTTTATCTTTTATCAAAGGCACTCTTTTAATCTTTTGGTTCCTTTCTGTTGCCCCTCCATTCTCATCTGTTTATATGTTCGCTTTAAGGTCATAAACATTATTGAGTGCTTGCTATATGCCTAGTACTGATATAAACAAGATATGGCTTTTGTGCATTCTTGTGATGGAACAGATACATATATAAAACCAAGCAAAACACAATGTGAAATATGTAATACAGATCTGTACAAAATGTCTTAGCAACTCAAAAGAGGAAGTGATGAATTCTGTCTTGAGACAAATAAAAGGCATTGCAGAAGGAAAAAGTTTTGATTTGTGCTTTGAGAATGAATTAGGGATTTATGAAAAGAAAAGTTGGAGGAAGGGCATTACAGACAGAGAGATGAGGATGGGATAGGAACAGCATGACCAAGGAAGGTTAGAAAGGCCATGTGACTGGAGGGGAAGCAGACAAGCGTGGGCAGGGAGAGTGGTAGGCAACGACCCTGCAAAGTTAGGAATGCACCACAACTGTAGTCACCATTTAAACCTACATGTCTAGTTAACATTCAAATGGATCATTGCACTGCCTGGGACATTCATTTTTAAATAGTATAATTTAGCTCCTACTACTTGCTATATACCATGTAACATGCTTACCGCTGGTAATACAAAGATAAATAAGCTGTCCCCTCAAGAAATCAAAATATAATAGAGAGGTAGATGTGTTTTAAAAGTTATTATGTGCAATACAAGCCAACCCATGCAGTGAAGGTAGTATGTATATGACACAAAATAGAGAGTGATTAGCTCTGAGCAGAACATGTTTCAGAGAAAAAGTGATAGCAGAGCTTTAAGAGACTAATTGGGGTTGGGTGGTGCAGTAAGCAGAATAATGGCTTCTCAGAGATATCCACATCCCAAACTTGTAAATGTTACCGTACATGTCAATGAGGACTTTGCAGATATGACTACGTTTAAGGAAGATGGGAAGATTAGATTATTCAGACGAACCTGATGTAATCACAGGGGTCCTTATAGAAAAAGGAGGCAGGAGTGTCAGAGAAAGAGATGTGACAATGAGGGACCATCAGCCAAAACCAAAAACAAACAAACAAAAACAAAAACTGTGGTTAGAAGCTGGAAGAGGCAAAGAACAGTGTCTCTCCTCCAGCTCCAGGAGGTATGAAGGTCTGCCAATGCTTTAATTTTAGCCTCATGAAATAGCCTCATTTCAGACTTCTGACCTCAAAAAGAGTAAGTTTGTGATAATTTGTTACAGCAGCAACAGGAAATGAATACAGATGGAAAAGCAGCCAGGGTGCTGGGAGTGAGAGCATTTCAGGCAGAAGGAATAGCATAAGCAAAGGCACAGAGGCATGAAATAACATGGCAAACCCTTGGGGCAGGGGTTACCAGTTGTTTAGTGTTGGTCTGGTTTAAGAACCACCAAGTAAGGAGCAGAAGAATGCACTGGCATGCAAAGCAAGTGCCAGATGACACAAGGCCTGGTAAGGAGCAGCCCTACCATGGAGCTTAGGTATGCTGAAGCTTAGAAGGTAAATCAGGAGCCATTTCATGGTTTCACACAAAAAAGGAAAAACACTGAATTTTCAATTTTGGAAGAAAAGCTTAATGGGGAAGAACCCAGGGCAGGGAGACCATTTAAGGAAGCTATAACAAAGTCCTGGAGGGACGTGGTGGGGCTTGAACTAAAGCAGTGTGAATAGCAGGAGAAGGCAGGGTAGCGATATTTAGGATTCAGAGAGTGACCAAATATGAGGAGCAAGGAGAAAGAGAAGAGTCAAGGATGACCCCACATTTCTGATTTGGACTTTGATGAATGTCCATGTGCTTACTGACATGGGAAAAACTGGAAGTTCCTCCCAATATTTCTTAGATTCATATTTTCTGAATCTCTGTATCCACTAGGCTAATCCACCCATCAACCTATGTCTAGACAGTCTTTAAAGTCTTCCTAGCCACTTTTTCTGATTCTAGCCTTTACCCTTCTCAAGCTATTCTCCACGATGTTGTTAGAACAACTAATTCAATATTCATAAAATATTTATTTAGTGCCTGCCATGTTCCAGGTTCTGATATAGACTCTGTTCATATCATAATGAACAAAACAATTTTAAGAATAAGTTAGCTTGCATTTAATCTAGAAGATCCTTATAGAAGGTAATTTTGGGTAGTTCCATCTCCAATTCGTATCTTCTACAATGGCTTCAAATTTCCCGTCACTTTATATCTAAATTTTTTGGTGTATGCTCAAGCTCTCTGTCAACTTCCTTGCACCAAACGAGCTGTAGGGCCTCTTAACTTACAAATAGGTTGTGATCTAAAGCAGTGATTTTCAAACTATCTGTGTGGTTAATTTTTTTTTAATTTCCAAGCTTGTGGTCTAAGTGTCTTCCTGCGTATGACTAGGGCACAGGTCATGCCACCTGTGACTCACTATGAGAATTCCACAACACCCAGACCAGTCCATACCCTGCTCATTGACATGAGTCCACTGACAATGTGCTTGTATGTTACAGCATTCTCGATTTGCTCTAAAAATTTCTAAATGCTTACTCTCAATTTTAGCACCATCCACATACCACATTTGAAATCTCCATACTTAGTAAGCCCCTTACTAAAACACTTTTGAGGGATTTGGAACACATTTTTTATAAGTGCCTAATTGTATCATGATGGCATTTTTTTACTTTTTTTTTTTCCTTCAACTTTTAAGTTCAGGGGTATATGTGCAGGATGTGGGGGTTTCTTACATAGGTAAATGTGTGCCATGGTGATTTGCTGTACAATTCATCCCATCACCTGCTTATTAAGCCCAGTATCCATTAGCTATTCTTCCCGACACTCTCCCTCCCCTCACACCCCGCTCTGACTGACCCCATCATGTGTTGTTCCCCCTATGTGTCCATGTGTTCTCATCATTCATCTCCCACTTATAAGTGAGAACATGCAGTGTTTGGTTCTCTGTCCCTGCGTTAGTTTGCTGAGGATAATGGCCTCCAGCTCCATCCATGTCCCTGCAAAAGATATGATCTTATTCCTTTTTACGGCTGCGTAGTATTCCATGGTATGTATGTACATTTTCTTTATCCAGTCTGTCATTGATGGAAATTTAGGTTGATTCCATGTCTTTGCTATCGTGAATGTGCTGCAATGAACATAAACATGCATGTATCTTTATAATATAATGATTTATATTCCTTTGGGTATATACTCAATAGTTGGATTACTAGGTCAAATGTTATTTCAGCCTCTAGCTCTTTGAGGAATTGCCACACTGTCTTCCACAATGGTTGAACTAATTTACACTCCAACCAACAGCATAAAAGCATTCCTTTTTCTCCACAACCTCGCCAGCATCTGTTGTTTTTTGACTTTTTAGTAATAGCCATTCTGACTGGCATGAGATGGTATCTCATTGTGGTTTTGATTTGCATTTCTCTAATGATCAGTGATTTTGAGCTTTTTATCATATGTTTTTGGCCACATGTATGACTTCTTTTGAGAAGTGTCTGTTCATGTCCTTTGCCCATCTTTTAATGGGGTTTTTTTTTTCTTGTAAATTTGTTTAAGTTCCTTGTAAACTCTGGATATTAGACCTTTGTCAGATGAATAGATTGCAAAAATATTCTTCCATTCTGTAAATTGTCTGTTCACTCTGATGATAGTTTCATTTGCTGTGCAGAAGCTCATTAGTTTAATTAGATCCCATTTGTCAATTTTTGCTTTTATTGAAATTGCTTTTGGTATTTTTGCCATGAAAGCATTTTTTTTTTTTTTTGGCTCACCCATTAAAACCTATATTGGCCATGCTAGCTTAGGTTTTTCCTGTAAACAGACCTTAGACTATGTGGAGGCAGGAGAAGGAAGAGCTCTGGGACGACTCTTTGGTACACCATTTTCCTTTAAAGAATGAATGCTTCTTATTGTGCCTTCCTTTTCATGTTTTTCTTTTACTTCTCCTTAACCATCCCATTTCATGCAAACGAAGATTAAAATTAACGTGAAAGACTCTCAAATTTTTATCAAGTTCTTGCCAGAGGTATTCCAACCACTTCAATTTTACCAGCCCTAATTAGATAAAGCTATTTAGCATAAATCATAGTTGCAATTCAACCTCAGGCTTATGAACTGGCTGGGACTAAAAAAGAGAGGGAGCCTTTTGTCTCCGATTCACTGGCTCAACGCTGGGGCTGGCTTATGTTGGACTTCCTCCAGCCCCCAATGAGTATGTTTGTAGCCTTATATTACAGTTCTTTCAGGACCTTTTTTTCAATCTATATCCTTTCTTTGATTTTTAACACTACAAACTCTTTCTTCCCTGTGAATAAACTCTTTTTCTATGGCTCTCATGACTCCACATTGGATTTCTTTGTTGTCTCATTCTCCTCTCTCTCCTCCTTAACCGAGGGCCTCATTCTAGACCTTCTCTCGCCCTCACATGCTCTCAGATGCTCTCATCCTGTCCTATGGAATCAGTTATTACCTAGAGAGACTCATGCCCTCAACTCTTTCCTGAATATGAGACATGTAATTTCAACTGCTTTCTCAACATTTTCATTTAAGTATCTCGAAAGCATCACAAACTCAACTCGATGTTATTTTTCTGCATTCCATATCAGGACAACGCCATCTGCTTAAACATTCAAGATAAACACTTGGGATCATTTTTGACTCCTCATTTCCCTTTATTCCCCATCTTCAGCTGATTGCCAGTCACCATTCCACCACTGCTGTGTTTATTTCTCCAATCATTCTCATTTTCTCCATCTCCACTGCCTTGCCTCAGGCCCTCATCAGTTTTCACCTGGACCATTCTCAGTTCTCTGAACCCTCAGATCACCAATGCCCCACCCAGACTCTAAGATGCAGTCCCACTCCTCCCTGGAGCAACCTCTCCTGGTCACTGCATTGTCCTTTGTCTCTGACAGGCATATCCAATCATCCCTACTCTTGAATACTGACCTTCAAAACTCTTCTTTCTTTAGCTCTTTGTAATATAATCAAAACTCCTTTCTCAGCATGAATTGCCAGGCCTTTTAACACACAGCCCCTGACTAACTCATAGCCTCTTCTTCTGGTTTAACAATAAGAATAATAACAGCAAACCACCACATCCCACAGTCCATCCTCTCAGGTATCCTCAAATTTCCCAAACCTGCCAACCTTTCCACCACTTCTCAGGCCCCTGTACCTTTGAGCATTCTATTCTGGCGACCAGCTATGAACCAACCCTTGCCCTGCCCTGATGTTCCTCTATTTGGTATACATGCTTCAGCTTCCAAGGCAACTCCTCTAAGCACAGTTCACTGCTCCTTCTGTTGCATTCCCATAGCATGATGTAAGGGCCTGTATGGATGGTTCATTCAATGGAGTTGTTCTGAGCCAGGCACTGAGCTAGATTCTAGGGGTACAAAGATAAAGATGGCCCTTACAAAGATGGCTCTTAAGGAGCTTATCTTCAATTAGTAGAGAAAGACATAAGTGTAAATGGCAAGTACATTTATGTATTTTAAAACAATCGGCCGGGCGCGGTGGCTCATGCCTGTAATCCCAGCACTTTGGGAGGCTGAGGCAGGCGGATCACGAGGTCAGGAGATCGAGACCATCCTGGCTAACACGGTGAAACCCCGTCTCCACTAAAATTACAAAAAATTGGCCGGGCGCGGTGGCTCACGCCTGTAATCCCAGCACTTTGGGAGGCCGAGGCGGGCGGATCACGAGGTCAGGAGATCGAGACCATCCTGGCTAACACGGTGAAACCCTGTCTCTACTAAAAATACAAAAAATTAGCCGGGCGAGGTGGCGGGCGCCTGTAGTCCCAGCTACTCCGGAGGCTGAGGCAGGAGAATGGCGTGAACCCCAGGGGGTGGAGCCTGCAGTGAGCCGAGATTGCGCCACTGCACTCCAGCCTGGGCGACAGCGAGACTCCGTCTCAAAAAAAAAAAAAAAAAAAAATACAAAAAATTAGCCGGGCATGGTGGCGGGCGCCTGTAGTCCCAGCTACTCGGGAGGCTGAGGCAGGAGAATGGCGTGAACCCAGGAGGCGGAGCTTGCAGTGAGCCAAGATCACGCCACTGCACTCCAGCCTGGGCAACAGAGCAAGACTCTGTCTCAAAAAAAAAAAAAAATCAATGTTACAAAGCACTATAGGTGCTGTAGGAGAAATATGGGCAGGACAAATAAACAAAGGAAGGAATGGTTAATTCTGTCTGTGGGGTTGGAGGTGGAAGGAGAGAAACCTAAGGAAATCTATTACAAGAGAGATAACCCTCCTGGAGGGTAATGAGAGGAGGTCATTCCAGGCAGAGAACAGCATAACAAAGGCCTGGCAGGATGAAAGGGCCTGCTATATTTAGGGAAAAGCCTGCTATATTTAGGGAAAAGCAATTGGTTCTCTATGGCTGGATCCTGAGCATCAGCATAGACCCAGTTAGACAGAAGGCTGGAGAACAAGGGGAAAGCTTTACCTTACAGGCAACAAGGAGCCACTGCACGGTTTTACACAGGGTTAGATACATTACAATTTGTATTTTCAGAAAGATCATTCTAGCAACAGTGTACAGAGTACAGTAAAATATTGGAGGGTGGTCTACATGTGTACTTTTCTTATTGGGTTGTGAGCTCCTAGATGTCAAGTATTGGGGCTCTTTAATTTCTATCCTCCCAGTGCCTAATACATTTTTTCATCAAGCAATAAGAGAGAGGATCTTCAGCCTGGCCAACATGGTGAAATCCCGTCTCTACTAAAAATACAAAAAAATTAGCCGGCTATGGTGGCAGTATGCCTGTAGTCCCAGCTACTGAAGAAGCTGAGGCGGGAGAATCTCTTGAACCCGGGAGGCAGAGACTGCAGTAAGCCAAGATTGCACCACTACACTCCAGCCTGGGCAACAGAGTGAGACTCTGTCTCAAAAGAGAGAGAGAGAGAGGATCCATGATGTTGGTGCTGGCATGTGGGTCTGGGACACAGGGGAATGTAGCTCTAGGCCAGGCTGTGCCAGCTTGGTGAAGCATTAGCAAGTCACTCTGTGCTTTTGTTTCTTCATCTATAAAATGGTGGCCTGCACAAGATCATCTTTCAGTTCTCTTTTGCTCTAACGTTCTGTAATTGTATAAGGGAGGTTCCTTTTTCTTCCTTTTTTTTTTTTTTGTTTGCAGTCAATATTTGGTAATACAAATAAAAGTTTACAGAGGTGGATGTCAAGAGGTAAGTGCACTGTGAAGCACAGGTCGGCCAAAAGTTTACATGAGCTATTTCCTGAAGAGTGGGCAATGACTCTGGTTCAATTATTCACACGGTAAAAGGATGCATTTTTCCTGTTGTGGGAGTACAGAATTGTCTCCTCAAGTGTTGACTCCTTTTAAAAGGAAATAAACAGAACTTGGACTACTCTTCTTCTTATTATTATAAGGCTTTAAGTCTTCAAATACATTTTGAAAACATTAGAAGCCTGAGAGACACCCAGCAGTTTTGTCCACCTTAAGTTAGTTCTCTATTTATTAATTCAGCATAGTACACAGAGCTCTACCAGGTTCTCCATGTCCCTCTCATAACTGTTGCCTGTCTTTGACTTGGTAAAATATGCTGTGACATTTCTGCTTCATCAGCATATTACTGGCCTGATCACCAGAATTTAAAATTCAGGATCTCCAGCAACAGAGCCAATTTCTATTGACCACCCGCTCAAAAAAGCACAGGTTTATTTTAGCCTCCATGCTATTTGATCTTTACCTTGATGATGCTATAGCCTTCAACCCTCTTGATAAAAATCTTTTTTTGCTGATATATTACTATCTTTTACCCAGAAGTTTGTTTTCTTAAAGAACAAGTTTTCTCAATGTACTTCACTACCATGAACTGTCTGCAATGATATTGAAATGGAAATATTTAAATTTAATTTGTTAGAGATTTTGTGTTCAACTTTTAAAATTTAATGATGTATTAACCTTTTCCTAAGAAATAATATTTACTGTCTAGTATCAAGCTCAACGATATAAATCTAATTTTGTAATATAATATCTATATTTATTCATAAAACCAAAGAAAATTCTCACTTTGACCACATTTTCTTAATAAGCTATGTCCCTGGGTTTCTTTTTACAGTAAAACATAGCTGCTAAATTTATGCCAGAGCATAACTTTCCAGAGTGGCTTGTAAACCAGCCACAGTAATTTCAAGATATTTCAACTGAGTTCAACCTCCTTTATAAAAAATGTTTAGAGGAGGAAAAGAGACTGTTATTATTATAATTTGGAGAACAGAAAGAGAAAGATAGTGGTGACACCACCCATCTCTTATTCTCTCACAGACATTGTCATGCTCCAGGTGGGGTGGGTGGTGATGCCAGTAATCCCCTGGGCTTTGACTTAGCTGAGCGTGGACTCAGTTTTCAGTTGCTTGGCTTGTTCTTGAAGAGTAAGCTGACAGGGTAGATTTGGTTCTCAGCGTATCATCTAAACAAACAAAACATGTAGGGTAGTAGTTCCACCTCCAGTGAGGGGCTCAGCCTTCTTACAGAGCACTTTTCTCTACTCTCAGCCTCCTGTGCTTGAGAAACAGCAGAAACTGGGCCTGGCTGGGCTAGCTCTCCGAGGCTGCTATACAAAAAGCCTGTATTCTAATAGACTCATTAACCCCAAAACCTATTCAGAGCACCTAACTTTCATTTGTTGAACTGCACATGAAATATATTTGGGGATATAAGGTTAATATTTCTTAGGAATCAAGAGTCTCCTCGCTAGTTAACTTTAACACAACAGAAAGTTCTTTTTTTTTTTTTTTTTTTTTGAGACGGAGTCTCACTCTGTCACCAGGCTGGAGTGCAATGGCCCGATCTCGGCTCACTGCAACCTCCGCCTCCTGGGTTCAAGCGATTCTCCTGCCTCAGCCTCCCAAGTAGCTGGGACTACCGGCGCCCGCCACCACGCCCAGCTCATTTTTTTGTACTTTTAGTAGAGACGGGATTTCACCGTGTTAGCCAGGATGGGCTCGATCTCCTGACCTCGTGATCTGCCCACCTCAGCCTCCCAAAGTGCTGGGATAGCAAATTTTAAGCCAAAACCACTATCTGAGATTTACACAAAGCATAATTTTAGCTCCTCTTTTGTTTCATGAAGTCTAAATAATATTCTCTAGAAGAATTCCCAATATGCAGGCTGATATTTACTATTGCTTTCTTTATCTTCGAAGTGAGATGATGCCAAAACAATTGTTTTTGAATATCTTATGCAAGAAATAATAATGGAAAATAGAAATGTTGTCACTCCGGATAAGTTTTTTCCCCATCCCACAGAAGTTGGAAAAAATAGCATGAAAAGAGTCACTGAAAGGCTAGAATATCACAAATTAATAAATAATAAGTCTGAGTGCTTTCCCATTCACTTATTTTGCCTGTTTTTTGCCCCCCCAGAAGTACCAATTGTGAAAAGCTAACCTCATATCAAGCCTGGGAGAAAGAAGAGGGAATTGTCTACTGACTTAAGAAAAGTGGCAGATAAAAATAAAACATGCATTTTGTTACACAGGAAGATTTTAATGTATAGAAATAAATTTTATGATGTTTATTGAACATGAATTACATTGGCATACCTCGCTGCTTTTGCATACTGACAACTGGTACCTGGTAAAAACAAGTTCTTGAATGAATGACCCTCCACCTTTCATTCTCACAAAAGTAGCTCTCCTTCACTTCTTTTGGTTCTCAAAAGGTTACTATCCAAACAACTACCTCTTGTGAAAAAAAGAGCGGAAGAAGATGAATTGTTTTTAAAACAAAGCTTGTCAGTTTTAGAAACAAACTTAACCAATTTCAGTGTGTAGTAGGTAATCATTCAATAAATAAGCGCCAAACATGTAAACAGGTCTAATTGCTGTTGTGATAAGCCATCTACTTGAAAGATGCATATGGAGATAACTAAGTCTGTAGTTAGCATGAAGCATGTTAAGTAAGATTAACATGAATGACAAGTGTGGCCTCCAGAGTCAGATGGTCTGAGTGTGAATCTTACTGTCAATCACTAACTGTGAGATCTTGGGCAATATTTGTGCCTCAATTTCCTCATCTGTAAAATGGAAACAATAACTCATAGACTTTTGTAAGATTTGAATGAATTAATAACTGTACAATGATTAGAAAAGTAAAAGTACCTGATATACAATAAGCACTTAATAAATGTTAAGATTTAATTACATGGATTGATTCTGCTTTAAAATTCTTTGTAGCAATGAAATGCCCTAAATTTTTCATGGTGTATGGGACTGAGACTGAAATAATAGACTACAGTTCCGGAAACTTTTTAAAGTGGCTCCTAAAATTATCTTGTCACCCAGGTGCAGTGGGTCACACCTATAATCCCAGCACTTTGGGAGGCTGAGGCAGGTGAATCACCTTAGGTCAGGAGTTTGAGACCAGCCTGACCAGTATGATGAAATCCCATCTCTAGTAAAAATACAAAAGTTAGGCGGGCGTGGTGGCGGGTGCCTGTAGTCCCAGCTACCCGGGAGGCTGAGACAGGAGAATTGCTTGAACCTGGGAGGCAGAGATTGCAGTGAGCCGAGATCGCACCATTGCACTCCAACCTGGGGGCCAGAGCAAGACCCCCTCTCAAAAAAAAAAAAAGTAAAATAAAATTATCTGTCTTCTGGAATACTTATAATTTACATTAAAGCAGACATTGAAATCTTTTCAGCCAGAACCTATACCTGTAACCATATAGCCAAAGTTACATTTGTTTAAAAGTGAATTTTCATTTTTGCTCCTCCCCTTTTTCATTCTCCTATTCCCCCCCCCCACCTTTTCTACTGGTGTAGCATTTTTTTCTATTGATGTAATTTTGATTTCCAGTTACAGTAAAGACACTTGACTGGATACCATACAAGAGGCAACTATATATATATATATATCTGTGTGTATGTGTTTGCATGTGCGTGTATGTATATATTCTATATTAAATAGGCTGTAGAAATCTTAGTATTACATACAGCATTGATACTAGGGAAAACACATTCCACAATGGCAAATAATTGCGTATTCATTTTTATTCTTCTCAGTGAGACAAGGGCCTGCGGTTATTGATTAGACCAGCTTTGTCTTTAATTCCCTTCCAGTAATGAAGAGGAATACTCTTGCCTGAGAGAACAGGGTGGTCTTTCAGGCCTACTTAAGCTGGGTGAGATGGAGCACACACCCCAACCAGGAGGTGTGGAGGTTCACTGCCAGGACACCCTTATGAGTTAGGTAGTTTACCAAGTGTCATGTCTTAAAGGGTTATGAGTGGGATCATCTCTCCAGATTATCTGCTGCACTGACTGACCTTAAATCACTCTTGCCATGATTTAAGTTCCTTATACTCCACTGTGGCTTCCCCACTGTGATTTATGGTTTGCCAGTAAAAAGTAGTAATCCAAAGTAGTAATAGATCATGTTCTTTCCCCTATTTGCAGCCACTCCTATTGAGTGATTTGAAATACACTTATTTTATGTGATTGTCAAGCCCGGCAATACAGACAAACTAATGCTTTTAGGATTAAAAATCAAAAGCCCTCCCCTGCAAAATGTCCTAACTGTATGTCTAGGAATTACTTAAAACATAAAATTTGCTTATCAAATATAAACAATACCAGGTTCAAGATAGAAAATAAACACAGATTTCAGGTAAAATATAAGTATTGTATCAGCCAGGGCCTGCCATCCCCAACTTGACCCCATTGCCCAAGCTGATGTCTGCCTCTTGCAGACGGCCTTGCCCAATCCCTGTGCCAGTGAGAACCATACCTTGTTCTAATCCAATTCTTTCTCCAGAAGAGAGAAGAGAAATCAGGAAATAGTTTATTATTTCAATTCCCAGCACCTAGCCCAATGTCTGGCACAGTGCCTAGAATATAAAGAGCATTCAGTAAATATTGATTGAATGAACAAATATGCTGTCACCAGGCTGACCCCCCACCACCTGCCTCAACAGAGCCAGTATCCAGTGTGATCTGGGATGGATTTAGCTTCCTGGGGCTTCCCATATGCATTAATCTTCTGTTTCCCTATCTGCCCCTCACATGTGTGGCTGACCATCCTACCTGGCCCTTCTGATTTGGATGGTCATCTGCCCTGGTTCTTTCTCTAAAACCCCTTGGAGTACCACAGTGGAGTCTGCAACACCAGCTAATGGGCCAGGGGGTGAGAAATGCCAAGGGAGCCAGACCTTCTTACTTGGGTCCTATAATTCTTTTTTTTTTTTGAGACGAAGTCTCACTCTGTTGCCCCAGGCTGCAGTGCAGTGGCGCCCAATCTCAGCTCACTGCAACCTCTGCCTCCCGGGTTCAAGTCATTCAGCCTCCGGAGTAGCTGGGACTACAGGCACACACCACCATGCCTAGCTAATTTTTGTATTTTTTAGTAGAGACGGGGTTTCACCATATTGGTCAGGCTGGTCCTGGACTCCTGACCTTAGGTGATCCACCCACCTCGGCCTCCTAAAGTGCTGGGATTACAGGTGTGAGCCTCCGCGTCTGGCCCCTATAATTCTTTTTCCCTAAGCCAAAGCCTTTTTCAAGGGTCTCTTATGTTGCCTGGGAACCTCATCACTAACAACTCTGAGTCCTAATGTTGACAACCCCTGCTTCCCAAAGCTGTGCACTGCTCCCTGGTCCATTCTTTGAATACTATTGCCAGAATAGTATCGTCTCCATATTATGACTCAATTTTTACTCTTTTTGTCTTAAGGCATTTTACTCTCATGTGTTGTGCAGTTATAATCCAAGTATGAAATCCAATTAACAGAATTTTATCATAGATGTGCTAGAAGCTACAAGGATTTGGTCTGTTTCTTTCTTAGTTTTCAGTTAGCCAATCTTTTCTGAAAGAAATTGAAGCCACCCTCCTCTTAGAAAAACAATCCTTCTTTCTTCATTTTATTTTCATGGGCTGCTTCTAGGAGTATATTGAATTCTGCCTTCCATATTTCTAATCAGGCTTCACAGTTTCTTCCTTTTCTGTCCCTTTCTCTCTGTTCCTATTTCTGCCATATCAACTAAGGCTTTCCTTAGCTCTTGCTTTACCTATAGCAATACTACCTACTTTGTCTTCTTACTTACTACACCAGTTTATATTGGCTCTGATCGTTATTATCTATGGGGGCTGAGGCAGGTTGCTTTCACTCTGATCCTCAGTTTCCTCACCTGTAAAGTGGCCATATTAGAGTATGGACCTTGTAAGGGTGGTATAAATGTAAGCAAATATCCTTGGTTCTCCTGAGCCATAAATCCAAATGTGATCATGTTAATTAAAAATCTTCATAGTTCTTATCCTTCCCCAAATATTTATGAGAAATTCATGAAATGGATTAACTCAATAAATATTGAGCACTCTGTGTGAGTCACTGATGTGGGCTCTGGGGACACAACAATAAACAGACAGACCTGGACACTGCTTTCTTGGCATTTGCTTTTTGGGACAGGAAAAACGATGATTAAAAAAGAAGAAAAAGAAACAAAAATGACAAAACATGAGATGATGATAAGTGCTATGGAAAGAAAGTCGGGGTAGGCAGAGGGTAGGAAGGCAGAGGGGTTGCTCGGTTTTACATAAGGTGGTCAGGGAGGGCCTCATCGAGTAGGTGTTTTTGTACAAAGACATTTGGGTGTCATTGGTGGACAGATCTTACCTGTGTTCTTAAGCCAGTGTTGTCATCATGTGTATTGTTATAGTTAGCCAGACACCAAGATGCTGGCACTGACAGCACCACTGTGAGCTAAAAGTCCACAAACGGTGTCAGCGTGGAGCCCTGCACAGTTACCCTAGCCAATAATGCTTTTGAAAAACAGGAAGTAAGAGAGTTGACTTTTTCAGCATTAATGCTCAAGGTAAAGTGTTATGACTGAATTAACTGAAATCAACTACTATTTCCTTAACACAACTTGGATAAAAACCTTTTTCTGCAATCACAGCTGGCACTGTGGTGCCGGTTTTATGGGAAATTGAGGGCTATGATAGCCCCTGTGATGTCTGTCAGCATCCTCTTTCAAAGTGGGAAAAGAAAAGCTCTCTTCCTTAATATAACACTGAGTTACCAGTTACTGGGCGATAGGCCCTAGAGCATTAAAGAGTTTCATGGCTCTTTCCATGACTCAGAGGCCCTTCTTTGTTTTCTTCTGGGAAGACACATGCAAGGAAGCTGGGTTAGGCCCTTCCCTGTGACAGTCAGACTTACCACGACCTTCCAGGTCTAAAGCCCAGTCTTACCGTTACAAACTCCTTCCTCAACCAACGGTGCTCTCTCCAGGGGCCCCACCATTCCTGCCAGCACTCTGCCTACCTCTGGAACTGTCTCCAGACATGCCCATGAATGCTGAAGACCCTACTGAGGCAAATATTTCCATTTTGCCCCCAGCAAACTTCTCAGCCCCCTTATAAATCAATGGATGCCAATCATTGCTTAAAGGGAAGAGACATTGTCTAATTCTGCATCACAGCCATATCTGTCTGAATTCTGACCCATCTGGGACATTGTATTGCACAAGAAATAGAAAAATAATTCATGAAGTTCCTAGCATAATTCTTCTGTTTAGTAGGTATTCAAAAATTGGTAACTATTGTAATTACTTAGGTAGTAGTTTAATGGGCAATTGTAAACATATTGTTTATAATTTTTGTTTTTTTCAAAATGTTTTACAAAATCATGTGTTATATAATAAGAAGCAAATTCTTTCAAAAAAAATAAAACACACACACACACACCAAACTCTTGACACATAGCTGTTTTCTTCCCCTCCTTTTCATCTAAACTTCTCAGAAAAGTGTCTTGCACTCACTATTTCCACTTCCTCAACTTGCTTCTATCTAGCTTCTGCCCCGATCATTCCTCTAAAAATTGATCTCACTGAAGCCACCAGCTGCTTTTGAATGTTCTTCCCTCAGGAGTATGTTGGTGGGTCTGGGAAGGGAAGGCACCCTCAGGTAAATAATAACCCAGAGCAGAGTGGATTGAGTAGAAGGGAGAGGACAAGGATACAAGAGGTGAGGCAATGTCATCCAAGTTGAAAGAATGGTGCAGAACCAAAGTTGGATCCAAACACTCACCTTGTCCAAGAGCCAGGCGTTCCAGTTAGAAGTCTGCTCACCTGAGCAGAAGAGAGAGTCCAGAAACAAGCCAACTCCAAACAGGTAATAAACTGAAAAACCAAAGTAGTCCCAGAAGGAAGAGTGCAAGGAGTTGGAAGGCCAAGAGGAATTCCACATTCAGCAACTTACCAGCTGCATTTGGCTGGGCTTTCCTGGGAATATGTGATGAAACGTCCAGATCTACAATGCTATCTCTTTCAGAAATGAGATATGTCAACACAGTGCCTGCCACACCCAACTTCCTCTTTGAGATGAAAGTGCCCCACCCAGAGCCCCCTGCTTTGAGAAGCAGAGGTAGGTTGTTCTTTGCCCAGGGATGGCTCCTGATTGGACCAGTGATTGGCCCTTGACATTAGGGGCTGCCTTCCCAAAAACCAGGGCTTGAGTGGAAAAGGTAAGTTTGATCAATCAGATTCTCTCCTTCTGGGATTTGAATTGGGAAACATGGATAGAAAGAAGCAGTTAGCCATGGGAGCTGAAGCTGAAAGGATGGCATACAATGGAGTGGAGCCATGGAGGATTATAGCAAACCAAAACTATGAGGAAGCAGAACCATGTGATAAGAAGGCAGAATTTATGAATAAGCAACAATTCTGAGGTAGAGAAAATACATGAAAAGTAAACAGAATTTTTTAGTTGGAATAAGACAGCAAGAAGCAAACCTGCAAAGAGTCGCAAGAAATGAGAAGTGGTGCACAATTGTCATTAAGATCCTATCATCTGGCTCAACTAAGAGCCAGTTTCAGATCACCCGGATTTACTAAGGCTCCTGTGCTCTTCATCAGATTTACCCCAGCTTTCCAGGTTTCCATGCTGGTATTTCTTGGGCTCCTACTATGAGCTAGGCACAGTTCTAGGTGTTTGGGATCTAAGGGCAAATGAAACAGGAAAATACTTAAACCCCTCATAACTTGCGGCAGGGTCTCTGTTTCAAAGGGCCAAGTTGAAATAACTACTCTTGCCTTCACCATTTCCCATGGTCCAGTTGGTGTCATTATGTTGTCATTATGAGTCTACACCCACTTTGGCATGCAGTTCATATATATCACCTCCACTGCTAGGGTGGGTAACTGGAGAATCAGGAAAAGAGAAAATAAAAAACAGAAGTTGGGAGATGGGACATGAAGGAAGTCAGATGATGTATGATAATGGCAGCAGAGTGGCTGAATGCCCAGGCTTTAAATTAACTTGCGTTCAAAATTTTGCTCTATCACTTATTCATTATGCGGCTTTTTTGGCAGGTCAGTTTTCTCAGCTGTGAGCTAGAGATAAAATAGCATTCTCCTCATTGCATTTTTTGAGAATTAAGTGAGAAAATATATGCAGAGCATTTAGCGTAGTACTTGGCCCATAGTAAATGCTTGATAAATGGTAACTATTTTTGCTGATGCTATTATTATCAGCAATCCTCTAGTTTTCCCATTAGTTGGATAGAATGAATGGGCTGGCGGGGAATTAGATGGCATCCTATGCTCAAACCTCTCTGAAGGCTGATGCCAGCCATAACACAGTAGGCTCATTAAAGCTCCTTCTAGTTGGTGCATTCCTTCCCGGGTACTGTCTAGCTGCAGGAATATCAATAATACCAAGAAGAGGGCCAGGCACGGTGGCTCACGCCTGTAATCCCAGCACTTTGGGAGGCCGAGGCGGGCGGATCATGAGGTCAGGAGATCGAGACCATCCTGGCGAACACAGTGAAACCCCGTCTCTACTAAAAATACAAAAAATTAGCCAGCCATGGTGGCGGGCGCCTGTAGTCCCAGCTACTCGGGAGGCTGAGGCAGGAGAATGGCGTGAACCCGGGAGGCGGAGCTTGCAGTGAGTCAAGAGATCGCGCCACTGCACTCCAGCCTGGGCCAAAGTGCGAGACTCCGTCTCGAAAAATAAAAAAATAAAAAACAATAATAATAATACCAAGAAGAGGTGTAAAAAAAACACTAAGGACAAAAACCTTTGTATGCAAAAAAGCAGTTCTGGAGGGCAGGCAATAATAATTAGTGAAAGCAAAGTGTGTAGCAGTGATATTAGCCAGAGCAGTCAGTTGTGTGGGGGAGGCAAAAAAGCACATTTGTTTCTTAAGCACTACTTTTGTCACCTGTCTAGGGGTGGTGGGTATGTGGATGTAGACCTGATAGGCCCAAACTGAGGCACAGCTGAGGGCTGTGGTTGGAAAGCAGTGCTTTGAGAGACCATGAAAGTAGAAGCCCTCTTTTACCTATCAGGGTATAAATGACTGGAATGGGTGGAGGAGCAATGCAGGGAGGGAAGAGGGCAGAGTCAGGGAAGAGGTCAAGAGGGGCAGACCTCCCAATGACTTGGGAGGCTGAGGTGGGAGGATAACCCGAGCCCATGAGTTTGAGTTCAGCCTGGGCAACATAGCAAGACCCTGTCTCTATAACAATCAATCAATCAATCAATCCAGGAAGCGGGCAGACAACAAATAGAAGTCCCAAAACTGGAGTTTCAGATGCGAGTGTGGATCAGAAGGAGTCACCGCGGCTCTAGAGGAACCCTGAGGTATCTTTGCTTTGGGTCCAGGTGCTTTTGTGGTAGTGTACCAGACCATATCACCTCAGGGAGGGCCAGTGGCTGTGCTGAGGCTGCATTCTGGCCTTCCTAGCAGGGATGAGCACTGCCTTGCTCCTATGAAGAGCTTCGTGGCATTTAACATCAATCCAAATTGCCCCAAGAGGCCCTGTATCAGGATTAAGACCATGCATAAATGTCTAAAATACATCATTTGAGCAGAATGATTGTGAAATACTCAAGCCATAGTCTTCCAGAGCGAGTCTCTCTGTTACCTCTTGTACTCAGGCTTTCAGGATAGAGAATCTGGTCTGTGATTCTGAGTGCTGGGCACACAGCTGATGGAGCACCCAAGCACAGATAAGGTGAGCTGCCTTGCATAGCATGAGCTGAGCTTTCAGGCTATGGCAGACTGAAGTCCCTATCACACATTGGACCCTCTAGGGCTTGAAAACATGCTTGACCACAGGCCCTTCCCCTTTCCACGCAGGGATAATGAAGTGTGGCATAAAGCTTCTCCTGGGTCAGGGTGGCCCACTCCACAGTGTTGGCAGCACCAGTCTCAACAGTGTGATGCTGAATGAAGCTAGGTTCCAGCTGTGTAGAGCTGGCATGCAGGTGCAGAGGACACACTGTGGAGCTGAGTTGCTTGCATTCATTTCTATTCTTAGTAAATTTTTTACCTGTATGGCTTTATAGGAGTTACTTTATCACTCCATGTTTCAGTTTCCTCATCCGCAAAACAGCAATAATAATAGCATATAGCTCATAGGGTTATCATGAGTATTAAATTAGTTAATATAGGCAAGCCCTTTCAGCAGTGCCTGGCACATCGTCAGTGCTTGCTTGTGCTGTACTGGAGCAGAGGTGCAGCGAGTCTTGACTTGCCAAACATAGTGTCAACCTCAGCACATCAGGAAACTTCCTTCTCTATTTTAGGAGGTCATTACTAGGGCAGTTGCACAGAAAAAGACAAAATGGTGTTAGACATCTCTTGAAAATGTCTAGGTAACCTCAGTGACCAGGGTGTCTCTCACTCCAGAATCACAGATAACTGGCTACACTGAACTTGGTTCAGAAATGTCACACATTTCTGTGCTGTTTTGAAGGTGCTGATGTTTCAGGTAACTCAGAACTGTTGGGGCTAGAGTATTGTATGAAGCATAGCTAGTCAGGTTGCATGTGGATGTTTCAGGATATATTAGGACATTTTCCAAGAAGAGCAAAAAGCATCCCCTTGAAAGTCCTGCAGGATACTGATCATGCTGCTGCCATAGGTCAAGAGGCATTGTGTTCTCTGCAAACTCTCTGTCATCCAAATGCAACGATGGAAGGCAGACAAGGTGCTAGGCACTCAGAAGATCTAATTTTATGGTCCTTCTGAGCTGGCCCAGGAGAGGGAACCAGACAGTATTAGGATCCCAGTAATCCTAGCAGAGGCCCAGTCATCTGCTTTTCTTCCTCACAAAGTTCTCCACTGCCTTCTTGGGAGAGATAGGGCCCCAGTGGATTTCAAGGCCTATGAATTCCTACCAAGTCTCAAGTTATGGGTGTTGTGGTGGCCACAGGGAGGCCAGATAAAATTCAGAACACCAATTAAATTTGAATTTCAAATAAATGTTGAATAATGTCTTAATATAAATCTATCCCAAATATTGTGTGGCATATACTTATACCAAATATGTATTTGTTATCTGAAGTTCAAATTTAACTGGGCATCCTGTATTTTCATCTTCTAAGTCTGGTAACCCTCACTGAGGGATATGGTCAGGGAAGGCTGATGGGTGGGTGCAGCCTCCAACTAAACAAAAATAATAGAGATGCTACAGGTTTCTGGTGCCCTCACATCAGAGGGGACTCTTCTTGCAGGACTTTCGAGGAGATGCTTTTTGCTTTTCTTCATAATACTGGCTCATTCGGTTCAAATCTCTGAGAGTGAGGCAGGTCTGGATACTTACCCACTCTGATGCTGTAGTTGCCTACTCTACAGATTTCAAGGACTCTTGCCAATCAATCAGGGCTATGAGAAAGTCCCAGTGGTGTCCACACAGTGTGGGCTTCCAGACTATAGCCAGGCCACTATCCAGAAGACATGAGAAGTCCCATTTACATAAGTATCCTCTTCCCCAAATATAAGCCTTCTATCTCCATAAGCTACTGGAGCTGTGACAAAAAATAACATGGCAACTGGGAAGGCCCACCTGAAGACAGACAGCTTGCTCTGGCAACAGGCAGTGCAAGACTTGGCAAATCTGACCAGCAACCTGTGATCTCGAAGGCAGCAGCCCTGTTGTCAGACATTTGCTACATCTACAGAACAGATACAGCAACCACCAGCTGAGACCACAACTCATTTCCCGTATGGAGGCTGAGTTTCAGAGAATCAGCTGGAGATACAGCCCTGTGGATTGAGGGTCAGTGCCCAACCTCACTGACTGTAGGTGGGAGTGGGTAGTAACCAAAAATAAGGATGTGGTGTAAGGCTGGGTTTCCTAAGCTGAGAGAACAGTCCAGAACCTCAGAGAAGTGTACATAGGTAGAGACTGAAAGCCAGGTCACTAAGACCCAGAAACAAAGATCTATCCAGACAGGTAAAAAATTCAAGGCAGTCTTGAGAAACAAAGTTCAGAGAGTGAACCAGCAACAGGTTGATGTTTCCAAAGTCAGTGTGTGACTAGCCACCTGTGTTTTTTTATTATTATTATTCCTGAGTTGTGGGTGGGGAATAGGCTGGTTACAGATGCTTCCCTGAGATTAGAGATGCTGTCAGGGAGCAGACCTAACTCTCAACACCAAGGAACATTTCCAAGGTCTGCTCTTCAGCTACTCTGTTATCCCTGACTTTGTTAGACCCTCCCTTTCGTTGTCACTCTCTGCACACTTGGCTTCTGAGACTGTGCTCTTCAAGTCTCCCTCTAGCTGTTCCTTCTCTGTCTTCTCCAAGGGCTCTTTTTCTTCCTGCTCCTTAAGTGTTCATATTCCTTAGGGTCCTGCCCTTGGCCCACTGCTCTTCTCTTTTCTTTCTATCTTTGGTTTCTGGATGTTCTCATTTGCCGTCATGGTTCCAACTGAGACTGTACCTGGCTAAAATGTCAGTTACACAGATTAAACACTTGCATCTTTTTTGCAACTTCCTAGCTGTGAGACCTAGGCTAAATTATATCAACTTTTAGGCTTCCCTCTTTTTTTTTTTTTTTTTTCGAGATGGAGTCTCGCTCTGTCACCCAGGCTGGAGTGCAGTGGCGCAATCTTGGCTCACTGCAACATCCGCCTCCCAAGTTCATGCCATTCTCCTGACTCAGCCTCCCGAGTAGCTGGGACTACAGGTGCCCGCCACCACGCCCGGCTACTTTTTGTATTTTTAGTAGAGACAGGGTTTCACCGTGTTAGCCAGGTTGGTCTCAATCTCCTGACCTCATGATCCGCCGGACTCGGCCTCCCAGAGTGCTGGGATTACAGATGTGGGCCACCGCGCCCGGCCCTAAGCTTCCCTCTTTTAAACTCATCAGCCAAATGAGTATAAATAACATCGACTATATATATATATATATATATACCCAGCTTAGATGGTTACATGAAAATTAAATAATACAACATACGCAAATTGTATGAAAATTCTTAGCATAGTGCCTGACACATAGCAAATAGTCAATAAATGCAACCCTAATAGTGATTATTATTATTTACATGGTCTTGCATCTCAGAGCTTTGTTTCCAGCTTAGTACTCTCTCAGGAGCCACACTCGTATATCCAGCTGTCCACTGCATATTTCTACACGGATGTTCCAAAGACACCTTATATTCATTGCATCAAAAATGAAACTTGTTTTGTCTCCTTCTAAACCTCTTTTTCTTCTCTCTTCTCTACCTCACTTGTTGACACTATCATTTATCAGTCTGGAATCTTAGAAATTATTTTTCATTTCTGTCTTTTCCTTGGCATTGCCACCCAACTCTGCTCCTTGTCAAATTAACCATTAGAATCTGATAATTTTACTTCTTCAACTTTTTCATTTTACATTCTCTCCCCATTTCTTGATAAAAACATCTTTAGAAAGCAATGATTCAAGGCTGAGTCCCTGGCTCTTTAGAAGTTTGTGACTTTGGTGGCAAAAACAGACTCTTATAGCAGATTATCTTATTGTTTAAAATATTTGCTGCCCCTGCCTATGGGGCCTATGGAAGGAATTTGGCCATGGACTTGCATTGACCAATAGAAGGCAAACATATGTCATATATGCTGAGCAGAAACTATTAAGACCCATCATGTGGTTTCATCTTTCTCATTTCCCTTGCTATGATGCTACCATATCCCAAATAGGGCCAGCTCCTTCAGTCTAGATTAAGAATGCAAAAGACATGAAGTAATCAGTGGCCAATTTACGGTGTACATGTAACATGAACAAATACAAATCTATTTTGTTATTAGGATATGGGGATTATCCATTACTGTATCACAACCTGGCTAAAACTGACTGATACAACTCCTTTGAGGATTATAAACACAGTCTTTGAAGCTAATGCATGATGATATGAAAATCAGTGTTGATGATGTGACACGCAGTGTTTTCCAACAAAGTAAGAAAGTTCAGTATGCTGCCAGGCATCACAGATGCGCCACACGTGCATCGGGTACCAAGGGTGTTCTGTTGGTCAAAGTTCTGTTTGACAAAATAAAACTTTTATCATTTTGAAAATGTCATTAGCTACAGGAGTTTTCAAAAGGGGCCAACAAAATTAAACTTTAAAAATCTGTTTGGTGTGTACATAACACACAAAACAAGAGCTGACTGCACTGAAAGATACCAGGGATTCATAGAGTTGTATGCTGAAAGGAAATGGCATTGCTGTGAGTTTATTTATGACCTACTTCAATATATTGGAAGAAATGCCAGCAATTTGGAGGTTGGTAACGTAATTTAACAGAAAAACAGCTTCAATTTTCTAACTCTACCACAAACCCCAAATCAGCCTGGCCATTTCTAGGGCACACATCTGCTTTGCTTGGTAACAATAGCAGCAGCAACAATAAGTAATGACAAATGATCACATATAAGGAACCATGTTAATGTATCACTAGATATTAAACAGGGCATTACTTTACTGGTATATGTGTCCAATTTGAATAAACAAATTAGTATATGTGTCAAATTTGGATCCAGCAGGGCACTTCAAAACTTAAGTAATCATGACTCAACTCTAAATACTCAATTTTAAAGTAGTTTCTAAACTTCAGCATATTGACATTTCGGGCCAGATAATTCTTTTTTGAGGAACTCTTCTGTGTAGGATGTTTAGCAGTATCCCTGGCCTAACCCATTAGATGCCAGTAGCACCCCACATTTGTGACAACCAAAAATGTCTCTAGACATTGCCAAAAGTCCCTTGGGTGACTTCGTGCTCTAAAGCTATGAATCTAGTGGGAAGAAATTAGAAACCAGAATACTACATAGAAAATATTTTTGAGTAGACAGGACTATTGATTCATCTAATTAGTTCAGGTAGTTAGCTGATCATTTTTCTTGTAATTCAAACAAACCCTTCCCCAATTCTTAGTAATAGCTGTTGATTGAGTGCCGATTGTGGACAGTAAACATAATTTGCATAGTCAATATAGCTTGGAGATTAAGCACTCGGCTCTGTAGTCTGGGTTGCAATCCTGGCTCTGCCATCTGCTCTCTGTGTAACCTGGGGTATGTTTCTTTACCTCTCTGCCATTGTTCCTCAACTGTACAATGAAATAATGATAGCATGCATGAAATCACACAGGCATGTTGTGAGAATTTAATAAGTCAATGAACATAAGGTGCTTAGAACCAAGCTTAGGGTATGGAAAACAGAGAATAGATGTTTCTTGTTATTCTTAAACCTTACAACAACCGTTCAAGTTAGGCAGCATTATCTGCATTTTATACATGTGGAAGCAAATATTCAGGGAAATCAAGTCCCAAATACACAACTGCTAAATCATTTGGTTAACAAGAAGAGGAATCAGATTCAAACTCCAAAACTGCTATGTTTCTCACTACACGGCAGGCTTGGGTGGAAAACAGGTTAAACCTGGGAGAAAGAGTCCTCTTTTAGGGATAAAAATTGGGATTGTTCAGCTGGTGTGGTGTGTTTGCATGGGGTAGCACAAAGCCCCCGTGAACATGACTTTTACCACTAACTATCTGTGTGAATTTGGCAAGCGTCTCGAACATCCTGGGGCTGTTTACTCATCTGCAAAATGGACACAAAAACACCTGCTCTGCGATCTTCACGGGTGGTGGTCAGAGTCATGTGAAAAGATGCAGGCAGTAGAGCGCTGTGAAACTCTAAAGTGCTCAGCAAATGTAAGGTAGGCTGGGTGCCCTGGTTCACACCTTTAATCCCAGCACTTTGGGAAGCCGAGGCGGGCGAATCACTTGAGGTCAGGAGTTCCAGATCAGCCAGGCCAACATGGTAAAACCCAATTTCCACTAAAAATACAAAAATTAGCCGGGCGTGGGGGTGCGTGCCTGTAATCCCTACTCGGGAGGCTGAGTCAGGAGAATTGCTTGAACCCGGGAGGCGGAGGTTGCAGTGAGCAGAGTTCGCACCACTGCACTCCAGCCTGGGCGACAGAGAGAAACTCCATCTAAAAAAAAAAAAAAGGTAAGGTGGAAATATAAGCCTGGGCTCTCGGGTAGTCATGTCTAAGACCTTTCAATCCCTTAGTCATGTCTTGCTTCTCCCGCAAAAGCAAGTTTTTCTGTGGCCCCATGTCGCCATCCTGGCCTCAGGAGCAGCTGACCTTGCTGGGGAGGCATCATGTGCAAGTGGGCGGGGATGGGGGCTTCTCCCCTGGTTCCAGGGTGGGCAGACTGGGAGGTGACCCCAACATGGATGTGGCAGCTGCTGCTTATCTGTAGTTAGTCAACGGCCCAGACAGATGAGGTGTCCGTGGTGACCTTCCTGCCTCAGTGAGTGTGGGAACTCGGGGCTTCCCAGGGCGAAGGAGTGGGAACATAAACAAAATGGGCCCTGCCGGAGCTCGGGCATCGCATCCTCCCTCAGCCCTGCCTGAACCTCGGAGGAGGCGCCCAGGAGATCATCCAGGCACCGCTGCCTAGGGCCGCGCAGGGAAGACGGCCAGGGCTCCAGGGTCCGCCTCAGTCACTGTCACCCCGCAACATGATTCTGACTCCCCCAAAGGTGGGTGCTTCCTGCCAAAAGTCCCACCACCGGCACCCTTTGTTGTCAGAGGGCAGAGTCAGAAATATGTCATCCTGGTGGAAACTCTTCCCTCCCTCCCTCTCCCCTCAGCAGACTTAGCCCTGGATTCCATGGACTGCTGCAGGGGTTAGTCTTCTGGAGAGAGCAGGGCCCCTGCATCTCTTTCTGACAAAAGACGGCAGACATAAACAAGGGGAAGTTTGAAAGAAAGAGAAACGGCTAATTCTCAGCAACCTTTCATATGTCTGCGGAAGGCTTGGCATCCATGGCCCAGCCTTCTTCAGGATGAGCACCTATGTCTGCTACTCTTTGCATCAAGTGACTTCTCCATGCCTTTCTTGTGTCTTTTTTCTCGCTCCTTTCCGTTGCCTCCTTTATGTTTTCTCACTGCCTAGCTCTTCCCAATAGCACCACCCCGAGTGGTTCTAGGGCAAAATAGTAAAGCATTTTAAATTTGTTTTCATGACTTCCCACCCTTTTTTCAGTCTCGTTCCTTTCCATCTTTAAGGTGGCCAGCAGCTGCTCCGCACTTGACAAACGTGCTGGACACTGCTGCTGGGGAGACATCAGCCGGCAAGCAAGGGAAAGTTGCAGACTTCTCAGTGCTTACCTCCTAGCTGGGAAGACAAATATTGGACAACTATTCTCTAAAGGAGGCATGCAGAGTACTGTGAGTGCCTGTCAGTAGGTGCAGACAGGGGCTCAGGGAGAGCATCCTGGAAGAAGAGATGTTTGGGTTGAGCCTGGAAGCGTGAATGTTGGGTGAAGTGTTGGGAAGAGAGGTGAAGACAGAGAATAAGACAGGGGAGAAGGAACACATTCTATGTGAAGGTGCTGAGGGAAGATAGAACATTTGAGGAACCAAAAATGAATTGTACAGCTGCCTGTGGTACATAGCCTGGGCCTCACCCTCTCCCCTGAGCACTTGACAATGCACATAAGGTCCCTAAACACTTCTGCCTACTCACCCACCATAAAACCTGTCATGTTTGCTCTCCCTTTAAGGCTCTGTTTTTTTGCCTTCCATAATTGCGATCTCAACTGATAGTTTCCTAAGACAGATTTGGGGTCTGGAAACAGATTCTTAGCTGAATTCTACTACTTCACTGTGCAAACTTGAGGAAGTGAGGTATATCATCAGTAATATGGGCTAATAACTGTGCTAGTAGTAACATTTCATGATTGTTTACGCTGCATCAGCTTCCAGTGCTAAGCACTTTTGTCTTTTATTGTATGATTCTCACAAATCCTCATAAGGTAGGTAATGCTTTTATCCCTTTCTCCCTTCTCAAAGGATTCTTAGGAAGCCTAGGTGTGACACTAATTATAGATGCACTTTGTAACCATTAAGGGTTAATGCAAAAAATGAAATATTATTGTGATGTTCAATAATAGTACCATGATGTTCAACAAGTACATATTTAACGAATAACTGCACTTGTTGAATGCCATGACAGTTGTGGGCTATAATTAAATGAGTCTCAAAATATTTTGTGTCTGTCTCCTGAACAAACCAAATAAAAAGCAATAGAAGGAATGAAAAACGTTGTCATCACCAATTTGCTAATTGTATGCCATGCCGGACCACAGAAGAGAGAATTCCACAGATGTGACCCTGAGCCTCCAAAGTTTACAGTCTGATGACCACCACTACCTGGAATGCAGATACAGATAACAGAGTGAAAGCTCAGTATCAGTTGATACAACACTGGGTTGTATCAAGCTCATTTCCTACCAAGGGTAAGGATCTTTCAGGAGACCGAATGAGCAGGAAAAAATTCATGAACTTCTTTTAAAATTCAAGGTGGGGGCTGAAGCCAGAAGGTTCTAAGTCTCTTAGTATTCTCCTTAGTACATGTCTCTTCACTTTCTATCACCTTATCACAGCGTTTTTTTCACCCAACCCCAATTCTGGGGAATTATTTATACATGATATATGCACTGTCATAATAATGACATATTCTTAAATTGTCAATTTCTGAAACCACGTATGTGTATCACAAACTAATATGAATGTGTGTGTGTGTGTGTGCGTGCACGCGCATATTTATGTGTGTGTGTATGAGTGGCTTCCTACACTTACACTCCCCTACTTGAAGAGAAGTGGTGCCGGCTCCCCCTGAAATCAGCCAATGTGGGAGGAGTACTGACACCAAAAACAAAGGAAATGAAATAGGATAACTGTGGTTTGAGGCTCACAGGTCAGATGAGAGGCAATGAATGAGAAAGTCAATGAGCTGAAAATGACTTAAGTACAGGCACCTCCTAGGAATTATACCCCTAATAAATGATTGTATTGAACATTTGTTTAAACTGATGTAAAGTACTTTGAAGGTTAACATCCTTTCCCTCCCTCACAATATTAAGTAGTGTAGCTTGGAGGTTGAAAGCAGATTCTGGGTTCAAATCCAGGTTCTGTCAGATTCTACCACTTACCAGCTAAATGACGTTGGACAAGTCACAATATCTCTAAGCCCTTATTTCTTTACTTGTAATGTGGGAGTACAATCTGCCCCATGAAGCTCTTAAAAGGATACAGAAAAATAAAATGTGACAAACGTCTTGCATTCAATGTATAGCAAATGACTACTTGATGGTATTTTATAGGTGACAAAATAGATGCCCAGAGAAGTTAATCTCCTTTCTTGGGTCCCCCCGAGTGTTAACAGCAGTGCAGGGAAGCAGTCAAGCATCCTGTCTCTGGCCCATGGCTTTTTTATCCATGTGGAGCACCAGTCCCACACAGAAATCATGTTTAGGCTACAAGTGATTTTTCATATATATCTTCTTTAATTTGCATTTGTCTGCCAAATCCACACATTAGCAAGCTCAAAACTCCAATGGAAAGGCGTATATAGGATCTTCTGGAAAATTAGATCTGGAATGACCCTAGCAGACCCAAAGAACTATGTGTGAGAAAAAACACAATACCCTGTTACACCCTCTTCAACTGTGGGCAGGTAGATTATTTACTTTGTGGGTTGATGTAACACAATTTTTAATCCCATGTTGGCTACGCTCTGCCACTTCCCCCCACCGTTAGTGGGTGTGTGCTCAGGCAGTGTAAACTCAGGAAGGTAATGCAAAACCAGGAAAGTAAATCTGCTTCTTATACCTCTCACCCCACATCAGCCTCCTCCTCTCTTTTTACTTCATTCTCTTCAGCTTTAAAAAAACAGAGGTAAATGTATTTTCAGTTGTCTTTGGCACAGCCCTGTTTTGGAAATCATAGACAGCCAGCTGGACCAGGAGTCAGGAAGCCAGGGGCTTTCATCTGGATCTGACATTGGTTAACTGTGGGCCTTCAGGAAAGTTAGATCAGTCCTCCAGGCTTTTGTTCCTTTTCTGTACAATGAAAAGAAGACTAGAGTATTTATGAAGTGCTCACTGTGCACCATGTGACTTCAATTGTATTACTTTATTTAATCCATAAGAGAAAGAACTCTACTAGCTAGGAATATAGATCTGTAGTATTCAAATTTAAAAATACTCAAGTTGCCCAAGGCCACAGAGGTGGCAAAGAGGAAGCTGAGTTGGAATTTGAACCTAGGACCATCAGATTCCAAATTTTATGCTTGAATGAGTTATCCAGTACAATCTATAATTTTCTTTTCTGTTCTAATATTATGCTGTTATGTGAGCACTATTCATCAATATTTAGTTGGCTTAGTTTATTACAGTGAGTCATTCTTCCATGCCTTGGGGTCTTACTCTATATAGGCAGAAGCCCTGACTAAATTTACTACATCCCTTATTTAGTCAGCTAATACATTAGTTGTACACTCTGATATTGTAAGTAGTGGTTTTATTGCCATTAGTGAAAATTAGTGAGCCACCAGGTGTGGTGGCTCACATCTGTAATCCCAGAACTATGTGAGGCCGAGGCAGGAGGATCAGTTGAGCCAAGAGTTCGAGACCATCCTGGGCAACATGGTAAGACCCCCATCTCTACAAAAAAATACAGAAATTAGCTGGATGTGGTGGTGCATGCTTGTAGTCCCAGCTACTTGGGAGGCTGAGGTGGGAGCATCACTTGAGCCCAGCAGACTGAGGTTGCAGTGAGCCAAGATCCATGCCACTGCACTCTGGCCTGAGTGACAGTGCCAGACCCTGCCTTAAAATACATACAAACATACATATATACATAAAGTAATGCTTGCCTTCATCTGATATGCTTCTTCCAATAAGAAAAAACTTTTCTTGGAAACTCTTCCCCTATCCTTCTTTGGAAACTTTATATAATTGACTTTACCTTCTATTATTTAGATTGTTTATTGACAAACCAAAATTATTTGATGTATATGTCTAACCCATATAGAATCAGGGCATAATATGAAGGGTACTTGGTTCCTGCAAGGGTGTTTGCACAGGAATACTGGACATGAGACTACCAGCTATTCAGCATTACAGTGGAGATTTGTCCTCTTATTGTCAGGTGCCTCTCAAGTTGGACTCACATAAGAACTAAATATGTCTCAGCTATAACTTCACTACGTAATGGTTGGAAGAGGAGTGCACTGGAGTGCACCCCACTCTGTGGAGGAGAGTCAGGAATACTTAATATTTCTTCTGTAGTCAACCAGGTATATCATTGAGCCTAATTCTTCACATTGCAGTTATATTCTCTAAAAGTAAATATGATGCTTATTTTAGTTGCTATTGCATCCTTAGGCTAGCCCAGTGCCTAGCACATAGTAGGTGCTCAATAAATATGTGTTAAGGCCGGGCGCAGTGGCTCACGCCTATAGTCCCAGCACTTTCACACGAGGTCAGGAGATTGAGACCATCTTGGCTAACGCGGTGAAACCCCATCTCTACTAAAAATACAAAAAAATTAGTTGGGCATGGTGGCGGGTGCCTGTAGTCCCAGCTACTGGGGAGGCTGAGGCAGGAGAATGGCGTGAACCCAGGGGAGGCGAAGCTTGCAGTGAGCCGAGATCGCGCCACTGCACTCCAGCCTGGGCGACAGAGCGAGACTCCGTCTCAAATAAAGAAATAAATAAATATGTGTTAAATAAATGAACAGGACAAGACAAACCAATAGGGAAGATAACTAGGAGCACCTGGACCTGGGTTAAATGTTGGTTAGCAATTTCAATCTGCCTAAATCTTGTGATATGAGCTCCTTAAGAGCAATGACTCTTTTACTCATCTTTGTATTCCCTAGGATTTAGCCTTCATAATAGGGGCTCAAAAATTTCCATGGGATTAAATCATCTTATAGTAAAATTATTTTAGAAGATAACATAGTGGAGGGATGCAAGAAATTCAAGTGATTTGAGAGTGATAATGATAAGGACGATAACAATCACATAATCATACAAGGTAACAGTGGAAGACAAGAGTGCTCTTCGAAAGGAGTGACGCTGTTGTTGGTGAAACTGGATCAGAAGTTGTCCAGGTAGGGGTTGTGATGTCCTCTTTCTGCTGTTTCCGTGAGTGCCAAAAGTAGAGTCAATTTATATTGATACTTTAGAGAAAGTGATTCCCTAACATTCCTCTCAGTTTTGCCCTCATCATCCCCTAATAGCCCTAAGGCCAAAATACCATAGTTATCACTGATCAGTTGTTGATTTTCCCCTCTGTTCTCATACAGAGTCACTTCCTTGGTACATGAGACCTAGGATGAATTCCAACATCTTCCCTTCCTGGACCCAGTACTGCATCCCTCTTTCTCTCCAATGTCAACATCTCTCCAAAGGGTAGAAGGCATTTTCACTGCACCCAGGACTCCTTTCACTGCCCCATCCTCTTAAAGACAGCCATGCTCAGTGATCCCAAGCTGATTTTCTGTTATATACTGTGATGCCATAACTGATTACTTCTTCTATTAAAGAAAATAAAGATATACATTTTAATTTTAGTGAAACATCCCCTGTGGTTAAGAGGACATCCTGTTATATAAGAAGCCCAGGAGTGGGAGAACAGAGGATTGAGTGACGCTTCATAGATTTCTGGTTGTAGGGTCAACTTAGAGACTGACTCAAAATTGACGTAAATAGGAAAACAGTAATGGCTTTGAGGGGGAATGAGTAAGCTGGTTTAAAGTCTACAGGGAGCAATATCCTACATAGATGAATAAGACAAACAAGAAATATTCTTGAATGGAGCAAGAATGTGGGAAACATTTAAATGAGAAAACAGAGATGAAATAAAGAAATGCAGAGAGCTTTGAAGTCCACATAGAAGACTTTAGAAGATAGTAATAACTAACATTATCCACCCAGCACTCATCTAAGCTCTTTAGATATATCACTTTATGTAATCTTCACAAGTCTATGAGGTAGATACTAGTATTTTTCCCATTTAACAGATTAGGAAACCAAGGCACAAAATGATGGAGTGCCTTACCCAAAGCCACATAGCAACTAAGTGGTGAAGACAGTTGAAATTTGAAGCATAATCTCTATTCTATACTAGCATTCATTTGTCACTAACTGTGCTAGACAGTATGCTGAATCTGGCCCTAGGAATCTTAAAGAGCTATGTGTAAGAGAAAAAATATTTTTTCTACCCCTTCAATTGTCAACACATAGATTATTTACTCTGTGAATTGATGGAACACAATCTTTAATCCATGGGGTTTTTTTGTTTTGTTTTTTCGAGATGGAGTTTTGCTCTGTTGCCCAGGCTGGAGTGCAGTGGTGCAATCTCAGCTCACTGCAACCTCCGCCTCCTGGGTTCAAGTGATTCTTGTGCCTCAGTTTCCCAAGTAGCTGGAATTACAGGTGGATGCCCCAGTAATTTTTGTGTTTTCAGGAGAGACGGGGTTTCACCATGTTGGCCAGGCTCATCTGGAACTCCTAACCTCAAGATATCCACCTGCCTCGGCCTCCCAAAGTGCTGGGATTACAGGCATGAGCCATCGCGCCCGGCCAATTCTATGTTTTTTATACACATTCTTCTCATAAAGTGTGCGCATCTATACACTGTAAGTGTGTGTATGTTGTGGTATTTATATAATCAAATACAATTTACCACCATTGTTCAAGATCGCAAGATCGTGCTTCATTCTTATCTCTACTTTTTAGCATGGTTTCCATTAGCTATTCCTGAGAGGAAATTCACAGTCCTTGCATTTTACAGATGGTGAAAGTGGTTTAGAGGAGGTCAATGGCTTAAGCAAGGTCACAGATCAAGTTTTAGCAACATTTGGCTTAAATCGGGATCAATAACCTCTGACTGTCCAGCCTGATCCTTACAGGGTCTGCCTGTCCTGGGGCCTGGGCCACGTTCCAAATTGGGTCATCTGGTGCATGCTGCCTGTCTGAAATTCCCCTTGTGGTTTTGCTCACATCTGGTGTTTTTCACTTCTCTTTCTAAACACGTGCTTTGATCCTATTGCTGCTACAGCAGAAAGATGTCCATGGTTCCAAGGAGCATAGCTAATTTAGTGAGAGGTGAAAGATACTCCTCTCAACAGGACTTCTAAAAATAAACAGTATCATAGCCTCACAATGTCATGCTTGAAGCACTTCCCATAAAACCCCCAATTTAGTAACTTCTACAGTATCTCTCTACAGCCCCCAAACCTCTAACATGCCTGGACTTCTAGCCCCTCTTCTCAAATCCTCAACACATTTGAAGTCTTCCTCATGTTGTTCTTCCTTTTAGTCACTCTTGAAGTAGACTGCAAGGGTGACAAATGGTTAAATGCTTTCCATAAGAGCTCTGTAGTCGTGTTTCTCCATCAGCTCACACACACTAAGCTGGGAGCTACGTATATTTACTTCCATAAAACCTTATCTACAAGCTTTCCTGTTTTATTTATTTTAGCAAACTTTGTTCCTCATTTCTGCCCCTACTTTATTTTAGTAAGTCTGTTTCTTAATTATAAAAGTATTTTCTTATTACCTTAAAATTTTTAGGTAAATAGAGAAGAATTTAAAAAATCCACAATTCCAGCACTTTACCATAGTCATTATTCATTTTTTGCTCTGTTTTCTTCCAGTTTTATTTTTCTCGTATGTGTGTATGTCTTTTTGATTGTCTATTTGCTCAGTCTTTTTTTCAAATAGAATCATAATTTACATGCAATTTTTGTGTCCCCTTCTTTCACTATTTAATATTATAAATGTTTCCCATGTTGCTACATAATCTTGCAGATAAAAAATTAGGAATGAAAATAGATATAGATTTTAACAAAGTAAATGGGAAAGGCCTTCACTGACCTCCCATAAAGCAATAGATTGTGAATATCATTTGCAGGACCCATTTCTTCTCTGAGTTGCTGGGATTTGGAATTAAGATAAAGAAGACATAAGTGAGTAGAAAGAGGCAAAACAGCCCAATGTTTTTGGAGACCAAAGATTAATATGAAGTCACAGATGGCTAAATTTAAGATTCAAGAGAATTAACCTGCCCTACTGAGTATGTCAGAGTCAAGGATACCCAAACAGTCCCCAGAAAAGAACAACTTATCACAGATAAGGCCAGAAGGAGGGCTGTTTGGGAAACATTCCTCCTGGGGAAAGAACACCTTCCCATGGGCTGTGGAAAATGATAAGTAAGTTACATTGTCCACTCCCATTTCCAGAGGGGTTTCAGAGAAGAAATGAGGAGGCAAGGCATTCTTCCTGTAGGAGGGGATTGTTGGGCTTCTTGGCTATGCTTTCTATTCTCTTGGTTCCTTTTTCCTTTTCAGTTGCCCCATTGGACCCCAACCCAAACTAAGAAATGTTACCCCAATGGGTTAAGTTGTCCTTACATAGCCAACATTCTTCAATCAAACTTTCACCCTCTCTTACCTTTCTTTGCTGACCTTCCCAAACCCAAGACATCCAGCTAGCTCCCCTGTGCCATCTCATCTCTGCACACCCACCCTTACCACACAGGGAGGCCAGTGCTGAGCAGCATCCGCATGCCTGCTTAGCAGCAACACTGAAGCCTGATGATGAATAGAGGTACAGAGGTCTGTCCAGGTTTACTTCTTTGGAGCTGCTCTCCCTATTCTAGGAAGACCCACTGACCTATTATTTGTGTCAGGCACTTTATTCCTCACAACAATGCTGGAAGATTGGTATAACTATTCTCAAATTACAGATGAGGAAACTGAGGTCTGGGGATCTGTCTGTGTCGGAGATCCCCAACCCCCGGGGCATGGACAGGTACTAGTCCATGGCCTGTTAAGAACCAGGCCATATACCCCCTGAACTCCACCTCCTGGTCAGATCTGTGGAAGCATTAGATTCTCATAGGAGCACAAACCCTATTGTGAAGTGTGCATGGAAGGGATCTAGGATGCATGCTCCTTATGAGAATCTAATGCCTGATGATCTGCAGTGGAACAGTTTCATCCTGAAACCATCCCCACTGCTGCCCCACCTGTGGAAAAAATAGTCTTCCACAAAACAGGTCCCTGGTACCAAAAAGGTTGGGGACCGCTGGTCTAGGTAATAATGCATAATATTGTAGAGAGGTAAGATAACTGAGAAAATACCCAAAGGTGCAGAGAAAAGTACAAAGCAAAATTACTCAGCATCCATTATCCCCAAAGAAGTATTGATAACTTTTAAAATATATTGCCTTTCATTGTTTCTATGTGTTCATCTATGTATATGTGTATGTGCGTATGCAAGATGATAACCCGTAATACATGAGTTTATTTTGCTTTACAAGATCAGGATTCTGTTATTTCTATGAGCTTGCTAGCACTTCCATAACAAGGTACCACAACTGAGTGGCTTAAGTAACAGCAATTTGCTGTCTCACGGTTCTGGAGGTTAGAAGTCTGAGATCAAGGTGTTGGCAAATTGGTTCTTAGTGAGGACTGTGAGAAAGAATATGTCCCAGGCCTCTCTCCTGTCTTCTGCTGTTTTTCTGGAAGTCTTTGGTGTTTCTCAGCTTCTGCTGCATCACCCCAGTCTCTGCCTTCCTCTCCACATGGCAGTATCCTTGGTGCATGTCTGTCTCTCCACATGGCATTCTTTTAATAAGGATAATAGTCATTTTGAATTAAGTTCCCTCCTACTTCATTATGACCTCATCTTAACTTGATTGATTATACCTACAACAACCTTATTTCCAAATAAGGTCACCTTCCGAGGTAACGGGGGTTAGGACTCCAACATATCAATTTTGGGAGGACACAATTCAACCCATAACAACTATTTGTACGATATTGCATCTTATTTTTTTTCTACTTACCATTCTATGTTGACATTTTTGTGAGGGGAAAGGGCTGGCACATGCATATGTGGGCAGGGAGAGAAGGCCCAAGGGGAGCAGCACAGTGGGGAGCAACCCACAGCCTTGGGGAAGGCACGGCAGGAGAAGAGCATGGAGAAAGGGGCAGGGGAGCTGTCAGAGCATTGACCATCACCGTGGTTTTCCTGGTTCACAGGCTTCCTGAGGGCTCCTCAGAAACATGTGTTAGAAAAGAAAAGCTTTCCGGTCTGTCCAGTCTCCTCCATGACCACAGTTTCTCACCCACATACCATTGTCTGGCTTGGAATGGATCCTGGAAGGAGGACTCAAGAGAAACCATAGAAACAGACAACAGGAAGTAAGTGTGAGGGAAGTTTTGGACGGTGAAAGTATTAGATTTGTCAACTGGGAAGCAGTATAATATTATAATTAAGCCCTACATAGAGTCAAACAAATGTTTTCATATCCTACCTCTGACACTCATTTTTAAAATATTTTATTTTTTGGAGCAGTTTTAGATTCACAGCAAAATTGAGCAGAAAGAATAGAAATTTCTCATATACTCCCTGTCCCCACACATGCAAAGGCCCTCTCCATTATCAACATCCCCACACAGAGTGGTACATTTTTTACAGCTGATGAACCTACATCAACCCATCATCACCATCCAAGTCCGTAGTGTCAATTAGGATTCACTCTTGGCATCGTGCATTCTATGGGTTTGGACAAATGTATGACACGTATCCACTATTATATATCATACAGAGTATTTTCGTTCCTCAAAATCCTCTGTGCTCTGCCTCTTCATCCCTCCCGAGGACAACCCCCAGCAACTATTGACCTTTCTACTGTCTCTATAGTTCTGCTGTTTCCAGAATGTCACATAGTTGGAATCATACAGTATGAAGGCTTTTTAGATTAGCTTCTTTAACTTAATAATCTGCAGTTAAGGTTCCTCTACATCTTTTCACGTCGTGATAGCTACATTCATTTTTCTGTGAGATTTTGGGCATATTGGTCTGTCTCTGTAAGCTTCCATTTCCTCATCTGATAGTAGTACCTATGCATAGGGTTGTGGTAAGAATAAAAACGAGGTGATATATGTAAAGTACTTGCCATAGCGCCTGGCAGGAAGAAGTACTTACTGTAGTGCCTGGCACTTCGTTCACTCATTTATTCAACCAATATTTGTTGTCTGCTGCTTCAAGGTCTGTGTTGAATGCTAAGGATACAGTGTTAAACAAAACTGACATGGTTCCTGTCCTCATGGAAATTACACTCTGGAGAGAAAGGTAGAGATTTAAGCAAATAAACACACAAGTAGTCTTTCATTTTAAACCATATAATAATTTGATAAAAAAACTATTTCTAAAATAGAAAAAATGGGGAAACAGATTTAATTTGGAGGGGTGGGGAGGGGATGCACTTAGGGAGAGCCACTCTGAGGAAGTAATATGAAGCTGAGACCTGAAAGTTGATTTGGAAATAGCCAGATGAAGCGCTTTGGGTGTGGGGGAACATGGGGAAGAGTGTCCCAGGTAGAGAGAGCAGGTCCTAAGGTAATAAAGAGCTCATTGGCCCATTAGAGGAACTGAAACATCAGTGTGACTGGAGTGAAATGAACAAGGGGGAACAGGGTGCATATGAGTTTGGAGACATAGGCAGATCCCAGATATTGCAGGGAGTCATGGGATCTCATTGGATGCCTATTCTTAAGAGAATGAGCGGGACAGAAGACTCAAAGGAAGAATAATAAGGGAGGAGAGAAAACCAAAAGAGAGGAATAACACAGAATAAGGGGGCTAGAGGGTGGGTGGGTGAGAGAGACAGAGAGAAGAGAGAGAGACAGAGCAACAGAGAGAGACACAGTGAGACATTTTGAAAGTCAAAAACAGAGAGGTTGAGGAGGATGAGGGCTAAGCAGGACCGAAATTTAGCAAGTAAGAAGTCCTTTGAGACCTCTGAGACAGCAGGTTCAGTGCAACGGTCAAAGTGAAAGCTAGATTACAAGGAGTTAAGAAGTAGTATGTGGTGAGGAAGTAAAGGAAGAAAAGGAAGTTAGCGTATTTTTTTAGAAGTATTATGATGAAGGAAAAGAGAAAGTTTGGGTGATAGCTTAAGTGAGAATTCCTTCTTTATTTTTATTTTAGATTGGAACTTTTTGGGCATTTTTCTAGGCTGAGGAGAAGGATCTAGTAGGTAAAGATTGAAGGCAGGAAGAGAAAGGAGAACTGATTCTGCCTTCAGGAGGCCTCATTCCTGTAGTTATTTTGCCTGCAATCAGAAAGTAACAGACTCTGGTATCATGATCGGGCCAGAGACCTAAACGATGTGCAATTTCAGTCATAGATACGGTTAATTAAAAGACTGTACAAAGTACTCCCATGGTTTTTAAAATTAAAACTATAAATCAATATAGTAATATTTTTAATTTCTGTATTTTAAAACAACTGGCTTTTAAAGAATTTAAAGAAATTCATACTAGACATAATTAAGAATGTATTCTACTTGCACTCAAGTGCTGTTACTAGCTCCCTTAATATAATCCTGGTCTCATTTTTGCATTTGATAGAATCCTTTCTTTGTACTTACCCTGGACCATTTATTTAGGCCAAAGCCCTCTTAGGGTAGCCCCAGATTTCAGGTCAGTTTGGCATCAATGGCTCTTTCAAAGGAATTTCAGTTTTGATTTCCCAGTTGCTCATAGCTTTTCTTCTGACTGAAGAAGATGGAAAAGACATTGACCCTGCTGGGTTGATGGACTCATGGAACAAGCAAGTTTCATTTTGCCTGCCCAGTTTTCTTATCAGCTAGGAATGAGGTACATTTTCCATCTCACCTCCTCCCTTTTTCATACAGCAAAGGAAAAAAATTACTGAGTTTTATTTAGTTTTTTTAAACATCAAAGTTAAATATGCACATAGTTTAAAGAATCGAATATTTCTAAATTACTAATTACAAGAAACAGCATTCCCCTACTCCACCCCTTCATTTCCCACTCCTCAGAGGAAATCACTTTCAATGCTTTCACTAAATCTTTTTTTAGGGGGAGGAGGGAAATCATTGTATCTCTAAATAGCTACCTCTTAGTTTTCTCTATTGACTTTCCACTGTGGAAGATGGGGATTCAGTTTTCGCCTCTTCCTATACCACATGGGCCTATATTTCTACGTCACTATTAAACTGACACTCAGTGTTTATATTACTATGATCAAATAAATACTATTCACACCTGTGTTGCATAATAAATTATGATCACTTTCTTCAAAACTATTTTGCTTTCTCTGGAGTTAATAATTGTCTCATTTTTCATTTGCCTAGTTTTTCTATGCATATGCCACTAATTTAATCCATACTCCTCTGTAGTTGTTTAAGTCTCCTCTCAATATGTCCAAACAAACTTGGTATTCCATCAGTTTCATCTGGAAGAGAGCTCTTCCAGAGCCTACTGATCTGCTCCTCTCTGGGCTAACTGACCTCTAGGCCTGCTGTGCATCTGTCATCTTGGGACTTCCCTTTACCCACATCCTGGGGACTCTCTTCACCTCTGTGTTGAGTGCTCTGGTTCCTGAATTCCGCCTCTTCCTCTTTCTTGACTCACAACACTGTTTTGGTGGAGCACATTCTTCAGTAGTTTCCTAAGAGAGAGTGCAGGGAAGATATAACATTTGCCATCAGTGCCCTGCCCAAATTCTCTTGGCACTTAACATCCAGGCCTTCAAAACTGCCAGCACATATGTCTGTTTGCCTGAGGGCTTTTTCTAGCTACTGAAAGTTTGCTCAGGAAGTGCTGGGGAATTAACCCCCTTTTCCCTGGGAGAGACCCTTAACCAATGACTGATGAGAGTTAGTAGATAAATATCCCAGCTTGCTCAACCATGAGGCGGTTTAACCCTGAAGCATGCTTTCTACACAGGTCTCCCAGAGTTCCCCGATGGAGTCAAGTTCCACTGGTTCACAGTAACTTGCAAGATATATTAACTTCCGGCCGGGCGCGGTGGCTCACGCCTGTAATCCCAGCACTTTGGGAGGCCGAGGCGGGCGGATCACGAGGTCAGGAGATCGAGACCATCCTGGCTAAAACGGTGAAACCCCGTCTCTACTAAAAATACAAAAAATTAGCCGGGCGTAGTGGCGGGCGCCTGTAGTCCCAGCTACTTGGGAGGCTGAGGCAGGAGAATGGCGTGAACCCGGGAGGCGGAGCTTGCAGTGAGCCGAGATCCCGCCACTGCACTCCAGCCTGGGCGACAGAGCGAGACTCCGTCTCAAAAAAAAAAAAAAAAAAAAAAAAAAAAAAAAGATATATTAACTTCCGTAGGATCCTTTTCTCGTTACTTTACTCCCGTACAGATGTTTACTGGGGTCATCTCCCAAATAAACTAATTTTGCTCTTATATTTTTTCTTTTCTTTTCTTTTTTTTTTTTTTTGAGACGGAGTCTCGCTCTGTCGCCCAGGCTGGAGTGCAGTGGCGCGATCTCGGCTCACTGCAAGCTCCGCCTCCCGGGTTCACGCCATTCTCCTGCCTCAGCCTCCCGAGTAGCTGGGACTACAGGCGCCCGCTACCACGCCCGGCTAATTTTTTGTATTTTTAGTAGAGACGGGGTTTCACCGTGTTAGCCAGGATGGTCTCGATCTCCTGACCTCGTGATCCGCCCGCCTCGGCCTCCCAAAGTGCTGGGATTACAGGCGTGAGCCACCGCGCCCGGCCATATTTTTTATTTTCTATCTGTTATCTTTCTGCTTTCCCTTCTACTTTCCAAATCTACTAAGCTTTTTTATATTTTTGCTATCATATTTAAATTTCTAAGTTTTTTTTGTTCTCTGAATGTTCCTTTTAAAACATAGCATTCTGTTCTTATTTCATATATGCACTAGTTCTCTTATTTCTCTGGAGATATTATTAATACTTCTTGTTTTCTTTTTCTTTCAGAGATGCTGTCATTTCTGAGTTATCTTTGGAGCATTTCTCTCCAGTGTGTCAGGGTTTCAGAGAAGGCTTTCCTAATATTCAGGCTGGCTGTCAGGGTTTCCTAAGTAAGAGAAGATGGCAGAAGGCAATGGGCTTATAATCTCCTGTTTTTTCCCAGCATGTTGTCCTTTCACACAATAGTGCCTTGTCCCTTCTCTGTCTTACTCTCCCACCAGAAAAACCTCCATTCTTGGACATCGTGGGGAAGGGGCAATCCATCTAACAGCAAGAGGAAGAGGGGGCCTGGAGCTTTCATTGTTTCCTGAACTGATTTTCAATGCAACTTACTGTTTTTAGCCACAACTTCACCCTTATTTCCAAAAGTACCTGGTGCCACCAATTGCTGAGCATTTGGGGGATTCTGAAATGTAAAGTGAGTTGCTTTACCTTTCTCATCTGCAGGCTTAGGATTCAGCTTTCTCAGGTCTCTTGATTCAGTTACCACTCATTCATCTATGTTCTAGCTTTTATTTGTTTATTTATTTATTTTTTGAGACGCAGTCTCACTCTGTCACCCAGGCTGGAGTACAGTGGTGCAATCTCGGCTAACTGCAACCCCCACCCCCGACCTTCCCGGTTCAAGTGATTCTCCTGCCTCAGCCTCCCAAGTAGCTGAGACTACAGGCACCCGCCACCATGCCCGGCTAATTTTTGTTTTTTTAGTTGAGATGGGTTTTTACCATGTTGGCCAGGCTGGTCTTGAACTCCTGACCTCAAGTGATCCACCTGCCTCAGCCTCCCAAAGTGCTGGGATTATAGGCGTGAGCCATTGTGCCCGGCCTTATGTTCCAGCTTTTAAAATTATCTTTCTTACTCTTGTCCTTTTTATATTCTTTTGTCCTTGTAGGTTTCTCCTTAAAAAAAACTCACCAAAATTCTTACTTGCTTACATATGCATAAAGAAACTCTGGAAACACGCATAAGAAAGCATAACAGTCCTTATTTCTGGACAGGGAGAAAGTGGAAACTGAGCTGATGGGAGACATAGATGAGGGAAACGTTTCAGGCTGTGCATCTTTGTATTTTTCTGGTTTTAAAACCATGTGAATGTATCACTTAATCAAAACATTAAATTTTGGTTGAGTTCTAGGAGGGAGTGGAGCATGTGTTTAATCTGCTGTCTTTAACCAGAAGTCTCAAGTATTGTTTTTCTAAATTAGCAGCTTCAATGTTGAAACCATGAGAAGCTACCCAGCCAAAAGCCATTCCAAACAAATCCAGAGCCATAAGCAAAAATATAGACAAATTTGGCTTTGTGAAAATTAAAGATTTATGCAAAGCAAAAACCAAAAATCAGATCAAATTTAAAAAGATCAGAAAACCAAAAACAAATTGGGAAAAAATTTTGCAACAAGTATGACAAAAGGCAAATTTACTTTAAAATATGGAATTTTGACCAGGTGTAGTGGCTCACACTTGTCATCCTAGCACTTTAAAAGGCTGAGGCAGGGCTGGGTGCTGTGGGGGGCCGAGGCAGGCAGATCACTTGAGGTCAGGAGTTCAAGACCAGTCTGGCCAACATGGTGAAACCCCATCTCTACGAAAAATACAAAACAATTAGCCGGGAGTGGTAGCACATGCCTGTAATCCCAGCTACTTGGGAGACCGAGGCAGGAGAATCACTCGAACCTGGGAGGCGAAGGTTGAAGTGAGCTGAGATTGCGCCACTGCACTCCAGCCCAGGCAACAGAGTGAGACTTTGTCTCAAAAAAAAAAAAAAAAAAAGGCCAAGTCAGGAGGGTGCCAGACTGCAACTCCAGTCTGGGTGACAAAGCAAGAACCTATTTCAAAAAAAAAAAAAAAAAAGATGAAGTTTTTACAAAGCAATTAAACACAGATAAAAATCCAATAGAAAACAACAGGCAAAGGACATGAATATACTACACAGGTGAATACTTACAAATGGCTTTTAAATACATGAAAAATGTTCAACCTCACTCATAAATTAAAGAATGAAAATCAGAACAATGAGAAAATCAGTTTTCACCTATTAGAACAGCAAAATTATAAAATCTGATAATATACACTGGTGACGTAAAGATTTGGTGGGGGGGAGTCTAAAATATTTTTAGTAGGATTAAAAATTGTTACTAAATTTGCAGTGCATTTTGGTGCTATCTATCAAAATGTTAAAGTTACATTTACCTTTTGACGCTGCAACTTCCCTATCAGACATGTATCTGCTTGCACTGGGCATTAAGACATATTTACTTGCTCACTTCAGCTGCACATATGCTAAAATTGGAAGGATACAGAGAAGATTGTCATGGCCCCTGCACAAGGATGACATGCATGAAGCATTCCATATTTTTTTAAAAATACATATTTACAACGATATTCACTGCAGCATTATTTGTAGTCACAAAAACTGTAAGCAACCCAACTGCTTACAGGAGGAAATTGGCTACATAAATTACAGTATATTCATTCAGAGGGATATTAAGCAGCCAATAAAAAGAATGAGGCAGGCCAGGCACAGTCACTCACACTTGTAATCCCAGCACTTTGAGAGACCAAGATGGGAAGATCAGTTGAGGCCAGGAGTTCGAGACCAGCCCGGGCAACATGGCAAGGCCTGACTCTACAAAAAATAAAAAATTAGCGAGGAGTGGTGGCACGTACCTGTTGTCCCAACTACTTGGGAGGCTGAAGCAGGAGGATCCCCTGAGCTCAGGAGTTAGAGGTTGCAGTGAGCTATAATCACACCACAGCACTCTAGCGTGGGAGACAGAGCAAGACCTGTCTCTAAAAATAAAAATAAGAAAAAGAATGAGGCAGCTTTATATTTATGGAATTATCTCTAACATGTAGTCTTAAGGTTACAAGCAAATTATGGAACAGTGTATATGGAGTGATCCTATTTGAGTGATTTTTAAGTAACTTTTCTTAAATACATAGATGTGCTTGTGTACACACAAGATATCTCTGGAGGAATACATAAGAAACAAATCATTATTACTACCTCCAGAGAAGAAACTGGGAAAATAAGGGATCAACAAAGGGAAGGGGAGTTTTTTTCCCTTAAAAACATATGTGTGTGTATATATATATAATCTCCAAGTGCATGATTTTTAAAAAAAATAATAGGTACATTAGTAAATGTTTTCGGTCGCAAGCAACAGAAACAATTTGTAGTTAATCTAAGCGGTAAATGAATTTATTAAAAAATATTAGGTAGTTCACAAGCTCTCCAGGAGGACTAGAAACCCAGGTTTAGAGGCTACATAGCCAGAAGCAACACCTAAAATTGTACTGCAGAACAATATCATGAAGTCATCAATGCCCCCACTGCATGGAAACCACTGCTCAGTGAATGCCCCAAGCCTGGATGCTGGTCCCTGCTGCTAGAACCACCAGAACCACCACCACTGTAGCATCTAAAAAATGAATGTTGTTATTACAACTAATGCCACTCCCTGCTGCAGAACAGATTCAACAGTCTTTGCTATTTGAGGTCACTAGCTCCTGAGTCAAAAAGCAATGCAGATCCTTATGCCTATGCATACCTGTAAGGGAAGCTGGAAAACAAGTATCTGACATTTTCAGCTTCTAAAGTAAAAGGTTGTCCTCTGTATCCCATCAAGGCCTATAAAGTGATGAATGCTTCAAATATAGAGCATTTAGATAACAGAGGTGGAGAGAGAGAGAGAGAGGAAAATAAGGAAGGAAGAAGGAGTTTCACATCAGTTTTCACTTTGCTTTGGGGGAAAGTATCCTGGATGCCATATGACATACTCACTTTCCTGTGTCTTTTGCATGTACTGTTGTTAAGAATCACAGGACTTCAGAGTAGAAAGTTCCCGATAGAGGATTTAGTTCAAAAGCATTGTTTTCTAGTCGAGAAAAACAAACTCAAGTAAAGTTTGGGAAAACTCAAGTTGCCCAAAATTACTCAATAAGAGTTTCTGATTATGTGATTAGGTTCTCCCAGTCCAGGGCCCAATCCTCCATAGAATGTTCGGGTATTATTAGTACTTCAGCCAAGGCTCTAATGCAGTATCAAGATGCAGATTTGCTTCTGGTAGGGCTTCTTGAAGAAACTGGTGCTACTTATTACAAATATTATTAAACATTTGTATAGGACTTTAATGTTTATTTTTTAAAATTTTTATTTGTAAATAGTAAAATCATTTATTTTTAAAAAACAACAAAAATATAGGAGGATTTAAAGTAAATGGTAAAATTCATACCTTCATCTTGCTTTCCTACTCCCTAGGAATAATCAGTGTTGAAAGTATGCTGAGTATCTTTCAGTTCTTTTTCTATGTGTATGCACATATATTTGTAGGTATTTATAGACATACGCATACCACATATATAACCTTTCATATCTTGCTTTCCCACTCTACATGCATCATGGACATAACTGATACTTGAAGTGGATTCATGCCAGTAAGTTATTGCTAGGTTGGGAAGCGCCGCATGGAGACACGGTGCCTGAGGAGAGGATGTCACAAACCATGAAAGGCTTGGTGGTAAGGTGATATTTTTGGTCCAGTGAGCTTCATGGTGTCACTTGAAGTATAAATTGCCTCAGGAAGAAAACATGGGCTGCTTCAAAGCATGAAAGTAACCTCCAAAATCATCTAGCTCAACCTCATTTGTAGGTGAAGAACTATTTTTCCTGGGAGTGGGGGTGATTATGGACCTTGCCCAAGATCACCCAACCAGGACAGTGACAGAGTTGGGATTTCTTTCTTTCTCCAAGACCCTGGCTCATTGCATTGTGTTGCATTGCTTTCTGCAAGTTTCAGAGGAGAGAGAGGGCAGTGGTTAGTTTGAAAACACACATATGCTCAGATTACATTTGATTTCTCAGGCTGTAGTGCTGGGGCTCCCTGCCTGACTGTGTCCATGAGTTCTTCCATGAAGTTTTACATTTAGCTTTTCTTTTGCCCGCTATATGCCTTATTGACTACCATTAACCATCTCCTTGGGGACTATGAATCTTACTTTTCAGTCTTTTTATGGCAATTTGCACTCTTTACTAACACAGCTTTATTATTTGTTCAGGTCTTGGGAGAATATTGAATAAGACATTATATCAGATGGATGACAAAAGGAGGGGAAAAACAAGAAAGACCACCAAGTTTACATAGATGCCAAATTTATTTAATCAGGGAGGAGTCATTTAGTGCTAATGAGGGAGGGGTGGAATACACATTAGAAAAAGACACATCTTCTGCCTGTAGGACCTTACTTTCTAGAACAGTTACCTCTAGTCTCTTTTCTTCATACCACTCCATCAAAAAAAAAAAGAAAGAAAGAAAGAAAGAAAGAAAAGAAAACCAGCATACATGCCTAATAATTGCATGTTTGCTATAAATTCCGTACACTCTACTGTGACATTTTAATATTAGTAAAGCCTAATTTTCTTAATATTTTAGATTAAAAAATAAATAGAAGCAAGTATTCACATATGTTTTTCTCATACCTCTATGTACCATTTTGAGCACTTCACTTTGGAGTCCAGTTTCAACAGGAGAATCAGATGCACACCCAAAATACTAGAAAGCTTGGGAGTGTGAAGAGGGCTCTAATGTCAGGGTAAGCAAAATATTCTTAGGGCATCAAGGAAGCATTGCCAGAGGAAAGGAAAGCTGAGGATATTCAAGGACTTCTGACCTACTCCGTGGGCACAGCGTCTCTGGGCTTGGACAAGGGATTAGTGCCAGGCTTGGTTTCCTTGGCTGGAATCTGTACATGAAGGCTGCACATGAAGAGCCTACCTCACCCCAGAAGCATCCATTTCCTGGCACCTCAAGCATATATGGGCTTAATAAATAACATGTCATTCCATGATGATAGGGACAGACATACTTGGCCCATGGCTTAGAGCCACCCCCAATTGTCTACACTCAATGGTGGGGCAGCAAGTACTGTGGATATGGAGCTGGGAGGCTGAGCTAAATCCTAGCTATCTTACTAACCAATTGTATGACTCTAGCCCTTAAACTCTCTGAGCTTTAATTTTCTCATCTGTAAAATGGGAATGATAAATGCCTTCCAGAACTATTTACAATTTCTAACATTTGTTGAGTTTTTCAATGTGCATTACATGTATCATCTCATGAAATCCTCATGACAAAATAATGAGGTGGAGCTATTATTGTTCCCCTTTTGCAAATGTGGAAACTAAGTTTTAGAGTAGGTAATCTGCCTACAAGTTTACACAGCTAGAATGTGCAGAGATGGGATTCTGAGGCTTGCTCAACTCTGAAGCAAATGTCCTACCCGCTCTACTTGGCTGCTGACCATGAACACACTTCATGAACTCTGAAGTACGAACAAGGTACACAGAGTGTAAGATTTAGTCCTTGTCCTTAAGTCTAAATTCAAAATATGTTTATCTATAAAGCGTGTTTTTCTGTTTTTGTTTTTGTTTTTTTTTGAGATTGAGTCTCGCTGTGTCAGCCAGGCTGGAGTGCAGTGGCATGATCTCAGCTCACTGCAACATCCGCCTGCCGGGTTCAAGCAATTCTCTGCCTCAGCCTCCTGAGTAGCTGGGATTACAGGCGCCCGCCACCACACCCAGCTAATTTTTTTTTTGTTTTTATTTTTAGTAGAGATGGGGTTTCACCATATTGGCAAGGCTGTTCTTGAACTCCTGACATTATGATCCACCTACCTCGACCTCCCAAAGTGCTGGGATTACAGGTGTGAGCTACCATGCCCAGCCTATCTATAAAGTGTAAAAGTCCAACAAAGTAGGATTTGGTTAGAATGAAAAGGTGGAGAAAGAACTTCAATGTTAGTTTCCTTATCTTTAGTGCCTTACAACAGTATATGATTACTGGAAAGAGCACTCGGTTAGCAAGAAGAAAACCAGTTCTGTCCCATACTTGCTCTCAACTTTAGGCACTTCATTTAAGCTGTTTACTCATCTATTAGGGGTCCTAATGAATGAGCTCTAGAGGGTCTTTTTGCCTGACAATCCTCAAACTCCATTCTCAAAACTTCCTGCAATCGGGAGTCTCCCTCCCCTCCATGGAGAGGGTGGGACAGAGGCATGTAGACAGGGAGGCGATCCTCAGGTCAGCTAGGGCTTACTCAAACAAGGTCCTGTGGGGGCAACAGGGAGAGTGGATGGGGACTCAAGCCAGAGCCCTGGTGGGATGGGCCGGTAATTATAAGGAAACACTGCAGAGAAAGTTTCTGTTGTGGTTGTTCCCTTTGTTTACTTTAGGCAGTTCTGTCATTTTTTAACTGACCCTTCCCAGATGAGATAGTCAGTTTTCAGCTGGGTAAAGTCAGGGCCTTGCAACTGATGGGGTATTTGAATCCTCTGTGGCTCAGTTGCTGGAGGGAGGCCAGGGCAGCTGAAACTCCCCCGCCCTTTCAGGGAAGTGAAGCTGGGGCTACAAACTTGCTGACAGTGGCTGGTGGCCTGTAAACCCAAACATCCTCCCCTCCTCCGTCTCGGTGTAGCAATGTGAAAAAAACAAAGCCACGAGCTTTCCAGAGCAGGGGAAGGCTCTAGCCAGATTCCCTTCCAGCTACTCCCTCCTGCACTTTGGCCCACAGCCACATGGTACAAGGTTATAGTTACAGTTGAAAACTGCTGACGTCTACTTTTTGGTTGTTGTACAAATAATAATTAATAAAACACACACAAAAAAACACATTTTTCTTCATGGCTAAATATTCACATAGTTGATTCAAACCTAAATGTGCATACTTGCTTTTCTTTTCCTGTTTTCTTAAGTTTGAATAATTGTCATGTAGCTGTTTAAGAATCAGACAGAAGGAAAACTCATCTGCTTAGTACTTTTCTTAAATTGTCCAGTTTCTTTTGGCCTCTGAATACCAGAGTCTTTTATGTGTAAGATTAGAAACATCTGGCCAGCATATCTGAGTAAGGCTGAGCTAAAGCGGGATGAAACTAGGTAGAATGGCCTGCCTTTCTGAATTATAGAATTTTAAGCATTGATGGGACGCAAACTTACTAAATTCTACCTCTTCATTTTGCAGATGAAAAGACAGTCCCAAGAGGTTAGGATTTGCTTAATGTCACACAGCCTGCATCAGAGGTGAACCCAGAACCCAGGTCTCCATACTCCTAGTCTGGCACTGTTTTTATATATATATCCATGCTTAGAGAGGACTTGTGTATTAAAATTTTTTTATAAAAGTGCATCATCCCTGTCTTTGAAACACCCAATTATTTTGCAATTCTTACCCACTGTGTATATATTCTTTAGGAGAAGAGAGAGAGTTAATGTTCATAGAACACCTATTATGTGCCAGGTTTTTCCTACATCTTCTCATTTAATTTTCACCATGCTATGAAGGAGGTATTATTCTACCTGTTCCACAGATGATAAAACTGAGAGGTTAGGTACACTTGCCGAAGTTCACATAACTAGGAAGTAGTGGACTCAGGATTCAAATCCAGATCTCTCTCATCTGCAGCTCCCAGACTATGCTACACCACATTGCCACAGCCACTGTGCACATCACAGCTTACAGTAACATACTTTCCACTTTTCAAATTATGACCCAATTTTCATAATCACTACTTTTGTGGATGTATTCACTCATTCAGTAAATTATTTATTAAGCAGCTACTCTGTGCCAGGAATAGTCAAGACACTGAGGATATAGTAGTGAGCAAAATACATAAATCCTAGCTAACTCCCACTTATAAGTGAGAACATATGGCATTTGGTTTTCCATTCCTGAGTTATTTCACTTAAAATAATGGCCTCCAGCTCCATCCAAGTTGTGCAAGACATTATTTCATTCTTTTTTGTGGCTGAGTAGTATTCCATGGCATGTATATACCACATTTTCTTTATCCACTAATTGGTTGATGAGCTCTTAGGTTAGTTCTATACCTTTGCCATTGTCAATTGTGCTGCGATAAACATACATGTGCAGATATAATGATTTATTTTCCTTTTTGATATAATGACTTATTTTCCTTTGGGTAGATACCCAACAGTGGGATTGCTACTTTTAGTTCTTTGAGAAATCGTCATACTGTTTTCCATAGATGTTATATTAATTTACATTCCCACTAGCAGTGTATAAGTGTTCCCTTTTCACCACATCTGTGACAACATCTATCGCTTTTTGGATTTTTAACAATGGCCATTCTGGTTGGGGTAAAGTGGTATCTCATTGTGGCTTTGATTTGCATTTCCCTGATGTTCAGTGATGTTGAAATTTTTTCCATGTTTATTGGCCATTTGTGTATCTTCTTTTGAGAAGCATCTATTCATGTAAATTGCCCACTTTTTAATGGAATTATTTGGTTTTTTTTTCCCTGCTGATTTGTTTGAGCTCCTTGTAGATCCTGGATATTAGTCCTTTCTTAGATGGATACTTGCAAATATCTTCTCCCATTCTGTGGGTTTTCTCTTTACTCTGATGATTATATATTTTGCCGCACAAAAGCCTTTTAGTTTAATCAGGTTCCGTTTATTTGTTTAAATTTTTGTTGCATTTGCTTTTGGGGTCTTAGTCATAATTTTGTGCCTAGGCCAAAGTCCAGAAGAATTTTTCCTATGTTTTCTTCTAGAATTGTTATGGTTTCAGGTCTTATATTTAAGTCTTTATTCCATCTTAGGGTGATTTTTGTATGTGGTGAGAGAGATGGATCCAGTTTCATTCTTCTATCCAGTGGCTCTCCAGTTTTCACAGAACCATTTACTAAATAGGGTGTCCTTTTCCCAATTTATGTTTTTGTATGCTTTGTTGAAGATCAGTTGGTTCTAAGTATCTGGCTTTACTTCCAGGTTCTCTAGTCTGTTCCACTGGTCTATGCATCTACTTTTATATCAGTACCATGCTGTTTCGATTACTATAACCTTGTAGTATAATTTGAAGTTGGGTAATGTGATGCCTCCAGATTTGTTCTTTTTGCTTAGGATTGCTTTGGCTATTTAGGCCCTTTTATGATTCCATATGAATTTTACATTTAAGTTTTTAAAGGACTGCTAAGGGTGCTGTGTTGAGAGTAGACCGGGGGTGGGGAACAAGGGTGAAAGCAGAAATGCCAGTTGGGAGGCCATTGCAATAATTCAGATGAGGAATAATAGTGACTTGATCCAGAGTGATACAGAATGCAGTGAAAAGTGATACAATTCAGAGTATATTTTGACAGTGAAGCTAGTATTATAATCTGCCATCTTTACATGCCATGATGTCATAAAACATGCTTCTATTTTGGTGATTTAGGTTGTTCCTGTTTGCACTATTATAGGTAATATTTTCATTAACATTCCCACTCACACTTTTTGCCTGTCTTATTTCCTTACATAAATTCCCAGGAATTGGATCACTGAGTTGAAGATGTGATCATCCTTATGACTCTTGCTACAAGTTGTCATATTACTTAGTAGGTTCCACCCATAGTACCTTAGGGATCTTTAATTTGAAATGCTCCAGGATTCCTCCCCCATCCCCAGGATCTCTAACCCTCTCTCCCACTGTGGTTTTCTTCTTTTTCTCTTTCTCCTCTCTCTCTTTTTGGGGAGCTTATAAAAGGGAAGGGTAACAAAAATGGACAAAAGTTAGGGCTGGCCACAGGGAGAGGTAAGAAAAGATACAGAAGGATTTCTTCATTTTTTTTCTGTCTTACAGCCCTGAGAAAGTCCCAGCTGCTTCCCTTAGTTGGATGAAAATCTTCTTCTGTAAGAATCAACAAGCTAACAATACTGCTTACTTAGAGACCTTTTTGTCTTCTGGGGAGATATCAATGGACTTTACAATTTCAATTATCTTTCATAATATTCCCTGGTGTTAGAACAAACTGCCTCCTCTGAACAAACATTCCTCTCACCAGGGTGGGAAGTTTACCAAACTTTGTGGCTCCTTTATTCCCCTCCTCCATCAGGTTGGTCCCCCTTTCAAATGACCCATCCCCCATCACCACAACTCAAAAATGTACCTGCTCAGTCCTCCTTATCCAATTTCATCCTAAGTTGGAAAGAAAATATTTTAATTGTTTCTTAGAAGTGAGGGTTTTTAATGAATTTTAGAATCAACTTGTCAATTTCTGCTGCTCTTAAAATGTATATGGAAATGCATGGGACTCATAAAAGCCAAAACAATGAAGAACAAAGTTGGTGGATTCACACTTCCCAATTTCAAAACTTACAACAAAACTACAGTAACAAAGACAGTGTGTTACTGACAGAAGGATAAACATACAGATCAATGGAACAGAATTGAGAATCACAAATAAACCCTAACAGTTACAATCAATTGATTTTCAACGAAAGAGCCAAGACAATTCAATGGGGAAAAAAAAATGGTCTTTTCAACAAGTGGTGCTGGGCAACTGGATATCCACACGCAAAAGAATTAATTTGGACCCCTAAGATTGTACACAATAATTAACTCAAAGTGAATCATAGGCCTAAATGTAGAAGCTAAAATACAGTCGCCGTGGTGCTGCTGCTCAGTGGGAGCGGGTCTTCGCAACTGTCTCCGCGTGGCGCGCGCCTCTAGCCGCCCTTCCCCTGGCGGCTACGGCTGGAGGGAGCGGAGGCGAGCGGGAGTCGGGCTCCATGGAGAGCGGCGGACAACTGGGCAGAGGCGGAGCTTTCATCTCGGCACCCTGGTTCCAGTGACCCGCGCTAGCGTCCCGTCCCGCCCGCGTCGGAGCGGCCGCCGGCCCCGGGACTGACCGGCCTCGCCGCACCTCCCGCACCGACTAGCGCTCCCGGGCGCTCCTGCGCCCGACTCGCCCTCGCCCCCACTCCCCGGCGGGGTGGCGGCGGCCGGGCCCCCACGGCGGCGGCCGGAGCAGCAGCAGCAGCAGCAGGAGCCCGCCTCTATGATGAAGTTCAAGCCCAACCAGACGCGGACCTACGACCGCGAGGGCTTCAAGAAGCGGGCGGCGTGCCTGTGCTTCCGGAGCGAGCAGGAGGACGAGGTGCTGCTGGTGAGTAGCAGCCGGTACCCAGACCAGTGGATTGTCCCAGGAGGAGGAATGGAACCCGAGGAGGAACCTGGCGGTGCTGCCGTGAGGGAAGTTTATGAGGAGGCTGGAGTCAAAGGAAAACTAGGCAGACTTCTGGGCATATTTGAGCAGAACCAAGACCGAAAGCACAGAACATATGTTTATGTTCTAACAGTCACTGAAATATTAGAAGATTGGGAAGATTCTGTTAATATTGGAAGGAAGAGAGAGTGGTTCAAAGTAGAAGATGCTATCAAAGTTCTCCAGTGTCATAAACCTGTACATGCAGAGTATCTGGAAAAGCTAAAGCTGGGTTGTTCCCCAGCCAATGGAAATTCTACAGTCCCTTCCCTTCCGGATAATAATGCCTTGTTTGTAACCGCTGCACAGACCTCTGGGTTGCCATCTAGTGTAAGATAGAGAGAACTGGGTAGGCCTCTCCCACCATGTGCAGTCTCATGGGGAGAGGCTTCTTTCGTTTCCTCGTCAAACATCTGATTGACGCTTGCAAACTGTCTGAATTTGCCATGCAAGGTTTTCAAACAATTTGCATGTTTTTCAGATGCTTTCAAATCTTTTTTTAAAAAAATAGTGTAAAATATTTTAATAAGCCAAAGCCATGTGGAATTTTTGTTTAGATGCCTTAACTGTGCCACACCCCACAACCCCCTATATTATTTTGGTTGTCTATTTCTCACAGCATATTTTCAGTTTTTTGTCCATTTGACATCAGTCTGTGGTTTATTTTGTCATCAGATTACTTGTGGGTATACCTACCCCAAAATTGTTTTCTCATTCACAGCATTAGCATATTCAGCAAATCCATCTGTGGTGGGAATTAAAAATATTATTGGTTTTAAAGAAATCCATTCACCCCAAAACTTGTTTTACAGGATTACAATTTTAATTCAAAATTTCCAGATTTGGGCTATTTCTGTATGATCCAATAACTTATTTTGTCACAGGGCTTAATTTGCCATTTTTGGGGATTTGTCGACTCATTTTGTCTGAATTTTCACAACTGGTATTATGTCACTAGCTACCTGATATGGCTATTTCCCTTATAACTCAATAGTACCTTAACACAAAGTATAACTCTGTAGAGTTGGTGAATATTTTAGGGAAATATTAGCAAAATGCATGTAGTAAAGACATCTTATGAAAACTGTATTCATGGAATTTGATTTAGCATGCTCAGTTGCCAGTTCCCATTATCGATACTCTTTCTATGCAGAATACCTTAGAACCGTTATTTCCCTCAGTGTAGATTGCTCTTAAAATGTATTCAGTTATTTAGTGGCCCCCACAGGAGTGGAGTCTTGAAATCTAATTCTAAATGCCAGTCAGTGATGATCGCATCACAGTTGAGTGAAATGGCCTTCCTGTTCAGCTGTTAGAGACTGAAGATTGTTAGGGCACCTTAGAATGTCTCATCTTTTCTAGGTTGTCAACAGGTACTATTTGTCACATAACTAACTTTCGAGGCACTGGAACATACCTGAACTAAGAATTAAGTCTTTTACTTTATACTCACTTAAAATCAAGAATCCCATCTAAAACACATAGGTACCTTATCTGAAACTCTTGCACTTCCCCAACCAGGGCAGAAATGAGGTGGGAGAAGTTTGACTAAAATGAGGGATGGGGGAAAGTAAAAGATGTTTTTTTTTTTTTTGAGACTCGCTTTGTCACCCAGGCTGGAGTGCAATGGCACAATCTCAACTCACCGCAACCTCCGCCTCCCAGGTTCAAGCGATTCTCCTGCCTCAGCCTCCCGAGTAGTTGGGATTACAGGAGCCTGCCTCCATGCCTGGCTAATTTTGTATTTTTAGTAGAGACAGGGTTTCTTCATGTTGGTCAGGCTGGTCTCAAACTCCTAACCTCGTGATCCGCCTGCCTCGACCTCCCAAAGTGCTGGTATTACAGGCATGAGCCACCATGCCCAGCCAAAGATCATTTTTTTATATAGACTTCAGCCCTTTGTAAATATTGTAACTGGGGAGTATAGAGTAGAAAAAAAGTATAGTTAAAACATTTGTTCTACAAATTAACCTTTAAAAATATAATTACTGCTAAAAATAGAGTGCTGTTACACTTAAGGAAAATTAGTGCCATTTTGGAAATGAGATCTTGTGCCATAAATACAGCTGAACTGAATATAAATGTTCACAAATTAATGCTGTCAAAGGAATGAGTAAAGCAGAAAAACTTTTAACCAGCAACATTTCAAGTACGTAGTGTGATCAAACATGATCATCCAGAATTTGTATATTTTTTTCTTTGTACAGAGGTTACATATTCTGGGTGTTCTTTTATAAAGGAAACATTTTAAATCCCACAAATTGACACTTTCTATCTTCAATGGACTAAGATTTTTTTGGTCAGTAATCTCTGAAATTTCCTTAAATTATATACTTAACATAGCAGAGAAACTGGATTGTTTTTGTATATAAGACTGCTTCCACCTGAAATGCTGTCATAAGTACTGGGGGGGTGGGGGAGTGCCCATCTTGTACATGATATTCTTAGAGGTAATAAGGTAATGATGCATGAATTTATTTTATAAACTCTTGGACTATGTATTTGACATGTAAAATATGTACAGTATTAACGTCAACCATCTCTTTAAAGTTAGCCTATAAATATTGTTGTATAATTTTCTTTGGTCAGAAACACTTGTACTGAATAGTGACACTCGGTAAGGATTTTCAGTGCCATTTAGCAAAACGTCTTTAGTCTATGCAACTAGCAAAAATCTGCATAATGCAACAACACAGTTTTCACACTTCAAATTTTACATGAGGGGTTCTTCACGATTCTCCTGGAACCCAGTCTAGCAAAATGAGAGGAAAGGCCCTAGGGAGATTTATTTCTGTTAAGTAGTTAACTCTGCTGAGTATGACAAATAGTGTCTACTATCTCAACCCTCCAAAATTTGCAGAGTGTTGGGACTGTCATTTGTGATTTTTTTTTTTTTTTTTTGGTGGGGTAGTTGAATAAAATTGGGCAGCTAAATTTTTCAGTTCCATGTGCCTCCCAAATAAAAAACAGAAAATAAGTAGTTTTTGTGAATTGACTTGCAGACAAAGTAGAAACTGTGCTGCATGATGTTATTTTGTAAACAGATGACATTTTCTGACCAGGCACATGCCATCCAATTTTCTGTCAATCACACTGTTGTATAAAGCAGCAGAACTGAAGGGGAAAAATGATTGTTGTATACACTGAATTGCTTTGCATGGTCTCATTTGAGATAATTGATGTAAGCATCCTGACTTTTTTATATTTGGAAACATCAAATAAAAATGGAAAAAATGAAAAAAAAAAAAAAAAAGAAGCTAAAATATAAAACTTTTAGAAGAAAACTAACTCTTTTGACCTGAGTTAAGCAGTAAATCTTTGTGACTTTGAGTTAGGCAGTAATTTCTTTGATGCAACATCAAGAGCACAAATAATAAAAGAGAAAAAAAGTTGATAAGTTGAACTTAATCAAAATGAAAAACTTCTGTGCTTCAAGGACACCAACAAGTGAAAGAACAGCCCCACAGAATCAGAGAGCATATTTGCAAATTATACTATCTGTTAAGGGACTAGAATATAAAAAACACAAATCAATAAGAAATGACAAATGATCTAAGTTGGGAATGGGCAAAGGATTACAAGATATTTTTCAAGAGAAAAATATGCAAATAAGCACATGAAAAGTCACTAGGAAAATATAAATCAAAAGCACAATGAGATATCAATTTTCACCCACTGGAATGGCTATAATAATATAGGCAGAAAATAATAATTGTTGGTAAGGATGTGGAGAAATTGGAAAGCTCATACACTGCTAGTGGGAAAGTAAAATGGTGTAGCCACATTGGAAAAGTTTGACAGTCCCTCTAAATGCTAAAAATAGAGTTACCATATGACCCAGCAATTCTTTTATCTTGGGAATCTACCCAAAAGCAATGAAAACATATTTCCATACAAAAACTTGTGCACAAATGTTCACAGAAACTTTATTCACAATAACCAAAAAGTAGAAACAATCCATTTGTCATCAACTGATGAACAGATAAACAAAATGTGAAATATCCATACAATGAAATATTATTTGGCAATAAAAAGGAATGAGGTACAGATAGATGCCACAATATAGATGAACCTCAAAAACATTCTGCTAAGTGAAGGAAGCCAGTCACAAAAGACCACATATTATATGATCTCATTTATATAAAATGTCCAGAATAGGCAAATCCATAGAAACCGAAAGCAGATTAGTGTTTGTCTAGGACTAGAGGGAATAAAGGGGTGGGGTATGGGAGAACAGAATTGATGAGTGACTGCTAATGAATATAAGGTTTCTTTTGGAGATGATGAAAATATTCTAAAATTAATTATGGTGACGGGTGCCCTGCTAAATAGATATACTGAAAACCATTGAATTGTACACTTTAAATGCGAATTTTATAGAATACAAATTATATCTCAGTAAAACTGTTTTTAAAAAGTGGCTTCTTGTTCACTCTTGAAAAAAGACACCTGATTGTTTGGTTCAGCACCCTCAAAAAATTTGTTCATGTAATGCATGAAGGAGCATGCTATGGGATTGGCCTAAGAAGTTGCTAGTAATAAAATCTAGAGGTTGTGAAGGCCTGGGGAAGAGAAGGAAGGAGTAAGGGATGGAGAAGGGAAATAAGGAATAAGTGAAGGGATGCACCCAGAAATGAAGGCACAATCATCTCACTGTTGAAAAACCAAGGGCAAAACAGAAAGGAAATGGGGGAGTGGAATTTGCAGATATCTTTACTGCCAACTGTGTAGAACTGGGGCTGAGGTGGTTCAAAGCAAAGCTACAAAGTAAATATTAAGAGGATAAAAACTTCACTGATTTGTTGAATATATAAGGCTTTGTACAACTCACAGCGATTATTCGTTAAAAGTATACAAGCACTGTAGTCAGTTGGAAAAAGAATTATGATTCCTGTTGCCAAATTTGTATCAAAGCAAAATTATAATGTGATCCTGCAATGAGCCAGAAAGAAACACAAAAAGTTTACTCCCCCCACCTACAAACAGAAACTGCTCCTTTATGTAACCTGAAGTTCATGTATATAGTCTTATTTGTACAGATCCTTGCATCTCAAGATGGATTAGTGTTTTTCAACATGGCAACTTTTAATTTTGTTTATTTATTTATTTTTTAATTTTAATTTTTTTTTTTTTGAGATGGAGTTTCACTCTTGTTGCCCAGGCTGGAGTGTAATGGCTCGATCTCAGCTCACTGCAACCTCTGCCTCCTGGGTTCAAGCAATTCTCCTGCCTCAGCTTCCCAAGTAGCTGGGATTACAGGAGCATGCCACCACGCCCAGTTAATTTTGTATTTTTCAGAGATGGGGTTTCACCATGTTGGTCAGGCTGGTCTTGAACTCCTAACCTCAAGTGATCCACCCGCCTCAGCCTCCCAAAGTGCTGGGATTATAGGCGTGAGCCACCACGCCCGATCTATTTATTTATTTTAAAAAATAATTTTAACTTTTATTTTAGACTCAGGAGTACATGTGCAGGTTTGTTACATGGGTATATGGCATAACACTGAGGTTTGGGGTGTGAATGATCCCCTCACCTAGATAATGAGCATAGTGACCAATAGGTAAGTATTTCAAGCTTTGTCCCCCTTCCTCCTTCCTGCCTCTAGTAGTCCCCAGTACCTATTGTTGTCATCTTTATGTCCATGAGTACCCAATGCTTAACTCCCACTTGTGAGATCTTACTAACACATTTGGTTTTCTGTTTCTGCCTTAATTCACTCAGGATAATGACCTCTAGCTCCATCCATGTTGCTACAAAGGATATGATTTCACTCATTTTTTTGACTGTGTATTATACCATGCTATGTATATACCCTATTTTAAAAAATCCAATCCACTGTTGATGAACACCTAGATTGATTCCATGTCTTTGCTATTGTGAATAGTGCTGTGATGAACATGTGAGTGCATGTGTCTTTTTGGTAGAATGGTTTATTTTCCTTTAGATATATACTCAGTAATGAAGATTGCTGGGTTGAACGGTAATTTTGTTTTAAGTTCTTTGAGAAATCACCAAACTACTTTTCCACAGTAGCTGAACTAATTTACATTCACACCGACAATAGATAAGCATTCCCTTTTCTTGGTAGCCTCGCCAGCAACTGTGGCTTTTGACTATTTTTTTTTTTTTTTTTTTTTTTTTTTTTTTTTTGAGACAGAGTCTTGCTCTATCACCCAGACTCGAGTGCAATGGTGCGATCTTGGCTCAATGTAACCTCTGCCACCCGGGTTCAAGAAATTCTCCTACCTCAGCCTCCTGAGTAGCTGGGATTACAGGCATGTGCCACCATACCCGGCTAATTTTTGTATTTTTAGCAGAAACAGGGTTCCACCATGTTGGCCAAGTTGGTCTCAGACTCCTGACCTTAGGTGATCCATCCTCCTCGGCCTCCCAAAGTGCTGGGATTACAGGTGTGAGGCACTGAGCCCGGCCTGACTTTTTAATAATAGCCATTCTGATTGGTGTGAGATGGTATCTCACCGTGGTTTTGATTTGCATTTCTCTAATGATTAGTGATGTTGAGTATTTTTCCACGTTTGTTGTCTGTTTGTATGACTTCTTTTGAAAAGTATCTGTTCATGTCCTTTTCCAACTTTTTAAATGTATTCTATTTATTTATTTATTTATTTTTGAGATGGAGTCTTACTTTGTCGCCCAGGCTGGAACGCAGTGGCACCATCTCAGCTCACTGTAGTCTCCACCTTCCGAGTTCAAGCGATTCTCCTGCCTCAACCTCCCGAGTATCTGGGATTACAAGTGTGCACCACCACACCTGGCTAATTTTTGTATTTTTAGTAGGGGAGGTTTCACCATCTTGGCCAGGCTGGTCTTGAACTCCGGACCTCAAGTAGTCTACCTGCCTTAGCCTTCCACAGTGCTGGGATTACAGGTGTGAGCCACTGCACCTGGCCTGCCCGCTTGTTAATGGGGTTATTTTTTGCTTGTTGAATTGTTTAAGTTCCTTATAGATTCTGAATAGACCTTTATCAGATGCATAGTTTGTGAATATTTCTAAAATTTTCTCCAAACATTAGCTCTTTTTAGAGACATGTTGGATTTGACATGTGTCCATGTTTTAAGTAAGATTTTTAAAATAAGAATACAGGGCAAGTTGAAATAAATGGTAACTCATTGCGTCTAGTAAGTCAGACACATACACACACCATCCTCCAAAAGCTCAAAGCATGTCAAGATACAAATCACACCAGTGTTAGCCTCTTATTTATGTGTCTTAGCCCTGCCTACTCAAGAGCCTGTCTCCTCTTGACAGCTCTGTCATATAGGGTAGAAAATATAGAACAGCTGTGACCAGGGCTTACTCATCTGTACAGTCACTAGATGATAATAGTTATAAAAATTAACATGTGTAAAGGGCTTTGTGGCATATAAGCCACTACTGTGCATATGATTTTAATTCAATTTTAATCTTTATAGAAACTCTTCTCCTCTCCTCCTCACCTCGGATGAGGGTATCAAAGCTTAGGAATGAAGTGACTTGTTAAGATCTCTCACTATGCTTTTTCCTCAAGTATATAAACATTCCTGAACCTCTCTCAATTAAAAAAATGGAATTCATTCCTTATTATACATGCTTTCTAGCCAATCTTTCTTCTTTCATAACTAAGTGTTTTAGAGTAGCTTACACTCTCTGCCTCCCCCTCTTTGCATTCATATCGCTATTTTTTCCTTGTCTAAGGAATGTAATGTACTACATCAGGTCACATGCTGAAAGATTGCACCTGGGGAATGCAGTCACCCACCTACCACAGTTTGGCTCATGCATAGATATTAAACACAACTTGAGGAATATCCTTGACTACTGAAGAAAGTAGGCAAACTCTGGGCAGGCACTCAGACTTGGGAAGCTTGCGGCATTCCTCTGAGGTCTAAGGAGCTTCCCATTCTATGGCTATCCTCCCTGTCCTTTCCTTTCCGAAGGAAAGGAAGGAAGGAAAGAAGGAAGGGAGGGAGGGAGGAAGGGAAGAAAGGAAGAATAGTTTCAAAACAAAGTTGTCTGACTACAAATTCTGTTCTGTTATTAGATCCTTTCCAATTCACTGTTGTTGTGGTTGTTAAAATAAAGCACAAATTTTTACCACTTGTAGTAGAGAGGCCTTGTGAGAGACAGTTCCTCTACTCCAGAATTGTCACCCCTGTCTCCTATCAAAATGCCTGAGATTCTTCCATTTAAACTTTGGTAATGATGTCAATCTTGGAAGACTTTCTGGGTTGAGCAGATTAAAGAAGCTGAACGTGATAGAAGGGAGAAGAAAGCTGCAAGGAACAGGGACTGGCCTGATGGCCTGCTTCATCTATTGCCCAAGCTCCCCACAGCCAGCTCTGGTCCCTTGTAGGATAGAAAGTACAACACAAAGAGGTGACTGAATAACTTAATGGTCTTGGATACACAGTCAGTCCTCTGCTCTCCCATCTGAACTAACAATATTTCCTGTTCTGTTATCTGAAGTGTGAGGTTGGCACTCTATGATGACACAAGTGCCCACTTCCAGCCAAGCCAAGCAACCTTTCCTCCAGACTGAGTCAGTCACCTCCATTCTTTGTGTTCTGACCTTCCAGCTGCAAAAGTAGGGCCCAGATCTCACCTTCTTAGATTCTGAGGTAGTGAACCTGAGCAGGTGAATTATAGAGCCACTGTGAAGCTCTAGATTTCCAAGGAGTTCTCCACCTTACCGGTGTTTAAAATCTGTACTTAGTTCCTATATATTTTTCCACACTTTTCATTCCCTTTCCTATAATTCCTTAATATCTCCTTTGATAGCAAAAGGGACAGATGTAAACAGGGTAGGCCATGAGCAAAATCAAGTAGGTAACACATGTCTTTGCTGCTCCATCTCCTTCCTTTCTCCTCCCTCCATTGAAGTCAGGAATCTAAAAATAGTCATCGTACCTTAGTGTATGTTTAAAGTTCTCTTAACTGTATCTCGCAAGGGCTTTATTTTTAGTTACAAAATTTTTATAAGTTGTTTTGGCCACTACTAGAAGCAGCCTTTCAGGGAGGTAGCAAAGGCATTTTTAGGGAACATTTTTAGGAGTCTTCATCTGGGAATCACCCCAAGCAGGGAGCTCCTCAGAAACATTCTCATGCCCCGGACCTTCGTGCTCACCACGCTTGACTGTGTAGGGAGTTTGAGATAAAATGGTCTACAGTCATTCATTTCGGGTACCTTCCTCTGGACTCTACATTTCTGGTCACTTTTCTGTCATCACCCAGCTTCTTAGGTCAGTACCCGGTGATACTCATGGTGATCCGGGAAGGCTGGACCAGGGAAGTGGAGGACAGGCTGTGCTGATGGTTTATTAAAGTCTGTGGCTTCTTACTCCTCCACAAGACTCCTCATCAGAGGGTGCGGCTTGGGTCATGCTGGGCACTCAGCAGCTTTGTGGTGGGTATCGGTTTGTGCTTCCTCCCCTTTGCTTTCGATTCAATGCTTTCCTGTTGCAGTCTGAGCAGCTCTATTTAACCGCAGCCTCACAGCAACTACCACTGCATGCAAACTGGATCCATCTAGGGGCAAGTATAGGGCAACCAGAGTGTAAGGGGTTGAGAGGTAAGAAAGGAGACTGCTAGAAGTCAGCTGGAAATGAAAAATTCCAAAGCTAGAATGTCATGATGAATAACAACCAAGAAAACATTCCAGTACCATGAAAAAAAATACGTTCCAGTTTACATTCAGCTATGATTTTTAAAAACTGAACCCTAAGTTAATTAGTTCAAATACAGTTTCATTAGAAAATATCTTTGCATTTTTCAAAGAAATATATAGGATAATATAAATCCTGGCTTTAATTCAAGAATTAATAAAAAAAATATTAAGAATCCCAGTTCAGTTCTGATTCAGGAATAAGATAACTGATAATTTGAGGCTAGAATTTAGTCTACAGATGTTAGAGGCCCTACAGTAGAACGCTCCGAGCAGAGGAAACAGCATCTGTGAAGGCCTAGAGGCAAAAGGAAGCAGGGTATGTTTGAAACACTGGAGGTCAGTGTGAGTGGAGTTCAGACTGATGGCAAGTTACTGATCATGAGAGGCTTATGAACCGTGATAAGAAGTTCGGACTCCATCCTAAGGACGGTGAGAAGCAACTAAAGGATTTTAAACACAAGTGGTGAATTTACAGAACTGCATTTACATAAAGAACCATCTAGTGGTTAGTGGAAAATGATCCAAGGGGAGAAAACCTGGGGGCAGGAAACTAGCAAAGGGATGTGCAAAACGCCACATAGATGGTGATCACTTAGGCCAGTGGGGACAGGGAGAAACTGATGGATTCAAATATGTAGATTATACTGAATTTGGTTATTGACTGAATGTGGAAGGTGAGCAAAAGAGGCATTAAGGATGAATCCTACATTTCTGCCTAGAAAAACTGGGTAGATGGTGTGGCATATGTTTGGATGAGGAGCATTATTGGAGGAATAGGTTTGAGGGAGGGAGTTGGTTAACAGGCTTTCAGGAATTTCTAATTGAAGAAGTTCTAGAAAGCAGTCAAAAGAGGTCAGGGAAGATAGAGATTTGGAAATAATTGGCAGATGGATCTCAATAATGCCATGGAAAGGGATGATATTTCTCACAGAAAATGTTTAGAGAGAAAAGAGGCTGATATAGAACAGGGTTCTGAGGAACACCAGTACTTTAGGAGTAAAGAGGAGCTTGCACAGGATGCTGAAGACCCATGACTAAGATAGAGAAAAAATAATAGTGCAAAGGAAGAGTGAATCTATCAAAGAGGATGTGACCAAAAGCATCACATGCTACCCTGATGCCAAGTAAGATCAAGGCTGATGTATCCACTGGATTTAGTAATATGGGAGGTGGGGGGGGGGCGTTAGTGTCCTGAGTGAAAGCCCTTTCAATACAATGGGAGCTGATGCCAGTTTAGATTGGGTTAAAAATTGTTTGAGAAGTGAAGAAATGGAAACAGCAAGAGCAGACATCTCATTCAGCAAGCTACACATACTATTCCTTTTCCCTCTACCTCTACCCTCTAAATTCCCTTTCACGCTGTCCCTATTTGGTAAATCTTGCTCATTCCAGGACAGGGCTGGAGTGAAGGAGATTTGCAAACCAACAGACAAAAATCTGAGGAATATATATATGTTTTTCCAGAAGCAAATTTAGCCAGGGCTGAAATTCAGGAAGTGAGTGACTTATTCCATGCTCACCAGACAAGAACTTTCAGCCAATAAAG